>NC_000001.11:150059587-150684587 GCF_000001405.40 Homo sapiens
TTAAACTCCCAACCTCAGATGATCTGCCCGCCTCAGCCTCCTAAAGTGCTGGGATTACAGGCACGAGCCACCATCATATTCTTTCTTTAATGCCCAGTCTAGGTAGGGAAGATTAACATTTACTAATATGTTCATTAAAATAAACATAAAACTCGGCTACTCTGGGCACACTGCCTATGGAGCAGCCTTGCTCTTCAAAGAGAGGGAAAAAAAGAAAGAAAAATTATTTTAAAATTATTTTAAAACATAAACATAAAACTTAATAACAATGTAAATACAAAATATTCAGCTAAAAGTTGGAAGGGTTCAGACCAATATGAATTACATGATCCATTACATCTGTTTGCCATTGCAAACAAACAAAAAAAACCAGCAGTCTTTTGATTTAGAATATTTTTAGTCATCTCAACCATTTCATGAAATAGAAGATAGTTTAAAAGAGAAAAAAAATCCAGGATAGAAGTAGGGCCATATGTTCCTATTTAATATTGGCATATAAAAGAGAAAATACAAGTAATATCAGCGTGACTCCTTCAGTGAGATTTCAATGCCTCATCTCACATATTTTCAGGCTATTAGGTGACATCTAGGGCTGAAGGATTTATTCACCAGTTAGCATCTGTTAGGTGATGAACTGTGTCCCTGCAAAATTCCTGTGTTGAAGTCCTGACCTTCAGTATCTCTGTATGGGATTGCATTTGGAGAAAGGGTCTTTAAAGAGGTAATTAAGGTTAAACGAGGTCATTAGGGTGGGCCCTAATATGATTGGTGTCCTTATGAGAAGAGATTAGGAGATTAGGACACAGACACCACATAGAGACCATGTGAAGACACAGGAGAAGACAGCCATCTATGAGAGGCCTCAGAAGAAACCAACCTTTGACACTTGACCTTAGACATCTAGCCACCAGAACTATTGAGGAAATACGTTTCTATTGTTTAAGCTACTGAGTCTGGGGGTACTTCGTTATTGCAGCCCTCTCAAACTTACATAGCATCTGACATACAAGATATGCAATAGGTATTTACTGAAGGAACGAAGGTTACAGTTTATCCAGCAATTAATTCTGCCCAAAGCTGAGGCTGAAGGTTGACTTTCCACCAGTAAAGTCAGATTAAATATTTATTATGCAGTAAGACAGGCAAAAAGCTATTATTAAATATGAGGAATATCCACATACCCTCTACCCATCTTAAGAAATGAAGCATCAGCATTATAGTTGAAGCACCTATGCTCTGGTTCCCAGTGGCATCCCACTTGCTCCCATGCTAGAAATAACCACTAATTGAATTTGGTTATCATTCTCGTGTAGGATTTATTTTTTCTCTTTTCTTTTCTTTTCTTTTTTTTCTGAGACCGGGTCTTGCTGTCCCCCAGGCTGGACTGCAGTGGAACGTTCATGGCTCACTGCAGCCTCAAGCTCATCGCACCCGGCTGACTAAAACAAAAAACAAAAAACAAAAAAAATTTTTTTTGTTTAATTTGTAGAGATGGTGTCTCCTTGTGTTGTCCTGGCTGGTCTCAAACTTCTGGCCTCCAACAATCCTCTTGCCTTGGCCCGCAAATGCTGGGATTATAGGCGTAAGCCACTGTGCCCAGCCACATGTAGCATTTCTTCATACACCTATCTATAGGTTTGTAGCCCTAAACAATATACTATTATTTTTTGCATGTTTTCAAATGTTATATAAATAATATCATACTCTACAAGGACTATGTATGTTGTTTCTATACCCCTACCATCTTTTTGAGAGTCAACCATATGGATGCCCTTAACTCTGGTTTATTTGTCTTAACTGCTAAATATGAATATAGTATTTTGTTATAAAATCATACCATGATTTATTTATTTATTCTTCTGTTGACGGACATTTAGGTTGTTTTCAACTTTTTTGCTATTATCAGCAATACTGTTAAGAACATTCTCATACGTGTCTCACATACATGTGAGAGTTCTCTAGGGCAACGATTTCCAATTCCTTTCATGACCGCACATAGGAAATCTTGGAAAAGCATATAGGTAAAAAAAAGGAGGCTGTTCATAGCCAGCAGTGACCTGCCCAGGGGCTCTGGCTGCCCCAAGACCTGCTTGGCTACTCCTAGCCTAATAACAAGTGTGGGGACAAGAGTGACTTTATTTTAAATGCTAATCTGCCACGTAACTTCTGACTAACCCCGAGTCTGGGAATGCCTCCAGAATGTCTAAATGATGTATTAGTCTTTATGTAAGAACTTCTATTCACTGTAAGTTTCCTCCTAAACCACACTTGATGCAATTGCAGAAATCATAGGCTGTGATGCCCACAGCCACCTACATACTCCTTCCAGATCACATATACTTTCCCTAAGATATAAGCCCTGGGTCTGGAAGGTTTCGATGCAGAGATCTACCTGTCATGCAGCTGCCCAGAACCATATTTCTGTCTGTACATTCCCCTAATAAATCACTCAAAACTGACAAACTGGATTTGTCTGCCTCCTTCTTTGCCTTCTCAGCTCCTTCAGCATTTGGGGGCCACTTTGCACATATGGCCCTTTCACGGAACAAAGAAAGGAAGCTTCCTTGGGAGTTTCCATGGAAGGAAGAGGGAAATATACCAAGGGGACGAATTTTTGAGTACAAGAGTATGTACAGTATATCTTTAGCTTTTTAATGTCCACATTGCTCTCCAAAATGTTATACCAATTTTTACACTTCTGCTGGCAATATATGAAGTGTTGTTCTACATTTTCACCAACACTTGGTATTATCAGACATTTTAATTTTTGGATATGAAATGGTAATTCCATTGTGACTTTAATTTGCATTTTTTAGATTACCATTGAGCATCTCTTCGAATGTTTACTAGTCATTTATTTCATTTTCAGCGAATTCCCTTTTCTAATCTTTTGCCAAGAAATTATGTCTTACTCTGAGCAACTGTTCTTTTCTACCTGTGTTAGCTAGGAATCTCTCTTAAACAAAAGCACATTCTATTTTATATATCAGAGCAACTTACAAAACTACCATAGTGCACAGTCTACATTTTGAAAGCTGCTAATCTATAAAATGGTCTAGAACTGATTAAAAAGTGAAGGGGGAAACCTGACATACATTTGTTTTCTTTTTCTTCTTCTTTCTTTTTTTTTTTTTTTTTTTTTGAGACGGAGTTTCACTCTTGTTGCCCAGGCTGGACTGCAATGGCGCGCGATCTCGGCTCACTGCAACCTCCACCTCCCGGGTTTAAGCGATTCTCCTGCCTCAGCCTCCTGAGTACCTGGGATTACAGGCATGCACCACCACGCCCGGCTAATTGTGTATTTTTAGTAGAATCAGAGTTTCACCATGTTGATCAGGCTGGTCTCAAACTCCTGACCTCAAGTGATCCACCCATCTCCGCCTCCCAAAGTGCTGGGATTACAGGCGTGACCCACCAAGGCTGGCCCTGACTTATACTTATAACAAGCTCAAATCACCAAAAATTTCACTCAGACTAGATCATTTCATCCTTGGGAATGCAAAGATCTTATTTAACTAAATTTTCAGTTACTCAGGTCTCTGAGTATATTACCTGTAGTTTCTGCAGATAGAAATGGTTCTAGGCTAGGCATGGTGGCTCATGCCTATAATCCCAGCACTTTGGGAGGCCAAGGCAGGCAGATCACTTGAGGCCAGGAGTTCGAGACCAGCCTGGCCAACATGGTGAAACCCTGCCTGTACTAAAAATACAAAAATTAGCCAGTTTGGTGGCGGGCACCTGTAGTGCCAGTTATTGAGGAGGCTGAGGCATGATAATCACTAGAACCCAGAGGCAGAGGTTGCAGTGAACCAAGATGGCACCACTGCACTCCAGCCTGGGTGACAGAGCAAGACCGTCTCAAAGAAAAAAAAAGAAATGTTTCTTGCTGTGGAGTGGTTGCAATACAGAAATCCAGTTTCTTTGGCCATCTCAAAATGCTACAAATGGTGAACTTATTTGTAATAAAAAGTATGAATTCAGGATCGTTATTTTAAAGGAGTCTGCACAGGATTTGATAGCTGGTTGGTAGTCATGCTACAAGCCAACTCAGCTATAATATTCTCACTGTGGCTATTATCAATTTACCTACTCAGAAAGGTGGAATCACTGAAATTATTGAATGTGCAGACAGAACTCTTCATGCAGATAATTTTTACTCAATGATTTAAAGCTATTAAATGCTTTTGCTACCATAAAGCTCAGCACATCACAGTTGGTGAACTGTGATGAAAATTTAACAAATTCTGTTTGATTTGAGGCTGCGTAGACACTAAGCCTCTGAAATCACTTGAAGCATATTTTTCCTAAGTTTTTTCTTCATAAAAATTGCATGTTTTACAAATTATGATGGAGCAGGTCAAATCTTCCCATTAGTATTTCTATTATTGTATAGTAATACAAGATCAAGTCTTAATGGAAATTATATTTAGAAGCTATGGATGACATTTTCTGAAATTGATTCTATGTTTAAATTTTCTTGTCAATGGGAAATACATATAACCATAAGTGAAAAATAAGCTAAAACATGTTTACCTTTTGATTTCTAATAATCGAAGCTGATATTTATTGAGCATTTACTATGCACCAGGCACTGTGTAAAATACTTTTTTGCACATTATTTCATTTAATTCTCACAAATTCATGAGGTAGGTTACGTTATTACCATTTATCTGATGAAGAAATGGTTAGAGAAATTAAGAACACTGCACAAATACTAGTTGTATGACACAAGTAATCCTTTCTTTCTTTCTCTTTCTTTCTTCTTTTCTCTCTTCTCTTCTCTTCTCTTTTTTCTTTTCTTTTCTTTCTGGCAGAGTCTCACTCTGTTGCCTGGAGTGCAGTGGCATGAACATGGCTCACTGCAGCCTCGATTTCCAGGGCTCAAGCAATCCTACCGCACGCTTCTCAAGTAGCTGGGACCACAGATGTACCCGCTACACCTAGCTAATTTTTAAATTTTGTGTAGAGACAAGGTTTAGCTATGTTGCCCAGGTTGGTCTCAAATTCCTGGGCTCAAGCAATCCTCCTGACTTAGCCTCCCAAAGTGCTAGGATTACAGGCATGAACCACTGTGCCTGGCCAATACTGCCATTCTTTATGCAAATATTTTTTTCAATTGTTATCAAGTAGGAAATCTAATTAACTTCAGTTTCATTGAATTTCATCTTTACTTCCTTCCTATCCATGGCTTATGAGAGAAGTGTTAACATGAAGCAACAAGGATTATAGTAAATAGAGAATTAATAATCTAAAATAACTGAGTTGGCCATATTGTTATTATAATTATGCTGAAGCTTATTTACATATTCTTTGTTTTGTGTTGAAGCCTTGAGCTCTGGTGGGGGAAAATCATGATTTTGATTAAACACAAAATGGGCAGTTAAACCTCTAAATAGTATACATGGAGAAAGCTGAAGTACATTTAATTATTTAGATAATCATTCCTGATTATTTAACTTACATATTTACAAGCCTAAATAAAATGTACAAATGTAAATAGTGCTTTTTTTTTTGGAGACAGGTCTCACTCTGTCACCCAGGCTGCAGTGCAGTGGCACACTGTAACCTCAACCTCCTGGGCTCAGGTGATCCTCCCATCTCAGCCTCCCAAGTAGCTGGGACTGGAGGCGCTGGCCACCATGCCCAACTAATTTTTTGTATTTTTTTGTACAGACAGAGTTTCATCATATTGTCTAAGCTGGTCTTGAACTTCTGGACTCAAACGATTGGCCTCGCCTTGGCCTTCCAAAGTGTTGGGATTACAGGAGTAAGCCACGTGCCTGACCAATACTGCATTTTTTGACTTCCTGTTTTCTATCCTTAAAGCACTGATTTCTTGGACCCAGTGAAAACAAATTTTTCAAGTTGAAGATTTTAAGTTAATGTAGTCATTCATATTTGAAGGATGTCATGATTTATTTTTTAAATTTAATGTCTTTACTATTGAAAATATTTCTTGTTATTATAGTTTACTTATACCCTAAATTAAAAATAAGTAGGCACTTCATATTCTGGATTTGCTGTCACTTGCCTGCAACAAAACAAGTAACTGGGTTTATCCTGGATGAGTCACAAAGCAAGAGCTTGGATTTTATCATTGGTTTCAGTTCTATTTTTAGAGGTATGGGGATACAAAAGAAGTTCTTAATTTGGAGACATTTAAAATGGCTTGTGTGGTTTTCTTCAGGAAGGAAGGATGCTGTCTAACTTCAGGACCATCACAGCACCCTTTAAATATGTAATAATTATTTTGTTCAAAATGTTTATGTTCCATATCTTATCGCTCAATGTATAAAATATCACTGCCACTGACATCAATGAAATTTTATGTGAAATGGAATGAGTTAGTAAGTGTCAAGTAGGTATTTTCCTCGTCCCTCAAAAAGTTATGTGCCCAAGTATAAATCATCAAAAGGATAAAGATTCTTTCCATCTATTGCTTACAGACTGACTATTGTTTAAAAAGGCACGAATTTCATAGACAAGTCTTTATCTCCTTCTTTCTTAAAAAAGCACAGAAAATGGGGAAAAATCTTCTATACTGCAATCTAAATTATAGGTAAGAAAAATAAAAACCAAGTGACATAGGAGATTGGCAGTGAATTTTCAAATATCAGTAATTTACAGGATTTACAGGATTTTCATTAGCGTTGTTTCCATGTTTTCTGTAAGATACGAACATTTAAATTGATAAGAATGGAATGTTCATATAACATTTCTTGTATCCATTTAAAGATTCACATTTTCACTTTAATATATAACTTAAGACTTTTCTTTCAAAACACATCTAAAAATTAGTAAAATGCCTAAAGGGAAGCTTTATTTACTTGGTAGAAAAGCTGAAAGAAAAAAAACATATTCTTCACAATTTCAGAGGTGACAAAAATCTCTTATATTTCAGTAGTTTCTGATCTCCCTTAAGGGATTTGAGAATTATATATAATATTGCATAATCTTAAGCTGATTAATGTTAAAGTGCTATTGGTCTATTTTAACTGTGTACTTCTTAAAATATAATGAAAGAATTTATTTGGTAATCCTGAATCTATTGACCTCACAAACACTGGTCATTATTTTGGTGGAAATATTCATAAGCATTTTTAGTTACTGATTTCTAACAATTGTTTCTTATTATCTTCCTGATTTTACAATTCCCCAAAGTAAAGGTGCGAAAAACAAACATCTACCCTCCTTTTCGACAAATGCCATGATAGAGGGGAGACCTGTGTGGTGTAAAGACAAATGCAGACATTTGGAAGTTGATGGTTTTAAGATTCAGTAAAAACTTGAGAGTTTTGGCTTCAAATCCCCACGCTAGTTTTAGTTCTACCGGATACGTGTCCCCTACCCATTTCAAAGGACCCAGTCACCTCGGCTCTTGCCTGAGTTTCAGAGTCCCGCCGGAGTTAGAGCTGGCAGAGTCCAATTGCTCAGAGCGCCGAGGCGGGGGCGGGGCAGGGGGACGCTTGCAGGTCCGGTGGTCCCGCGGGCTGCGAGCCCCCACGGCCGACCCTAGCTGCAGACCCTCCTGGAGAACCTCAGGCCTTTCCCCCAGAAACATCCCTAAAAGGCGTTCCCTTTGTTCATTCATTCAACAAATATTTGTTCAATCTCATATGCCCCTCTGTCTTGGGAAAACCAATTAGGGCCTCTGCAGCCTCAACACAGGGGCACTGTTCCCGCCTATTAATGACGCAATGAACCCGGGAAGACGAATCTCGACCACTGTTTCGCAAATACCGCGTGTGATTTATTAAATGCCGTCTCTCCGAGTCCCAAGCGGCCGGGAGCATTATGCCACCTCCCTTGCCCTCATCTCTCACTGCCATGCAAGAAAGCGTTAATGGCAAATAGGGCACGTAGCCACACTCCGTCGTTCCTGCTTCCAAGCAAACCTTGTGCCAGGTTCCTCATTTCGCGAGGCTCCACTCTCTTGGGCTTCAGGCTGCCGCTGGGCCTCCAGCACCAAAGGGCAATAGGGGTCTGAGAGTCCGGGCCTCAGGCATCTTCAGGCCGCAGGTGGGTGGAGAATAACGCCCGCGCGTGGCAGCGGCCCAGGCCGTCTCAGCCGGATTTTTCCATCCCCGGGGTAGGCTTGGTCCCCTGTACACTCCAGCGGAACTACAACTCCCAGCACCGTGGCTGCCCGGACTCCCGGAAGCCGAATCCCGGCTGGGAGGAAGCAGCTGAGACCCGGCCAACAGACTGGGGGTTAATTTAGCCAGAAAAGGGGGCGGGAAGGGCTGTAGGGTACTTGTCAATTCGCCGCCATGAACGTGGTTTTTGCTGTGAAGCAGTACATTTCCAAAATGATAGAGGACAGCGGGCCTGGTATGAAAGTACTTCTCATGGATAAAGAGACGGTGAGTTTGCTTTTGCTCAGCATTTGTGAAGGAACCCTCTCAACCTTACAATTGCTCGTCCCATTCCACTGTAGGACTTAGCATTTAATTAAACATACGAAAATGAGGGTCGGTTTGTGTGGAATTGAAAAGTTGTTTATATAAAGCTTGCCCGGTGGGTTTTCAGTCTACATGGCTCCAGCCACTGCCTAGAGACTACTTCTACCCGGAACAATTTATTGGAATCAGAAATCCTTTTCTAAATGTCCCCGCCAAGAAATCATTAATATGTCAGAGCACTTGGAAGGCTTTGGGATGGGCCTACTGTTTCCACTCAACATTGTGTTTTTAAAGTAAAGCTGTTGGAGCTCAAGCTGAAATGACAGATTATTTGTTGGCCACAGACCAGAAAACAAAACTCTTTAAGGTGATAGAAAAAAATATTTTTGGAAACTTATGGATTGTTCCTGTTCAAAGAGACCATGTTTTTTGTTTTTAATCTTGAAGCTTCAGCTGAAAGGATAGAGCGTATTTTTCATTCTCGTATGTTACCTACCTGTTTGGATGTTCAGTAAATGTTTTCCGTATATTACTATTTAAGTTATCCAGCTAAGTATTAATGAAAAAAGAGGGTTAGATGTGCTACTTGTTTTTATTATTCTAGACTAGCATACTTTTAGTTAATCTTTTGTTTTTACAGACTGGCATAGTGAGTATGGTATACACACAATCGGAGATTCTACAGAAGGAAGTGTACCTCTTTGAACGCATTGATTCTCAAAATCGAGAGATCATGAAACACCTGAAGGCAATTTGTTTTCTTCGACCTACAAAGGTACTGCATAAACTGAGCTTCCATCTGCCCAGGCAGATGCAGAACACTCTGATCTGAAAGCATTAAGAAGGCAAAATAAATTTGTATTATCATAATTTGTGGCATCATAATTATCCTGGTTCATCAGTGTTATAACCTTCATTTTTCTTGTTTTGTTTCCATATTTCAGTTGACCCCTTACAGCCAGTTCTTCCTTCAAGATGTTTTTTAGGTTCACAGCCATTCCCATTGCCACTAATGAACTACTCTTAACGGAGACCCACATTACTTTATTCCTGGATTAACCTCCGTATCTGTCACATTGAACACCATCAACACTTAATTTTATATACAGCTATGAGTGTCTTGAATCTTTGCCACTTTATTCACATTTATGCTCAGGAACCTGTGGTGGCTTGATGTTACTTCCATGATTAAATCTATATTTAGCCCAGCCATTAAAGCCCTACTTTGTTGGTTTGATCTGCCCATGTGTATCCAGCCTTCCTATGTCCTAGGTCTGCTTCTCCTCTATAGCCAGCTAGGCTACTGTTGGAATGAGCAATTCTACATGCTCATTCCTGTTCCTTGTTTTTTTTTTCTTGCACTGATTAAAAGTTCTTTGGCCATTTGTCACTTTTTATCCATCATCTTCTAAATCTAGCTTGAGTCTCTCCTTTAAAAAGCCTTTGCTATTTTAATCTTATTTGTTACACTTTTTTTTTTTTTTTGAGATGGAGTCTCGCTCTGTCGCCCAGGCTGGAGTGCAGTGGCGCAATCTCGGCTCACTGCAAGCTCCGCCTCCCGGGTTCACGCCATTCTCCTGCCTCAGCCTCCCGAGTAGCTGGGACTACAGGTGCCCGCCACCACGCCCGGCTAATTTTTTGTATTTTTAGTAGAGACAGGGTTTCACTGTGTTAGCCAGGATGGTCTTGATCTCCTGACCTCATGATCCGCCCGCCTTGGCCTCCCAAAGTGCTGGGATTACAGGCGGGAGCCACCGTGCCCGGCTGTTATACTTTCTTGATTCATATTCATGTTCTTCAACTCTAATGCATTTTATCATGCTTGTGCATATGAACTTTCCAAAATGCAAATTTGATCATGACACTCCTGCTTGAAATCCTTGAATGACTTCTCATTGCTTTTCTGATAAGGGCAAAACTCCTTAATTGTAGCCTTCAAGGTGCAGCATGGTCTGGTTTCTACCATTTCTCCAGCCTCATTTCGAACCATCCCCCTTTTGCACTCTGCATCTTAATCACCCTATGTATATCAATCCGCTATATTCCCCTTGTCCCGTCATGCCACGGGACGTTTGCATAGTCTTCTTCCTCTGCCTGGAACTTAACTTCTTCAAGTAACCCTTCACTGTTTTTGCTGACCAGGTCAAACCTGCCCCTTATATGCATTTACAACACCATCTTTATCTCCCTATTGTGTGTAATGGTTTGAACTTTTATATGGTTTATGTGATTACCAGCAGTAAGCTCCATGAAAACAGATATGATATCTGTTTTTTCTCACCCTATATTCCCAATTCCTGTCACACAGTGGACACTCAATAAACAGTTGCTGAATTAATGAACACATGCTGTGTTATAATAGTTTCCAATTGTTTCATGTTTGTAGCTCTTAGTCATGAAATTTTGGTTCAAGAGATATGTTAGAGATCATCTAGTTCATTATTTCCTAATGTTTTTTATTAGAGAAACTCTTTCACTGTTATGTACTGTCTCTCGAACTCTTTTAAGAATCTTTCCTTTTGGCCGGGCGCGGTGGCTCACGCCTGTAATCCTAGCACTTTGGGAGGCCAAGGCAGGCGGATCACGAGGTCAGGAGATCGAGACCATCCTGGCCAACATGGTGAAACCCCGTCTCTACTAAAAATACAAAAAAAAAAAACAACAAAAAAATTAGCCAGGCATGGTGGCAGGCGCCTGTAGTCCCAGCTACTAGGGAGGCTGAGGCAGGAGAATCGCTTGAACCAGGGAGTCAGAGGTTGCAGTAAGCTGAGATCACGCCACTGTAGTCCAGCCTGGCGACAGAGCAAGACTCCGTCTCAAAAAATAATAATAAAATAAAAATTAAAAATAATTTTTAAAAAAGAATCTTTCCTTTTTCTTTTTCCTCTTTTATATATTCTCTTTTGTCTTTTTCCACATTGTCTGAACTTTTAAGAATCTTTTAATTCACTTTGTTATTTTTGCCTAGCATATTACGAGGAAGTAATTGAGGTTTAAAAGATTTATTATTTAAATTTTTTGCCTTAAGATTATATTATAAAGTTAATTTGAAATCTAAATTGCATTTTTAAATCTAAATTACAATTTTTAAAACCCTTTCCCCATTAATAAGCAGTATATATTGCTTACTTTTTTTTAATTCTGTAAAGAAATGTGATTTTTAAAACAAATTAATATGTTTAGGGAACAATTTATATTGAAATTTAACCAGGTGTTATAGTATCAAAAACCAATAAAACCTGCATTATAATCTTATGTAATTGGAATCTTATATTTTGACCATATAAAAATCAACTTTTTTGTTTTAAACTTTCATACTTTATTTTAAAACAATGTAATTGTAGAAAAGATCTTAGCCTGCTACTTGCAAATACTTCACAAACATTGTAGTTGTGCAGAGTCTTACATCCCAATAAGTTAAAAGCCAAAGTGAATATAATTAACTTTATTTTCTCTTGCATGTTAATTTTTAAAGGAATAGACACATTTAATGCTCTATATAGGAATTTTGATCAGGCCAGGCGCAGTGGCTCATGCCTGTAATCCTAACACTTTGGGAGGCCAAGCCAGGTGGATCAGTTGAGGTCAGGAGTTCGAGACCAGCCTGGCCAACATGGTGAAACCCCGTCTCTGCTACAATTACAAAAAATTAGCTGGGTATGGTGGCACAAACCTGTAATCTCAGCTACTTGGGAGGCTGAGACAGGAGAATTGCTTGAACCCAGGAGACGGAGGTTACAGTGAGCCAAGATTGTGCCATTGCACTCCAGCCTGGGCAACAGAGTGAGACTTAATCTCAAAAAAAAAAAAAAAGAATTTTGAGCAAATGAATACAATTTATAGACAAGCAGCTTGATGTGAGTTTGCAGAATTATAATCAATTTTATGTTGTGTTTCAACATCTGTGTCCTTTATATTCTTTATCTTAATTGGCCAAAATGCAGCTGGTTAATATTTAATATTATACACATATTATTAAATAATATATGATTCCCGATCATTGTATTTAATTTATCTCTTTTGTCTCCAGCCCTTACCCACCAACATAAGCACACTTAACCTAGACTTCAATATGCAGTAGACGCAGTAAATAAACAAATCAATGGGTGAATGCTTATTACTTTTTTCCTTAAGCAACTCTCCTCATATTTTGTTTGCTTGTTCTTCATTTTCTAGGAGAATGTGGATTATATTATTCAGGAGCTCCGAAGACCCAAATACACTATATATTTCATTTGTAAGTATGTTAGTTCACTTTTTCAAACATGTAACAACATCCCAGTTAGTGTGTTTCATTGAGCCCTTCATATCATCAATAACTTCATTGAATCTGTCACTATAAAAGTCTAGTTTATTTAATGTCCTTCCAAAGTATTAAAAATCTTTTGACCTGCCGGGCGCGGTGGCTCACACCTGTAATCCCAGCACTTTGGGAGGCCAAGGCGGGCGGATCATCTGAGGAGTTTGAGACCAGCCTGACCAACATGGTGAAACCCCATCTCTACTAAAAATACAAGATTAGCTGGGCATGGTGGCACATGCCTGTAATCCCAGCTACTTGGGAGGCTGAGGCAGGAGAATCGCTTGAACCGGAGAGGCGGAGATTGCAGTGAGCCGAGATTGCGCCATTGCACTCCAGCCTGGGCAACAAAGCGAAACTCCATCTCAAAAAAAAAAAAAATACTTTTGACCAATATTCTGTTTCAGAGGGCTAAATGTGATTTCCATTCATCTTTGATTGCTTAAATTAAAAATTTTACATTTTACTTTGCCTTTCAAGATGCTTTGTAAGTCAAAAGTTTTAAGTAGACAAATTTCACATCTCACCCCTGCCAAAAAAAAAAAGTATATACTTATCCCTGTTTTACACTTAAAAATTGAGGCATGGAAGCTGATTTATTTTTTGAAGTGGGAAGGTAATACTTGAGTTTGCTGGAAAAGCAGAAATTTACTTTACATACCAGATAAAAGCCTTTCACTTCTCTTTGTTACTATATTTAATGCACTGAAAGTATAAATCATCAGGTAGTGATCTCTTATGTGCACAACTTTCTTGGAGTGGGGGTTAGGTAGGGGAGATCTGGAAATAAACTAGGTTTGTGTTTACTATACAATTTACATGGATTTTTTTGATCCAATACATTCGGCTGTAGAAGTTACATCTATTCTCCTCTAGATGTCATTATTTATCTTTATGTTAATAGTGTTAGTGTAGTCTATTTGGTAACATTTCCAAAACCAAGGACTAGATTTAACAGTAAGTAGGGCATTTGAGAAGTTTTAAAGCTTACTTAAAGGTATTAGAGTTTTAGGGTTTAGACTACAGTCTAAGACGTACATACTTTCTTCAGCGTATACTACTTAAATAGAATAATGATACAAAAAATTAACATTTGCGAAAAGACTATATATATATAAGAGCTCTCTCATATTTTATTTCATTCAGTTCTGTGTAGAATTGAAAAGTTACATAAAGCTTGTCCAGTGGGTTTTCAGTGCACGACGCCCCAAGAGGTAAAAATAGGCAATTTTATTAATCTGTGGCAACTTAATTTTTGTTTGTTTTTGTCTGTTTGTTTTTGGCTAATAGTCACAGGTTTTCTTTTTAAAATTAAACTTTCTATTTTGAAGTAATTGTAGATTCATGTGCAGTTAAAAAAAAAACAACGAATAATAATACAGAGATCCCAGATACCCTTTACCCAGCTTCCCCCTGTGTAGTATCTTACATGATGATAGTACAATATCACAACCAAGATGTTAACACTGATACAGTCAGGATACACAACATTTTCATCTCTATAAGGATCCCTTTTATTAGCTTATATGGACTTCTGTCCCACCCCAACCCCCTCATTAACCCTGGTAACCACTAATATTTTCTCCATTTTATATTTTGTCATTCGAAGAATGTTCTATAAATGAAATCATACAGCATATAATCTTTTGGGACTGGCTTTTTTCACTCAGCATAATTCTCTGGAGAGTCATCCAGGCTGTTCTGTGTGTGTGTGTGTGTTGTTTTTGTTTTTTTTTTTTGTCCGAGAAGCAGTCTTGCTTTGTCACCCAGGCTGGAGTGCAGTGTCGCCATCTCAACTCACTGCAACCTCCACCTCCCGGGTTCAAGCGATTCTCCCACCTCAGCCTCCCGAGTAGCTAGGATTACAGGTACACACCACCACGCCCAGCTAATTTTTGTATTTTTTTTTAGTAGAGACAGGGTTTCACCGTGTTGGTTGTCCAGACTGGTCTCAAACTCCTGACCTTGGGTGATACGCCCGCTTCAGCCTCCCGAAGTACTGGGATTACAGGCATGAGCCACCACACCTCACCTGTTGTGTGTATTAATAGTTCATTCCTCCTTTGAGCTGGAACTGCAAAAAAAAAAGTTTTCTTAATTTAAAAATAGTTCATTTCTTTTTATTGCTGAGTAGTATTCCATGGTATGAATGTACCACAGTTTGTTTAACTATACACCATTGAAGGACATATGAGTTATTTCCAGTTTTGGCTATTACAAATAAAGCTGCTATAAATATCTGTGTACAGATTTTTATGTGAACATTAAGTCTTCATTCTCTGGGGTAAATAACCCCCAGGAGTGCAACTGCTGAGTCATATGGTAATTCCATGTGTGATCTGCCCACCTTGGCCTCCCAAAGTGATGGGATTACAGGTGTGAGCCACCGCACCGAACTTTTAAAGACATACAAAAGTAGAATAGTATCATAAGTTCCAATGTACCTATCAGCTGGTTTCAACAATTATTGAGCCTCACCCAATCTTGTTTTAGCTATACTGTCACCTACTTCTCCAGCAATATTATTTTAAAGCAAATCTAAGACATTATATAATTTTATCCATAAGTATTTCAGTAGGCATCTCTAAAAGATAAGGACTCATTTTTTTAAAAAACACATTTCCATTATTACATCTAGATTAAAAGTGAAAAATAATTATTTATTCTTTTTTTTTTTTTTTTTTTTTTTTGAGACACAGTCTCCCTCTGTCACCCAGACAGAGTGCAGTGGCATGATCTCGGCTCACTGTAACCTCAACTTCCCAGGTTCAAGTGATGTTGCCCAGGCTGGTCTTGAACTCTTAGTACCATTTTCAAATAACCATTCAGCGTTCAAATTTAAAATTGTCTTTTTTTTTTTTTTTTTTTACAGTTTTTTAAAATCAGGATCAAAGTAAGGTTCACACATTGCTGTTGGTTGATATGTTAAGTTTCTTAATCTTCTGTATAGGTCCTCCCACCCCTGCCCCTGCTGCCCCATGCAATTTATTTATTGAAGAAACTGTTAAGTTTTCCACAGACTGGATCTTGCTGATTGCATCCCCAGGGGGTAGTTTAACATGTTCCTTGAAGTTTAAAATATTCCTCTGTCTTCTAGTTCCTGTAAATTCATAGGTGAATACAGAGCCTTAATTAGGTTAAGATTTGATTTCTTCTTGGCAAGAATACTTTATAGGTGGTATTGTGTGCTTTCATTGGCTGCTTATTCTTTTGATATTAGTAGCTGCTGATGCTCAATGCCTGGGTCCATTCAATTGATTCATTGGGGGTTAGAAAAAATGATGATATTCTAATTCTGTCATTAACATTTGTTAGTTATTGTTGAGCTGGAATGTTTTCACAAAGAAAAATTTTCCCTCATCTATTTGGTTACCTGGTAGTACAGTTTATATATAAAAGACAGCATGAAAGTTTACTTCTTTCTCCTTATTTTCAATAAAATGACTTACTTCCCTAGTATTCTCATTCTCCAATTCCTCCGATGGAGTCTTCCTCTATCGCCCAGGCTGGAGTGCAGTGGCCTGATCTGGGCTCACTGCAAGCTCTGCCTCCTGGGTTCATGCCATTCTCCTGTCTCAGCCTCCCGAGTAGCTGGGACTACAGGCGTCCGCCACCACGCCCAGCTAATTTTTTTTTGTATTTTTAGTAGAGACGGGGTTTCACCGTGTTAGCCAGGATGGTCTCGATCTCCTGACCTCATGATCCACCTGCCTCAGCCTCCCAAAGTGCTGGGATTACAGGTGTGAGCCACCGCGCCTGGCCAGTCCTTTTAAAATATATATATATATATATATAAAATTATGAATTTGTGGATTAAATATATTTTTGCTACCCATTCCAATTTGAAGGTCACTTATTCATTAGGCTTTAACTATCAGGCCCTTTTACATATATTGCAGCAGAAATTATCTCCTTTGAGTCAACCCCAACTCATGTGTTTCAGATTTCAGTAATGTGATCAGCAAGAGTGACGTGAAGTCATTGGCTGAAGCTGATGAACAGGAAGTTGTGGCTGAGGTTCAGGTAAACATATTGGTCCTGTAACACATCTCGTATGTTGGCCCTTTTTAAATATTTGAGTCTAAAAATAAAAAATAAGGAAAGGTCTGTCTCAAAAGAAGTTTTATTATGAATACTTGAATATGTTTATCACATAAATGAGGAATATTGTTTTCAGAGGCAGCAAATAAACTAGTTTTGAATTTTTCAGAAGGATGTGATAGGTGATAAATGAATAAAAAGAATACCTGTTTTAAATTATATTCTCTCTCATGACAACACATTGGACAGCAAAGTTCTTTTTTATCTGAGTAGAACATTGTATCTCCTATTAGCAGTATTTTATTTTTACTAATTGATAAGTATGCATAGAGGTCTCCAGAAATATAATGTGTATAACCTTACAACCTTTATTTGTTAGATTTATTATTATTGCTACTGTTTTGTAATTATTTTAATTCTCCCACGTTGACTGTTGTTACCCAATTATTAATTGAACAATTTAGTATCTCTTTACACCTGTATTTCACAAAGTTTGGCTATATCATATTATATCACTTATGAAAATATTACTGCTTGATACAATTGAAGTTTATGGAATGACTATTCTTGGTGCTTTATTTGCAGGAATTTTATGGTGATTACATTGCTGTGAACCCACATTTGTTTTCCCTCAATATTTTGGGTTGCTGCCAGGTATGGAAGGAAAGGTTTAATTTATCAGTCGAGAGTTAATTCAGCAAATAATTAGACTTGTAAGAGAAAATTCAAATATTTTCTCTGAATATATGTTTTTAACAAAAAGGGTCGAAATTGGGATCCAGCCCAGCTATCTAGAACAACTCAAGGGCTTACAGCTCTCCTTTTATCTCTGAAGAAGTGTCCCATGATTCGTTATCAGCTCTCATCAGAGGCAGCAAAGAGACTTGCAGAGTGCGTTAAGGTATGGCATTACCTATTCCTGGTTCCAAAACATAAAGGCCATTCATTTCTCTATCATATTTCAGAAACTAAAGGAATAGTTTATTTACAACCAAGGAGATGATTGTATGTTAGGTTTCCGCGAAAAGAGGTAGGTATATGTAATTTAAAACAAAAAGCAACAATTAGAGCTAAGATTCTTAGGTTTAACCCAAGAAACATTCACAAGCTATTTAACTTTTTTTGGTCCAGTTAAACCACTTATAAAATAGGGTTTCATATCCTAACCTCTTAAATAGTATGCTACTAAACTTTGTGAGACTTTTGAATCCTTCATATGGAAGATCTATGTGGGTGCAAAGAACTATTGTTAAATGTAGTGTTTATTAATTTCCTATTTATATCATTTCTATATGTAACTAGATGGTTGCACAAACCATCTTTCTCTCTCACCCACAGCAAGTGATAACTAAAGAATATGAACTGTTTGAATTCCGTCGGACAGAGGTTCCTCCATTGCTCCTTATTTTAGATCGCTGTGATGATGCCATCACCCCATTGCTAAACCAGGTACAAAACCCTTTCTTGGCATAATAGAAGGATAATTTTAAGTGATATTCATCAAAATACAGATAGGGAAGTAAAAACATGGTCCATTTATTTGCCTCCTTATTTTTAGCTATTCTTGGTTTTGCTTTGTATTTCCTGGTGTTTTGGTATCATGATTCTTCCATCCACTGTCATCATAACTCTTCTGCTTCATCTCTCCTGTACCTTTCTGCCAGTACCTCCACCCCTAATCAAGACAGCTTCTTAATTCTGTAGATTCTATTTCCCTGTGTTTCCTTCTGTCTCCTCATTTCCATGCTTACAGCCATTGCCTTGGTCTAGATCCTAATCTCTTGCAAGAATATTGAAATAGTCATCTACTTCGTTCCCTACTTTTTATTTCTTCTCACTCCAAATGTTCCACAAGTACAATTTCCTAAAGCACAGCTCTATCTTATTACTCTTGGCTTAAAAAACTTCATTGGTTCCCATTTGCCTACTAGGTTAAAAAGAAACTCCTGAACTTGGCATCCAAGAGCCTTCACAATGTGGGCTAAACCTCTTATAAAACCTAGAGTTCACCACTTACATAGATAATGCCACATGGTTTCCTGCCAGCATGCTTTTACTGTGACTGCTTTCTAAACTCTAGAATGTTTGGAATACCTTCTCTTCCCATCTTCACCTATCAAAATACTGCTGTTAAAACCACTCAATCTGGCCGGGCACGGTCGCTCACGCCTGTAATCCCAGCACTTTGGGAGGCCAAGGTGGCTGGATCACCTGAGGTCAAGAGTTCAAGACTAACCTGGCCAACATGGTGAAGCCCCGTCTCTACTAAAACTACAAAAAAATTAGCCGGGTGTGGTTGCACACACCTGTAGTCCCAGCTACTTGGGAGGCTGAGGCAGGAGAATCATTTGAACCCAGGAGGCGAAGGTTGCAGTAAGCTGAGATCATGCCACTGCACTCCAGCCAGGGCGACAGAGCAAGACTCCGTCTCCAAAAATAAATAAATAAATAAATAAAATGATTTATATGAATAATAGCAAAGAATAAAAAAAAGAAGAGCCGGGCGCGGTGACTCACACCTATAATCCCAGCACTTTGGGAGGTCGAGGTGGGTAGATCACCTGAGGTCCTGAGTTTGAGACCAGCCTGGCCAACATGATGAAACCCTGTCTCTACTAAAAATACAAAAAATTAGCTGGACGTGGTGGCAGATGCCTGTAATCCCAGCTACTCAGGATGCTGAGGCAGGAGAATCACTTGAACCTGGGAGGCAGAGGTTGCAGTGAACCGAGATCATGCCACTGTCCTCCAGCCTGGGCAACGAGAGCGAAACTCTTGTCTCAAAAAAAAAAAAAAACACTCAAAAGCCATCTCCAACATCCAGCCATTCTTCAACATCTCGAAGCCTGTATTCTTTCAGTCAGATATTGTTCTTATCTCCTGAAAATCCCTGTAGACTTGTAGACCTTTGTGTCTCTCTCATGTCTCATGCTGTACTTGCCATGTTGTAGCTTTGGTTGTTTACATCCTCTCCTACGTTACATATTTCTTCAAGGCAGACTGAGTCTCACCAGTGTTTTTTCTCCTTCAAGTATAAGAACAGTGCACATAGCGGGTGCTCTATTAATAGTGATTTTGTATGTGTGTATGTATTTATTGAGACAGAGTCTCTCTCTGTCACCCAGATTGGCGTGATCTCAGCTCACTGCAACCTCCGCCTCCCAGGTTCAAGCAATTCTCATGCCCCAGCTTCCTGAGTAGTTGGGATCACAGGTGCACACCCCCACACCTGGCTAATTTTTGTATTAAATATTTTTAGTACAGACAAGGTTTCTGTCTAAATATTGGCCAGGCTGGTCTCGAATTCCTGACCTCAAGTGATCTGCCCGACTCGGCCTCCCAAAGTGCTAAGATGACAGGCGTGAGCCACCACGCCCGGCTGTGACTTTGTATTTACAGAGAAAGGCACAGTCTATGTTTCAGTTTCTTCCCAGCTTGTACTAATGTTAATGCTAAGGGAAATCTGTGGAGTGAAACTTCTCTGTAGTATAAAATAGCCTTGTATTCCTAAAATTCAAAGTAATATATGTTCACCAAAGAAACTTTTGATAATATCAAAAAGTAGAAAGAAAATTAATTGCCTATTATTCTGTCTCCCAAAGAAAAGCAACTATTTATCCCACAGATTTCACTGGGGACTTCTTTTGTGCCACGTACTAAACTAAGTACTAGAGATAAAAGGTTAAAAGTTACAATTTCTGTCCTCAAAGAGCTCATGGTCCAATTATGAGAAAAATAAACATAATTTTAATTGTAGAGTAAGTGCTAGAAGCATGTACAAGAAGCTATCCATAAAAGCATAAAACATTTTGTTGTACGTTTTTTTTTTTTTGAGATGGAGTTTTGCTCTTATTGTCCAGGCTGGAGTGCAATGGTGTGATCTTGGCTCACTACAACCTCCGCCTCCTGGGTTCAAGTGATTCCCTGCCTCAGCCTCCTGAGTAGCTTGGATTACAGGCATGTGCCACCATGCTCGGCTAGTTTTGTATTTTTAGTAGAGATGGGGTTTCACCATGTTGGTCAGGCCGGTCTCGAACTCCCGACCTTAAGTGATCCACCCACCTCAGCCTCCCAAAGTGCTGGGATTACAGGCATGAGCCACCATGCCCAGCCTTGTTGTACTTATTTTAAGTGCGACTTAATGGAACTTGCTTTTTCAAGAATTCCTTTGGCAAATCTTTTAGGAAATAAGCACCTTCTTTTATAACCTTCTAAATTATTTCTTAATAAATCTAGTTTTCTTAAGATAAAATATGTATATAAATATTTCTAGCATTTAGATTCTAGATGCAGAAGGGAACATGCTAGAAAATACTTCATTTTGTCTAACAGACCTATGACTGAAAGTAATCTATTCTCCATAATTGGTGAAAAGGGAAAATTTGGAGATTTCTCATTTCCAGTTTTACCAAATAAATTCTCAATTTGTGAGACTGGAAACCAGTCCTTCCTCTCATCTCCCCTTAGGTAAAAATATAAAATAAAATGGGTTCAAAGGTAAGTTTCTGAATATCCCAGTGTTTTGATCAACTCACAAGGTTTTTCTGATAATATTAGTGTTCCCAGGACAAATATAGTACCACTCAGATCTGCAAGAACACACTTCTCATGCTGCAGAAAACCATAGAAGCATACAGGAAATGGTACAGCTTGTAACTGCAGTACCAATATAGCTCTATCTGTGAAGCCAAAAATATACTCTTAATTCACAGGCAAAAAATTGGAGCTAATAATAGCTCTAATTTGTTTTCTTTCTATCAAGAATATTAATCTTGCTGCCCTTTTTCCAAAAGTATGAAATCTAAAAGTATTTTGACTTTTCTTCAGTGTTTAATCAATTAAAATGACAGTCTTAATGCTTATAGCACAAAGTATGAATAAAATTTAACTCGAGAATCTTCATGTAAAGAAGACTAGTTAAAGAATGTTATCAGTTTTTATTTGTTTTCCTGAACGTTTACTATTTCCATATTCTGTCAGTTACCTTTTTTTTTCATAATTCTTTATTTAGTGGACATATCAGGCCATGGTCCACGAACTACTAGGCATAAACAACAATCGGATTGATCTTTCCAGAGTGCCGGGAATCAGTAAAGACTTAAGAGAAGTGGTCCTATCTGCTGAAAATGATGAATTCTATGCTAATGTAGGTGGTTTAAATTTTTTTAAATTGTCTTTAGTTGTTTTTATGTAAGAAGATCAATATTGGCTTGTTAGTATAGGGGCAGGCATGGGATTTCATGTGAAAGGATGATAGGGGCATCCTGTGCATAAACTGCCTCTGAAGGGAAGGCAGAAGACTTGGATTCTGACCCTTTAGCAATTTTTTTTCATAGAGATCACGTAGTTATTTACTTCTCTCCCCTCCAGTAGCTGTTTGTGAGAATAGTAATGGTATTCATCAACAGTGTCCCAGCTAATGTCCAAATTTGGTAATTAAAATAGAATTTCCCTGCCCTTCAATTCTGTGTTCCAAATTCTTTTTCACTTCTTTCAAGTTGTCTGAAAGTCAGACTAGTTGATGAAGTGTGCTTCCAACTTTCTTTTTCACAGAATATGTACCTGAACTTTGCTGAGATTGGTAGCAATATAAAGAATCTCATGGAAGATTTTCAGAAGAAGAAACCAAAAGAACAGCAAAAACTAGAATCAATAGCAGACATGAAGGTAAATTGAACATGTACATGAATGACAAACATGTGACAGTTTGGTACTATTCATGTAAGCAACACTTTTGGAATCTTCTGGGTCTAATTTCTACCTTGATTGATTTTATTTGGTTTGAGACTTATTTTCTGTAATGTCTTTAAACAATATAGTGAAAACTTTATGATAAGCCATGTGCTTCTTTCCATTCTTCAGTAATATCTGGACTATTTAAAGACTCAATCTATTGCTGGGAGCAGTGGCTCACGCCTGTAATCCCAGCACTTTGGGAGGCCGAGGCGGGTGGATCACCTGAGGTCGGGAGTTCAAGACCAGCCTGACCAACATGGTGAAACCCCGTCTCTACTAAAAATACAAAATTAGCCAGGTGTGGTGGCGCATGCCTGTAATCCCAGCTACTCGGGAGGCTGAGGCGGGGGAATCGCTTGAACCTGGGAGGCGGAGGTTGGGAGGTTGCAGTGAGCCAAGATCACGCCACTACACTCCAGCCTGGGCAACAAGAGCAAAACTCTGTCTCAAAAAAAAAAAAAAACTCAGTCTACCAACATATACCAGTTCTTCTCTTCTTAAGCATAACAAAATGCCATGTGGCTGAAAGTTGTAGATGCTTTAATCTGGGCTGAAAAACAACCCCCGCTTTCCCCAACCCCCATTCAGTACATGCTTATCCTCAGTCAAAAAATAACAGAACCTCCCATTGATGTTTTTCCCATGGCAGGCGTTTGTTGAGAATTATCCACAGTTCAAGAAAATGTCTGGGACTGTTTCAAAGCATGTGACAGTGGTTGGAGAACTGTCTCGATTGGTCAGTGAACGGAATCTGCTGGAGGTTTCAGAGGTTGAGCAAGAACTGGCCTGTCAAAATGACCATTCTAGTGCTCTCCAGGTCAGTCCAATTTGATGAGCACCTACTATGTGTAAGGCACTGTGCCAGGCAGAGCAAGAGATAAAAAGGCAAGTAATCCTTCTTCATCAACATGGAATTTAGTCCAACAAGGAGCTGACATGAGAACACAAATTAATATTATTTAAGATAGATCTATAAAAAGAGTCACAAGAGAAGTGTAATGTGCAATTCCCAAGGGTTCAGTTAATTAGTATAAGGGCAGCCTAGTCTACTAGAAAGAGCACCAAACTAGAATCAGAAGATCTAGATTGGAGTGTTTGGTATACCACTTACAGGCTTTGTGACATGGAGCTGTTGACTTAATCTCTGAGCCAGTTTCATTATTTGTAAAATAGGTATATTAATACTCATCTCACAGAGTGGTTAGGAAGACTTTAAAAGATAAAACATATATTAAAATGTATTGTCTAAGTTTTTTCATTATTGAAGATCTGCTTTTCATCGCACCAACATATTAATGCCTGCTATATGTATATACTACTGCTGTGAGGATCTGAATACAAAGATGAATAAGATACCACATTACAGTAGGGGAGAAAGAAATTTAAACCAGCAATTGTAATACCAAGCACTATGTACTATATTAGAGGTATTTACAAAGGAATATGGAAATACAGAGGAAGGACAACTGTTTTCCCCAAGGATGAAGCTTCTTAGCACTTCTTAGGGAAAATAACATCAAACAGGGAAAAGGAAGAAACATTCTCAGCAGAGAGAATGCAGGCATGAAGATGTGAAGAAATAAATATTGATATATATATATATTTTCTATATATATATAAAATATTTATATTTGAAATATACATATATTTAAATATATATATGGGAACAGAGAATAGTTCAGTGTGGCTAGTCCAGGGTACAAGATGAGTGGTCTTAGACTGGAAAGACTGACTGAAGCCAGGTTATGGCCATTGGAAGGAAGTTGGGCTTTAATCTTAAAATGATGGGGGCTCCCGGAGGATTTTAGAAGAATAGCAACATAATCAGACTCTGGCCTCAAGAAATGTATAGTCTAGTTGAAGAGACAAAACTAAAGCACAAGAAAAAATTAGATAATGTTTCAAGATGAGAATTAAGTCATAATTGTAATACTGACTGTAACAGGTTTTGAGGTTATTAGGAACAGTTCTTAGAGAAGGCAAGATTTGGATGGACCACAAAAGAATGAATAGAATTTGGGGAAGGAGTTCAGCCAGGAGCAGCAAAAGCAAAGATGTAGAAATATGCAGGAAGTAATAAACAGTTTGACCTGTAGAGAGTGAGTATGAAACAGAATTAGATAAAATTGAATTGGTAAACAAAAAACAGTTTACAAGCTTTATGAAGAGGCTTGTAAGAATTTATACCTGCTGAGATAAGCAAAGAGATCCAGTATAGGATCTTATGTAGAAAGTTGAGGTGAGGAAGGCAGTATTTTAGGAAATGTAACCTAGTAAGGATGCTTTAGAGGTGAAAAAACAGGTCAGAGAGACTTGTAGACTTACAGTGATAGTAGTAAAAATGTACAGCAAGGGGCTGAACTGAAAAACATTTCAAAGGGAGAAGAATTAGACGACAGGCTGGATATAAAGATAGAATAAATCAGAGGTAATCCCATGTTTCCTGAGAAATGACAAAGTATGATGTCACTGACAAGTAATTTAGGACTACGAGTCCTTTAGGAAATAGCCATTTCTAAGCCACTTATAAGAAGCACATTTCCCTGTTAATAGGGCCCTATATTCTAAAGCTTAGCTTCTTTCTTTCCCAGCTACAGTTCCACTTTATTCTATAAAATAATGCCAACCTGTTATATTGGAAACAACTCAGGTTTTGGACCCAGACTGGCTTGGCTTATATCCTACCTCTCCTTACCAAAGTTTCTTTGGGAAAATTACTTGATTTGCCCAAGTCTTGGGGATTATGATTTCAAACTTTCAGACTGTTACGATGATTCAATGAGATATGTAAAATGCTTCACATGTAATAGGTGCTTTGTAAATGTTAGTTCCCTTCCTCTAAGCATGATTTTTTTTTTACACATAGTGCAAACAAAAGAAAGAAGTCTACCTGTGGGTGCTCTAGTTATACCAGGGTCTTTACTGGGACTTATTGTTGTTGGGTTTTGGATCAGAACCTAAAGTCGCATTCTTTTTAATCACTAAATAGTATCCTTTGTAAAGATGTATCCTAATCTATTTAACTTGGCCTTTAAACAACACTACTAATAGTATTTTATAGTTGTTTTGTGGGCCTAATAGAAATGTCCTGATATTTACCACAAAAAATGAGTTTTCTGCCTCTTATTAAATAAAAAACAAAATTGTGTCCCGTAACTAAATTTAAATTTCTTATATTTCTTTATCATTTGATTTTTCCCTTGAAAACAGTAGAACCAGACTTAATCACTAGCCAGTTTTACTGTCTTTATTTGTATCTCTCTACATGTGGAAAGCAATTAGAAAAAGTTCTTGTAATAACTTGTCTGAAACTTTATTTTTGTGTTCACTTTAAAAGAAAAATAGTCACTTTAAAAATATAAATTCTATTTGTGATCCACTTTTTATTTTTAGAACTTATCTTTTGAAGGTTTTCTTGTCTAGGGTATTGGGATTTTACAGTGAGCAGTTGATTTGGAGTCCCCCATCATAAACGACTTATTTGGCAACATAACTTAAATAGTCTATAAAGGGATCTTTTGTTTGATAGTAAGTGGATGTCAGGGGCCTGACTTCTAGAGGGGTTATAGCATTCCTTGGCTTGACCTTAGATGATAATACGTCATGAAGCAATGAAATGAGGTTTGTGAGTAGAGATGGGGTTTGCTTTATTGAATAGTATCATGACAAGAAAAAAAAGCATGTATTGCTAAAAGTTAACTTAAAAATTGCTGCCATTCTAACCATTATTTTGTAGGCTAATGAAAATTTCATTTAGAAAGAATTTCACTAGAACCAAAGTGAAATTTACTACCACTGAAACATATACATATCCTCAGAAGAGATTTATTAATTAGTAATGAAGATTTGCCATACCATGAAGAAAAGCATCTTTAGAAAGTGAGCAATTCCACCCTTACCATCCTCCCTATACCCTGCCCCCCATGCCCAGCCTGTGTTGTCATATCACAGTTTTTCATTTGGAGAGAGGAACCAGTCTATTTTGTATTTTTTCCTGACCTTTCATAAAGATCTCAAATCATCCTGTTAATGATACATAATAAGGACTCAATAAATATTTATTAGAAAAATGAGGAGGAAGAGCTCTATTTGAAGCAGTATAGAGTAGTGGCTAAGAGCTTGGGCCTTTGATGGCTTGGGTTTGAAAATAATTCCTAACCACTCTAAAACTCAGTCCTTTTGTCTATAAAGGGGGAAAAATAATAGTACTTACCTCAGAATTGTTGTGAGAGTGCAATGAGCTAATACATGTAAAACACTTATGGTACTTGGTACTTACAGCTTTCAAGAAATATTAACTACCAACATTAAGAGTATTATTATTTGATGGTACATTTAATTTTCTTAATGGCATCCAAGACATGTTTTTTAGTTCAGTGATAGCCTTGTATCTCTCTGATTTCAGAAAAGTGTTTGGTTTTTTTGTGTGTGTGTTTTGTTTTGTTTTGCCACTCATTAAAATTATAAGAAAAGTGGTTGGGACACATTGAACTGACTGACAATTTTACTTTGATTAATTAAATGTAAAAATGATCCTTTTACTCTAAAACAACATTTAGCCAGTATTTTAGAAATAGTATTGATCAGCAGAAGATCTACTGCAAAGCTCAATTTTATGTTGACTAGTCATTAAGAAAAGGAATACTGGCTCCGATGTATTTACCAGTCAGTAGAATTGGGTCTTGTCTGCTTTCTATCATTTTTCCCTGATAAGCTTTTTATATTCCCACAACACTGTTCTCTCAAACTGTTAGGCTCATTTTTGTCAGATCAGCATGTGGAAGTCTTCTGCCAATTCCATCTTACTGTCCTAATCTGTTGGTTTATTTTGTTATTCTCTGACTTTACTACATTAATATAGTAGATAACAAAGAAGGGATCCTGTTCTTTAGGTTAAACTAAAACAAAAAAAAAGACGGAGACTATCTTTATTACCAAGACCAACTGTAATCTGTATAATAGTTTGAAATGTGTGTATGTCATAATGATTTCTTCTTGCTGTGCTGCTTTATCATAGTTTTGATAGAAGAAAACAGAAAAGTAAAAAAAGATTTAGCCAGAAACAATGGAAGAATCTCTAAATATCAGAAAAGAAGAATGGTTTTCTCGTTGATGTCTTATAAATGAATGTTAGTTCCTTTAGGAAACTTGATCTCCAAAGACACTATTTTTGCTTTGCTTTGCTTTGCTTTTCCTATTCCTTGATTACGCCCACACAAATGTTAGAGTTCAGTGCAAGGTTTTCGAATCCTGTCTTCTTAAGTAGATGACAATTTTCTGTTTTGCTCTTTACTCAGTCATTGTTATAATGTGACAGTGTTCTTTTCTAATAGTCACAAGGCTGATGGAAAATTTAATAAGAGAAACCAAAAAATTATGTAATTCAGTTAATTTCCAACAGATAAATACTACCGTGTAGCATATAACTTGCTTTGTAATTATAAGCCTCTCTGATTCTTTTTTCTCCTCTTCTCTGGTTAGTGCCCTGAAATCTCAATGTAATGTATGCCACTGTCAATCAAGTTGACAAGTCAAGTAGTTATGAGGGAAATCCTTCAAAATGAAGTCAAAGGATAAAGTGGGATCAAGGCAGACAAAAAGGTCCTGCGTCTCCAAGGACTGATACAGCTGAAAGAAAAGAAAGAACTCAGCTTGTACCTACAGGTTTCTTTTCATGAGAGAATAGATGCCTCTAGCTAGAACATGGACCTGAGCCATGAGTTGGGTCCTAAGGGCTCAAAAGTAGGCAAAATAATTACTCGCAGTAAGCCTGGTCAGATCTGGGCCAAGTCCTCAGTCAAGAACTAAGAGTCAAGCCAGGCAATCTAAATACCACTACCAAGTCTCAAGGAATGGAAGTGGATTTTTTTTAGGATTGATGCATAATGATTGTACAGATTTATGGAATACAATGTGATGTTTCAATACATGTATACATTGTGTAGTGATCAAATCAGGGTAATTAGCATATCCATCACCTTAAACATCTGTCATTTCTTTGCGATAAGAACATTTAAAAACCTCTCTTATAGCTATTTTGACATATATAATACATTATTGTTAACTCTATTCATGCTACTATGCAATAGAACACCAGAACATATTCCTGCTATCTAACTGTAGCTTTGTACCTATTAACCAATTTCTAACCACCCCTATCCTTCACCATCCCATCCTCTGGTAACTGCTATTCTGCTCTCTACTTCTATGAGTTCAATGAGAACAACTTTTTAGATTCCACATATGAGTAAGATCGTGCACTATTTGTCCTTCTGTGTCTGATTTATTTCACTTAATGTAAGTCCTCCAGGTTAATCTGTTTTGCCACAAATGACAGGATTTTGTTCTATTTCATGGCTGAATAATAAATATATATATATATATATATATGCTGCTATTTTCTTTTCCCTTTTTTCTTTTTTTTTTTTTTTGAGACAGGGTTTGGCTCTATCGCCCAGGCTAGAGGGTAGTGGTGCAATCTTGGCTCACTACAACTTCTGCCTCCCAGGCTCAAGCTACTCTCCCACCTCAGCCTCCCCAGTAGCTGGGACTACAGGTATACACTGCCATGCCCAGCTAATTTTTGTATTTTTGTAGAGACAGAATTTCACCATGTTGTCCAGGCTGGTCCCCAGCTCCTGAGCTCAAGCAGTCCACCTGCATCGGCCTCCCAAAGTGCTGGGATTATAGACCTGAGCCACCGTGCCCGACCTAAATACTGCTTTTCTTGGTCCATTCATCTGTTGATGGACATTTAGGTTGATTTTATATCTTGGCTATTTTGAATAGTGCTGCAGTAAACATAGGAGTGCAGATAGCTCTTCAACATACTGATTTCATTTCCTTTGGATATATACCAAGTAGTTAGATTGCTAAATCATATAGTAGTTCTATTTTTAATTTTTTAAGGAATCTTCATACTATTTTCCATAATGGCTGTACTAATTTACATTCCCACCAGTTGTGTGTAAGGGTTCTTATTTCTCCACGTCATCATCAACAACACTTACTATCTCTAATAAGAAACAGCCAAGAGTCAAGATCCAAGTGAAGGTAAATAGAAAAGGGCAGAGACTGATTACTGCAAATAGTCTTTGACTGTCATCATACCAGTTTTGTGAATTTATAGTTACTTGGATTTCTCAGATTTGCTTAAAAGTACAGAGACAGATCAGCCAGAAAAGGTGGTAAGAGAGTGACTGCAAGGGCAGGAAATGAGACATTGTGCCTATAAGAAAAGTAACAACAGAAATCCCAAATGGGATTTCTTTTCTTTTTAAAAAAATTTTTTAAAATTTTTATTTATTTATTTGAGACAGTTTCACTCTGTCGCCCAGGCTGGAGTACTGTGGCACGTAATCTCGGCTCACTGCAACCTCCGCCTCCCAGGTTCAAGCAATTCTCCTGCCTCAGCCTCTTGAGTAGCTGAGACTACAGGCACCCGCCACTACATCCTGCTAATTTTTTGTATTTTTAGTAGAGAGGGAGTTTCACCATGTTGGCCAGGCTGGTCTCGAACTCCTGACCTCAAGTGATCCACCTACCTCGACCTCACAAATTGTTGGGATTACAGGTGTAAGCCATGGCACCCGGCCCCCAACAGGATTTCTTAATGTTTTAAACTTACGCTGTTGATTGAGATACATACATAATTTGTACCTGAAATTTCTTCATATTATAGTAGAAAATAGTGGAACATTTGAACAGATACCCTAAATGGGCTGTATTCCGTGGCTGCTCTAGGGGAAAGATCCCATGAAAGGAAAAAAATAAGAAAAATCTTACGAATTTGGGATCGAAATCTACAGAAGAGAAGTTTCTCCCTTTTTGATCCCTTAAGGATGATGGTAGTGAAATAGTAACCCAAAAAATCAACAATAGAAATCTCTTTCAGAGAACTCTGTACTTGAAAGCTACATGGGAGGTTCCCCATTATCATCATAGTCCCTAGTCAGTGTGAACAGAAGAGCTCTTAGACATTGGACATGGTTGTTGTCAGGTACAAAAGAGATAATGTACGTGAAAGCATTTTGTAAGTTGTAAAGTAATCATATAGTTGATAGTTATGTCCTCAGAATTCAGTGCCCTTCAAGGCTCTTGCCAGCCTTTCAAACCAAGCCATTTCTTCCTCTGATTTCCATATTTATTTTGATAGTGCCACTGCTTTTGGTCTCTCACACTGGTTCCAATACTTACTGATTCTTCAGGACCTTTGGCAAGTGTCACCTCTGTGAAGTCTTTCCTAATTTCTCAACAACCCAATATACTTTCTCTTCCCCTTTCTCTCCCCTTCCTCTTTTGCACTGATTTTCAGCTTTTGCTTTTTGTTTTGTTTTTTGCATACATGTTTCTGTTATAACACCACATATTTGTTCCTGAAAAACCTCATATTCTATAAAAACATGCACTAAAAAAAGGGTTATGAGAATATAGGGTTATAAGCAGACCACTTAAAATCTACATGACTATAGAAAGAAAGAAAACATTCATATAATTTTTAAATCAGAGCCCTAATAAAAATAGTAACAATTATAATAAAAATACTAGCATGGTTAAATCTCCACCGGCATTTGCACCTAGAAATAGAGCCAGTCCATCCTCTGCAGCCTTATTCCTGGGGCTCATGTTTTCTTCAAATTATAAGGTCTTGAAAATACTCACTTCTCATAAAGACTACTTTGTCAAAATTAAAAATACCATATGGAGACAGCTTTCTTCATCAATCAGTGTTTGATTGTTATTTTGTTTTGTTTTGCTTTTTTACACAGTGCAATATATTTGCATCCTTTTTATTTGCACTTGCCCTTTCCCCATATAGCATAACACAGTGGAAAGTGCAACAGTTCTTGAAGCTACAAAACCAGATACTTCTTGCAGAACACACTTCTGTAGGATTATCATCTTTTTTTCTTAAGGTATTGGTAAGGCTTCCCCTTTAATCATAAGAAAGCCTATCCATTCTGGAAAAATTACATGTGAACCAATATGCCTTCTGTGTTAAACTGACACCATTTCCATATTTATCCATCTCACAGAACTAAAGTACATTAAAGAAACATGTATATAGCAGAATAAATTATATTACTTTGATCATCCTTCACCCCATTGACTGTGAACTCACTGGGGACAGGAATTGTCTTTAACTTATCTGTGTGCCTGCAACAGTGCATGACATACTGCCTTATGGGGACTCAAAAGTATTTGTTGACTTGAATTAAATTATTTGTTCTGCTGCATAATAAATATAAATCTATACTATATGGAAGGTCCTGAATATGAGGATTAAAAAATGTAAACATGGCTTCTCCTGGCCCCCTTTCCTATCGGTACCTGCCTCTTAAAATCATTAAGTACTAAATCTAGAGATTACATGCTATTACATACTCATCTCTGTCAACCATGTTGAGACATGTTCTGATGCTTCTTAGAGATCAAGCCCAGTCTGTGTAAAATTCTACCAACTTGTCTCCATTTCACTGGTCAATCATTAATACTAAGAGAAAGCAGTAGGTTTTGCAAATCAACTAGTCAGTTTTGTTGTGCCGTATTGATTCAAGTCGTGGAAATAGTAAGTGTTCTTTCAGCAAGGAAATTACAACTTCAGCTATTGGAAAAGAAAAGTGGAACTATCCATTATTAAATTCATTTTTGTCCTAAAGCAATTACAATGGAAATATATTTCCTTATTTAATTCTTACCTTGGACAAAAGGCATTTAATTTTCTATAGTTGAGACAGTTGCTAAATGTATGACTTATAATTGTCATAGTAGTGATGTATCACTACCATTCAATAATTATTAGATCTAAGGCATTGTACAACAGATGACTCAAGTGAAAGGGGGATAAATATAAGTTCTATCTTTCTTCAGAATATAAAAAGGCTTCTGCAGAACCCCAAAGTGACAGAGTTTGATGCTGCCCGCCTGGTGATGCTTTATGCTTTACATTATGAGCGACACAGCAGCAATAGCCTGCCAGGACTAATGATGGACCTCAGGAATAAAGGTGTTTCTGAGAAGTATCGAAAGGTAACCAGTTTCCATATTAGCCCACCAAACAGGAACCAACTCTGTTATTATATTCTTAGCTCTAACGAATGATAAATCATACTATTTTTATTTACAGAAATGTATAATTCTGTCTTTTCATTTTTGTTTCCTTAATAAAATTATTTTCTTATGAAATGGGCTTCCTGATGCCTAAGCAATCAAAATTTGCTTCTCTTTCTTAATAGCTCGTGTCTGCAGTTGTTGAATATGGTGGTAAACGAGTCAGAGGAAGTGACCTCTTCAGCCCCAAAGATGCTGTGGCTATCACCAAACAATTCCTCAAAGGACTGAAGGTATAGACATCTCCTCTATGCTCTCCTGAGTGAGAACAGTTGAAGTCCTTGAGGCTGAGAGTGAATGAATATGATCTTCAAAGTATCTTGAAGATTGCTGCTAATTTAGTACTGTGTCAGTTAAATGAAATTAAAACTGGCATCCTCTTGAAAGCTTTTTCTTTTAGTGCTTTCTGTCTTAGAGCCGTATCAACATTGGACCAAATAGCTTAGCAGGAAATAACTGGAGGTATTTCCAGGAAATAAGAAGAAAAAGACCAACAGTTCTGTTAGTCACAGATATTTTACACCATTTGTTTATAATTAAAGATTTTTTAGGTAGTTTCTCTTTGAAGGAAATTAAAGATGAAGCAAACTTTTGATCTTTTAAAAATACTAACCTGTTTTCTTAAAATACTCAAAAATTAATTCTAATCTGCTAGCCTTTCTTTTTTTTTTTTTTTTTTTTTTGAGACGGAGTCTCGCTCTGTCTCCCAGGCTGGAGTGCAGTGGCGTGATCTCGGCTCACTGCAAGCTCTGCCTCCCGGGTTTTACGCCATTCTCCTGCCTCAGCCTCTCGAGTAGCTGGGACTACAGGCATACACCACCTACACCCGGCTAATTTTTTTTTGTATTTTTAGTAGAGATGGGGTTTCACCGTGTTAGCCAGGATGGTCTCGAACTCCTGACCTTGTGATCTGCCCGCCTCGGCCTCCCAAAGTGCTGGGATTACAGGCGTGAGCCACCGCGCCCGGCAGCCTTTCTTATGTTTCCTGAAGTTTTTCTATTTTCCTGGGTATTTTCAGTCTTTTTTATACATAATCCTTTCCTTTTATTTGCTCTACCTATCATTTAACATTTCACAAAAGGGTGAGAGACAGTGAAGACATGATTAAGGATTTAAGCAATTCCATTTTTAAAAAATCCTTTACAATAACTAGCCCTAAATTACAGAGTAATTTTTATGAGATTAGAACATTTCTAGCTGATTAAAATAATTTTTAAATTTCCCACAGTTACGTAAATCTATCCCATGAAATCTCTATTGAGTGTATGTCCTTTTCTGATATGAATATTATTAATTCTTGTGTTGCCAATTTCCCAAAAATGACATAAGAACCATTTTCCCCTGTTTTAGGGAGTAGAAAATGTATATACACAGCATCAACCTTTCCTACATGAAACCCTGGATCATCTCATCAAAGGAAGGCTTAAGGAAAACCTATATCCTTATTTAGGCCCCAGCACACTCAGAGACAGGTAAGCTAACAAAGATATTAATAATAAAAGCCAGAAATACTGAACAAACAGAAAATTTAGAGTAATGTTAAGGACTAAAGCTGAGGTTATAGCATTCTGCTGCTCCTTTCTTCTGTTAAGATTCTTTTGGTTTTACATATGTCAGCATTAGATATGAATTCCCCTGCTAAGTCTGAAACATTTATTTCTTTTGTACTAAAGAAACAAGTGTTTTGGAGAGCCTCAAATCCTTCTGTATTTCAGTATCAGACCAGTTTACTTATGCCATTTAAGGTTCTGTTCGATGGCATCTGGCATTTGGTGTTTCAAACATTGAGGCCAAAAATAGGCTTGCTGCTTGATTGCCATCCAGAGCAGGTTGTTACTATTTTTGGTGAGGACTGGACTTTGCCAAATGTTGCCAGCACACAAACTGAGAGACCTAATTAATAAAGGCCATTTGTTACACAGGAGCAAAGGATGGCTTTCTTTTTGAGTATTAACTAAAGGAAGCAATAATTGTCATCTTAATCCAGTGGTTAATTTTTAATAAAAACAAAACTTGTCCAGAACAACTTATTTAGGCCAACCTGAAATTTTAAATACTGTATACATAAATTCTACCTAGTTAAAAATTATATATTTTTTTTGTTGGAACACATGTTATCTAAGGGGCTAACATATATACTTGAATCCTATTGGATAGATTAATGTGAAAATTTTACTGTTGACATAATTCTTCTATTATTTCAGTTAATAAACATCTAAGAGCCTTGGAAGTATAGTGTTTTATAAACATAATGAGATTCTGAATGAGAAAAATGTTTTGAGATACATAGGTGATTCTTTTATGTGATAAAGTGTATTTTTTCACTTTGTCCTTTAAAAAATTTTTTTCTGTAATTTGGTACAGAACAGAAAAAAAAATCATCTTTTAAAAGTCCAAGGTTGAGATGCAGAACATTTGGTGTTAAATTCAGAGAGTACACTCATTCAGATAAAATGTTTAAAGACCTTGGGATCAAGATTCAGAAATGTCAGCTAAGTGGGAAGAATGAACGCCAGCCCAAAGTTATGCACCTATCTGAGAGGCTTTTTAAAAAACAACTATTCTTGAGCTTTTGCATTAATGTGATAAATAAAAACATTTATTTGCTTATGAATTTTTATAAGAATTACTGAACAAGGAATTATTTATTACCAAAGGGAAACCACAGGCCACCGGAAGAATATACTGTATATGATCAGTACACAGCAGGAAACCTTTCTAATTTACATAATTCATTCCCACACAAAGCTCAAAATTATATTCCTTGAACAAAATGCACATTTATCAGTTGTCAACATCTGTTACCATTTGTCACTATAACCTAAGTATGCATATAGTTAATAATTCAGTTGCTTTGTCCTTTTACACAACAGATGTTGATTGAATGCTTTCAGTATGTTAAGAGCTGTTGTAGATGCTGGCGATATAGAAGTGACAGGAAAGACAAGGTACCCGCCCTCAAAGAACTTACATAGAGACAATGAGTAAACAAGTAAACAAATGAAGAATATAATTTTAATAAGTGCTATCCAGGAAATAAATAGGGTGATGAGCTTCAAAGTAATTGTAGGGGTGGGGAGGACTACTTTAGATGGAGAGAGAACCTCTCTGAGAGGTGATATTTAAGATGAGCTTTGAGTCATAAGAAAGAACCAGACCAGACACGGTGGCTCACGCCTGTAATCCCAACACTTTGGGCGGCCAAAGCGGGAGGATCACCTGAGGTCAGTAGTTTGAACCAGGCTGGCCAACATGGCAAAACCCTGTCTCTACTAAAACTACAAAAATTAGCCTGGCGTGGGTAGCAGGCGCCTGTAATCCCAGCTACTCAGGAGGCTGAGGTAGAAGAATCGCTTGAACCTGGGAGGCGGAGGTTGCAGTGAGCTGAAATTTGCACCGTTGCACTCGAGCCTGGGCAACAGAGTGAGACCCCATCTCAAAAAAAAAAAAGCAATCACACTATGATTAGGAGAGAAAGCATCCAAAGCAGAGGGAAACACCAGAGCAAAGGTCTTGAAGAAAGAGAGAATTTGGCAAGTTAATGGAACAGAAGGGAGCCCTGCTTGGCTGGAGCATAGTGAATAAGGAGGAAATAAGAGGTTGAAAGATAGGTAGGGTTGGATCACATCGGTTCTCGAAGACCCTAGTAAAGAGATTTTTTTTTAATGTCATAGGAAGCCATTGAAGAGTTAAGCATATGAGTAACATGAACTTAATTGTGTTTTAAAAGATATTTGTGGTAAGAATGGATTATTGAAGGCAAAAATAGAAGCAGAGAGACTACTGAGGAGATGAATGCAGTAGTCCAGGTGAGAAATGGAAGTGGTTTGGGTAGGAGGCTGAGAGAGAAGCCAGAATCAATAGTCATATTTAATGGCACAGATTTATGGAACAAGGGTAAGAGAGAAGTCAAGAATAACTCTCAGGCTTTGAGGAGAAACAGAGTTTTGTTGTTCAGTTGGAGATGTCTATTAGATAACAAGTAGAAATGTCACATATTGAGAGTTGACAAAAACATTAGTAATATTAAAACCTCTGGAAATGTTGAACTGCTCCAGATTAAACATGGAAAAGGCAACTAGTTGGGGAAATGGAAACAAGAGGAGAGTGTATTGGATCATGACAAAGGTATTGGTGAATGAATTGGAGATTTGATGAGGCCAAAGAATTATTACAGAAGAGTATTAGTACAGGTAAATTGGAAGTTGAGAGGTAGTTATTGGATAAAGATATTTTGAATTCAAGATTTCATAGGGGGTTCAGATACTTGTAACGAAGAAGTTTAGATTGTAAGCATGGATGTGGGTGGTTGTAGTGGGTAAAAGAAAAGATCAGGATTGGTAAGGAGACCAGGATGTTAGATGAGTAATCCACAGTGATGTTAAAGTCACTGACAATCTTGAAAAGAGAAGGAGAAAAAGGAGGACAAATAAGCCAGAGCTAAAGTCTTCATGGAATAAAAGTGACCAGGAAAGGAGGTCAGGAGAAAACGGTGCAGCTACATTATGAGCTTCTAAGATAGTGGAAATTTTGAAGGAAGAAGGCAAAGAAATGGTTACAAAACTACAGTGGGTGTCACAGAACATACCTATACCACCTCCTGGCCATGCCTAACAGAAGGAATACTGCAAAGGACTTGAAAATACTCTTATTTACCAATTCTACTTCTAAAAGCTTACTGTATAGATATTCCTGTGCAAGTACACAAAGATACTTAAGCCAGGATGTTCACTGAAGTAATAGCAAAAAAACTAGGAACAAGCTAAATATCTATTAATAGAGGGCTGGTTACCTAAACTACAGTACAATATTACGTATTCTTTTTTTTTTAAATGACATAACTCCTCACGGGTGATATGCAAAGCTTTTTAAGATATATTAGATAGAAAAGCAGGATGTTGTAACATTTCTTTCTTTTTTTTTTTTTTTGAGACAGAGTCTTGCTCTGTCACCCAGGCTGGAGTGCAGTGGTGCCATCTCGGCTCACTGCAATCCCCGCCTCCTGGGTTCAAGATTCTCCTGCCTCAGCCTCCTGAGTAGCTGGGATTACAGGTGCATGCCACCATGCCTGGCTAATTTTTGTATTTTTAGTAGAGATGGGGTCTCACCATGTTGGTCAGGCTGGTCTCGAACTCCTGACCTCGTGATCCGCCCGCCTCACCTCGTGATCCGCCCGCCTCGGCCTCCCAAAGTGCTGGGATTGCAGGCATGAGCCACTGTGCCCAGCCATAACATTTCTTTCAGGTAAAAAAACTGTATAATCCTGGGTGCAGTGGTTTATGCCTATAATCCCAGCACTTTGGGAGGCCGAGCGGGCAGATTCTTTGAGGTCAGGAGTTTGAGACCAGCCTGGCCAACATGGTGAAACCCTGTCTCTACTAAAAATGCAAAAATTAGCCAGGCGTGGTGGCATGCACCTGTAGTCCCAGCTACTCAGGAGGCTGAGTCAGGAGAATCGCTTGAACCAGGGAGGTGGAGGTTGCAGTGAGCCGAGATTATGCCATTACACACCAGCCTGGGTGATAGAGCAAGGCTCCGTCTCAAAACAAAACAAAACAAAACAAAAAAAGTGTACATGTATATAAATATGTGCTTGACTATACATATGTATGTATATTATATATATAATATATTTTCACAAGCACATATATGTATAAATACAGTAACTCTTTTTGTTTGTTTGTTTGTTTTTTTGAGACAGGGTCTGGCTCTGTAGCCCAGACTGGAGAGTGGTGGCGTGATTTCAGCTCACTGCAGCCTCCACCTTTTGGGCTTAAGCCATCCCACCTCATTCTCCTAAGTAGCTGGGGCTACAGGCACATGCCACAGTACCTAGCTAATTTTTGCATTTTTATAGAGACAAGGTTTTGCTATGTTGCCTAGGCTTGTCTCAAACTCCTGAGCTCAAGCAATCTGCCTGCCTCAGCCTCCCAAAGTGCTTGGATTACTGGCATGAGCCACCATGCCCTGCCTACAGTAATTATTTCTGAAAGAATAATCAAGAAGTTGTTAATAGTCGTTACCTCTGGATATTGAGACAGTAGTTAGTTACATATCTATCCTTCCTATTAGTTATTGTATTAGGTATTGTAATCTTGAAGTAAGTATTATGTTTTGTTAATCTTTGGGGTTTTCACAATGTTTAACACAGTGATTTACAAATAATAGGTGTTCAATAGATGTTTGGTAAATTCTATAGGCATCTCTTCTAGTTGATATGCCAATATTTATAGTTGGAAAATTTAAACCAGAGAATAAACTTAATTGATGCTATACAAAATTTAGATTTTTGAAGTTCATAAACAACCCTTTAAAACATTCTGGCTCTGTATTCACTTGGCCACACTATCAGCTCTAGCCACTTTCTTGGCCCTGTATTATCATATTGAAAAGAGTCCTTGATTATAGTGGTATTTATTATTATTTGTCTCATCATAATAGAAATTCTAGGTTTTATTGTTGCTATAATAATAGAAAATATCAAAGGAAATGTGGCAAGAACACAACTTTGCAAAACCAGAACACTGGTGGAAATTTTTTTAGCCCTTAGCTGTTAAATTAGTGTTTAAGCTGTTTGGCAGTATAGCTATATCCACAAATTGGATTTGATCATTCTGCAGATGGGATTCTTGCATACCCTATTTTTCAAGCTAATTTTTTTTTCTCACTCTAGAATTGCCTCTTGTCTCTGATAAAGGCAAGCAACTTTTTCATTTGGTGAGGAAATGGAGCTATATGATCATGCATTCCAGAATCAGTCAATTCAAAAAGGAAGTACTTTTCATGTTTATACAAATGTAGTAGAATCTTGTTGCTACAGCTTATTTTTTGTTTCTGTGAAGCAGCAGTCCTTTTTCATTGGCCTTTTTTCCTGCAGTAAATGCTCATAAGAACTGTACCATTTGTAAGTATGTTCAGAAATTACAATTTTAGCCATAAGTGTAATGCTCCACAAAATAGATAAAATGTTGCCTTTTGAAAGTTTGTGTTTCCATGTAACTTAACCACATATAGAAATAATGTTAAAAATTCTCAATAAGGTGGGCAATGTGTCTCATGCTTGTAATCCCAGCACTTTGGGAGGCTGAGGTGGGGCAGATCAGAGGTCGGGAGTTCAAAACTAGCCTGGCCAACATAGTGAAACCTTGTCTCTACTAAAAAAAAAAATACAAAAATTAGCCGGGTGTGGTGGCAGGCACAGTGGCAGATGCCTGCAGTCCCAGCTACTTGGGAGGCTGAGGTAGGAGAATTGGCTGAACCCGGGAGGCAAAGTTGTAGTGAGCCAAGATTGCGCCACTGCACTCCAGTCTGGGCGACAGAGTGAGACTCCATTAAAAAAAAAAACACCTCTCAACAAACTTGGTATTGAAGGAACATACCTCAAAATAATAAGAGCCATCTATTCCCAGTATTCTGGGAGGCCAAGGCGGGCGGATCATGAGGTCAGGAGATTGAGACCATCCTGGCTAACACGATAAAACCCTGTCTCTACTAAAAATACAAAAAATGAGCCAGGTGTGGTGTTGGGTGGCTGTAGTCCCGGCTACACGGGAGGCTGAGGCAGGAGAATGGCGTGAACCCAGGAGGTAGAGCTTGCAGTGAGCCAAAATCAAGCCACTGCTCTCCAGCCTGGGGGACAGAGCGAGACTCCGTCTCAAAAAAAAAAAAAAAAAAAGAGCCATCTATGACAAACCCACAGCCAACATCATACTGAATGGGCAAAAGCTGGAAGCATTCCCCTTGAAAACCAGCACAAGACAAGGATGCCCTCTCTCACCACTTCTATTCAACAGAGTATTGGAAGTCTTAGCCAGAGCAATCAGGCAAGAGATAGAAATAAAGTGCATCCAAACAGGAAAACAGGAAGTTAAACTGTTTTTAGACGACATGATTCTATATCTAGAAAACCCCATAGTCTCAGCTCAAAAGCTCCTTCAGCTGATAAACAACTTCAGCAAAGTTGCAGGATACAAGTCAATGTACAAAAATCACTAGCATTCCTATACAGCAACAACAACCAAGCTGAAAGCCAAATCAGAAAGCAATCCCATTCACAACTGCCACCAAAAAAATAAAATACCTAGGAATACAGCTAACCAGGAAGGTGAAAGAGCTCTACAGTGAGAATTACAAAACACTGTTCAAAGAAATTAGAGAAGCCACAAACAAATGGAAAACATCCCATGCTCATGGATAGGAAGAATCAATATCATTAAAATGGCTATACTGCCCAAAGCAGTTTACAGATTCAGTGCTATTCCTATCTAACTACCAATGACATTCTTCACAGAACTAGAAAAAATTATTTTAAAATTCATATGGAACCAAAAAAACGCCAAAATAGCCAAGGCAATCCTAAGCAAAAAGAACAAAGCTGGAAGAATCACGTTACCCAACTTCAAACTATACTACAAGGCTACAGTGACCAAAACAGCATGGTATGGGTACAAAAACAAGCACATAGACCAATGGAACAGAATAGAGAGCCCAGAAATAAGGCCTCACATCTATGACCATCTGATCTTTGACAAAGCTGATAAAAACAAGCAATGGGGAAAAGACTCATTCAATAAATGGTGCTGAAATAACTGACTAGCCATATGCAGAAGATTGAAGCTGGACCCCTTCCTTACACGGTATACAAAAATTTCAACTCAAGATTGATTAAAGACAAATGTAAAACCCAAAATTATAAAAACCCTGGAGGACAACCTAGGTAATACCATTCTGGACCTAGGAACAGGCTAAGATTTCATGACAAAAAAACTATGCATCTGAGAAAGGTCTAATATCCAGCATCTATAAAGAACTTAAACAAATTTACAAGAGAAAAACAACCTCATTAAAATGTGGAAGGCCGAGGCAGGTGGATCACCTAAGGTCAGGAATTCGAGACCACCTAGTCAACATGGTGAAACCCTGTCTCTACTAAAAATACAAAAAATTAGCCACGAGTGGTGGCTGGCACCTGTAATTGTGCCACGGGAGGCTGAGGCAGGAGAATCACTTGAACCTGGGGAGATGGAGGTTGCTGTGAGCCGAGATTGTGCCATTGCACACCAGCCTGGGCAACAAGAGCAAAACCCTGTCGCAAAAAAAAAAAAAAGTGGGCAAAGGACATGAACAGCTACTTCTCAAAAGAAGACATACGTGCAGCCAACAAGCATATGAAAAAAAACTCAGTATCACTGATCATTAGAGAAATGCAAATCAAAACTATGGTGAGATACCATCTCAACACCAGTCAGAATGGCTATTACTAAAAAGTCAAAAAATAGGCTGGGCATGGTGGTTCACGCCTGTAATCCCAGCACTTTGGGAGGCCGAGGTGGGCGGATCACAAGATCAGGAGTTCGAGACCAGCCTGGCCAACATGGTGAAACCCCTTCTCTACTAAAAATACAAAAATTAGCCAGGCCTGGTGGCGCGTGCCTGTAATCTCAGCTACTCGGGAGGCAGAGGCAGGAGAATGGCTTGAACCCGGGAGGCAAAGGTTGCAGTGAGCTGAGATCGCATCATTGCACTCCAGCTCTGGGCGACAGAGCAAGACTCCACCTTGAAAAAAAAAAAAGTCAAAAATAACAGAACCTGGCGAGGCTGCAGAGAAAAGGGAACACTTGTATGCTGTTGGTGGGAGTGTAAATTAGTTCAACCATTGTGGAAAGCAGTATGGCAGTTCCTCAAAGATTTAAAAACAGAACTACCATTTGACCTAGCAATCCCATTACTGGGTATATACCCAGAGGAATATAACTCATTCTACCATAAAAACACATGCAGCTGGACACGGTGGCTCACGCCTGTAATCCCAGCACTTTGGGAGGCTGAGGCAGGTGGATCACCTGAGGTCAGTAGTTCGAGACCAGCCTGGCCAACATGGTGAAACCTCGTCTCTACTAAAAAATAAAAAAATTAGCCAGGCATGGTGGCAGGTGCCTGTAATCCCAGCTACTCGGGAGGCTAAGGCAGCAGAATCACTTGAACCCGGGAGGTGGAGATTGTGATGAGCCGAGATTGCTCCACTGCACTCCAGCCTGGGCGACAGAGTGAGACTCCGTCAAAAAAAAAAAAAAAAAAACAAACACATGCATGGCCAGGTTGGGTGGCTCATGCCTGTAATCCCAGCACTTCGGGAGGCCGAAGTGGGTGGATCATCTGAGGTCAGGAGTTCAAGACCAGCCTGACCAACATAATGAAACCTCATCTCTACTAAAAATACAAAATTAGCGGAGCATGTTGGTGCATGCCTGTAATCTCAGCTGCTTGGGAGGCTGAGGCAGGAGGACTGCTTGAACCTGGGAGGCAGAGGTTGTGGTGACCCAAGATTGTGCCCTTGCATTCCAGCCTGGGCAATGAACGAAACTCTGTCTCAAAAAAAAAAAAAGACACGTGCACACAAATGTTCATTGCAGCACTTTTCACAATAGTTAAGACACGGAATCAACCTAAATGCCCACCAATGACAGACTGGATAAGGAAAATGTACATATACACCATGGAATGTTAGGCAGCCATAAAAAAATGAGATTATGCCTTTTGTGGGAACATGGATGGAGCTGGAGGCTATCACCCTTAGTAAACTAATGCAGGAAGAGAAAACCAAATACTGCATGTTCTCACTTACAAGTTGGAGCTAAATGATAAGAACTCAGGAACACAGAAGGAAACAGCAGACACTGGGGTCTACTTGAGCAGGAAGGGTCAAAGGAGGGAGAGGAACAGAAAAGATAACTATTGGGTCCTGAGCTTAATAACTGGGTGATGTAATAATATGTATGACAAACCGCCGTGACACATGCTTATGTAACAAACCTTCACATGTACCCCCAAACTTAAGTTAAAAATTTTTAAAAAGAAATAATGATTTCCAGATATCCTATATATTTTTTTTTATTTTTAACAAAATAAGATATTATCCTTGATTATCCTTGTATATCTCTATACAGCATGAGCTAGCTGCTGTTTTCTAATGTTTGCTGTCTGCATTAATTAATGCTTTGGTTGCTATGGTGAATTACAAAGCACAGGAAGATGCATACAAAGAATTGAACTTGTGTATTCCACTTAGCTTCAACCATCATATGGAAAAGATTTGCTATGTGTTTTACCATTGGCCTCATCAGAACATCTACTTTTAAAATTTACTGGGAAAAGGAATGAAAAGGAAAAATGTCAGGGGTATTTAAACATTGTTTTTCATAGACGTTCTTCCTTAAGTCAGCTTGAATAAGTAGTAGGAGGAGGCTCAGGAAAACATTTATTAATGTTTTCATAACCAAATGTGACATAGTCATCTTTGCGAGGTACACAATTGAGCCAAGCTCTAAGAGCCTATCCCTGTATCTAGGTTTTGTCCTTACATGTATATAACCTACACCCACAGTTTACCATCCGTGACATTTTCTTTCCTCTCCAGTAGTACAAAAATACCCTGCCACCCTGAAATGATCAGACTGAAGGACAGTGTTCTCTTACTATGCTAAAAGCCCACTTGAATTTGTTCCTTCCCAGTTCTTGCCTTTCTTTTCCATAAGAGACAGATATATTGTCCAGGCAGGTGATGGTCAGAGGATAGCTATGGTGAAGCAACATCATTTTCCATGATGCTCTCATTTGTCTGCTCAATCGCTTTTTAAATTGACTTATCAGATCAGAAGCTCAAAACAAAGGTGTTAACTATCTGATTCTTCCCATTAGTCACCAAGATGGTCACTGTACCCCTGCAAAGGAAAGATTCCCTCCCTTCTTCTTAATAAAATAATCTGCAATTCATTTATTTACTTAAGTAAATAAAATGTGTTTATTTGAGTAATCCATTATGCAGTTTATCTTGAGCAAATATATATATTACTTTCCTACATTTTTCATGTTTTTTGGTGAATATAATGTCCTTTCAGCCTTGAGTATTTTATTGTTTCCGAACACTTTAACTGCCTCTTATCTTCCAGCTTTTTACATAGTCTGTAACTATCTGGGTAATTTTTCAGTCATCTCCCTTCCTTCTTCCCCTCTTTTGGAGTCCCCCATAGTCTCTTCTCTTCATCCTTATGTCCATGTGTACCTGCCATGTTTAACTCCCATTTATAAGTGAGAATATGCTATATTTGATTTTTCTGCTTCAGATAATGGCCTCTTGCTCCATCCATGTTGCTGCAAAGGACATGATATCATTCTTTTTTATGCCTGCTTAGTATTCCATGGTGTATATATACCACATTTTCTTTATTCAGTCCACTATTGGTGGATACTTAAGTTGGTTCCATAGCTTTGCTATTGTATATAGTGCTGGGATAAACATGAGTGCAAGTGTCTCTTTTTATATGATGATTTCCTTTCCTTTGAGTAGATACCCAGTAGTGGGATTTCTGGGTCAAATGGTAAGTTGTTTTTGTTTTTTGTTTTTCCTTTCTTGAGACAGCATCTCATTCTGTTGAATGGAGTGCTGGATGGAGTGTAGTGGCAGTCACAGCTCACTGCAGCCTTCCCAGGCTCAAGTGATCCTCCCATCTCAGTGCCCCCTCCCTGCCCCCAGCCTCACCAAGTAGCTGAGACTATAGGGGAAAGCCACCACGCTGGGCTAATTTTTAAAAATTTTTTGGCAGAGTTGGGGTCTCACAATGTTGCCAGGTGGATCTCAAGCTCCTTGGCTCAAGCGATCCACCTGCCTTGGCCTCCCAAAGTGCTGGAATTACAGGCATAAGCCACCAGGCCCAGCCTTTTTTCGTTGTTGTTTTTAAGGAGGAAGAGGGGACATGAGCAAGGATGTACCCTGTGCATTTGCTCCCCTCCCTGTGGCTTAATTGCTAGTTCTATTTTTAGTTCTTTGAGCTAGTTCCATAATGTTTTCCACAGAGGTTGAACTAATTTACATTCCAACCAACAGTATATGAGCATTCCCTTTTCTCCGCATCCATGCCAACATCTGTTGTTTTTTGACTTTTTAATAAACCAAAATAGTAAGAGCCATATATGACAAACCCACAGCTAACATCATACTGAATGGGGAAAAGTTGGAAGCATTTCCCCTAAGAACTGGAATAAGACAAAGATGTCCACTCTCACTGGTCCTATTCAACATACTGAAAGCCCTACCCAGAGCAATCAGGCAATAGAAAGAAATATAAGACATCCAAATTGGAAAAGAAGTCAAATTATCTCTGTTCGCATTCAATAGGATTATATACTTAGAAAACCCTAAAGATCCCTCTAGAAGATTCCTAGACTTGATAAGTGATTTCATTAAAGTCTCAGGATACAAAATCAACATACAAAAATGAGTAACATTTTTAGGCACCAATAACATTCAAGCTGAGAATCAAAGTAAGAGCTCAGTCCCATTTACAAGAGACACACAAAATACTTAGGAATATATTTAACCAAGGAGGTGAAAGATCTCTACAAGGAGAACTACTTAACATTGATGAAAGAAATCATAGATGACACAAACAAATGGAAAAACATCCCATGCTTATGGATTGGAAGAATCAATATTAAAATGATCATATTACCCAATGCAATCTACAGATTCAACACAATTCCTATCAATTTACCAACATCATTCTTCACAGAATTAGGAAAAAGAATCCTAAAGTTGATATGGAACCAGAAGAAAGCCTGAATAGCCAAGGTGCTCCTAAGCAAAAAACAAATCCAGAGTCACATTGCCTGACTTCAAATTATATTATAAGGCTACAGTAACTAAAACAGCATGGTACTGGTACAAAAACAGACACATAGATCAATGGAACAGAATAGAGAACCCAGAAATAAAGCCACATACCTACAACCAACTGATCTTCAATAAAGTCGATAAAAATAAACAATGGGGAAAGAACACCCCACTCGATAAATTATGCTGGGAAAATTGGCCAGCCATATGCAGAAAAATGAAATTGGACCCCTATCTCTTAACCATATACAAAAATTAACTCAAGATGGATTAAAGGCCTAGATGTGGGACCTGAAACTGTGAAAGTCCTAGATGAAAACCTAGGAAAAACTCTTCTGGACATTGGCCTAGGCAAAGAATTTATGACAAAGATCCCAAAAGCAAATGCAACAAAAACAAAAGTAGACAAGTAGGACTTAATTAAACTAAAGGGCTTCTGCACAGCAAAAGAAATAACCAACAGAATAAACAGACAACCTACAAATAATGCCTCCAACAAAGGACTACCATCCACATCCTACAAGGAACGCAATAAGTAAAAACAACCCCATTAAAAACTGGGCAAACGACATGAAAAGACATTTCTCAAAAGAATTACAAGTGGCCAAAAAACGCTTGAAAAAATGCTCAACATTACTGATCATCAGAGAAATGCAAATGAAAACCACACTGAGATATCATCTTACGCTAGTCAGAAAGTCAGATGCCACCACTCTGGTTTTACCTTCCTACCGGCTCTTCTGAAGCCTTTGTTATTTTCTCTCTCTTGCTCTCGCTCTTGCTCTCACTCTGGCTCTGGCTCCCCCCATCACCCCATTATTTTCAGCTTCTTCTCTGCCGACTTCTTTTCCACAGGCTATAATCATACTCAATTTTCTTTTGTTAAATAATAAATTTAAAGCCTTTGGTCCTAGATTTTCCTGTAAGTTATGTCCTTCCCTTCATAGCCAAGCTTTTTGGATAAAGAAGCCCACAGTCACTGTCTTCTGTTTCTCAATTCTTCAATCCATGTAGCCTGGCTCCTTACTCCACTACAACACACTAAAACATTTCTTGCAAAATCACAGTAGTAAATCCAGGGGACTCTCAATTCCCACCTTATTTTCCCCACTGCTGCATTTCACACTATTAACCATTCTTTTCTTCTTGAGACTCAGTTGGGCCTCAACCTCTCCCTTCTGATTCTCCTCCTACCTTTCTGAAAATGTCCTTCTCAGTTGCTAATGCTGGCTACTCTTTTTACTTGTTTTTTAGTTATTAGGGACTCAGCAAAAAATCTGTCTTTTGGTTTTCTTCTCATTCTACATGATCTCCCTAGATAAAACTCATCTATTCCCATGGCTTCAGCTACCACATATTCGGGGAAAGCACTAGACCTGAATATACAGATGTCTAGTGGGCATCTCCATTAGAATATTCCACAGGTATCTAAAACACAGCATGTTTTTGTCTTATGCACAGTAAATGTCCTTTTTCTCAAACCTAAACCACTACACCTAGTTACCAAAACCAGAAAACAAAGTTATGGACTCCCCCTTTACCCCTATCCTCCACATTCAGTCATTGACCAAATACTGAAGAATATGTATTTTTTTGTGACTGGACATCCAGTACCTCCTCTTCACCCTTTCTGGGATGTCTTTAGTTCTAGGTTTCATCATATCTTCCCAGAAGTCTTACACTAGCCTTTTATTCTCCAACTTTTCCCAACAGTTACACCCAATTCATTCTTGCACAGCTGCCAAAACTATCCTTCAAAAAAGCAAATTTGGCTGGGCATGGTGGCTCACACCTGTAATCCTAGCACTTTGGGAGGCGAAGGCTGGCAGATCACCTGAGGTCAGGAGTTCAAGACCCCCTGCCTGGCCAACATGGTGAAACCTCGTCTCTATTAAAAATACAAAAAGTAGTCTGGCATGGTGGCGCACGCCTGTATTCCCAGCTACTTAGGAGGCTGAGGCAGGAGAATCGTTTGAACCCAGGAGGCAGAGGTTGCAGTGAGCTGACATTGCACCACTGCACTCCAGCCTGGGTGACAAGAGCAAGACTCCGTCTCAAAAAAAAAGCAAATTTGATCATAGTAACCTGTGAGAACCCCATGACCTGTGAGATTTGAGGTGTGTGAGCTGGCTTATGCTTTTCCCTCTTTTTCTCACTATGTCCCCAACTTCACTTCTGCTCCAAAGGAAGAGTTAGGATGAGTCCAAAGTTTTTGGCCCAAGCAACTAGAAGGCTAAAGTGACCATCAAGTAAGATAGGGAAGGCTATAGGTAGAACAGACTTAGGGAAGATTGGGGATTTAAAATGTGTTGAATTGAGAAATAATTAAACATCCAAATGGAAATGTCAAGTAAACAGGTATTTAAGTCTGGAGTTTAGAAGAAAGGTCTGGGCTGGAGATGGAGATTTGGGAACCATCAGCAGATGTATTTACAACCAAAAAATGGTGTGATTATCCAGGGAAGGAAATGTGCTGTTTCTCTGGTAACTAGTAATGTAACCACTTGTCAGTGTAGCTGTTGAGCACTTGAAATGTGGCTAGTGCTACTGGGGAATTAAATATTTAATTTTATTTTGGTTAATTTAAATTTAAATAACCATAAGTGACAAGTGGTCACTATACTGAATGGAACAGATGGAGAGAATGAGTTTAGATTAAGAAGAAAGGAGGATCAATGTCTGGGCTCTGAGTATTCCACAATTAAGAGGTCACAGAGATGAAGTGGGACCATAAAAGGATACTGAAAAGTAGCAAGGGAAAAAATCAAATATGAAATTTTCTGGAAACCAATTGAAGAAGGTATATCCAGGAGGAGCAAGTGATCACCTCAGTCATATGTTGCTGATAAGTCAAGTAATATAAAACTGTTCTACCTCACCCATCATCAGGCAATAGTTTCATAAGGAACACACAACCTAGATCCCTCCCATGCGTAGTTCACAGTAGGATTTGCACTCCTATGAGAATCTAACGCCTCCACGGATCTAAGAGGAGGCAGAACTCAGGCCCTAATACTCACTGCTCACCTCCTGCTGTGCCCCCGCCCAGTTCCTAACAGACCACGGACTGGTATTGGTCCTCAGCCTGGGTTTGGGGACCCTTATCGTAATTGACACTTTACCATAACACCCTCTTCATCATTGGTAGCTTGTATAACTGTTTTTAGGGGGAAGGTTTTTTTGGGGTGTTTTTGTTTGTTTGTTTTTGGAGATGGAGTCTCTGTTGCCCAGGCTGGAGTATGGTGGCACGATCTTGGCTCACTGCAACTTTCACCTCCCAGATTCAAGCAATTCTCCTGCCTCAGCCTCCCGAGTAGCTGGGATTACGGGCAGCTAGCACTACGCCCAGCTAATTTTGTATTTTTAGTAGAGCCTGGGTTTCACCATGTTGGCCAGGCTGGTTTCAAACTCCTGACCTCAAGTGATCCGCCTTCCTCGGCCTCCCAAAATGCATATAGGCATGAGCCATCATCCCCACCCTTGTATAAATTTTACTGGGAAATCTCTGCAATTTAGAGACTATCTGAACATTTTAAAATAGCCACAATAGCTGATTCTGTTTCAGTGAAGTCCCACAAGAACAAATACTCTCTCAGTTAATTCTTTCAAGGTATTTTAGAAAGAGAGAGAGAGAGACAAGCAGGAAGGAAATGTAGGGTTGGGGTTTTTTTCATGATTTATACATAAGCATGTATATTCCTTGATTAAAGATGTTTCTGGTTAGTTTTGTGCAATAACATTCAAAACGGATGCTTCTGATTGATGTAGTTTTAGTGTCCAATGAGTGATTTAACAAAATTATTTGCCTAGTAATGGTTTTGAAAATAATTTGATCTCCTTCTTGGTGATATTTAAGGAAGGAGCTAATAGGAACATTCACTTTTGTTATGAAGCCATTTTGATACGGATTGAAACAGGAAACAGAGTAAAACAACACAGTGCTACCCAAGTGAAGCTAGTGACTGAGCTGTGTTCGCATGTCCAGTATCAGCTACACTCATGGTTTTTTTGGTTTCCATGGTTTCTTTTTCTTGGTTTATCAAAGGATTCAGAAAAAAGATTTCAAGAAAAGATAGAGTTCCTAGAAGCACCATTAATTTTTGTGTCCCATTCTTTTTTTTATACTCAAAATACTAAATGTTTCTAGTTTCCATGTTTTGGGGACATCTAAATATGCTAGTTCTTTCAAAAATGCTTTGAGGTCCTTGTACAGAGGCCATTGTAATAGCACTGTATTAAGTATTTGACAAAGGCTTATACATGAAAGGAGATGTGTAGTATTAATACAAACATAAAATTCTGCCGTATTGATATCATGTCATGGTAAGGCACTCTGCACCCTCTTGAATATAAAAGAATATTTCTACATTTGGTTCCAGCAAACACTATTGTGCTATTCTGAAATCCACAGCACAGAAATTATAAGACATCCGCTCATAAACAGAAAGCAAATCACTATTCAGCATTTCCTGCTCTGTTTCCTGCCAATTTCAGATAATTGAAACTTTTTTTAAACCTTTTATTCTATTCTGCTTTAATTCTGCTTCCTCCACCAAAAAAAAAGATTTAGAAATTAAAACTCTGTGTATGTAAGTCACAGTCCTTTTTTTTTCTTATCCTGTGATAATATCTCATTCTTCATTATTGCAGACCTCAGGATATCATTGTGTTTGTAATTGGAGGAGCCACCTATGAAGAGGCTCTAACAGTTTATAACCTGAACCGCACCACTCCTGGAGTGAGGATTGTCCTGGGAGGCACCACAGTGCACAACACGAAAAGGTAAAAGAGAACATTCATTCTACAACTGTGTCCTCTTTCCCAGAGGATAAAGCTTAAATTCCCTTTATGTTGGAAAAATTTGGTCAATACTCACCAAACTGCTGTAGACTGAAATTCTCTGGTGTTTGCAGCTCCAGAATAATTTAAGAATTTGTGAGAGAAAGGATCTATAGTAGTTAAGTTCGTTAAGTTCATAAATCTCTTTATTAGGTCAAAGACCTAGAAAGTAAGAACCATCTTACACTGTTAACAATTTGTATTTCCTGTGTTCAAAAAAGGAGAAACCCTTGGACCTAATTCATAAGGAAGGGGGAAAAATTAAAAATTGGGTTTTTTTTAAAGAGGGAGAAACCTAATAGCCACAGCTTAGACTTTGAAAATACTTAAACATAATGGTATTGAAGTCTGTGAGTTTTTCTATTTTGTTGATTAACTTTATTCACTTAGCAAGTATTCAGTAAGAATACAAAGATGAATAATCTAAAGATCCTACCTCAAGTTATTGTCTATTAGGAAAGAACATTTAAAAATAAGAAAACAAGTGCCCAGAGAGGCAGATAAAAGGGCCAAGGATTCTCAGAGTGACTAAGGGAAATTAGCAAATGTTTCACATAGAAGATAGTATATTAGCTGAGCCTTGGGTGAAAATGGACATATGGAGGGAGAGCACATTCTAGGTAGAGTTAACCACGTGAACAAGTTATAAAAGCTGTAGGCAACATACATACACAAAGAACAGCAAATAGTTGACTAGCTGGAATGTGTGTAATAAAGTGAAAGGATGATTGAATGCCATCATTGTGGAAGGCCTTGAGTGCCAGGCTTGGGAATTTCTACTTTTTTACATAGAAAATGGGGAATTATTGAAAGTAGTGATTACAAGAAACTCACGGTGTTTTAGGAGGATTAATTTGGCAGCTAAAGGTAGAAGAGGAAAAGACTGGAGAACCGTGACATGATTGTTGAATCTAAAGATTGGGGACCCTGAGAGATCCATGCTGAGCCATGTATTCTAGATAATTGGGAGTCATTAAAAGTATTTGTATACTTTTTAATTTTGTATGATTATTTGGTTTTTAATATAACTTTTCTCCTTTATTATGGAAGTAATATATGCATATTCTGAATATTTTTAATTCAGAAAGTACAAGGAGAAAAAACGTTTCCATAATCTAACCACTGTTACGTTTTAGTGTTTTCAGGCCTTTTTTTAAGCCTGTATAGACGTTTGTATGAGTGTGTGGGCAGAAAGGGATCTCATCGTACATTCTGTGTTTTAACTTTCATTTTGCAGTCTGATGTAAACGTCTTCTAGTGTTAAATATATAATCATTCATTCATTAAACAAATATTTACTGGATAAGATTTCTTGGGTTTGAATCCTGATTTCCCTCTTACTATTTTTGTAAACTTGGGCCAATTACTAACCTCTTTGTTAGTGTCCAGAACTCACTGGCTATTTATATATTTCTTTTGTGAATTGCTAGTTCATATTCTTTGCCCATTCCACAATTGAAGTATTCCTTTTTTTCTTAATAATTTTTTTAATTCTATTTATATAAATAAGGTTATTGGCCATTTGTCTAGTATTTATTTTGCAAATCTTTTTCCTCTATATTTTTGTTTTATACTATTCACAGTGTTTTGTTGTATAAAAGTTTTGTTGTTATTACTTTAATTTTATATGGTCACAGTTACCTGTGATTTCTGCCTTTGGTGTCATGCCTAGAAAGTTATTTCCTACACAAGATTATATAAATACTAAGATGCATTTTAAAAATTATTTTTAGGATACATATTTAACATGATATCTTTACAGTCTATCAGAATTTTAGTTTTGTGTAAACTGTGCTGTAGGGTTTCCTTTTATAACTTCTACAGAAATATTACAGTGAGAAATATTACAGTGAGGGGCTTTTTTCTTCTTGACACCAAATACACCATGTCTTTCCCAACACCATTTTTCCAATTCTCCAGACACCAACTGGATATTTAGCAATTTGATTCAATTCTGACACGATCTACCTGGAGTTAGCATCTCATCTCAAAGTTAAAAGGGCTTAACCCCACAAGACCACCCCTACTTCAGATGCCAGTCACAAGTTCCAGACCACCCGTATTTCGGGAGTGACTGGTTGTAAATCAGGGGTTCCCATGACCCCTTCCTCAGGTTTGATAATTTACTAGAACAGTTCACACAACTCAGGAAACCACTTTACTGCATTTGCCAGTTATTACAAAGGATACAACTCAGGAACAGCCAAATGTAAGAGATGCATAGGGCAAGGTATAGGGGTGGGGTGTGGAGTCTCCATGCCTGCTCTAGGAACACCCACCCCACCCCAGCACCTTGATACGTTCACCAACCCACAAACTCTTCGAACACTATTGGGTAGGGGTTTTTATGGAGGTTTCGTTATGTGGGCATGCTTGATTAAATCATTAGCCCCTGGTGATTGATTCAGGCTCCAACTGTTTTCCCCACCCTGGAGGTTCAGGGGTGGGACTGAAAATTCAAAGTTTCTTATTAAGGCTTGGCCTTTCCGGCAACTAGCCCTCATCCTGAAGCTATCTAGAGGCCCACCAAGAGTCATCTCATTGAAACAAAAGACACTCCCGTCACCCTCAGTACTCAGAAAATTCTTAGGGAATTAGGAGCTCTGTGCCAAGAATGGGGACAAAGACCAAATATCTTTCTGTGATACCACATACATACACTTACACACAGTTATTTCATTATGTACGGAAAAGTATATAAATGATAAACAGCTCAGTAAAACATTGCAAAGTGAATATATCTATGAGATGACCTCTGAGTGTAATGATCAAGAAATAGCACATTGCCAGCACCCCCAGCAGCCTTTCTTATTCCTCATGCTCCCTCCTTGTCACAAATCCGTGCAAAGTATTCATTATTATGACTTCTGTCACCGTAGATTAGTTTTACCTGTTCTTAAAAGATATTTTTTGAATAAAAGAAGAAATAAGCCAGGCGTGGTGGCTCCCACCTGTAATCCCAGCACTTTGGGAGGCCAAGGTGGGTAGATCATTTGAGGTCAGGAGTTTGAGACCAGCCTGGCCAACATGGTGAAACCCCGTCTCTACTAAAAATACAAAAATTAGCCAGGCGTGGTGGCAGGCGCCTGTAGTCCCAGCTACTCAGGAGGCTGAGGCAGGAGAATGCTTGAACCTGGGAGGTAGAGGTTGCAGTGAGCCGAAATCATGCCACTGCATTCCAGCCTGGGTGACAGAGAGAGACTCTGTCTCAAAGAAAAAAAGAAGAAGAAGAAGAAGAAATAAAGGCTACACTTAATCTATTTCTGCCTTTCTCACAAATAATATAAGAATATTAAAATGTTTTAACTGTAATCACTTTCCTCCCAATTTGTACACTATCATTGTCCAGTGTTTTGGTTTTACCTTTTTAAATTCCCAAATTAATCATTATTTTCAGTAGTTAATGTTTATCTATATTTACTCACATATTTGCCCCCTTTTCCCCCTCCACTTTGTTTCTTTCCTCCTGGCTCTTTCTTCAATCCAATTTTCTTCTAACTAAAGAACACTCTTGCCTGAATCCCATGCCTGTACTCCCAGCGCTTTGGGAGGCCGAGGTGGGCAGATCACTTGAGGTCAGGAATTCAAGACCAGCCTGGCCAACATGGTGAAATCCCATCTCTCCTGAAAAATGCAACAATTAGCCAGGCGTGGTGGCACATGCCTGTAATCCCAGCTACTCAGGAGGCTGGAGAATTGCTTGAACCGGGGAGGTGGAGGTTGCAGTGAGCCAAGATCGAGTCACTGCACTCCAGCCTGGGCAACAGAGCAAAACACCATCTCAAAAAAAAAAAAAAAAATTATTGGCCAGTAGTTTAGGAGGCCATGGCGGGAGGATCATTTGAGCTCAGAAGTTTAAGACCAAACCTGAGCAATATAGAGTGACTCTGTTTCTAAAAAAAAAAAAAAGGTAAAATTAGCTGGGCATGGACTAGGCATGGTGGCTCACACCTGTAATCCCAGCACTTTGGGAGGCCAAGGCAGGCGGATTGCTTGAGCCCAGGAATTCAAGAGGAGTTCAAGGAGTTCAGGCTGGGCAACATGGTGAAACTTTGTCTCTACAAAAAAACACAAAAATTAGCTGGGCATGGTAGCATGTGTCTGTGGTCCCAGCTACTTGGGAGGCTGAGGTGGGAAGATCACAAGCCTGGGAGATTGAGGCTGCAGTGAGCCGTGATCATGTCACCACCCCCCAGCCTATCTGAACAAGACCCTGTCTTAAAAAAAAAAAAAAACTTTAGTATTTTTTTCAGCTATTGTTCATTTTGATGCCTTTGTCTAAAAGTGTCTTAATTCAGCCAAGTTTAGAATTTCAGGTTGATAATTTTCACTTACTTAAAAGTAAGACAACAATGGAATGCTGTATTACTTGGTATGAAAAAGTCATGTTTGGCATAATTTCTGGAAATTTTACAGTCATTATTTCTTTGACTGTTGCTTCTCTTTCATCTCCTGTTGTCTATCCTTCTGGAATTACTGTGAGATATATGTTAAACCTTCATCTATTCTTCAGGTCTCTTAATCTCTCATTTATGTTATCCATCTGCTATCTGTCTGTGCTGTCTTCTGTATAATTTTTTCAGATCAGTGTTCCAGTTTAGTAATTCTTTCTTCAGCTATATCTAATCTATGTTTAATTTGTCTACTAAGTCCACTAATATTATATTTTTATGCTCACGAGTTCTATTTTGCTTCTTTTTCAAATTTGCCTGATGTTTTTGTTAGTATCCTCTTTTTTTCTCATGTTTTCAAATCCTTTATTTTTCCTAAACCACATTAACTCTATAATCTGAAGTATGTGTAGGTCTAATTCTGCTGTTATATCTGCTAACATTAACTCATGATGAAGCATTTCTGCATGTGTTCTGTGATTTTGACTTATGAGTTATCTTAAGAAGGATTTTATCTATAGCACCCGTGAGGAGCTGACATTCAAGATACATCTCTCTTGCATATTCTTCTTTCATTTTTGCTAGGTACCCCAAGAGCATTGTCAGTCTGGAATCATTTTTATGTTAGTTGCTATACATAAGGGTTCCTGAACCTTGCAAAGCATATCTCCTTGTGCAGATAGATTTTTTTAGTCCACTTTTTCAGTGAGGGTCTCTATATTACATGGAAATCTCAATTTTGATTTATTTTCTTACCGAGGCCTAAGCCTTCTTTCCTGACCCTCTGTGGCTACTAAAACACAGTGCCCTTGTTTAATAACACTGGCACACACCTATTAGATAGTTGTAGCATCAGTTTATACTTATCAAGCTAAGTTTTGGTTCCCTTTTTGTGCTGACCCTTAGCAATTCCTCTCACTTTCCAAAGAAGTTAGATATTCATTTAAAAGAATGTTTGTCATTTTTTATCCTGCATTTGTATGTGTTTTATTACAAGATAATTTTCACCTTATATAATCTCCCTTAATTCTAGAAATGGAAGTGTCAGTGTGGTTATGATCTTGGGAGTGGATAAAATGGTAGTGACATTATAGAAACTCCATTTTGAACATCAGTAGATGATATGATTTGGAAGGATAGCCATGCATCCTAAAATGTCAAACTGAGGGTTTTGTACCTAATTCAAGGGCACCTCTTGAATATTTTTGAGCACAGAAGTGACATAATATTATTAGAGCTATTTTTTCAAGTGTCTCCCTTTGCTGCTAATAAAGCAATAATAGTTCATACTTATTGAGTAGATACTGTATGCTAGGCACTGTACTGAAAGTACTTTAAATCTATTAATTCATTGAATCCTCACATAAAGTTTGTACTATTATTATCTTTATATATGGAAACTGAGGCACAGAGAGATTAACTTATTCAAGTAAACATGACTAGTAAGAGATGGAGCTAGTATTGGAAGCCAGAACCCATGCTTTTAACCACTATGCATTTCCTTCCTCAGTATTACTTGAATGCCTAATGCTGCATTATTCTCTAAATAATATTTAATAATTTAGGGTGCAGAAGGTTTTATTACTTGATGGTAGCCATATGGGATTTTGTCTTCTTGATCCAAATGAGTTATTTCATGAATGTTTAGTTAATCATATGCTTTTAAATAGGCTTCCATATCAGAATTCAAAAAGATGATTTGACCCTTAAGTGATTCCTCTGAGAGTTAATATTTCTCACTATTTGTAGCCTTATGGCCAGGGACTAAGAATTGTAGCATCATCCCTTTAATCTGAAATATCAGCAGGTTAAAATTAAACATATATATCTCCATTTAAAAAAATAGGCCAGGTGCAGTGGATCACACCTGTAATCCTAGCACTTTAGGAGGCCGAGGCAGGCGGATCATGAGGTCAGAAGATCGAGACCATCCTGGCTATCACAGTGAAACCCCATCTCTACTAAAAATACAAAAATTAGCTGGGCGTGGTGGCGTGCACCTGTAGTCCCAGCTACTCAGGAGGCTGAGGCAGGAGAATCACTTGAACCTGGGAAGCAGAGGTTGCAGTGAGCCGAGACTGTGCCACTGCACTCCAGCCTGGGCTACAGAGGGCGACTCCGTCTCAAAAAATAATAAAATAATAATAATAATAATAAGTAGGGGGGCCAGGCATGGTGGGTCATGCCTGTAATCCCAGCACTTTGGGAGGCCAAGGTGGGCGGATCACCTGAGGTCATGAGTTTGAGAGGAGCCTGGCCAACATGGGGAAACCCCATCTCTACTAAAAATACAAAAATTAGCCAGGCATGGTGACAGGCACCTATAGTCCCAGCTACTCAGGAGGCTGAGGCAGGAGAATCGTTTGAACCTGGGAGGCGGAGGTTGCAGTGAGCCGAGATCGCACCACTGCACTCCAGCCTGGGCAGCAAGAGTGAGACTCTGTCTCAAAAATAAATAAATAAATAAATAAGTAAAAATAAAAAATTAAAAATAAGTTGGGGGCCAGGCATCGTGGCTCAGGCCTGTAATCCCAGCACTTTGGGAGACCGAAGTGGGCAGATTGCTTGAACTCAGGAGTTTGAGACCAGCCTGCGCAATGTGGCGAAACTCCATCTCTACCAAAAATACAAAAAAGTAGCCAGGTGTGGTGGCGCCACCTGTGGTCTCAGGTACTTGGGAGGCTGAGGCAGGAGAATCGCTTGAGTCCGGGAGGCGGAGGCTGTAGTAAGCTGAGATCGTACCACTGCACTCCAGCCTGGGTGACAGAGCAAGACCCTGTCTCAAAATAAATAATATAAGTTGGATTTAGATAGAAAGATAGATTAGTAAAGATTTTTTATATGTCTTTGTAATTTAGTCATAGTACATACAAAAATACATGTTTTAGATGTGTTTGACTAATTAATAGTGCTATGGGCTGGGCACGGTGGCTCACGCCTGTAATCTCAGCATTTTGAGCACTGTGGAAGGCCAAGGCAGGCATATCACTTGAGGCCAGGAGTTCGAGACCAGCCTGCCCAACATGGTGAAACCTCGTCTCCACTAAAAAATACAAAAATTAGTTGGGTGTGATGGTGTGTGCCTGTAATCCCAGCTACTCGGGAGGCTGAGGCACGAGAATCACTTGAACCCAGGAGACAGAGTTTGCAGTGAGCTGAGATGGCACCATTGCACTCCAGCCTGGGTGACAGGGCAAGACCCTGTCTCAAAAAAAAAAAAAAAAAGGTACTATGAATAAAACTTCATTTTCTGTTCAAAAAAGTAGAAAAAAGAAAAAAAAATGAAACATCTAGGGTTTTCCTTAAATTAGTGTTCAAGTTCCTGACAAATGACCTTTTGTTTTTTTGGGGACGGAGTCTTGCTCTGTCGCCCAGGCTGGAGTGCAGTGGTTTGATCTCAGCTCACTGCAACCTCTGCCTCCCGGATTCAAGCAATTCTCCTGCCTCAGCCTCCAGAGTAGCTGGCACTACAGGCGTGCACCACCACACCTGGCTAATTTTTGTATTTTTGGTAGAGACGGGGTTTCACCATGTTGGCCAGGCTGGTCTCGAACTCTGGACCTCAAGTGATCCACCTGCCTTGGCCTCCCAAAGTGCTGGGATTACAAGAGTGAGCCACCGCACCCGGCCTCAACAAATCATCCTTATATAAAATTAAGAAGGTAAGGCAGTCCTGCGAAGGCCTTATGCTAGATTCTTCCAGCTATTGTCAGCGTTGGTATCTCTGTGTGACCTAATAGCATGCTAAGCAGTACACTGTATTACATTTGAGCAGATATCTTAGCAATAAAGATTCAATAAAATTTTGGACAGAATTGTTCACTGGCTTCCTGACCAAAGAAACTTTTGCAAAGAGGGAGTTGCTATGGCAATCACCAAACAGGAAAAAATATTAGTTGATTTTTGCAACACATAAATGATTCAATATCAAGTGTTTATAGTTTACTTTTGTAAATAGATAGCCCTAGCCAATAAGTAAATAGTGAAATTTATCATACCAGTAAGAAGATTATGGAATTTATATTTCAGAGGCCAGTTATTGTGAAGGCTTAAGTAACTGAAAGCAATAGTTTCACCTTTGAATGGAAAGGCTCAATTTTCATGATGAATGTAGGATACCTTGGGTATTACTAACATATTTAGTAAGTTTACAACTCTTAATACATATTGGAATCTTAGACTCTCAGTAATGGAAAGGCTAATATTTTTTAAAAATCAGTTTTATACCTGGATATAGTAGGGCTGCAGTGAACTAGCAATAATATGATATGGAGGAGAAAACATTGAATAATTTGTTTCTGTGAATTATTAGGGTTTAATTTTGTAGGAGTTTTAGTGTATAATTTTCTCTGTAATATATGGGTTATTTCTTAAGGAAACAGGCCAAAAGAATTAGTGACAAAAATGCAGCCTTGACCTCAAGAGCTCTGCAGCACAGAAGTAGCTTTTTGAGAGACTAGGGAGATTAGAAAATGGTATACGTTTAGATTTGCCGCGATATTGCTCTCCTTTTACACTTAGAATCATGTAAGTCATGGTATGGTTGGCCATGTCTTACATGTCTTACATCCAAATCCATGGATTTGGATTAGTGGGTACCCCAATAAACAGGAAAGAAATGATATCTTGTCACTGTGTGATGTATTAATACAGAAGCTACTATCCTTCCAGAATAGGAAATGTCTATTGTGGAATATTTCTGGAATACAGGTCACTTGGTTTCCCTATTACAACTCTTAAATAAAATCTGAGGCCGGGCGCGGTGGCTCATGCCTGTAATCCCAGCACTTTGGGAGGCCGAGGCAGGCGGATCACCTGAGGTCGGGAGTTCGAGACCAGCCTGACCAACATGGAGAAACCCCGTCTCTACTAAAAATACAGAATTAGCCAGGCGTGGTGGCACATGCCTATAATCCCAGCTACTAGGGAGGCTGAGGCAGGAGAATCGCTTGAACCTAGGAGGCAGAGGTTGCGATGAGCTGAGATCGCGCCATCGCACTCCAGCCTGGGCAACAAGAGTGAAACTCCATCTAAAAAAAAATAATAAATCTGAGATTACTAAACAGATTTATTCTGCATGCAAATTTCAGAACTACCACTTACTAGTTTTTTTATTACTTAATCACTTAATGTAATGGGTAGATAGGTCAAAATTGATCTCCTGCATCCCAGAAAATAACAAGTACCCTTACCCGTCAGGTAGCAATTTTAGCAACCTTAATCATGGTTTCTCTATTTTTATTTCTGACATATATCAAGATCACTTTTACTGTAAATTGAAACAAAATCTTAGTTGTAAACAAAACTTAAAAATAAAGAAGAGAAAGCAATTATTCCTTTCCTCCCTAGTATATTTCCAAAAATGAACATAATTTTTAGTGTAAGAACAGAGCCTTTGTATAAGTAAGCTCGTCATCTTAAGCAAGGAGTCACCTGAAGATATAGGTCCCTTAGATCCTAATAGGAAATATACATTAGTTTAATCTGAAATTGAAGTTGCCATTCAAAGTTATCTTAAAGTGGCTCTTTCTTGCATACTTTATTTCTTTAAAACAGTTCTTTTGCGATAATATTTTTTAGTGATTCAGGCGCTGGTTGTAATGAAGCAGAGTTCTATATATGCAGGCCTTCCGTAGTTGTATGATTTGTTTCTATAGGGCCTGCTCTGATTAGCTGTAATTGTGATTATCTTTGTTTAGATTTAAACACCATTTAAAATAGAAGGCATGTATTTGCTGCTAAGACACCAAGGAACTTTGCAGAAGCAACTTATCTCCTTAGCAACATTCTTTTTTTTTTTTTTTTTTTTTGAGTCAGAGTCTTGCTCTGTGGCCCAGGCTGGAGTGCAGTGGCGCGATCTCGGCTCACTGCAAGCTTCGCCTCCTGGGTTCACGCCATTCTCCTGCCTCAGCCTCCTGAGTAGCTGGGACTACAGGTGCCCGCCACCGCGCCCGGCTAATTTTTTGTATTTTTAGTAGAGATGGGGTTTCACTGTGGTCTCGATCTCCTGACCTTGTGATCCACCCTTCTCAGCCTCCCAAAGTGCTGGGATTACAGGCATGAGCCACCATGCCCTGCCCTCCTTAGCAACATTCTTAATAAAATTGCCTTCTAAATAAAGAGAGGCAGTCAATATTTCTTCTCTTTCCATAGCCATATGAAGTTTAACATGAATTTTGTATTACTTCCCTTTTTCATTTCATATATAATGAAATACACAGAAATAAAATGTAGTAACCAATTACAGAGACTTCTTTAAAGATATAACTGTTGTGCTTTTTTGAAGGCAAAGAACCTGCCCTGAAAAAGAATCTGACCTGAACACATGCTGTCCTAAGCAGTTAGTCTAGTGTGTCTCTGGGGTCTATGCAGGTTTGCAGTGTACAGACTGTTATCTCCTGTCTCAGTATTTGCCCTTCTTATGGAATTACTTTTCTTCCTCTTACTACCTTATTTCCTCCTCTTCATTTGTCTCATTAGTTGTATTAGCCAGATATATATTTACTTGTAGGGGAGGGGGAATGTCAAATTTCAGTTTCTAGGAATTATATATGGCATGAGTCATTGCTATAGCATCACAGAAATTTTCATCAACGTCTATCTAGAACAGTCAGGAGTTCTAGTTATGAGTTCTGTAATAGATATTTATTGAACATGTGAGAACAATGTAAAGCCAATAGTTGGTTCACTCAAATATTTACTGAGCACTGGGATACCTCCATGAATAAAACAAAGATCCTAACCCTTGTGAAGCTTCATTTTAATGCAGGGGGAGACAGAAATAAACCATAAACTTAACAAATAGGTATATTTTATAGTAAATCAGTATGTAATAGATGCAGTGGGGGGGCAGGGAATATGAAACTGTGTAAAGGGAAATTGATAGTGCTTGGGGACAGTGGCTGTAGGTTACACTACTCAGTATGGTATCAGGAAAGGCCTCCTTAAGAAGAGATGTGTGTAGGCCAGGTGCCATGGCTCACACCTATAATCCCAGCACTTTGGGGGGCCAAGGCGGCCGGATCACCTGAGGTCAAGAGTTCAAGACTAGTCTGGCCAACATGGCGAAACCCCATCTCTCCTAAAAATACAAAAATTAGCCGGGCCTGGTGGTGCACTCCTGTAATCCCAGCTACATGGGAGGCTGAGGCAGGAGAATCACTTGAACCCAGGATGTGGAGGTTGCAGTGAGCTGAGATTGAGCCACTACACTCCAGCGTGGGCGACAGAAAGAAGAGTGTGCAAAGACTTAAAGGAGGTGGGGGGAGTAAGCCAAACAGATAGAGGGAAAAAGCATTCCAGGCACAGCCACAGCCATGTCCTAAGAATCATGCAATGCGTTGGAGGAGCTGCAAGGAGGCTGGTGAGTCTGGGTGGAGTGAGCAAGAGGAGTAGAAAGAAATGCAGTGCGAGAGGCATCAATACCTGGGGCTGTTCCTGGAGCACCTTATATACTGTGAGGACTGCTTTTCACTAGGAGTTAGAGAGCACTTTTGGGTTGGGGTTTTTTTTAATGTTTTTATTGAGCTAAAATTTACATACCATACAAGTCACCCATTTGAAGTGTAAAATTCAGTGGTTTTTAGTATATTCACAGATATATTCAACTATTACCACAGTCAATTTTAGAACATTTTCATTGGCTGGGCGTGGTGGCTCACACCTGTAATCCCAGCACTTTGGGAGGCTGAGGCGGGTGGATCACCTGAGGTCAGGAGTTTGAGACCAGCCTGGCCAACATGGTGAAGCCCCATTTGTACTACAAATACAAAAATTAGCCAGGCATGGTGGCACGCACCTGTAATCCCAGCTACTCAGGGGGCTGAGGCAGGAGAATTGCTTGAACCCAGGAGGCGGAGGTTGCATCACGCCATTACACTCCAGCCTGGGCAACAAGAGCGAAACTCCTTCTCAAAAAAAAAAAAAAAAGCATTTTCATTGTATCCAAAAATCCCCCTCTCCAGCCCTAATAAACCACTAATCTAACTTCTGTCTCTACAAATGTCCCCATTCTGAGCATTGCATGTGAATGGAATCATATAATATGTATTCTTTTGTGACTGGCTTCTTTCACTTAGCATAATGTTTTCAAGACTCCTCCATGTGTAACATACATCAGTACTTTATTCCTTTTTATGACTGAGTAATATTTCACTGTATGCATGTGCCATGTTTTATTTATCCATTCATCAATTGATGGACATTTAGGATGTTTCCATCCTTTGGCTATTATAAGTAATGCTGCTATAAACATTTATGTACAAGTTTTTGTGTGCGTTAATAGGGTTTTAAGCAGAGCCATGACACCTGACTTACGTTTTAGGAGGATCTATCAAAGCAATGTGAATTAAGAAATTATCCACCAAAATGAACATTTGCTTATTATAAAAATGCAAATTTCTAGATGTAGTTAAATAAACTATACCCATTATTTTATTCACCTGCAATAAACTGAGCCATTATTGTAGTTGGTTTTCTGAAGCACATGATCCTACCTTGCAAATAAACGAGCATCTTGGTTTGGATTTTGAGCTGGCCTGCCTTAGCACTTCACAGGTCGATCAATATTAAAGAGTTCTAGTCCCTGCCAGCAGTAATTGACACCTTTAAGTTAGCTGTGTGAGCTGAGAGGTCAAGAACCCAATCCATATAGATGGAATTGTTATCGTAATAGGCAAAAATACCTGTCTTCATGGGATTCAGGATAGAAGTAGAGGGAAAAAGGGTGGCTAGGTGAATTCATTAGCCAATAGCGCTGCCATTGCTTGAACACTATGTGAACTTTATTTAGTCTCCAGTTCTTCTTAAAACTTTTGACAAATAGAAAGACATATCCTGCTAGAAGATGGCATGAGAGCAACAATTCTCTCGCTGCCAGATTCCCTTTCAAGCCAATAATAATTACTGTACATAGTATATTCTTTGTCATAGTACTAGATCCAACTAAGCCCTCATTAGCTATAAACCTAAAGAATAATTAATGATCCCATTTTCAATTATTTTCCCCATAAGTAGCAAAGACAGATAGTGCTGGCAAACAGGTAAAGGAAAGTAGGCATTCCCCTTGACCAAGTAATTCATGCTCATTGTTAAAAGGAAATGAGGCTGAACACGGTGGCTTACTCCTGTAATCCCAGCACTTTGGGAGGCCGAGGCGGGTGGATCACGAGGTCTGGAGTTCAAGACCAGCCTGGCCAACGTAGTGAAACCCCATCGCTACTAAAAATACAAAAATCAGTCAGACGTGGTGGCGTGCACATGTAGTCCCAGCTACTCAGGAGGCTAAGGCAGAAGAATTGCTTGAATCTGGGAGGCAGAGGTTACAGTAAGCCGAGATCGCGCCACTGCACTCCAGCCTGGGTGAGAGACCAAGACTCCGTCTTGGAAAAAAAAAATGAATTATAAAAGTAAAAATCATTCATAATACCACAGCTCAGAGCTAATCACTGTTAATATGTTGGCTTTTTTTCTTTTTTCTTTTTTTTTTTTTGAGACAGAGTCTCGCCCTGTCACCCAGGCTGGAGTGCAGTGGCACAATCCCGCCTCACTCCAACCCCCCTACCTCCCGGATTTAAGTAATTCTCATGCCTCAGCCTCCCAAGTAGCTGGGACTACAAGCCTGCAGCATCACACCTGGCTAATTTTTTTTTTTTTTGTATTTTTAGTAGAGATGGGGTTTCACCATGTTGGCCAGGCTGGTTTTGAACTCCTGACCTCAAGTAATCCGCCTGCCTTGTCCTCCCAAAGTGCTGGGATTATAGGCATAAGCCACTGTGCCCAGCCCCTTCTAATATTTTTTTAACCTAAATGTTTTAGAATTTTGTTTATGTTTTGTTTTTAACATAAGATCTATAGAGTTTTTTTCTTTAATCATTTGAGAACATTTTCCCATGTTACTAAAAAGTCTTTAAAACAATCTTAATGGCTATATAATTTTATTTTTAAGGATGGGTCTTTATTTAACTATTACCATTGGACATTTAGGTTGTTTACATTTTTTTCACCAGCATATTCAGCTGCAAGTTTACTTTTATTTTTTATTTATTTATTTTTTTGCTTTTTTAAATTTTTAATTGACATGTAATAATTTTACACATTTATTAGGTACAGAGTAATATTTTGATACATGTATACAATGTATACTGATCAAATCAGGATATTTAGCATAACAGCACATCAAACATTTATCATTTCTTTGTATTGGGAACATTCAAAATCTTCTTTTTTCTGTATTGGATATGTATTTTTTATTTTTTTTACTTTTTTTATTTATTTTTTAATATATATATATTTTTATTATACTTTAAGTTCTAGGGTACATGTGCACAATGTGCAGGTTTGTTACATATGTATACATGTGCCATGTTGGTGTGCTGCACCCATTAACTCATCATTTAAAAAATGACGAGTTCATGTCCTTTGTAGGGACATGGATGAAACTGGAAACCATCATTCTGAGCAAACTATCGCAAGGACAAAAAACCAAACACCACATGTTCTCACTCATAGGTGGGAATTGAACAATGAGAACACTTGGACACAGGAAGGGGAACATCACACACTGGGGGGAGGGGGGAGGGATAGCATTAGGAGATATATTTTTTATTTTTTTTATATTTTTTAATCATTTTTGAGATGGAGTCTCCTCTGTTGCCCAGGCTAGAGTGCAGTGATGTGATCTCAGCTCACTGTAACCTCCACCACCCAGGTTCAAGGAATTCTCTGCCTCAGCCTCCCGAGTAGCTGGGATTATAGGCGCCTGCCACCACTCCCAGCTAATTTTTGTATTTTTAGTAGAGACGGGCTTTCACCATCTTGGCCAGACTGGTCTTGAACTCCTGACCTTGTGATCCACCCGTCTCAGACTCCCAAAGTGGTGGGATTATAGATATGAGCCACTGCCCCTGGCCAAGCTTACATTTTTAATATAAATAATGCTTCAATAAACATCTTACGTACTGATAAAACTTGGTCCCCATCTCGGTGGGGACAAAGGTTTAAGATAAACGTATAGTGAGGCAGTCTGAAATATTGCCAGTAGAAGGATAAATTAGTATAACTTTCCTAGAAAGCAATTTAGCATTATATATTCTAAGGTATGGGATTAATTTCATGGCTTTTGTTGTTGGGTTTTTGTTTTGTTTTGTTTTTTTGAGACAGAGCCTCACTCTGTCGCCCATGCTGGAGTGCAGTGGTGCCATCTCGGCTCACTGCAAGCTCCGCCTCCCAGGTTCACGCCATTGTCCTGCCTCAGCCTCCCAAGTAGCTGGGACTACAGGCATCTGCCACCATGCCTGGCTAATTTTTTTTTGTATTTTTAGTAGAAATGGGGTTTCACCATGTTAGCCAGGATGGTCTCAATCTCCTGACCTCGTGATCCGCCCTCCTCGGCCTCCCAAAGTGCTGGGATTACAGGCGTGAGCCACCACACCGGCCTGTTTTTTGATTTTTAAGAAGCTCTTGCTCAAGTGATGGAAATGTTCTATATCTTGATTGAGGAGTTGGTTATACAACTGGATATATTTGGCAAACTCATCAAAGAATATCCTTGATATCAGTGAATTTTATTGTCTATGAGTTATAGCTCAATAAAAAAAATTTATATGTAGCTGAGCAGAGGTGGCCCATGCCTGTAATCCCAGCACTTTGGGAGGCTCAATTGGGAGGATCATTTGAGGCCAGGGGTTCAAGAACAGCCTGGGCAACATAGTGAGACTCCATCTCCACAAAAAACGTTAAAATTAGCCAGGCATCATGGTACGCACCTGTAATCATAGCTACAGGTAAGACAAAGCACTGTAGTACCAAACTGACATTTTCTCCTTCAAATGTTCAGAAAGATAAAAAAGATAATTTAAAATGGAATAGTTTCTCACTGCATAATTCAATGTTATTTAATGCCATGCCCCAGAACCACCTGATGTCAACTGATGTTATGACTCACACACTTTGAGGAAAACTGGGCTATTACAATTCCTAAAGCAACGGGTATGATGATAATTTGGTAAAACACTTAACCAAATTTTAAAGACAGTACAACAAAATGTAAAATATCTCAGTACTTTTTTAAGTTGATTACATGCTGAAAGATAATATTTTGGATATATGGGTTAAATAAAATACACTACTAAAATTAATTTTACCTGTTTCATTTTACTTTTTTAATGTGGCCACGAGAACATTTGTGACTTGCACTGCTTTATCCATTTAATTTTGTTAATTCTCATAATGACTCAGTGAAGCAGATTTTTTTTTTTTTGAAACAGGGTCTCGCTCTGTTGCCCAGGCTGGAGTGCAGTGGCACACACACAGCTCACTGTGACATTGATCTGGGTTCAAGCAGTCCTACCACTTCAGCCTCACAAGTAGCTTGTGCTAACTTTTTATTTTTTTCTAGAGACAGGGTCTTGCTATGTTGTCCAGACTGGTCTCAAACTCCTGGGCTCAAACAAACCTCCCAACTTGGCCTCCCAAATTGCTGGGATTACTGGCATGAGCCACCACACCCAGCCAAGGTAGATATTTTTATAATTGTTATCAACTTCCTTTTTCAGATGAGGAAATCAAAGTAGAGAGAAGTTAAGTACCTTGTCCAAAGTCATAAAGCTAGTAAGTGGTAAACCTGGAATTGGGCACAGTCTGTTTCCAGTATGAGTACCTAAGCACTCAGTTGAAATAATATTTTGGAATATTTATCTAGCTATGATATTTTTAAATCCTTTGTTTATAAATGTCACCTATAAGATAGGCAAAATATGTTTTTATCAAATGGATAATATGTGAAGCTTTCAGACTACTAAGAAATATTGTAAACCAAAGCTGGGGAAAAAATAATACAGAACTGAGGGATCATTTACTTTTATTTTAAGAATTTTATCATTCAATGATGATTAAAAATGAGATTTAAGAGACAGTGTTGCTCTTTGAGTAAAAATGACTAACTTGGCCAGGCATGGTGACTCACACCTGTAATCCCACACTTTGGGAGGCCGGGGCGGGCAGATTGCTTGAGTTCAGGAGTTCAAGACCAGCCTGGGCAACATGGTGAGACCCTGTCTCTACCAAAAATACAAAAAAATAGCTGGGCGTGATGGTGCGTGCCTGTGGTCCCAGCTACTCGGGAGGCTAAGATGGGAGGATAGCTTGAGCCCAGGGGGCAGAGGTTGCAGTGAGTCAAGTTCGCGCCACTGCACTCCAGCCTGGGTAACAGAATGGGACCCTTGTCTTAAAAAAAAAAAGAAAATTAACTTGATTAATTAGTGGAAGCTTTTAGTTTCATAACTATCTGAAATGATGCCTAAGTGTTATAATAATTTAACTTTGACATGGAGTAAGTGAAATTAATACTTTTTGTAGTGAATACAGCTAAGGGCCTAAAAAATAGTTGGCATCTTGAATTTCTATACATAAGTTTGAGGCTGGTAGGGGGCTGATTCAATTTGTGTTATCAACAGGTACTTTATAGATTTCCACCTAAACAAGTAACACTAGAAACTTGGACCTTCTCCTGTAACCACCAGTAGGTTCAATCTCTGAATTATTTACAGAAAAATTAGGATACTATGACAGAATTTGCATTTCAAAGAGGCAGGAACCCAGAGGGGACTTCTCTTCACTACGGACGTTTCAGGATAAGTTTTGAAACTTTCCCAAAGAGATTTTCTTTCTTTTTTTTTTTCAGTGAGACAGAGTCTCGCTCTGTCGCCCAGGCTGGAGTGCAGTGGCACGATCTCGGCTCACTGCAACCTCCGCCTCCCGGGTTCAAGCGATTCTCCTGCCACAAAGTCCCAAGTAGCTAGGACTACAAGTGCGTGCCACCACGCCTGGCTAATTATTTTTGTATTTTTAGTAGAGATGGGGTTTCACCGTGTTAGCCAGGATGGTCTTGATCTCCTGATCTCGTGATCTGAGTGCTGGGATTACAGGCGTGAGCCACTGCATCCGGCAAAGAGATTTTCTTTGACAGCTTATTTTCCTCCAGTGACCAAAGGATTAGACATCATTGCAAGAGTTGTGATGGAGTGTGTCGCCTGTCACTGACAAGCATTTATTGAGTGCTGATTATGTGTAATGTTCTGTGCACGGTGCTAGAAAGATGAAGACATGTTCTGTATCTTTAAGGATCTCAATGTCTAATAGGAAAATAAACATATAAATGAACAACTCTAATAAGATGCCTTTTTAAAAGTTGAATTTAACCCAGGATTCAAATTTAGGCATGTCCCTTGATTCCAATTTGTTTGTGCACTGTAACGTATATTTTTTAATTAAAAAAATAGCTTTTCATTTTACCTCTGAATTGTGTGTAAAAAAGAAATTTAAAAAAGAAAAATATCTTTTCATTACAAAATCAATATATAATTCCTGTAGGAAAAAAAATTTAATACAGCTAAGCAAAAAAATAGCCATACTGCCACCATAGGGAATGTTGTCAGCCTTTTAGATCTTTTGCTATGAATGTATACACATTTTTTTTAATTTTATTTATTTATTTATTTATTTGAGACGGAGTCTTGCTCTGTCACCCAGGCTGGAGTGCAGTGACACCACCTCGGCTCACTGCAACGCCCGCCTCCCAGGTTCAAGCGATTCTCCTGCCTCAGCCTCCCGAGTAGCTGGGACTACACGCTACCACACCCAAATAATTTTTGTAGTTTTAGTAGAGACAGATTTCACCATGTTGGCCAGGCTGGTCTCAAAGTCCTGACCTCAAGTGATCCACCTGCCTCAGCCTCCCAAAGTCCTGGGATTACAGGCATGAGCCACCACGCCTGGCCAATTTTTTTTTTTTTTTAAGATGGGGTCTTGCTCTGTCACCCAGGCTGGAATGCAGTGGTGTGATCATAGTTCACTGTAACCTCAAACTCTTGGGCTCAAGCAGTCCTCCCACCTCAGCCTCCCAAGTATCTAGGACTATGGGCCACCAAGCCTGGCTATCTATCTGTCTAATCTATCTATCTATCTATTTATTTGAGATGGAGTCTCAAATATATTGCCCAGTCTGGTATTGAACTCCTGGCCTCAAGAGATCCTGCAGCCTCGGTCTCCCAAAGTGCTGGGATTATAGGCATGAGCCACTGTGCCCAGCACACATATATATCTATATATAATACACACACACACTTTTTTTTTTTTTTTTTTTTGAGAGACAAGGCCTTGCTCTGTTGCCAGGCTGGAGTGCAGTGATGTGATCTTGGTTCACTACAACCTCCTCCTCCCGGGCTTAAGCCATCCTCCCGAGTAGCTGGGACTACACGTGTGTACCACCATGCCCAACTAATTTTTATATTTTTTGTAGAGAGAGGGTTTCACCATGTTACAGCCTAGGCTGGTCTCAGACTCCTGGGCTCAAGTGATCTGCCTGCCTCAGCCTCCCAAAGTGCTGAGATTATAGGCATAAACCACCACACCAGGCCTAGCCCACATATATTTTTAAATAAAAGGAAACATACTCTACATGTGCTTTCAATGAAAATGCTTATCTATATCATTTTTAATAACTGAATTATATTCTATTAAGTGTAGCACAATTTCATCAATCCTCAATTTTTTGTTCATTCAACAAATACTTAGTGAGCACCTACTATATTACAGGGGTTACCTTGAGACTGGAATATAGTGGTGAGCAAAACAAATATTGTTTGATATTGTTTGCAGTTTTTCACTCTTATAAACAGTACTGTAATAAACATCATTTTACATACATCTTTAAACACTTATTCAATTGTTGACTTGGAATAATAATAATTGAATATATACTATGTGCCAGGCAGTTGGTTGACTTCATTACATATATTATCTCATTTAATCTTCATGATCCAAGAAGTGAGATCATTATGATCTCAATTTTCAAACGAAGAAATAGGAACATAGAGAAATTAAGTAATTTGCTTTAAGTCATATAGCAGGGAAATACAGAGCTGGAACTCAAGCTCAGATTTGTGTGATGCTGGATTCCATGCACTGCTGGCAATGTTGGTTAGGCATCAGAGGGTGTAAGCGTTTTTAAGATGCAAAATTACTAAACTGCCGGCCAGAAAAATTTTATTATACCTGTATAGTATATACACATAATAGTGTGTTTATATCTTCACATCATGCCCGTGCCAACCCTGAGGTTAGCTGCTGCTGATTCTTAAAAATAAAATTTAGGCTGGGCATGGTGGCTCACACTTGCATTCCCAACACTTTGGGAAGCCGAGGCAGGTGGATTGCCTGAGGTCAGGAGTTTGAAACCAGCCTGGCCAACGTGGTGACACCCCATCTCTACTATAAATACAAAAATTAGCTGGGTGTGGTGGCGGGCGCCTGTAATCCAGATACTCAGGAGGCTGAGGCAGGAGAATCATCGCTTGAACTTGGGAGGCAGAGGTTGCAGTGAGACAAGATCGCACCATTGCACTCCAGCCTGGGCAACAAGAGCGAAACTCCATCTCAAAAAAATAAAAATAAGGTAAAATAAAATTTAAAAATTATCAGCTAGGCACAGTGGCACATGCGTATAATCCCGATGCTTTCAGAGGTCGAGACAGGAGAATCACTTGAGGCCAGGAGTTCGAGACCAATCTGGGCAACAAAGCCCAGACTCTTTTTTTGTCTCTAAAAAAAAAAAAAAGTATTTTTAGCCATGCATGATGGCATGCACCTGTAGTCCCAGCTACTTGGGAGACTCAGGCAGGAAGATCACTTGAGCCCAGGAGTTAAAGGTTACAGTGAGCTATGATCACGCCACTGCACTCCAGCCTGTGTGACAGAGCAAGACTATGTCTCAATAAGTAAATAAATAAAAATTATCAATGTGTGTGGAGAAGGTCAGTTAAAAAGCAGTTTACTTCAACCCAGATGCAGAGAAAGAAGGAAGAAACAGATTAATAGTGTGAAGCTTAAAGAAGAGACCAATGAATAAATGAGAAAGAAATGGAGGCAAGAGTCAGCAAGGTAGATGTTATCTAGTTTCAAAGCAGCCTTCCAGTTCCAGATTCCAGGGTTTTATGAAGCAATGATCTTCTTACATTAAGTCAGTGACAGACACGCCTGCCCTGTCAATGCCATATAATAATCATTTTTCTTTTGTGTAAGCTACTTTGAATGGGTTTGTTTCCTGCAGCCAGAATGTTGAGTTATGGGAAAAAGTTATTCTCTCTCACAAGTTTGTAGGATATGCCTTTTTGTGTCATGTGGAAGATCCAATACAGATTTGCATATTTGTTTCAGGACTTGTGTAAAACTAAAAAGTTAAAAATGTAAGGAAAAACTCAAACATGCTTAACTCTGTATAGTGAGACAGAAGTGACCTGTTTACCTCATTATTTCCAGTATTATCTATATTTCTGTTTTCATGATCAAAAAATATTAAAATGTTCTACCAATTTTAAAGAGCCATCAATTTGATGCCACTGGAATTATTTAAATAATAAAGTGTCCAGTTGATTATATTCAACACAGCCCTGAGTTCCATTCCTCTGACAAAACCATACAGTATTACCTTCCCCAAATAAATGATGCATCCTTCAGCACATATGTTCTTTCACTAGGATTATCATTAGAGCTTCTGAGCCTAAGTGGAACCTGTTACTTATAAATCACCTTTTAGTACCCTTTGGTCTTGTTCGAAGCAGTGTAACATACCAATTAAGAGTATGGGTTTCAGTGCCAGACTACCTTGTTTAAATTCCAGTTTTGCCACATATTCACTTGTATGATCTGAGACAAATCATTTAGCCTCTTTCTGCCTCAGCTTTTTCAGCTGTAAAATGGAGGTATTAATAGCTCCTTCATACCATTGTTGTGATGATTAGATGATTAATATTTGTAAAATGCTTAGAGGTGATCTGGCAGAGGGTAAGCACTCAATGGATGTTACCTGCTGTTGCTGTTATTACTGTTACATTTTGGGGAGATAAAGTAAAACAGACTTTGGGTATTCATTATCACCACCTCTGTCATCACCCTTACTTCCAAATAAGTTGTCTTAAAACCCTTTACCATAATTCAAAGGCAGAATTATATTATTATTCCAAGTGGAAATATACTGAGGCAGTGATAAAATGTACTATGAAGATAGTCCGATGTCAGATGACTTTGCAGTCTGTGAGAAGAAAAATCTTTAGTAGTTCCATTTCCATTTGTGTTCACTTAAAATTTCTCCTTTGGGGCCCCCCAGAGTCAGTACCACTATAATTAAAAGATGAAGGCCAGGCGTGGTGGCTCACGCCTGTAATATCAGCACTTTGGGAGGCTGAGGTGTATGGATCACCTGAGGTCAGGAGTTCGAGACCAGCCTGGCCAACATGGTGAAACCCCATCTCTACTAAAAAAAAATACAAAAATTAGCCGGGCGTGGTGGTGGGCGCCTGTAATCCCAGCTGTTCGGGAGGCTGAGGCAGGAGAATCCTTTGAACCAGGGAGGTGGAGGTTGCAGTGAGCTGAGATTGTGCCACTGCACTCCAGCCTGGGCAACAGAGCGAGACTCCATCTCAAAAAAATAAAGAAGACTTGCAAAGAGTCTTCAGCATTCATGGTTGCTACAGCTGGGCTATTTGGGGCTTCGTTTCTTGCATTTTTTAATAGTGTTCACCATGCTGCCCCTGTAGTTGTGGTTGTTCTGACACATTGATGTGGGCTTGAATGTTCCCATACATCTACACCTCTTTTTATTCTCAGATGATAACTACCTTTCAGATATGTTCTCAGATGATAACCACCTTTCAGATCTCTGAGTTCTGTCCTTGAGGAGTCCATTTTTAACCCTGTGGACGATGAGGGTAATTTTTTCCTTTCTCTTCGCATGACATTCCAGTGAATGACACAAACAGTGCTAGATCCATGCAGAATCTCATTGTTTGCTTTTCTTGCTGTTTCTTCTCAATAAGAGAGGAAATAGTGCCAAGGGCTCCTGTTTGCTTCTTTGTTTTGTTTTGTTTTGTTTCATTTCATAAATCAGGTGGCCAGTACTAAGGAGGGAATTCCGAAGGAATAGCTACATTTTTGAATAGGCAATTATATCATTTGTAAGAAAGTGTCATAGGGTAAAATAACCCCAGTGGAATTAGTTAGAATCAAGGAAATATCTTATACTTTAATTCAGTGTATTCCAAGACTTATTATATAGAAAATTTATTTGAGGAGATATTGATAGGTATTCCATTTTTAAAAGGGTTCTATAGCCAACTAAGTTTGGAAAACACTCTATCCTTCTCTTGAAAAGTCAAAACTCATATTAGCATATTAAAGATTCTGAGAAAATCTAGGGTAAAGAAACCCACTTCACTTTTGTGTTTTTTAATTGTATTTTAATATAATATTTGATAAAATATATGTAGCATGTAAGTTAGAAAGCATAATATAATAAATACGCTTGAGCCTTTCACCTAACCCAAGGACTAGAAAATTGCCAGTAACATAGATGTATCCATGTGTTCCTCTCCAATTACATCCCTTATCTCCCTACAGCAGGTAAGTGCTAACCTAGATTTTGTATTTAATTCCCTTGCTTTGGTGGAAGAAGATTGTGTTTTTAGCACTTACCTATGTATTTCTAAATAACACATTGTTTAGTTTTGCTTGTTTTTGAGCTTTATAAAAATAGTATCATACTTTTTTCATTAAACTTTGCTTCTAAGATTCATCTGTATTGTTGCAGGTAACCTCAATCATTTTTCAGTGCTGTGTAACATTCCATTATGTGAACATACCACAGTTTACTTTTCCATTCACCTGTCCATAGACGTGAGGTTTTTTGTTATATTTTTTATTATTACTATTGCTCCTCTCAAGGAGAAACAAGAAGAAAATGTGAGCTAAGAATATTGACAGAATATTATGATTATATTGTTTGGGAGCATTAAGGAGTATATTTATTGAGTGGCTGCCTTTACTATTCAAGGCAGGAACTAAAACGCAAACATAAATAAAACATCCCTGTCTTCAATGATCTTATGGTCCAGTGGAGGAGTCAAACAAATTCTGTATTTTTCATATTAGGATATGATTAGTCTCAAAGACTAATGGCACAAAATAAACATGACACATCTTTTGAAGTGCCCAGTTTCTTATAATCAGGGGGATGTGCAGGGGTAGAATTAAATAATTTAACTGATAAGTACCTTAAAATATGTTTGTGTCAAAATTTAAAAGGTCCTTTTATGAAAAATAATATAAAATTATTATGCATTTTTATTTTTTATTTTATTTATTTATTTTTTATGACAGAGTCTCACACTTGTCACCCAGGCTGGAGTGCAATGGCGTGATCTCGGCTCACTACAACCTCTGCCTCCCAGGTTCAAGTGATTCTCTAGCCTTAGCCTCCCCAATAGCTGGGATTACAGGTGCCTACCACCACACCTGGCTAATTTTTGTATTTGTTTTAGTAGAGACAGGGTTTCACCAAGTTGGCCAGGCTGGTCGCGAACTCCTGACCTCACGTGATCCACCCTCCTCGGCCTCCCAAAGTGCTGGGATAACAGGCATGAGTCACTGGGCCTGGCCAGTTATGCATTTTTAAAACAAAATACTGAAAGTCAAAGAAAGATGTAAGCTGATATACCAATCTGGACTACACCCTTAGGACTCATAATTCATTTGCTTCTTTTTGTCCTCTGTCGCCCAGGCTAGAGTGCAGTGGTGTGATCTCAGCTCACTGCAACCTCCGCCTCCTAGGTTCAAGCAATTCTGCCTCACCCCCCTGGGTAGCTGGGATTACAGGCACATGTCATCCCACCTGGCTAATTTTTGTATTTTTAGTAGAAATGGGGTTTCATCATGTTGGCCAGGCTGGTTTTGAACTCCTGACCTCAGGTGATCTGCCTGCCTCAGCCTCCCAAAGTGCTGGGATTACAGGCATGAACCACCACGCCTAGCCCTGCTTCTTCCTAGGTATAAAAATTTGAGGCCGGGTGCAGTGGTTCATGCCTGTAATCCCAGCACCTTGGGAGGCCAAGGCGGGTGGATCACCTGAGGTCAGGTGTTCAAGACCAGCTTGACCAACACGGCAAAACCCCATCTCTACTAAAAATACAAAAATTAGCCAGGCATGGTGGTGCATGCCTGTAATCCCAGCTACTAGCAGGGCTGAGGCAGGAGGATTGCTTGAACCTGGGAGGCAGGGATTGCAGTGAGCCGAGATCGTCCCACTGCACTCCAGCTTGGGCAACAGAGTGAGACTCTGTCTACAAAAAAAAAAAAAAAAATTTGAGGCCGGGTGCGGTGGTTCACACCTGTAATCTCGGCACTTTGGGAGGCCGAGGTGGGTGGATCACCTGAGGTCAGGAGTTCAAGACCAGCCTGGCCAACATGGTGAAACCCCGTCTCTACTAAAAAATACAAAAATTAGCTGGGCATGGTGGTGGACTCCTGTAATCCCAGCTATTGAGGAGGCTAAGGCAAGAGAATTGCTTGAACTCAGGAGGTGGAGGTTGCAGCGAGCCAAGATCGCACCACTGCACTCCAGCCTGGACAACGAGAGCGAAACTCCATCTCAAACAAACAAACAAAAAAAATTGAAAAGTGTTCATGTACAGAAGTTAAACAAAATGTATCCTAAATATAAATAATTAATTCTGACAGAGTAACTAGGAAATGCCTCACAGAGGAGCTGGTTTTTGAACTAGACCATAAAGGATAAGTAGGATTTCCATAGGAAGAAAGAGCAGTCAAGGCTGAGGAAAAGCATGATTAAGGACAGGAGCAAGATTTAAAAAAAAAAAAAAAAAAAGGTGTACCACATTTGAGAAATAATGAGAAGTTCTTCATAAGTAAAGTCTATCTCCAGTGAGGGGCAGGATGATCTCTGTGTGTGAGATGCCTGGTATTTCCAGATGTAGATTTGTTTGTTTGTTTTGAGACAGGGTCTCACCCTATCACCCAGGCTGGAGTGCAGTGGTGCCATCTCGGCTCACTGCAGCCTCCACCTCCCAGGTTCAAGCGATTCTCCAGCCTGAGCCTCCCAAATAGCTGGGACCACAGGTGCATGCTACCACACCCAGCTAATTTTTGTATTTTTTTGTAGAGACGGGGATTCACCATGTTTCCCAGGCTGGTCTCGAGCTCCTGAACTCAAAGTGATCCACCTGCCTTGGCCTCCCAAAGTGCAGGGATTACAGGTGTGAGCCACCACACCCAGCCTCAGATGTAGATGTTGAATGCCAACCTATTCCCTTGCTCCTGATAAAACTGCTGTTGGATATTTAGAAAAAGTTTAGCACACTAGGTGACATTTAAGCTGGGGTCTTCTTTTAAAAATCTGTATCTGAATCATGTTCATTTGGCAAACAATTCATCCACTTTATACTAAGGATGAAGAAAGTAATACTCAAGATGTGCACTAACTAGTAAGACAAACCATTAGAAGAGAATTAGGAGGAAGAAAACCCGCTCACTGCCTTCTGTCCTGTCATAGGGGATGAATGCTCCTAGCTGGGGCTAGCTCTTCCACTTGGGCACCAGAGCCCATCTACCTCACCTACACCGGGATATCTCTCCAAACTCCCCTTTCTTTCCCAAATCATTTTTTCCCACCTGTTGTATTATTCATAGAAGCATAGAAATATCCTGCTATGCTGGGCACAGTGGCTCACGCCTGTAATCCTAGCACTTTTGGAGGCTGAGGTGGGCAGATTGCCTGAGCTCAGCAGTTTGAGACCAGCCTGGGCAACACAGTGAAACCTCATCTCTACTAAAATATAAAAAATTAGCCAGGCATGGCGGCGTATTTCTGTAGTCCCAGCTACTCAGGAGGCTGAGGCAGGAGAATTGCTTGAACCCGGGAGGTGGAGGTTGCAGTGAGCCGAGATTGTGCCACTGCACTCCAGCCTAGGCGACAGAGTGAGACTCCGTCTCCAAAAAAAAAAAAAAAAAAAACAGTTTGAAATATCCTGCTATGTTCTGCATCTTTAAAAGCCCTCTCTTAACCCCCTTACTCTTTCTAGGCTCCATCTCATTTCTGTGTTCTCTTTCATGGGAAAATTCTCCAAGAGTTGTTTACACTCACTGTCTCTAATTCCTTCCCTCACATATTCTCTTAAATCCACATATTCTCCTCAACTACTGCATTCAGGCCTTCACTCCCATCACTCTAAAATCGCTGTTGTCAGGGTCCCTAGGGACCTCCACATAGCTAAACATAGAGTCAACTTTCAGTCCTCATTTTGCTTGACCTATCAGCAGCATCTGACGCAGTTCCCTTACTTATTTTTTAAAAAAAAATAGAGATGAGGTATTGCTATGTTGCGCAGGCTGGTCGTTGTTATCACTTAGCTTCCAGGAACTATACTGTCTTGGTCGTCCTACCTCACTGGCCATTCCTTCTCTGTCTCATTTGCTGTTTCTCCTATTTTTGGAATCCCTGGGACTTGGCCACCTCATTCAGTCTCACGGCTTTAAGTTGTATGTCTCGACTACTAACTCCCAGATTTATATTTCTAGTCCTGAGTTTCATTATTGCTATTTGGAGGCAGATAATCTGTTGTTGTGGAGGACTGTCCTTTGCATTATAGATGTTCAGCAACATTCCTGGCCTATACCCATGAGAAACCAGCAGCACTCCACCAGTTATGACGAGGAAAAACATCTCCAGACTCTGCCAAATGTCCCCTGAGACTAAAATCACACTCCTCACCCCATTGAGAACCAGTGTTTCTTGTCCGAACTTCTCCCCCAAACTCTGGACTTGTATATCCACTGTCTTTTTGACATCTCTACTTGAATGTCTAATAAATATTCATACTTAACGTGATCAAAACCAAACTTCTGATCTTTGTTGCTCAATATAATCCTCCCTCCGACTTCCCACCTCAGTGGCACATCCATTCCTTTAGTTGCTTAGGCAAAAAAAAACTTGGCATTTTCTTGAATCTCCTCTTTATCTCACACCTACATCCTGACTTATCAATAAGTCCTGAGAGCTTTACCTTCAAAATACACCCAGAATCTAATGCCCTTTCACCACTACTGCTCTGGTCCATGCCACCGTCACTTCCCACTGGGATTACTGCAGCTGCTTTACTCTTGTCCCCCAACACCCCCTTCTCAATATAGTAGTAGGGTGATCTTGTGAAAATGTGTCATTCAGGGTATGTCACATCTTTTTGCAGAACCCTCCAGATGTCTCTCATCTTACCCAAAGTAAAAACCAAAATTCTTACAATGACATGCCAGGCCTTATATGGTCTCTCCTTATAGCCCGCTCTACCCATTCCTTACCTCTCCAATCTCACCTCTTACTATCCAACACCTTATTCACTTCACTCTAGCCACACTAACCTTCTTTCTGTTCCTTAAACATACAGAGCCTTGATCCCTTTGCACTTGCTCTTTCCCAGATACATGCTCTGTTGCCTCATTCAGGTCTTGACTCAAATGTCAGTTTCTCAGGGAGGCCTTCCTTGGGTACTAGTTTTTGTTTTTGTTTTGGGGGGATGTTTTTTATGGTAGCATTTTATTCCTCTTCAAGAAAAGCTATTACCTAACATTGATGAACTCTCTTTTTTTTGAGACAGAGTCTCACTCTGTCACCCATGCTGGGGTGCAATGGGATGATCATAGCTCACTGCAGTCTCTAAATCCTGGGCTCATGCTCAAGTGATCTTTCCACCTCAGCTTCCTGAGGAGCTGGGACTACAGGTGTGCACCACAATGCTTGGCTAATTTTTAAAATTTTTTGTAGAGGGTCTTGCTATGTTGTCCAGGCTGGTCTTGAACTCCTGGACTCAAGCAATAGGATTAAAAATATCCTCCTGTTTCGGCCTACCAGAGTTCTGGGATTATAGGCGTGAGCCACCATGGGCAGCCAGTCACTAGTTTTATTTTATTTTTGTTGTTGTTGTTGTTGTTGTTTTGAGATGGAGTCTTGCTTTGGTGCCCAGCCTGGAGTGCTGTGGTGCAATCTCAGCTCACTGTAACCTCCGCCTCCCAGGTTCAAACGATTCTTGTGCCTCAGCCTCCCAAGTAGCTGAGATTACAGGCATGCACCACCACGCCTGGCTAATTTTTGTATTTTTAGTAGAGACAGGGTTTCACCATGTTGGTCAAGCTGATCTGAAACTCGTGACCTCAAGTGACCTCAAGTGATCCTCCCGCCTTGGCCTCCCAAAGTGCTGGGATTACAGGCGTGAGCCACCGCACCCAGCCCAGTCACTAGTTTTAAAATCTCACACCACTACCATCTCCAATACTCCTTTTTTAAACCTGCTTTATCTTTTCCCATAGTATTTCTTCATCTAACATATTACAAAGAGGCAGTATAGCATTATAGTTAAGAAGACAAACTGAAGCCAGATTGCCTGGGATTATATCCCAATTCCATCACTTCTGGTGTGTGTGTGTGTGTGTGTGTGTGTGTGTGTGTGTGTGTGTATTTAAAGTGGAATGGTTTCTGTCCATTAGAGCAGTACTTTGCATATAGTAATATGTGTACACCATTATTATTGTATTATTATTATTAACTACTAATTAATTTTATTTTCCTTCTCTCCCATTGGAATATAAATTCCATGAGAGCAGAGGGGTTTTTTTTTACTTTCTTCATTGCTGTATTCACAGCTTCTAGAACAGTGCCTAGCACATAGTAGACACTCAGTAAATATTTGTTGATCAAATTATGTTATTTCTGGAGTGATGAGGATAAGGAGGGTCAAGGAAGACAAGGTATATGTTTAGAACTTTTACAAAGAGAATGTACTCATGTATCCTTGTGCCCCTAAAAGCTTCATAAGCTTGCATGGAAAATGGACATACAGACAAATAAATTACAACACAGTATATTTACAAGATATGGAAGAATGAGTACGTAACTCTAAGGGGAAAGCAATGCAGTTGAGGAAAGCTTCCTAGAGGAGTAATAATGTGAGAGTTGGGTTTTTAAAGATGCATAGTTCCACCAAACAAAGTGTGAGATGGATGGGACAGCCTTTGAATAGCAGGTGCAAAAGCAAAGAAGTATGAAACATAGCAGTGGCTCTGAAAACTGCAAGCCGTGGAAGTTGAGAGGTGAGGAGCATTTTCAGTGTTTTAAGCTATTAATAATTTCATCTTATCCTTCTGCCTTACCCACTCCCATACTCCTAACTTCTCCAAGTAAGTGTTTGGCTGTAATTAGGAGCTTATTACTCCATTAAGACAAATATCTTGGGGTTTTTCTCATTATTTTCCTGAAAGTCTTTTTCTATTTTTCTGCTCCCCACAAGTTCTATTTTTTTAATTATTATAACACTATTCAGGTTCTAGATTCCCCTTGGTGTCTTTGGTATAAGAAATTCACATGTAATTTTTACCTGTGGAGTATAGTGAAAAAGGAGGAAGACATATCCTTAAATTATATACACATACACACACATAGTTTTTGTTACAGTATGATAGCTTTGTTTAGGAATAGAAACACAGTTGTTCAGCTGAATTATTTTAGTAATTAATATTTTTAATCCTATAAACATTGGTCTCTAGTCCCTTACCAGTGATGTAAGTGGAGAAGCTTGCTTTTCAGTGTGTGACTCAAGACTTCTCAAGGTTGACTTTTTAAAATCAGGGTTGGGGTTCTGCTTTTTTCCACCCACCTTCCTTCTATACATGGAGTCAGGAAAACACCCTTGATGACAGCACAAACTAAAAAAAGCAGTAGCATTAATCCACTCTGTTAGTTTCTGGCACTGCCTCTGTTTATACTCATATTGGATTGTGATTGTGTATCTGTCTCTGAGAGTCCCTTAAGGTAGGAATCATAACTAAGGTGTACATTTGTACACCTAGTTCAACACCTAGTTCATAATGGATGCTCATTAAACATTTGTTGAATTGGATTGAATTGAACTGAATTGAACTGGACTATGGCACCAACGGAGAAGGGGATTTTTGAGTTTGCTTTTAAGTGAGATTGATTTAAAATGAATTTAGAAAGAAAAATTATTCTTTTTGTTTTGTTTTTAAACATAGTCTAAATTTGGGGTACAGCTAGCAATATGTTCATTCGCCATAATTTTTTAAGCATTCTGAGCAATGACTCATTAGAGTCCCCAAATAGTTTTTTTTTAAGTCATAGTGGCCCTAGGAAACAAAATTAGGCTGGTAAATATAAATAGTAAGTGTGTTCTCATTATAGTCAGGAATGTGGGGTCTTGTTGATATACAGAGGAGGATCTTTATTTCTTCCCTTTGTAGCAGAGTTGGAAATGAACCAAAGATCCCCTGATAAAATTCCTATAGGGCTTCCCAGCACATTTATTTCATTCTTTCTAGAAGTCATCAAGACTTATTGTGTTATTGTTCAAAAAAAAATCAGTGCTACCTCATTTCCTAACACTTGTTTTCTGACCTCCAATTGTGTCTAGTCCAACTGGCCAAAAAGCCAGGCCAAAGATGTCTGTATTTCCATAGAGGAACAAATGAACTTAGCTTCTACTCCTTTCCCTCTACTTTGCAATTTTTTCTTTTGCAAAGGAGTTTGGAATTTAAATTCTCCAAGCCCAGAATCTTTCAATGCAAGATGGTAATAAAACTGCAAAACAATGGTAATAACTGGTCATTCCTCCAGTCCTCTGTCTTTTAAATATCTGTCTGCTCTGAGAGAGAGTCCTGAGCATCCAAATAACTTGTTGTTGTTGCTGTTGTTGTTGTTGAGACAGGGTTTCACTCCTGTCGCCCAGGTTGGAGTGCAATGGCACAATCTTGGCTCACTGCAACCTCTGCCTCCAGGCTCAAGCAATTCTTCTGCCTTAGCCTCCCAAGTAGCTGGGACTACAGGCACCTGTCTAATTTTTGTATTTTTTATAGAGATGGGGTTTCACTATGTTCCCCTGCCTGGTTTCGAACTCCTGGGCTCAAGCGATCCACCCGCCTCAGCCTCCCAAAGTGCTGGGATTACAGCGTAAGCCACTGCACCCGTCCATCCAAATAACTTTTATATTATAAAGAAGGCTGTCTTGCCAATGGGTAGCTATTTTATTCATTTACTCAGCATAACTTTATTGGATACCTCTGTGTTAAGCCCTGGAGATCTAAGGTGAGTAAGACTTCCCCCTACCTCCCAAGAAGCTCACAGTCTGTCTTGGCAACAATTATACAGTGCTAAGATAGGAGTGGGATAAAGTAATAACAGTAATTAGTTCAGCATGGAGGGGTCTGGAAGGGCTTTACAGAAAAAGTGACTTTTATGATTATGTATTTATGTATGTATGTATGAATGAGACCATGCCTGGCCAGAAAAGTGACTTTTAATCCTTAGTCTTGAAGAATAAGGTTCTTGCCAGGCGCAGTGGCTCACGCTTGTAATCCCAGCACTTTGGGAGGCTGAAGCAGGCAGATCACTTGAGGCCAGGAATTTGAGACCAGCCTGGCCAACATGGTGAAACCCGTCTCTACTAAAACTACAAAAATTAGCCAGCATGGTAGTATATGCCTGTAATCCCACCTAATCGGGAGGCTGAGGGAGGAGAATCGTTTGAACCTGGGAGGCAGAAGTTGCAGTGAGCTGAGATTGTGCCATTGCACTCCAGCCTGGGCAACAGAGCAAGACTCCGTCTCAAAAAAAAAAAAAGAAGATTTCAGCAGAGAAAGAATAGTCAAACATAGGACATAGTAAGAATAACTACTTGAGGTAGGAAAGCTCATGACGTGTTTAGGAACAGTGAGTAGTTGGGCATGGATGGCATAGAGGCTGCACTCTGAGAGATGGAACAGACAAGTGGGAAGCAGTATTGCAAGATGCTGAAAGGCACAGAATCTAGAGCCTGGATCTGAATCCCAGCTGAGCCACTTACTAGCTGTTGTGACCTTGGCAAGTCACTTAACCTCCCCTCTATAGCTTTGTTTCTTCGTTTTTTAAAATGAGGATAATAGTAGCATCTGTTTGACAGGGCCGCATGCATATATGCATATATACACACACATGGCTTTAAACGGTGCTCAGAACAAAATGAATATAAGTATTCTTTATTAGGGCACATTATGAAAGGCCTTGAACTGTACATTTTCCATAAGTAAAAGAAAGGTTTTAAAGCAGAAGAAGGGAGAGTATACAACAGGATATAATCTGTATTTTGTTTTATTTTTTAATTTTTTTTTTATTAGAGACAGGGTCTTGCTCTGTTGCCCAGGTTGGTCTCAAACTCCTGGGCTCGAGCAATCCACCCGCCTCAGCCTTCTAAAGTGCTAGCATTACAGGCCTGAGCCACCGCGCCTGCCTGTAATCTGCATTTTAGAAAAGTAACTCTGGTGCCACTCTGGAGAGTAGATTGGATAAGAAAGAAACTATAGACAACATACAAGCTCTGAGACAGTTTCAAGAGTACAGATAACAGGTGCTGATGTAACATGGTACTGAGTTAATATAGTGGCCTTGCCCTTAAAAATTCTGGGATCCTAAATAGAAACTTCAAACTTGAAATGTTAGTCTTAATAGATCTTACAAATTTAATTCTAAAAAAAAAATGAAGACCCTGGGGAAGAGCACAGAAGGACTGTCCTTGCAGTATGGATGTTGTAGTGCTCAACTGATGCTTCCATTCTATACCCAAATATCAGACCAGTACCTCCTGCCTACTATTCATGATATATTTTCATCTGGTTAGATGTCCAGAGCAAGACATTCTATTTTTGGAGATGCTTTTGTTTTTTCCTTCAAGTAACCTCAAACTACTTATCAGTTTCCTAGAGGAAGTTCTGGCTTCTGGACTGCACAGCCGAAGCAAGGAGAGCTCTCAAGTCACATCAAGGTCAGCGAGCAGAAGATGAAACGGTGGTTGGGGGAAGGGCACAGCTTCCTCTCTTGTCCCCACTACAGGTTTTCCCTACTAAACAAAGGTGTTGGAGAGCAGCTTTGGGTTCTGTGCTGGTTGTTAGAACTCATCTCCAGGTAGCCCACGGATACGTGGTTGGCACAGACACAAGACTCCCAGAGTTGTCCTAACAATAAGTCTGAGCCCATCTCAACCCACTTTTCTCCGGTAGTCTTTATGTATCTGTTAGCACAATCACTTCAGTTACTGATGAATTTTGTTGGGATCTGACTTGGGGAAAGGGTTATCAGAGCCTAGAGGGGCTTAAAAAGTAATCATTTGATGTACATACCACACTCCTTGGCTTCCTTTCTCTTCCCTTAACCCTTTCTGCTTTTCATTAACCACATTCCTGCACAACTCATTTCTGAAAACCTACCATGTTTCTTTACAGAGCCATCCAAAAATTTTTTGTCCCTACATAGCAATTTTCTGTGGCACTGAGAAACCATGTATGACCACAATAAAAATCCATTTTGTGAAAGGATATGAGTGATTTAGTTTTATTTCTTTGAGGCTAATTTATGGGAATTTATGAGGTGGGACATGAGCTGGTTTCACACCAAACATAATGAAGGCATTACTTCTACCTGAAGGATATTTAAAGTATGTCAAGGCAAATAATAAATTCTAGTGTCAATTTCACCTCTCTTGAAAACAGGAGAAAGTGACAGTATCATTATTGCCAGGAAATTAAGGCATCCTCAAATCATCATAGCAAAAATACCAAAGCACAATCCCTCCCTGTTTTGTGTGTGTGTGTGTGTGTGTGTGTGTGTGTAAACTTGTATGTTGACAAATATTCTCTAGCATCAGACAGTAAGGGTCAAACCTATGTCATATTTATATGGCTTTGGGAATATTATTTAGCCTCTTTGTGGCTCAGCTTTCTCATCTATAAAATAGAACCTTCCTCATAGGATTAGAAGAATTAAATGAGATGAGATGATACATGAAAAGTGCTTAAAACACTGGTATACGGTAATCATTTAATAAAATTTGGCTAATAGTAAATAAGATTAATTTCTGTCTCTAAGTTGGGGTTACAGAGTCACATGTAAAATGATTGGACTAATCATTTTAATCATTGCACATCTAATCATTGCACTAATAAGCAGTTCAAAAAATAGAGGGAAAAGCTGAAAGGTCATTCTGTCCCTCTCTTTTTTCCACTCGTCCCAGCTCTCAGCTGTTGTTTCTTTTTTTTTATTATTTTTTATTTTTAGTAGAGATGGGGTTTCACCATCTTGGCCAGGATGGTCTTGAACTCCTGACCTCGTGATCCACCCGCCTCTGCTTCCCAAAGTGTTGGGATTACAGGCGTGAGCCACTGCACTCGGCCTCAGCTGTTGTTTCTTTACACGCACTCATGAAGTAAAATCCAAGTTCTTTTTTTTTTTTTTTTGCTTTTGTGGGTCCCTTTGGGTAATTTTTTCTTCTTCATTTTTTATAAGTATTTAAGACAGCCTGCACTTGGGGATGGAGTATTTTAAATGCAGCATTTTACAAGTTATATAGCCTTTTAAAATATGAAAAACTCCCTCCTCCAAGCAGGAATATCTGTGCTTCTCTTCCTATCAGCAAGATAACGCTGTGGAATAAAAAGAGCAAAAACAGAGACCTTCCTTATGTCATTTTCCTCATTATTCATCTGCTTCCATTGTGCCTACTCAACTGACAATATCAAGAAGTCTAAGAAATGAGCCCTACCATCAGGGTGTTTGATGTCAGAAGTTGGCATTTCTTTATTAAGAATCAAAGACACGTATTTTTGTGTAAGATTTACAGAGCTGATTCCATTTGTACTGGCCCTTTATTTTTGTGCCCTTTAAAAACATCACTTTAATTAAGGTCTTGTATGCTTTTAATAATCCTCTCCCCCATAGGTGGAAATGCCCTGGTCAAAACCTCTGTGTTCCATTTACTCCACAAAAGCCAAGGATATTTGTTTTTAGACAACTGTGTTTGAATAACAGTTTCTGTCCAGTAAACTTGCAAGCAGCAGTTGACAAGTTTTTATCTCTAATAGTTCCCTTCTTTCTCCCTTTAGTGAAGTTATAAAATATTCCGTTATAGAATACAGCTACTAGCAGTCGCGTCTTATCCTCAGATGTTGTTAGAGAGGTACCCCCATCATGAGGTCCTCCCAGTGTCTTATCTTCACCACAGACAGAAACTGGCTGAGAGTGATTTCTGTGGTTTATGTGCGTGTAGTGTCAAGCTCACTGAGGAGCGCTGAGGAGACAGCGCTATAAAAATGTGTATAGGAACACATACGTTCTCAGATTTCTCACTTTAGCATTGGTCTTTGGAAAACAGTCCCACCTACATCCCAATTCAGGTGCCATGAGGTTCACCTGGTGAGACAAACCAGCTTCAAGAATAGGCCAGGGGAAGTGGAAAGGGGTGAGTGACAGGACAAAGGGAGAACAGGTGAACGAAAGTAGGGGCAGGATCACAGGATGGAGCAGGGCAGAGAGAAAGAGAGGACACCAGAGATTTATGTAACATCTTAAGAGAGCAGACAGGCAGGGAAGGTTCTGCAGCCCACATGCATCTGCTGTGGAATCTGAAAATTACTTTAGACGGTTTTTCTTTTTCATTAGCCCCTCTGCCTAATGTTTCACAATGCTCTGGCACCTATCTGATGAGGCACGAAAGGAACCCTGGACCTTGCATATAGGAGACACTCAAATACTTATTTATCTATCTATGTATCTATTTTTGAGACGGAGTTTCACTCTGTTGCCCAGGCTGGAGTGCAGTGGTGCAATCTCGGCTCACTGCAACCTCTGCCTCCCAGGTTCGAGCTATTCTCCTGCCTCAGCCTCCCAAGTAGCTGGGATTACAGGCGTGTGCCACCACACCCAGCTAATTTTTTTTTGTATTTAGTAGATATGGGGTTTCGACATGTTGGTCAGGCTGGTCTTGAACTTCTGACCTCAAATGATCCACCCGCCTCGGCCTCCCAAAGTGCTGGGATTACAGGCGTGAGCCACCACACGCAGCCCAATATTTGTTGACTGATAGAAACTACTGGGAAAGGAGGAAGATGGGGCAAATGATGAATTACTTTTTTCCCATAAATCAGAATCTATTTAAATGATAACTCTAAACCACTCCTGTGTGTTTGTCCAGCAAGCCCTCAAAAAATCGTGCAGGCTATTTGCTCACCAGTACATTTGGACATTTTGCATCCTCACATATGAAGACACCCTGGATTTGCTCATTATTTTTTCATCGCTCTTTAAACAGGGGGTTAGAAAATAGAGACGGTGGAAAGGGGACAAGATGGTTTGGGGAACGTGGTGTGTGCACACTCATGCCCATGGGAGGGGGTTACAAAATCTGAAGAGGAGACTGCAGTCAGGAAGCCTGGATTCTAATCCATTTAGCCAGTAACTTGATGTATAAACTTGGGCAAGTCAGTTTATCTGGCATGCCCTGTTTCCTCATTTTCCAAATGGAAATATTAATACTCTATATACCTTACAAGGTGGCATTAAAAGTGTAAAGAAATGACATATAAGAGCATTTTGAAAGGATAAAGTTCTGTGTCAGTCTAAAATCGTGGAATTAATTGGTATGGTGAATGGAAAGAAGTTGAGAGGAATATCATTGGATTAGGAGGAAAGGTGGAACTGGAAAAGAGAGGGAGCCCCTCCTTCATTTGACAGACACCAGAAAAAGTCAAAAGAGCCTCCACTATTCAAACCACAAATCTAGCCAACACTTTTATCTTGAGACATCTCTGGAAAAATGATTTTTCCTTTTCCCTGCTCCTCAGTGCCAGGGATTTTTATTCATTTTGTGGTTACTGCATGCTTGCCATATGCCAGGCAATGTGTTTATTAGCTTATTATGATTTCAAAATTAGCCCTGGAAGACAACACATATCTTCAAAGGACTCTCAGAGGTCATCTCATATCTTCCCCTAGCTTTCCTTGTTGATAAAAATGGCAGTTCATCCCTCACCACTTAATACGTGGAGGGACGCGGGCCTAAAGAAATTCAGTGACTTGACCAAAGCCCAGAGTGGTGATGAAACCAGTACCCAAGCGCGGGGTTTCTCACTCCCCTTTTCCATCACACGTATATATATTAAAAAGACATGAAGTTACTAAGATGTGTCCTGGAGGCTCTGAGGCAGATCTGCTGTAGGAGGGATCAGCAGAGGCTTCTCTAGTCAGGGCATTCTCTGGGCGTTCAGCCCTTCCCTCCACTGGGCTCCAGCGCTGTAGAGAGGGTGGGGTTTTTACCTATCAGTATAGCGGGAAAAGATACCCAGGTGGCAGGAAGTTTAAGCCTCACCTGGAACTTATATTGAAAGCCACTTGGTAGAAAGGATAATGGTTTGGAGACAGAGTTCTATTCCTGCCAGCATTGACACTGTGTCTGAAAAGCCAGCATCGACACTGTGTCTGCAAATCCCTCAGCTATTCTGAGTCTCCGTTTTCTCCCTGTGAGATGGAGATCATAAAATCCGCCTCATCCTTAGGATTATTCTCCTGAAGCTACAATAAGGCCTGAGGCATTGTACGCTGGAAGAAACGTGTATTAATAGCAACTTCTGTCCCACCCCATCCCCCAACACGTCGATCCCCTCCGGAGCATAAAACTTTCCCCCAGCATCTGACCTGCCCAGGCCACCCTAGCACCTAGGAGCGTGAATTCCTGATGCGGGTTGTGGGTGGCGCGCCCTCCCGGTTCCCGCTCTCGTTTTTGTTTTTGGTCGGGTAAGGCGATGCTGTAGAGGCTGGCGATCTCCAGTCTTCACGAATCCGCACGTCTCTCCATTATCCACCGCGCCCGCCCACTGGGCCCCGGGGCGGCCGGCGGCCGGGTCTCTCGGGCTCCGCGTGTCGCCCGAGCCGCCGCCGGAGCGAGGGTCCCTGCCCCCTGGGGAGCGGTCTCCAGCCGCTTCGAAGCCGCCTTCTTCCCCCTCCGTGAGTCAGAAACAAAGGCGGGGGGGCGGGGGGAGCGCCCGAGCTGCGGCTCCGCGATTCGCCCTTTATTCTGAACTCGCAACGTCAGCGGCCCGCGGATGGAGCTGCGGGGTGCGGACTGGGCCGCCCACAGCGCACCGGGCCGGGGGAGCGGCCGCGCTGGGCCGGGCGGGCGGGTGGCGGGGGTGCGCTCGGGGACCCGGGCCGCGTGGGCGCCGGGATGGAGGGCGCCAAGGGGCGGGGAGCGGGCGTGCGTGTGTGTGCGAGTGCGAATGCGAGGGAGGCCGGCCTTGAGTGAAACCGGAGCTACAAAGAAGGGGAGAGTCCGGGAGCGGGAGGGCGCGAGGGAGGAGCGGCGGCGCCGGGGCAGCTCCGACGCCCTCCCGCGGGGAAGGAGCCCCCGCGGTGCCGCCGAGGCCCCGACGCGGGGCCGCCCCTCGGCTCGCCGCCCCGCGCCCGCGCCCGCTGGGAATGATGAAGAAGAACAATTCCGCCAAGCGGGTGAGTGCGCTTGCCCGCCCTGCGGCCGCCGCCGCCTCCGCGCTCTGACGACCCCCGCTCCGTCGGCGCCGCGGCGGCCTGGGAGACCCACGGCCCGGCCGCGCCCCCGCCCCGGCGGCCCGGTCCCCTCGGCCTCGGCCCCGCCAGGCGCCCGCGGGGGCTTTTGTTTGTTTACTCGCCTCGGGGGGCTTCAACTTGGCTGAGTTTCCCCACGACCCGCACCTCCCCCGCCCCCGGGCGCCGGGCGAGCGTTTGCCTCGCGCTCCGCCGTGGCGAGGAGACAATGGGAGAGAAAACCAGAGAAACGCCGTTAGTCCCCGCGCGGCGAGGACGGGGCGGCGGGGGCGCAGGGCCTGGAGGGAACCTGGGAGCCTCTCCGCGCCCGGCCGGCGCCCCTGCCACTTGCAGCCCCGGTTGTTTATTCGGGAGCGGGGGAGGGGAGCGGGGGGAGTTCCTCGGAGTGAAAACCTTTCCGAAGTGGGAGCGAACCTGGGGCGGCCCCCCGCCCCCCGGCCGCAGCCTTCGGAGGAGACTGGGCCGCCGAGGCGGTCGTGAGAGACGGACGGAGAGGAAGCGCCGGCTGGAATCTCCTAACCGCCCGCTTCTCATCTTGTCCTGGGGCAGGGACCTCAGGATGGAAACCAGCAGCCTGCACCGCCCGAGAAGGTCGGCTGGGTCCGGAAATTCTGCGGGAAAGGGATTTTCAGGGAGATTTGGAAAAACCGCTATGTGGTGCTGAAAGGGGACCAGCTCTACATCTCTGAGAAGGAGGTGGGTGCCTCTTGCCTCTAACTCTCCGTTTTCTCATAGCCCCCACTTTGTCACTCCCCAAGGGCTCGCCTAGCTTACTCCACCCCCGTTTTGTTCCAAAGGCAAGTTCAGTGGTCTCCTCTCTACCCCCATCTCATCTGCAGAGAAAGGCCACCCTTTAATGAGAAGACCAGAGTGAGAATTAGAAGTTGAGTTGGCCGCTTACTCAGTGTTTTTTTGTTTGCAAATACCTTTCTAACAACGATAAGCCCCTCCCAAGATGCCCCAGAAGTTCTAAGTGTCCCTTGCTGCCTCCCACCCTAACCTGGCCTCCTGCATATAGGATTTCTTTTCTATTTCTGCTGAAACAGTTTAGCCTATTCGCCACCCCTTCCTGTCCCCCCACCTTAACCCAGCCAGCCTCCCCTTTCCTGTCTGTGGCAGGAGCGTGCACAGGTCCTGTCCGTGGCGCATCCGCCCTGAATCACAGAAAACACGCACCCCGCCGTCAGGCCCCTGTGACCTCGGGTGTGTGAGTGGCAGTTATTTTCGTTGAAGCCAGTGTCCCTAACCAGTATGCTCTCTGTTCCCCACCCCCACCCCATTTAAAAAAGGCAAGGAACCCATTTTCTACCCACTTCCTGCCCACCCCTCCATTTGTATCAGAAGGGAGAGAAATGGAGTTAAGAACCCCTGTATGTCTTTGGATAGCTTTGGCTGTGTAGTTAACCATGAAAACCACAGTCTACACTGTGTCAAGACCTGAGCTATGATAATTGAATCCAGACCCATCTCCCTTTTTTCCCTAAGTCTTGGGATCAATAACGTGTACTAATGTGGAGAAATCAGAATTGCCCCTACAGTGGTTAGAAGTCATTCCATTCCCTGCCTCTGTGACTGTCCAAAGGCAGTCAGTATAGCCTGGAAGACTGTCCTGTGTACCGGTTAGAGTGGCCCTTCCTCCCGCCCTCACGGGAGGTATTCTGTGTTCCCTCACCCAGGGCTAACTGGGAAGTCCTCCCTGAGTTCTAACCTCTTCTGCTTTCTGCAGTAGACATCCTTATTCAGTAGATTATATTTAGGTAAATAAAACCTTTTATGGTATTGAAACATACACACACACACCCTGAGACAAAGTACTCATCTAAAAGAACATCTACTGAGGCATCTAGGGAAGAACTAAGCTGTGCCACAGCCAAAGAGATCCCTCTTAAGGGTATTGAAACCTAGCTGTTTACACAAAACTAGCAAGTTGGTGATGGAAAGTCTTAGGAGTGAGGTGAGGGCACTTTTCTTGGTCTGTCATCCAGGCAGGAATGCAGTGGCTCAATCACAGCTCACTTCAGCTTCCACCTCCCAGGCTCAAGTGATCCTCCCACCTCATCCTTGGAGTAGCTGGGACTACAGGTGGGTGCCACCATGTCTGGCTAGTTTTTGTATTTTTTGTAGAGACAGTGTTTCGCGTTGTTGACCAGGCTGCTCTCAAAACTCCTGGCCTCAAGTGAACCACCCGCCTCAGCCTCCCAAAGTGCTGGGATTACAGGTGTGAGCCAACCGTGCCTGGCCAGGAGGATTTATTTTTAAGAGTTACCTCTGCCCAATCACAAATCCTCCAGAAAGTTTTCTCCACAATTTTCTGGCTTTCTAAATTAAAAAAAAAAAAAAAAAAAAAAAACAAGTGTCAAAGTGTATCTCCTGTCTTCCCCGAACTTCTTAATTGCAGGAAACTCTAGTTACGAATCAGGGAGAACTTCCTACACATCAAAGAGAAAAACATAATAGTGAAAGGGTAAGAGGAATAAGACATCCATTGCTTGTTTGTATTTGCCCAAAGAGCAGAGTCTGGGGGCAAAAGCGTAGTTGATCCTTGCTTTTAGGTACAGAGACAGAGGAAAGGATGGAATGACCTCAGCCTAGGATATCTGGTGTCCTATGAGTCAGGACCATCTGACTGGTCATGGAGCCAGCTGTCTCCTGCTGGGAAGGGCACAGGAAAGAGGGACTAGGCATATTGATACTGTGCTTTTTTAGAGCCAGTTTCAATGCTACAGTGGGCCTGGTTAAAAAGTGAAATTGACAGAGTACTCTGGGCTTTATTTTGCCCACTTGTGAAAAGCTCCAGGGCCAATAGAATCAAGACACGGTGTTCTGTTTTGTTTTGTTTTTTAGAGACAGGGTCTCACTCTGTCGCCCACGCTGGAGTGCAGTGTCACAATCGTAGCTCACTGCTGCCTTGACCTCCCGGGCTTAAGCAATCCTCCCACCTCAGCCTCCGGAGTAGCTGGGACTACAGGCATGCACCACCACACCCAGCTAATTTTTTTTATTTTTTGTAGACATGGGGTCTCACTATGTTTCCCAGGCTGGTCTCAAATTCCTGGCTTCAAGTGATCCTCCTGCCTCAACCTCCTGAAATTCTGGGATTATAGGCGTGAGCCACAGTCCCTGACCAAGATTTTTTTTTTTAAGGCAGAGTATAATCTATATCATTTACTGTTAATGCAAGAAAATTTCTAACCCTATCTCCCAGAATTTTCACCAGTCTCTTTTGTTATTTCCTCTCTTAAAGGCAGGGTCTCCCACAACCACCTCTGCCGTAGAATTTCTTCTGTGTTCGATAGTAATCATTTTCTTCCTTCTCAAAGGGCATCCTCTCTCAAAGAGGGCTGGAGCACCTTATGATCACAGGCTGATGTGTAAGAACAGAAGCTAGACCTTAGGAAGACCTCATGGTGGAGGAAATTGGATTCGGGGCAACTCTTTGGACAGGCGTGGGAAAAATCCCTTTCTATAGTCAAGGACGAAGAATCAGGGGAAAGGAAGGGTTAATTTGGAAGATGGGTAGTTATAAATGAGACTCTGGGAATTAGATATGTGGGGAAAAAAAAAACAATATGGTGGAGAACAAGGCTGCTTGGCTTTGTCCATCTTCCCAGGCACTGGAATATACTTGTCCTACTGCTTGCCTCACCCCATCTCCCACCCTCTCCACCAAGGGCTAACCTCTATCAGTGTCTCCTGCTCCCCAGAGCTCCTAATCAGTCTGTATGCAAGGTAGAATAACTCCCTTTCCTTCCCTTCCCCTAAGGAAAACATAGTAAGTTAACTCTCTTCCCCTGGCTACATTCACACACCCAACACTTTCCTCTCCACGGTTTCTGGGCTCTGCTGATAGTCTCAGCTCTGGAGAAGGAGGGGGAGAGGAGGGATGATGCATCATCTTGTATCCCTGTCCCGTGTTTCTGGGAATTGCTCTTGGACACCCCTTGCCAGCACCTTGTCCTACTTCCACCCGTAATCATTCAAGGCCTCTGGCCACTTTCCAGCCCAAAGCCAGGGAACCCTGGAAAGTGGGAGGCCCTGGAGGAGCCAAGCCTTGCTGAAACAAATGGAGGTAGATGTATGAGGCGTCACTCACCTGAATGGGGCCATGTTGACATCTGTCCTCATCTGTCATCAGCCTCCAGGTCCAGCAGCAGTTCAGAAGGATGGGCAGATACAAGACTGTAGATGGTCTGGGTAATGGAAGGGAGAACCACTTCCCCACTTCCAGGTTTCCAGGAACCAGGAGGATAGATGAGTTCACCTCCATGCACACGAGTCCTATTTCAGAACTTGGGAAGTTGGGGACTGTTTTGGAAAATAATTTCAGTCAGGGTGGGTAGATGTCATCCAAGGAAGACGTGAGGCTACTTTTATCTGTTTGTTTAGTTTTAATGAGACAAGTGCTGGTGCTTTTAATTCTCATTCCAGGAAAACGTGACCAGGTTTTTCCTGAGGTGTTCCAACCCTGGGCTCAAGCCACGGAGGGTGGACAGACTGCACGGTCTGGACTTGTAACTAAGTCTCCTCTCTGTAACTTTGGTCCTTGCTAGCCAAAACAAATCCATAAGCCACTGCTTCAGAGTCCCAGAGTTGTAGGAACACCACCTTAGGGGAAAAGAGAAAACATTGTGGTCAGTTTCAGATGAACCTGCGAAGAAATGTTCCTAGAGCTGCTTTGCAGTGCTCAGAAAAGGCTAGTTGGGGTTGGAGAATGTCACTAGGAATGCGGCCTCGATGAGACGTTCAGCAGGAGTGCTAAGAGCTAAATGTTGCTTAAAACCTGCTAAAGGTGGAACCAGAGTGCGGGACGGAGACTATAGCAGGGAGGGCTAAGTTTAGATAGGAGGAAGAGCTTCCTGGCAGTAAAGGGGGCCCAGGCACTCAAACTGGAATAATGGCAAGAAGTCACAGAAGTCACTTTTTTCCAAGTCTAAAGTGTAGTCTCCCAGGGAGAGTCTAAGTGCATTCTTGCCTAGAGATAGGGGGTCTGGAGGAGTTAGTTTGGATTGTCACAGTACCTTAGAGGGAGGAGGAAAGGGTAGGAACTGTAATTGTAGTTTTCAGCTTCTCTGGACAAATTCAGCAAACTGAACACGGGGCTGCCGTCCTGTGGTGGCGATGCTCCTGAAATGAACAAGGAAGATGAGTCTCTATAATTGTACATACCAGAGAAGGAAGCGAGGTGGGGTGGGAGAGCTATACTGCACACATGTGAGTGGGGAGGCCAGAGACCGCCCCTCGTTCCCTCCAGACACCCCGATAACTGGCCCTGCCTTGATCTTCTTTCTGTGGACCATCAAGGGCCATACAGGTCTGTCTTACTGAGGGCAATGGATCAACCATCTACCATGTCCCTTTAAGGACGTGAGCCTTTTTAGAACATGTAAGCTGTGTCCTTAAGGAAAAGAGTGGGGCGGTTGGTGAAGAGAGGCATAGTGGGACTCTGGAAATGGCAGCCTGGCTAAGGAGAGTGAAGAGAAGGGGTTTAAACAGAAACACACCTTAACATTCAAGACTTGGAGCTGCCCTAGCGTCCTCCTCGATGTGAGGACCTTGTAGGCTTTGGGCAGACGGCCCTCTCCTCTCCTGGCGTGCCTCCCTCTCCTCAGGCTTCCTCTGTTTCCCAAGATGATCTAAACTAACAGTCTGGGTGGAGGGGCTAAATAATTTTATCCTCCTCACCTCACCCCAACCCTCCCCTAGGTAAAAGATGAGAAAAATATTCAAGAGGTATTTGACCTGAGTGACTATGAGAAGTGTGAAGAGCTCCGGAAGTCCAAGAGCAGGAGCAAGAAAAATCATAGCAAGTTTACTCTTGCCCACTCCAAACAGCCCGGTAACACGGTATGTTTCTCCTGCCACCTTGGCTGCTGGAACATGGACAGGGTTGGAGGGGGCAGGGGAGAACTCCTTCCCCTCAGTTTCTCTCTCAGCAATCTTGGTTCAGATTCCCTGAATTGCTCTCCTGCTGGCTTTTATCATTTCACCTGAGAATATTGTAGCCATTTCCTTCTTTCCAGGCAGGCCACCCTTTAACCTGTTCAGCCACAAAGATCATCTCTCTATATATCTCTTTATTTTTCTCTGTCTTATACACACACATCCACACATGTGCATATTTACATCCCTTAGAAGAAAATCCCTGTCCTTGTACCCTGATAGGTGGTTGAAGTTCTGAATCTAATTCATCTTGTCTGAGGGAACCCAGGGAAGTTATTCCTGTCACATTCTATTTCTTCAAACATTGAAAGATTTGTATTTTAATACCTATCCTTCATCAGACTTCCTCTAATTATCTCTAATACCATACTAATATTCAGTATCCTTCTTAGCTCCTCCTTGGTCATTTCTAAAACAACCTCCTAGCTATGCATTTTGCAGGAATAGAAGCTGGGTTTCCTTAAGTTATGGATGACTCTGGAAGCAGAATATCTCTCCTTCCTGGAGCTAGGTCTAAGAAAGTGAGATTATAATCTCTTATTTCTTCATTGTCAAGGTGAGGCACCACCTCTAAAACCCTGGCTGAAACAGGAATCTTCCCCTCACAGGCACCCAACCTGATCTTCCTGGCAGTGAGTCCAGAAGAGAAGGAATCGTGGATCAATGCCCTCAACTCTGCCATCACCCGAGCCAAGAACCGTATCTTGGATGAGGTCAGGGGGCTCACTGTGGGGAGAGGGAGGAACGCTGGGGCAGAGGGAACAGCTGTGACCCACTGAAGGGGGAGGATTGTGCAGGCCCCGTTTACTCGCTCCTCCACCAGCTCTACTTCTTTACCACCCTTTTAAAAGCCCTGATCTCTTTCTACCTTCTCTCCAAGTCTCATCTGACACCTCCTCTTCCCCGCTTCATGATGGGGGAGCCAGCCTTGGGTCAGCTTAAAGAGCCCCCTTCGTGTCCAGTAAATCCCCTTGCCCATTCAGAAGCAGTGAATGGAGTGGGCACATGTTCAGGCCTCGGGATGCTGGGTTGGGACAGCGAGTCGCTGAAGAGCACTCATGATTCACAGTACATCTCTTCAGGTCACCGTTGAGGAGGACAGCTATCTTGCCCATCCCACTCGAGACAGGGCAAAAATCCAGCACTCCCGCCGCCCCCCAACAAGGGGACACCTAATGGCTGTGGTATGTAAGACTGTAATAAACATTGCCAAAGGGCCAATTCTGTGTCAGTCCATCTCAGACAGAACTGTATGCCACCAGAGGCATTTGCGGGAGGCCTCCTTGATGCCAAGATCAAAGGCGAGGGAAGTCCTTCCACCCAATGCCTCTGCCAGATCTAAATCAAAAGGTTTTATTCAGCGCCCATTAGGAGTTCAAAAGTCCCAGCTCCCAGTAATGTTACCCTCTTTCGGAGAAAATGAGTTATACCCACAGGAAAATGAAAAATTAGCTACTGTATGGTGGCTGTCTTGATGGGTAACAACATGTAGTACCGCGGGTGTTTGGAGGAGAAAGGATCACAATGAACTCCTGAAACATACAACGTGCTAGTTTCTTTCATGCCTCTGAGCTCTTAAGTCTTCAGAGAGAGAGGCAGGCAGGTATAATGCAGAGAACACAGGCTTTGGAGTTAGAACCTGAGTTGGAACCTCACTGTAATCAGCTACCTGTGTGGTTCCCTGAAGTTGCATGTCTCCAACTGTAAAATGAGGCAGTAATCATGCCTGCCTTGAAGGGCTGCTGTGAGGAATGACTAAAACAACATATTTGGTATTGAATACTCATCATTTTTAGTATTCTGGAAATAAGAGAACAAATTTTATTATAAGGCAAGGGGGCTGAAGTGTGGGACTCAGAGGATGCAGATGGAGGAGGACAGTCGTGCCATGGGGAGCATCCTGTGTGCATCAGATGCAGTTTAATTGCTGAGAGTCCACAATACCAAGGAAGAGGGCGCCCCTCAGGAAGCTTATGGTAGAGTGGAGAATACAGGAAACAAGTAACAAACTAAATCACAGAAGAAGAAACATTCAAGTCACTATCAAAGGAATAAGAAACAGCACATTCAGTAGGAGGGTTCAGTCAAGAGCAGAGGGCTTTGCCAGGCAGGGGGGCTCACACCTGTAATCCCAGTACTTTGGGAGGCTGAGACGGTGTATCACTTGAGGTCAGGAGTTTGAGACCAGCCATGGCCAACATGGTGAAACCCTGCCTCTGCTAAAAATACAAAAAAAAAGAGCTGGGCGTGGTGGTGCACGCATGTAATCCCAGCTACTCGGGAGGCTGAGGCAGGAGAATGGCGTGAACCCGGGAGGCGGAGCTTGCAGTGAGCTCAAATCGTGCCACTGCACTCCAGCCTGGGTGACAGAGCAAGACTCTGTCTCTAAAAAAAAGTACTTCTCATTCAAGGAAGGCTTGTAGAGGAAAATGACCACAGCTTGCATCTTTTAGGCAGTCATTCCGAAAATCCCTCCTGATGACAGGTTCCCCACTCATTCCCCCCTTCCTCCACAGGCTTCCACCTCTACCTCGGATGGGATGCTGACCTTGGACTTGATCCAAGAGGAAGACCCTTCCCCTGAGGAACCAACCTCTTGTGCTGAGAGCTTTCGGGTTGACCTGGACAAGTCTGTGGCCCAGCTGGCAGGGAGCCGGCGGAGAGCGGACTCAGACCGCATCCAGCCCTCCGCAGACCGGGCAAGCAGTCTCTCCCGACCTTGGGAAAAAACAGACAAAGGGGCCACCTACACCCCCCAGGCACCCAAGAAGTTGACGCCCACAGAGAAAGGCCGCTGCGCCTCCCTGGAGGAGATCCTATCTCAGCGGGATGCTGCCTCTGCCCGCACCCTCCAGCTGCGGGCTGAGGAACCCCCAACCCCTGCCCTCCCCAACCCGGGGCAGCTGTCCCGGATCCAGGACCTGGTAGCAAGGAAACTGGAGGAGACTCAGGAGCTTCTGGCAGAGGTTCAGGGACTGGGAGATGGGAAGCGAAAGGCCAAGGACCCCCCTCGGTCTCCGCCGGATTCTGAGTCAGAGCAGCTGCTGCTGGAGACGGAACGGCTGCTGGGAGAGGCATCATCGAATTGGAGCCAGGCAAAGAGGGTGCTGCAGGAGGTCAGGGAGCTGAGAGACCTGTACAGACAGATGGACCTGCAGACCCCGGACTCCCACCTCAGACAGACCACCCCGCACAGTCAGTACCGGAAGAGCCTGATGTGAGGGCAGGGTGGGGTCTGGAACTTGTCGGGTTGGACAGACTCTTATCTCCGTGTTGCTGGATAAAGCTTTTTTATTTACCTCAATCAAAAAAAGAAAACAAAAATGAACTCATTGCTCTTGCTGATGCCTGACCCCACTACAACCCTTATTGCCCCACCTACTTTCCATATGCCCCTCGTATGCCCCTCAGGTTTGAGGAAGTGACCCCGCAGCAGTAGCAGGAAGTTTTTACCCAGCCAGAGAGAGAGAAGGCACGGTAAAGACACAGTCTGACCACTCCACACACCGCCCGCCCCCAAGACGGCACAGGGAGTCCACTGCTGCTCCCAAGGATACAGTGGGCTTCTAAGCTTAGAGCGGGAGGGGGATGAGGATGTTTTCTGTTATGTCCCACCCCAGGCCTTCAGTTTGAGGGTGAAGTTTCAGCTGCCCAACTCTAGTTGTAGGGATGTGGAGGCCAGTGTCACCTGTCCGTGCACATGGAAGTGAAATTTATCCCAGCCCTGAGGAGGATTTGTGGAATTAAAATCTCCCCAGCCAGACACTGGCTTCTCATTCCTAGCAGTCTCTCATTGAGATCGAGCTGCCTGGATTTTCTTACATGAGGTGTTTCTTCCCTTCATCTTCCACACCCTTCCCAACCTTGACTCAAAGATCCACCCTTGTCGGGCGCAGTGGCTCACGCCTGTAATCCCAGCACTTTGGGAGGCCAAGGCGGGTGGATCACCTGAGGTCAGAAGTTTGAGACCAGCCTGACCGACATGATGAAACCCAGTCTCTACCGAAAATACAAAAAATTAGCCAGGCATGGTGGTGGGCGCCTGTAATCCCAGCTATGCGGGAGGCTGAGGCAGGAGAATCACTTGAACCTGGGAGGCAGAGGTTGCAGCAAGCCAAGATTGTGCCATTGCACTCCAGCCTGGGCAACAAGAGCGAAACTCCGTCTCAAAAAAAAAAAAAAAATCCAACCTTGAGTGGATGAGACTAGTTTCATTATTTGATTCAGGGCCCTAGCACAGGGGAACTAGAGACAGACCCCACAGAAGAACTGAACTAAGAATGAAACTGGTGTGTGATGCAAGCTGGGTAGGATGAAGGGGAAAACCAAACATCTGTCCAAGTTCCTCTTTCAGCCATGCTGAGGTTTCCTGTAGCCTCCCCCTCTCCTTCCTCAAACCTCTTCCATCACTAAGCAAGTCCCCACTTTAGAAAAGCATCTGGATGCCCACGCCACCACCCTCCCAGCCACCTCTGAAGTTGCCAGGCTTCCCAACATTCTTGTCTGTGGTAGGTCCCACACAACTCACTGTTCACTCTTTCCTTGGAAGTGTGTGAGATGAGGTTTAGTAACGGTGAGGTCCCCAGAAGAGCTATGAAGGGAATAATTTGATTTTGGGAAAGAAGGGGACAGAGTCTCATGAATCAAGTAAATGAGGGGTTAAAAGCCACATTGAAGTGTGCCTTGCTAGCTGCTTGATCCTCCAAGAGCAGCGGGGCTTCACTAGAGGTAAGGGGAGGAGGGGGAGGAAACGGGGCCAAGTTACATGTAGACCTGGCCATGACGCTGCCCCGATGTTATAGGAAGATGGGATAGGAGGAAGCGGGGGAAAAACCTGTGGGAGAAACAGATTCTTCAGTCCGCATTCTTCTGCTCTAACGTCACTCCTACAACCCATGTAAGCAAAATGGGGGCCTCTGTCCCCTTTCCAGAAATCATCTCTTTCCTTCACAGCTCTTCTCTGGACCTTATCACTGCTGTTAAACCATCCCTAGGGCAGAGGAATTCTTGCTCTCTCTAGTCCCTTGCCACTCTGTCATGGAGATTGTCCCCAGCTCTAGACTGTAGTTACCTAGCCTCTTCCTTGAAGAATGTGTATCCCAGTTGAGTGAGGGAAAGTGTGCAAGAGTGCCACCTTCATGTCATTCTATGGTCTCTTGGGGTATGAGGTGAGAACCCAGGCTTCCAGACTTCCTGTCCTTCAAATAGCTGCACTCTCCACAGCCCTAAGCATGGTCAGCAGAGCCATCCATTGTCACAAGTATTGAAGTCTAAGGTAGAATTATGCTTTCTTTTTACAAGTCTCTATCTTTGTATTTTACCAGCATTTTTCCTTTTCTTTTTTTCTTCCTTGTTGCTCCCACATAATGAAAAAAGACAAAAGCACAAATGACATGTGTATCCCAACATGTCAATTATCTGTGGCTCCCAGGGGAGCCAGAAGATGGAGGGAGACACTAGAGAGGAGAATGACAGGTGAAAGAAGCAGAAAAGAAAGATCGGGGACCTCACAACAGTAAGAGAGGAGCTGGGCACTGTGCTCCTGGGCTTCAGGCTCTAAAACCAACAGCTTCCAGTTCTCCAGCAGTTACTGGAACATCCAGGCCCTAGGGTGGTGAAATGAGCCCAGCTTTGAAACCAGATGGATCTGGATTCAAATTCTAACTCTGTTACTTCTTGATTATGAGGCTCTGGGCAAGGCACATGCTTTCCGAGTATCAGTTTTTTTCATCTGCAAGCTGCAGAGCTATTGGATGGGTGAGGACAATATGGAAAATGCCTGTCAGTCAGAAAGTGACCACTGCAGCTACTGTTACTGGTTTGACTCTGGGCAGTGAGCCGCTAGCTCAGTTGGAAGGAGCACTGTGTGAATGAGGCCACCGGGGTGGGGTCACTGTCACTTAGCTAGATCCAGGCCACAGGCTGTGCTGGACCTCTCTCTTCAGAGGAGAGAGCCAGAAGGGATGAAAGCATGGTCCCTGGTCTTCAAGAACTTTAGAGCTTAGCATGGAACCAGGCTTCCCACTAGAAAAATCGCTTAAGGTGCACCCTTGTGGTAGGCTGCTGGCATGAGTTCTGTTGAAGCATTTGTATTGAACCTGGGCACTGTGACAGGAGGATGGGAAGGTGCTTACGTTCATTTCCCTTCCTCCCAGTGCTTCTCCTCCCTCACTTCATCATTTTAGCCCCTCTGCCTGCAATATTTCCCTTCCGTGCCCCCGGTAACTGTGATGCGTGGCAAATGGGCTGGCTCAGTAGCTGTGTGGGGCAACTTTCTCAGCACACAGCTGCCCCCAGACACTTTCAGGGTGCACTTATTCTCCCTCCCTTTCCACTCCCAACCGCTCTGCTCCCTTCTTTTCTTACACAGATGAAGCAAAGGGAAGTGCCCTCCGGAGGCCCTAGGATGGGGAGACGGGGTAAGGGGTGGAACCCAGGACACAGAGTTGAGAGGGGGTGAGGGGTAGAGGCAGGTAAAGAACGAAATCTTAATTCTCATTTCAGTGACACTTTCCTCAACTTTTCCTGTCCTTCCCCATCAGGTTGTTAGCCAGGGGCCTGAGGAGGGATAAAGGAACTGCAGTCCCGGCTCCCTCCATTAGGAAGAATGTCTGGGGTGTTGGCCTGGAACGCTGATGAGTTGATTTCCTTCTATCTCCACAGCATAGGTTTACCAGGGAGAAAAGAAAGGTGCAAATTTCTCTAACTCCTGCCCTGGTCCTCACATACTATGCGGTTCTGAGCCTAGAGCTCTGTCCCTGGGGAAACAGCTCTCGCCTCCTTCCCCAGCCGCTCTCCCAACCCCTCTGCCAGTAATAAATTTGCCTCATTCTCCCAGGAAATGAGTCTCTAAGAATCTCTCTTCTATCTAAACCTCACAGGCAAGCAGTCCCAGCCCACTTCTGCAACCCTCAAGCTCAGCTACTGCCCCCACCCCCCACTTCGTCACTCCCTTCTCTACGCTGGGTTCCTTTCTCTTTCTGCTTTCTTACTACCTCCCTGTCTCCCAACAGGAGCAGCCAATCCCCAGCCTGCTCTAGAGCCACGCCATATATGGAGAGGTTGGAAAGAAACCCGAGTAAATGCAGGAGCGAACACACACACACACTCATACTCATGCACATACTCATGCACACACAGCAGAGTTTGACCGCCTTTCTGCATGTGACCCTGTGTCTATTTGTCTCTGTGTGACACAAGTCCCACCCACAGAATGAGGAGGCTGTTTGCTATTCCCCACCTTTAGTCGTGCCCCAGGAGACCATCACTCCAACCCGTTGCCTCTGACCTAGATTCCTTGCACTAATTACAAGCCTAACAAGAGCTAACAAACACCCCACTTAGAACAGCTGAGACCCTCGAGGTCAATTAGTGCAGCCCAGCTCTGCTCAGGAAATGAGAGATAGAGCCAGAAAGTCTTGTACATGGCCCACCCCAACCTCACCCCAACCCTGGGGTTGGAAGCAAGGATGGGGAGAATGCAAAAATTAGCAGGACCAGTTTAAAAACGGGGTTTTGGAGGGTTAAAAAGTGTGGAGAACACACTTGTTAAGTGCATTAAGGTTGGGGAGCAATTGGAGAATACAGATTCCCAACTCCTCCTGAACTATCAGAAGTGTAGAGGCTGGTGCAGCTACAGAAACCATGGACATAAGGCGGCTTTCATAAGGACTTAATATGAGGAAAAGTAACTCATAGAAAGGCAAGTAGCACTAGAACTCTTGACCTTTGTCATGGTCTCCGACACCAAATCCCTTCTCCTCTTTGCTTCCTGCTGTGAACAAGTTGGGGTTATCACCCCTGTCCTTCCTGCTGGTTTGGGATGGCTCAGAAATCACCCCTTTCTTTCAGAAATAGTAGGCTCATGTCCGTTCTTTCTTTCCCTTCCTCCAGATATTAAAGCCATGACAGCAAACAGCCCCTTTCTCCTAAGGTTCCTGATTTGAAGTGGCAAAACAAGGCAGTGGCATAGTCTCCTGTCCTATGTCCTTGGCATGCAGGTCAGTTGTCCTAATACCATCCCTAATGTTTTTGGCTCTATCAAGTGGGGGAGGCAGGGAAGAGAACACTAGTGGAATACTCTGTGCACAAATAGGGAAGTGGACTCAAAAACACAATGTTCCTCTTGCCCCAGCCTCCACCCAGCTCTGGCTGCAGAGGGCCGCACTCCGCTTGTACCGCAATTCATGCACAGTCCAGACTTATACAGCAGCCGGCAACCCTAAGGGCAGGATGATTCCGAGACACACCAAATCTGTATGTTGATGTGTTGTCCCAAATTTATTTCTCCAGCCTAAATTTCCCTCTCTGGCACTTAGAGCTAAGTGTCAACTTGACATCTTTACCTGGGTATCTAACATGCATCTTAAATGTACTATAAATGTAATAAATGACTAAATAATGATCCTCAGTGAACCAGCCCCACTCCAGGCTCCTTTGCAATATGAGTTTGCTGTTCCTCCCTTTTGAGAGGTATTGCTTTCTCTCCAACTGCTGCTTGAATCTGGGTTTGCCAGTGACTTGTTTTGCCCAATAGAACAAAGAACATGTGCTGTGTACGTTCCAGCGCCTAGGCCTTAAAGGGCCTTGTAGTTTCCACTCCTTTACTCTCTTAAAATTCAGGTGCTTCTAAGAAGCCTGGGCGAGCATCCTTGCTATGAGACCATGAAACCACATGGCTCTGTCCCAGCATCCAAGCCTCCAGTCAGACACAGCTGGAGCAGCACACAAGCAAGACCAGAGACCAGCCGCTCGGCCAGCCCCCAGAAGTGTGAGAAACTAACAAACCATTGCTGTCTTAAGTCACTAGGTTTTGGGGTGGTTTGTTACTCAGCAATAGATACTAAAACAAAGATTGTTTCTTGGAAGTGGGATGCTGCCCTAACTAAAACCTGAAACAAGTGGCATTGATCTTGGGACCCAGCAGCAGACAGCCTAGAAGGGCAGCAAGGAGACTTACAGAGTCTGGATGAGCAGGGAGAAAACTGCTCTCAGAGACGGGAGAAAGACCACCCGTGTTATATGGCGGTGGAATCATTCACAAAACTGTCACCTGTGGTATCTTGGGAGCTAGAAAATATACCTAATAAATTTGTTGGAGGTAGCTAAAGAGACTTCCAGGCAGAATGTTAAAAGTAGCAACAGGCTTTTCTTAGCTGTGATTGGTAAGGTATTGCAGGAAAGAGGAACTAAAAAAGAAACTTTTCAGTTTGCAAGCAGAATTTGACAGAAAAATAAGAGACCAGAACAGTCTCCAGCAAGAAAAACTTTCACCATTGGTAATTTAGGAGAATGTGCTGATGGCAGGGACCACCTGGTCAGTGAAACAATTCAGGCTTTTGAAAAGTACAGAGATAAATTGTACCCCATAAGGATGGGCAATAACAGTGTGTCCATTTTTAACATTAAAATTAAAACACACCAAAAATGCACAGGAGAACAAAGCACACAATGACAAAGGAATTGGCTGTTACTCAGCTGCACTGGTATCGTACAGAAAGATAAGGAAAGGCACTTAGCAAACAACTGAAACTAAGTGTGAGGGCCAGGGGCTTCTTTGGTAGCAAAGAGATCGCCTGCAACAGAAGAGCCATAAAAGATAGACAGAACTCAGAAATTGATAGCAACCAGGAGCTTCAAAAACTAACACCCCACTGAGGCTGAGGCAGGTGGCTAGAACCCTCAGCCAAGGTAGATCTGCCCCATCAAGATCAAGGCCGTGGCTGAGAATACCTGGGCTGGGATTCCAACACGCAGAATGGGGACATCTGGTACCTTGGATGGTGGAGATCCCTGAAGATTTTGGTTCCCAGATTCCTCTGACCCCACATACCCTGCTAAGAGGACCCACCCCTCTCTATTAAGAGCTAGCACCACCTGCTGCCCAGGAAAGGCAATGCAGAGATCTCTCCCTGAAACATAACAGGAGTGCCCCACCAGATCAGCCCCATCTCCTCTTCTGGCTACCAGAATAACTGGACATAAGTCACCACGTAATTCAGAGCCAAGAATGTGCTGGGCCTTACAAGGAAGAAAGGAACTAAACCAAGCATGTACCCACAGGAGCGGGGGAGGTTCCCATGGACCTAGAATTTTTTTTTGTTTTTGTTTGTTTGTTTGTTTTTTGATATGGAGTCTTGCTCTGTCCCCCAGGCTGGAGCACGTGGCACGATCTCGGCTCACTGCAACCTCCGCCTCCTGGGTTCAAGCGATTCTCCTGCCCCAGCCTCCCTAGTAGCTGGGATTACAGGCACCTGCCACCACGCCCGGCTAATTTTTTGTAATTTTAGTAGAGACGGGGTTTCACCATGTTGGCCAGACTGGTCTCGAACTCCTGACCTCGAGTGATCCACCCGCCTCCGCCTCCCAAAGTGTTAGGATTCCAGACGTGAGCCACTGTGCCCAGCCGGACCTAGAGTTTTGAGAATATCAGAATAGAAACCTGGATAAGAAAGTTTATTAATTTAGGGGCACTTTCTTGGGATACAGGATTTACACTCCAGCAAGGACCCCACGAAATAGTTCAGATATATGAATATTATTGTGCTCCTACAAGCCTTGAAAAAGTAATGACCCACGCAGCCCAGTTGAAATGCTTGAATTTCAATGCTTCCTCCACATCAGCAGTGGAGGAAGAAATTTAAAAGTTTAGGAAAGTAGACATGTTGGAATGTATTATTTGAGGTCTAAAGACTCACCGTGGGATTATGTTCCATGGAAGACACACATCCTTTACCACAGCATTGGTGAGGGGGGCACCAGCATCAATAAACAAAATGGGAGCTAGACAGACAGTGGGCCAGGGATGAAGGTAGGAGAGGTCATAACAAAGCTGGGATTATTGATAGCAATGGAAATAACCGACCCCCTCCCCAATGCCAAGCAATAAAGGCCAGGTGGCAACAATAGAAGCCAGGAGGTCACAGTTCTCTCAATGACCAGCAAAGTCAAAGAGCCAGTCAAGACCAGGTACGGTTCATGCCTGTAATCCTGGTGCAAGGTGGGAGGATCACCTGAGGCCAGGGATTTGTGACCAACCTGGGCAACATAGTAAGACCTGTCTCTACAAAAAAAAAATTAGAAATTAGCCAGGCACGGCCAGGCGCGGTGGCTCACGCCTATAAATCCCAGCACTTTGGGAGGCCGAGGCGGGCGGATCACGAGGTCAGGAGATCGAGACCATCCTGGCTAACATGGTGAAACCCCGTCTCTACTAAAAATACAAAAAATAATTAGCTGGGCGTGGTGGTGGGCGCCTGTAGCCCCAGCTACTCGGGAGGCTGAGGCAGGAGAATGGTGTGACCCGGGAGGCAGAGCTTGCAGTGAGCTGAGATCGCGCCACTGCACTCCAGCTTGGGCGACAGAGCAAAACTCCATCTCAAAAAAAAAAAAAATTAGCCAGGCATAGTTGCATGTGCCTGTAGCTCCAGCTACTTGGGAGGCTGAGGTGGGAGGATCCCTTGAGCCCAGGGGTTGGAGGCTGCAGTGAGCCTCCTAGGCTGGTGCCATTGCACTCCATCCTTGTGACAGAGTGAGACCTTGTCTCAATCAATCAATCAATAAAAAAGCCAGTCAAGGGGAAATTAAGTTGATTAATAGAACATGATATCCCTAGGGATAAAATTAACAGCCAACAAGGGCAAATCAAACAAATGCAAGAATAGGCTGAGCACAGTTGCCCCCATAAAAAGTCTTGAAGTAGAGAAATTGGAAGCCTTGTGCAGTGTTGGTGGGAATGTAAAATGGTGCAGCTGCTGTGGAAAACAGTCTGAGTGTTCCCAAAAAATTAAAAATGGAATTACCGTATGATCCAGCAATCCCACTTCAAAAGTATTGAAAGCAGTGTCTTGAGATATTTGCACACCCATATTCACAGCAGCGTTATTCACAACAGCCAAAAGGAAGCAACTCAAGTGTCCATTGATGGATGAAAGGATAAATAAAATGGGAAATGTACATTATTCAGCCTTAAAAAGGAAGAAAGTCCTGTCACATACTACAACATGGATGAGCCTTGAGGATATTATGCTTAGTGAAACACGCCAGTCACAAAAAGACAAAAATACTGTATGATTTTATTTATATGAGGTATCTAAAGTAGTCAGATTCATAGGAACATAAAGTAGAATGGTGGTTGCCAGGAGCCAGGGGCAGGGAGAAATTTGGAGTTGTTGTTTAATAGGTATGGGGGGGTCAGTGTTGCAAGATGAGCAGCTCTAGAGCTCAGCTGCACAACACTGTGAATATACTTAAAACTATGAAACTGTACACTTACAAATTGTTAAGATAATCAATGTTGTTTTGTGTGTGGTTTTTTTCTTTTTTGGGGACAGGGTCTCGCTCTGTTGCCCAGGCTGAAGTGCAGTGGCGCTATCTCGGCTCATTACAGCCTTGACCTCCTAGGTTCAAGCGATCCTCCCACTTCAGCCTCCCAAGTAGCTGGGACTACAAACGCACACCACCACACCCAGCTGAAAATGTTATGTTTTTATCACTATTTAAAATAAAATATATGTTTTAAGAATACTAAAAAAAAAGTCATGATTCCTTCTCATTTCCTAGACCTGAGACATTTTTCAGACCTGAAATCTATTGAATGGGAAAATGTGACAGAGTCCCCGAGAGGAAGGTCCCTGCAACATCACAGCAAGTGTGCACTGTAATAATTCCACCAGTCCTGGGTGACTGTCACCTGGGAGAGGAGGAATATCCACTAGACACAGGGCCTGAAATGACACTGATATTCAAAGACCTGAAATGTCATTATGGCCCCTGTTACAATGATGGGCTATAGGTCAGGTAAAATGGGGATTCTGGCTGATGTCCAGCTTCAAGTGGGTCCACCGGGGCCGTGGCTCCACCTGGTGGTCATTGCCCCAGTCCCTGAGTGTATAACTGGGATTGGTATATTCAGCAGTTGGGGAAGCCCCGATGTGGGGCCCCTGCTTTATGATATAAGAGCTATCATGTGGGGAAGGTCAGTGGAAGCCTCTGAAATTGTGTCCGTCCCCCTTCACCCAGCCAAGATAGCAAATACAAAATAATATCTCATTCCAGAGGGAAGATAGAGATCATTGCCACCCTTAAGTACCTCAAGGATGCAAGGATTGTGGTCTGTGTCATACCTCTGTTTAATTCACCAGCCTGGCCCCTGCAGAAAACACATGGATCCTGGGAAATAACCATAGACGATTCCTAGCTCAGCTCAAGCCCCGAGTGATCATGCAGGGTGTGGTGTCATTGCTAGATTATATAAATATGGCTTCAAGTACATGACATTTGGCCATTGATTTGGCAAATGCATTCTTCTTTATCTCGATCAAGAAAGAGAATCAGAAACAGCATTCACATGGACTGGATGACAATATTCATTTAGATTCCCCCGGCCCCCAGGGTTGTTGTTAACTCTCCCAATCTATGTCATGATACATTCAGAAAAGATCTAGATCATCTGGACTTCCCACAGAATATCACAATGCTCCATTCATCAATGACATTAGGCTAATTTGGGAGAATAGCAAGAGGTGGCTGACACCTGAAAGCCTCGGGAAGACACATGCACTCTAGAAAATGAGACATAAACTCTCTGAAGATTCCAGGGCTTGCCCCTCCCATAAAGTTTTTTGGAATCCAGTGGTAAAGGGTGTACTAGGACGTTGCCTCTGAAACAAAAGACAAAATGCTGCGTCTTGCATGCACAAAGAAGGAACTAAAATGCCTGGAGGGTTCTGGCAGCAAGCATATTCCATGCCTGGGAATAGTGCTCCAGCCTGTATTCTAGAGGGTGCAGCTTTGTGTGGGCCTGGGGCAGGGATATAGAGCCTGATCAACAAAAGGAGCTAGAACTGCTCTTGGACAATAAGGCAGGAATATGTGTGAAACTCAGGTCAGCCACTTGAGCACCTCTTGATGATACCTTTCATGCCCAATGGTGACCTGAATGGCAAGTGCAGCCCAGCCTGTGAAGGGTGACGTGATCAGGGACTCAGAGCCTCTCAGGAATCAGGGTTGTGCTACGCCACCTGGTAGGCTATCGAGACCAGCAGAAATGACAGTGGTGTCATCTGTAGCAGAGAGGGAGAGTGGAATTTAGAATGGATAATGGAGGAGGGAAATGATGTTACCTATTGCAAGACCAACTGCAGCAACAGCCTGTGGTTAACCCACTGACCTCCCTTAACTAAGTCCCTTCAAGAAAAGAGCCCATTGAAACCCCGGAAGAGCTACCCCTCAATGTGTGTGGAAAGTAGATCCACATGGTACAAAAGGAAGACTGTGGTAGCCATGAAGGTGCCCCACTTGGATTTGTCTTCAAGAAAGAACTTGCTGCTCAGCTGCAAGGAGGACAGTTAGCTGTCAGCCTCCAGCTGTTAGTGCTGAGGGATCTGTCTCAGTTTTCCAGCCAAGGCACACTGCTCTCAGCAGGCTCTGGCCAGTGACTGAGCAGAGTGGAGGGGTTCTTAGGGCCTGGACATTTCTGCCCTATGCGAACCCCTCTAATGAAACACCTTTGCTCTGGAGTTCCCCAATATGTTGCCCAAGATTCTATCTGCATTTCAGTCTGAGGCTCTCCTTGTTGAACCCTGCTTCCTGTCCCCTCTCATAGGTACTCCCTCTTAGGCCTCTTACACTCCTCATTCAGTATCTGCTTCTCAGAGGAGGCAGCTGACAAACCTTTCTTCCTCTTGTCTTTCCCATCCCCAACATCTAATCCATCAGCAAGTCTTTTTGGTTCTACCTTAAAGCATAGCTGGAATATGACCATTTCTCCATCTCTCCTCTGCCAGCTCCTTCCCTACATAGTCTAGTGATGTCTCTTTGCCTCCTCTCATCCCCATTCAGCAGCTGGAGTGTCTTCTTGTATGTGTGTGGGTGTTTTTGTTTTTGTTTTTGTTTGTGTGTGTGTGTGTGTGTGTGTGTGTGTGTGTGTGTGACAGAGTTTCGCTCTTGTTGTCCAGGCTGGAGGGCCATGGTGTAATCTCGGCTCATCACAACCTCCGCCTCCCAGGTTCAAGTGATTCTCCTGCCTCAGCCTCCCGAGTAGCTGGGATTACAGGTATATGTGCCATCATGCCCGGCTAATTTTGTATTTTTTTTTTTTTAGTAGAGACGAGGTTTCTCCATGTTGGTCAGGCTGGTCTTGAACTCCGACTTCAGGTGATCTGCCAGCCTCAGCCTCCCAAAGTGCTGGGATTACAGGTGTGAGCCACCACGCCCAGCCTGGAGTGTCTTCTTAAAGCAGTTCATGTCACTTGACTACTTAAAACCACCCTAATTTCATGTCACTCTTAAAAATCCAAATATTTTCTTTGGCAAATAAGGCCCTTCTCTGCCAAGCACAGTGGCTCATGCCTGTAATCCCAGCACTTTGGAAGGCTGAGGCAGGCAGATAGCTTGAGCCCAGGAATTTGAGACCAGCCTGCACAACATGGCAAAACCTCATCTCTACTAAAAATACAAATAAATAGCCAGGCGTGGTGATGCATACCTATAGTCCCAGCTACTTGGGAGGCTGAGGTGGGAGGACCACTTGAGCCTGGGAGGTCAAGGATGCAGTGAATCAAGATTGTCCCACTGCACTCCAGTCTGGGCGACAGAGTGAGAGCTTGTCTCAAAAAAGAAAAAGGGAAAAAAAAAGGTCCTTCTTCTTCTGACTCATGCATATCTCCAACCTTATCCCCAGGCCAGACACACAGATCTCTTTTCTGTTCTGTACACACGCCAAGCTCTTTCCCACCTCAGGACCTTTGCCCTTGCTATTCCTTCTGCCTAAAATACCCTTGTTCTCTTTTTTAACTTCTTTATCCAAACATCAGTTCTTATGAGCCTTCTCTGGCTGCTCTGTCTTGAGAGGCACCCCTTCCAACAGAATTGTTACCTTATCATTCTGCTTCCATCACAACAATGACCACAGTCTAATTATTCTCCTCAGTTGCCTCTTTATTTTCTCTCTCCCTGGGTAGAATAGAAGCCCGCACAGGGTGGGGCCCTGACTTATCTCCCCACACCTAAACTCAATCTTTATTTGTGTAATGAATGATTGAAGAAAGCCTTACCTAACACATGTACATCTCCACCACATTATCCCCACCATTTAGTTCCATTGTAATAAAAGTAATACCTTTTGATGGTCCTTTACAGTTTTAGATAGCATGTTCTTGTTTGCCATCAATAGCTCTCTCACACACACACTATTTAATTTTTGATCTTCATAATTAACCCTGTGAAGAAAATAGGACAAGTATGACCCCCAAATTAAGGATTAGAAAAATTGAAGCCGGCCAGGCATGGTGGCTCACGCCTGTAATCCCAGCACTTTGGAAGGCCGAGGCGGGTGGATCACTTGAGGTCAGGAGTTTGAGACCAGCCTGGCCAACATGGTGAAACTCCATCTCTACTAAAAATACAAAAAAAATTAGCCGGGCGTGGTGGCGGGCACCTATAACCCCAGCTACTCGGGAGGCTCAGGCAGGAGAATCAGGTGAACCTGGGAGGCGGAGGTTGCAGTGAGCTGAGATCGTGCCATTGCACTCCAGCCTGGGTGACAGAGCAAGAATCTGTACTTAAAAAAAAAAAAAAAAAAAAAATGAAATCGAGAGAAGTAACCAAGGTAGAAAGTGTCAAAAAGTGTCAAAATCAAAATCTAAAAGCAGGCTTTGGGAAATGCAGTGATGTCTGACCCCAACTGCCTGGATTCAGGCCAGACTTCACAGGGTAAGGAACAGTCCTCCACTTCAGGCCACTCTCACTTCAGACACCAGTAGCCAGTTCAGGGGTTGGTTCCACTACCCCTGCAGGTTTGATAATTTGCTACAATGACTCACAGAACTCAGGAAAGCACTATACTTATGATAAGTTAAACTTTTATTGCAGCAAAAGGGTACAAATCAGAACCAGCCAAGAGAAGAGATACAGAGGGCAAAGTCTGGGAAGAGCTACACGGGAAGCTTTGGGCACCTTCTCCTGTGGAGTTCCAGACATCACTGCCCCTCCCTGCTACGAGGTGTGGCAGTGCTTGCGAGTGCTGCCACCAGGAAAGCTTGCCCGAGTCTTTGGTGTCCAGAGCCCTTGCTGGAGCTTGACCACATGCTGCCTGCATGACTGACCTTTGCTCTCCAGTCCCTATGGGGGCTGGAACTGATATGGCGTGTTTCGGAGCCCCCATTATAAATCACATCATTTGAGCATCTGGTGGCCAAACTCCTCAGGCAAACAATGACATTCCTATTGGGCAGGACATTCCAGAGGCCTAGAGATCATCTCCCAGTAGCCGAGGGCCAAAGCCAGACCTCTCTTTGGGTAAAATCAATTCTTCACTACACAGGGGAGTTTTACCTTTTGTTTTTTTTAATTCGAGATCGAGTGCTATAACACACTGTTCTGTTTAATCTTTGCTCTCTTCTTTGACCTGTTTCTTCTCTTTCCAAGTTGGCTTCAGGTCACATGTTGCTCTGGAGAACCGAGAAGGGTGAGCAGACACCAATCATGACCCCAAACAGCAAGAGGACAGAAGGTAAGTGAAGTCTTTATGATCAAGCAAGAAATATTCTGTTTACAATGGAAATTATTATAAATTATCTTTTTTTACATGACATTGAAATGAGTTCTAGTAAATGTATCTGTTAGTAAGGAAAAGACCAAAGCAATGCCGGGCAGTGATGTCAAAGTAACATAATACTGTAATCTACTTGACATTCTCTGATAATATACCACAACACTGCAGCCTATAATTTCCTACAGATTAATATGCCAAGAAGGTGCCAGTTACTTATTGAAATGTAAAATTCAGATGATTTCACTGGTGTGTGGTGGGAGCTTATGCACATGGGTATATAAACGTGTGGCTGCTTTCTCTCTTATTTCACAAAAGTCCATTGCGGGTTTTTTGTTCGTTTGTTTGAGATGGAGTCTCGCTCTGTTGCCCAGGCTGGAGTGCAGTGGCATGATCTCTGCTCACTGCACCCTCCGCCTCCTGGGTTCAAGCGATTTTCCTGCCTCAGCCTCCTAAGTAGCTGGGATTACAGGCATGCGCCATCACACCTGGCTAATTTTTTTGTATTTTTAGTAGAGATTGGGTTTCACCATGTTGGCCAGGCTGTTCTCGAACTCCTAACCTCATGATCTGCTTACCTAAGCCTCCCAAAGTGCTGGGATTATAGGCTTGATCCACCACGCCCAGCCTTCATTGTGATTATTAATTTTGGAGTACAAGCTGTCATCACACTGTCATCAAAAACATTTATTAAGTCTCCAAATTGCAAAGTATGTTTTGTTTTTGTAACTGTTTATTTACCTTTCTCCCAACTAGATGGTGAGCAGTTTACACAGGTGCTCAACAAATGTATTTTAATGAATGTCTACAAGAGGTTAACTAATTTGAATTTTTAAAAAAAATTACCCGAGGTGGGCGGATCACGAGGTCAGGAGATCGAGACCATCCTGGCTAACACGGTGAAACCCTGTCTCTACTAAAAATACAAAAAATTAGCCGGGAGAGGTGGCGGGCACCTGTAGTCCCAGCTACTCGGGAGGCTGAGGCAGGAGAATGGCGTAAACCCCGGGGGACAGAGCCTGCAGTGAGCCGAGATCGTGGCACTGCACTCCAGCCTGGGCGACAGCGAGACTCCATCTCAAAAAAAAAAAAAATTACACAGCACAATAGAAGCATAATAAAAGTATAACAACAATAATGAACCTATAAGAAGGCATTGAAGTTGCTGCCCAGAAAGTCAGTTTCCCGTTCCAGCTCTGCTCCTTGGTTGTTTGACATTGGGCAGGTCTCAATTCTCACATCTATTTCCTCATCTGAAAAACAGAATAACTCATGTTTGCTCTACTTACCCAGGAGGCTACTGTAAGAATCAAATGAATCCATCAATTTTAAGGTGTTTTACAAACGATGAAGTATTTTGCTGATGTTATTATTTCTTTTTGTTGTTGCTGTTTTGAGACGGAGTCTCACTCTGTCACCCAGGCTGGAGTGCCGTGGTGCCATCTCAGCTCACTGCAACCTCTGCCTCCCAGGCTGAAATGATTATCCTGCCTCAGCCTCCCAAGTAGCTGGAACTACAGGCACCCACCACCATACCCAGCTAATTTGTGTGTTTTTAGTAGAGACAGGGTTTCGCCATGTTGTCCAGACTGGCCTCGAACTCCTGGCCTCAGGTGATCCACCTACCTCGGCCTCCCAAAGTGCTGAGATTACAGGTGTGACCCACCGCGCCCGGCCTGCTGATGTTATTATTTCAACAGAAAAATTATTTTAGAAGTGGCATGCATTTTACTAGGATGCAAAACATGATTGGGGAAACAGACTCAAGAATTCTAAACCTAGGCAGATTGAGGTCAGGGAAGGTACCTCTCATCTCTTTAGTCTTGAAGTAGTCTAGAAGTAATCTACTCCTGGTCTCTGCTGTTTATTATTTGTCTTCTTTGAGCTTCAGTTTCTTTTTTTTTCTTTTTTTTTTTTTGTAGACAAGAGTCTTACTCCGTTGCCCAGGCCAGAGTGCAATGGCACGATCTCGGCTCACTGCAACCTCCACCTCCTAGGTTGAAGCGATTTTTCTGCCTCAGCCTCCTGAGTAGCTGGGATTACAGGCACCTGCCACCATGCCCGGCTAATTTTTGTATTTTTACTAGAGACGGGGTTTCACCATGTTGGCCAGGCTGCTCTCGAACTTCTGACCTCAGGTGATCCACCCATCTCAGCCTCCCAAAGTGCTGGGATTACAGACATGAGACATGGCACCTGGATCTTTTTTTTTTTTTGAGACAAGGTCTCACTCTCGCCCAGGCTGGAGTGCAGTGGTGCGATCTCAGCTCACTGCAGTCTCCGCCTCCTGGGCTCAAGGAATTCTCATGCCTCAGCCTCATGAGTAGCTGGGATTACATGCGTGTGCCACCACACCTGACTAACTTTCATATTTTTGGTAGAGACGGGGTTTCACCATGTTGGCCAGGATGGTCTTGAACTCCTGACCTCAAGTGATCCTCCCACCTTGGCCTCCCAAAATGCTGGGATTACAGGTGTGAGCCACTGTGCCCGGCCCTCAGTTTCTTTATATCATTCTCTCTGAGCCTCGTTTATGTTATATGTAACATGGTGATAAAATGTGCCTTGCCCCAGAAGGTTTGCTAGGGGGTTCAAATTAGATGATTGTTGCTAAGGTCTCTGTGACAGCTATAAAGTACTATACAAATGTAAAAAAATCTTGTATGAATTACCTGAAGGTGATGAGCTTTCAGAGACAGTTTCAGTAAAGCACACAGGCTGAGAGTATGGGAGGCTAACATTGGCAGTCACATCCCAGGAAAGAATAGAACATTTTGGTATCTATTATCTTGGGTTGGATTACACATTGCCTTAGGAACTCCATTGTGACAAGGCCTTGCAAAAAAGTAAAATGAAACATAGGCCCTTTCACATACATTGGCTCAATAAATCTTCCCAACACTGTGCCAAGTGGGAATTATGATGCCCATTTGACTGATGGGGAACTGAAGCTTGGAGATGTTGAAACATACCCAAGATTATGCAACTGGCAGATGGCTGCATCAAAACAAATTTCTCCAACTCCAGCAGAAAAGTTAAGAGCATGCTTACATGAAAAGGAAGAGCTGGCCGGGCGCGTGGCTCACACCTGTAATCCCAACACTTTGGGAGGCTGAGGCAGGTGGATCACCTGAAGTCAGGAGCTTGAGACCAGCCTGACCAACATGGAGAAACCCCATCTCTACTAAAAATACAAAAAAAGAAAAAATTATCTGGGCGTGGTGTTGCATGCCTGTAACTCGGGAGGCTGAGGCAGGAGAATCATTTGAACCCAGGAGGCAGTGGTTGCTGTGAGCCGAGATCAGACCGTTGCACTCCAGCCTGGGCAACAAGAATGAAACTCCGTCTCAAAAAAAAAAAAAAAAAAAAAAAAGAAAAGGAAGAGCTAGTCGGGGGTGGCCTTAAACAAATGGCCCATTTCTCATTCCTCCCTGACACAACTTTCTACCCAAGCCAGCAAACATTTTCTTTCACAAATACTTCTTTTCTCTTTTTTTTTTTTTTTTTGTTAGACGGAGTCTCACTCTGTCACCCAGGCTGGAGTGTAGTGGCACAATCTCAGTTCACTGTAACCTCCACCTCCCTGGTTCCAGCAATTCTCCTGCCTCAGCCTCCCAAGTAGCTGGGTTTATAGGTGCATGCCACCGTGCCCGGCTAATTTTTGTATTTTTAGTAGAGACAGCGTTTCACCAAGTTGGCCAGGCTGGTCTCAAACTCCTGACCTTGTGATCCACCTGCCTCGGCCTCCCAACATTCTGGGATTACAGGCATAAGCCACCGCGCCCGGCCAGTACTTCATATTTCTTACTATGGCTGGGGTTCCCAGAGAAACAACTATGACAACAGGTGGATTTAGGATACAACAGGGTGACGTCTGTGCACGGGCAGGAAGGCATTTTTACTGGAGCGGAGTATGATCAATGTTCACAGCTGTGGCAGCCTGCTCCCCTGAAAGATCTTTAATTGGAGAAGAAGTGGCTATAGCCAGCTTCACTCTGACCCTGTTAGAAATGCCCAGTTCTTAAGTCACATCCCAATTCTACACATAGACTCAAGGGTTTGCAGAAACACCCACTACTCTCCCACCTCCCTCCTCATAAATATGTTCATCCTATGGCCTAGGCGAGTCAAGAGTAGTCCGTCAGACACAAAGACACTAGTGGTCCCTATTTATGTATAAATCTTTTTCACCACCTAGAATTCTTCCTTCATTATTTTGTGTCTCTTCCCTTATTTAAAAGCTAATTTTAAAAAATCTAACTCAAATATCAAAAATTAGAAACAGCCCCAATGTACATCAATTTGGAGACCAATTTGGCTGGACTCACACCTGTAATCCTAGCACTTTGGGAGGCTGAGACAGGTGGATCGCTTGAGCCCAGGAGTTTGAAACCAGCCTGAGCAACAGGGTGAAACTCCGACTCTAAAAAGAAATACAAAGATTAGCTGGGTGTGTTGGCACACACCTGTAGTCTCAGCTAATCAGGAGGCTGAAGTGGGAGGATACTTTGACCTCAGGAGGCAGAGGTTGCAGTGAGCCGAGATCACGCCACTGCACTCCAGCCTGAGAAATACAGCGAGACCCTGTCTCAAAAAAAAAAAAAAAAAAAAGGAGACTAGTTTAAATAAATAATGAGAGCACACATTCAAACAATGGACTATTAAAAGAACAAAGTAGACAGGACATGGTGGCTCACACCTGTAATCCCAGTGCTCTGGGAGGCCAATGCAGGAGGATCACTTGAGGCCAGGGTTTGAGACCAGCCTGGGCAACATAGGGAGAGCCCATCTCTATAAAAAATTTAAAAATTAGATGGGCATGGTGGCACACTCCTGTAGTTATAGCTACTTGGAGGCAGGAGCAGGAGGAAGTCTGGGGTTACAGTGAGCTATGATTGCACCACTGCAATCCAGCCTGAGCAATAGACCAAGGCCCTGTCTCTTTAGAAACAAACCAAAAATAGATATAGCAAGACTGCCAAAATATAATGTTAAGTGAATTAGTAAAGGGAAGAGCAAGGTGTATAGTATGTTCCAATTTTTATAAAAAATAAATATTAAACATAGGCTTACAGTGGCACAAAAAGCTCTAGAATACACAAGAACTGTTAAGAATGGCTGACTCTGGTTAAGGAGACACTTTTCATTGTATTCCTTTAGTGCTGTTTGAATTTTACCATGGCATATATTACTAATTCAATTCAAACAAAACAAAAACAACTTTAACTAAACATGTTTTTCTACCAAAAGCTTTACTTGTCCACCCTACTTCCTAAGTATCTCCCAAATCTGATTACCACCCCCTTCCCACTGCCTCTGCCCCAGCCCAACTACAGGAGTGGACTGTGCTTTGCTCCTGAATTCCATAATCTCAAGGGGCATGTTTCCTTTAAAACATAATTGTTTAAAAAAAAAAAACACCTGGTTATCCAGACCATTTGGTTAAATTGAAAACTATCAAAAGGCATATTACCAGTCACACCTGGCTGTATCCTGCATTACAGAGCTGTTTGAAGGTCAATTTTGAGTTGTTTGCCCTGAGTGCCAACATTGCTACTCATGGTTTTGCCTCTACAGTTTCAGGCCATCAACCCCTCTCTCTCCAACGACTGCAACAGTCTTCTAATTAGTGTCACTAACTCTACTGTTTCTTATGCCCACACTGCAATTAGAGTGATCTAAAATTTTAAATCTGGCTTGGCGCAGTGGCTCACGCCTGTAATCCCAACACTTTAGGAAGCCGAGGCGGGCATATCACCTGAGGTCAGGAGTTTGAGACCAGCCTGGCCAACATGATGAAACCCTGTCTCTATTAAAAATACGGAAAAAAAAAGAAAAAGAAAAAATTAGCCAGGCATGGTGGTAGGCACCTGTAATCCCAGCTACTCGGGAGGCTGAAGCAGGAGAATTGCTTGAACCTGGGAGGCAGAGGTTGCAGTGAACCCAGATCATGCCATAGCACTCCAGCCTGGGCAACAAGAGCAAGACTCCATATCAAAAAAAAAAAAATTAAAATTTTAAATCTGATATTTATAGTCCCCACTGCCCTTGAGTTAGAGTCCACCTTCTTTAACACGGTTTACAGGGCCTCTGTGATCCTAGTCGCTTCTTTCTTTGGCCTTGTCCTTCCTCTCCATTCCCCTTATAGACACCTCAGGGCTGCCCCATGCTCTAAACTCCAGCCACACTGCACATTGGTGAACTTTATGCGCTGAATCAGCATTGCTGTCTCTGGTCTCTAACACTCATACCTGCTGTTTGCTCTTTAGGGATCCCCCCTACTCCACAGCTTGACGGCAGAGCAGTGACCAGAATATATGCTCAGGAAGGCCAAAGAGATGAAGCCGCAGCTGCCTCTTTTTTTTTTTTGAGACAGTCTCATTCTGTTGCCCGGGCTGGAGTGCAGTGGTGCGATCTCGGCTCACTGTAACCTCCACCTCCCAGGTTCAAGCAATTCTCGTACCTCAGCCTCCCAGGTAGCTGGAACTATACAGGTGTACCATCACACCCGGCTAATTATTTTTTGTCTTTTTTTGTAGAGATGGGGTTTCGCCATGTTGGTCAGGCTGGTCTCGAACTCCTGGCCTCAGGTGATCCACGCACCTCCGCCTCCCAAAGTCCTGGGATTAGAGGCGTGAGCCACCGTGCCCAGCCAGGCTTGCTTCTCTGAGCCATACCCTTCTGTTGGAACAAGCATCCTTTCTATTAAAAGCAATAAATCTCCTCTTATTTAAGTGGCAGATGGTTTAGATTGTTACTTTTGCTTTCAGCGATCCTCTAGAAAAAGAAGGAACTTTAAGGTTGAGAACTAACTTCTAGCAGCTATGCAGAAGTTCTGAGAGGTGACTCGTGTTTTTTACATCAAGACCTCCACAAAGGCCCCTTCTGTCATTGAGTCAAAGTTCTAGCGACCTAGGTTCATCCTCAAATGTGTAATGAAAACCTGTAAATCACTTGGACTCCACTTCCCCTCCCACCCTGGGTCCTCCACCCCACCTTGCTTTGGTTTTGCTTGGGGAGAAAGTGGTCTCTACACAATATGTCTCTCTCCCTATCAGTCTGCAGGATGCTCAGCAGGGGCACTCCCTGAACACGCCTGCTCCCACAGCATGTGCAAAGGCTTCACACTTGGATTGAGGGTTATACATTTCTTCATGGACATCCCCAAACAACACAGAACAGAGACAAGGTTTCTGGTCCTTTTGGAATGTCCACACCATTCCCATTCTTCAAAATCTGTCACACTTCCAGATAGTTCCAGTGAACAATGAACTCTCCCCCTATGCAGTAACAGTTGATTATTCAATTTAACACTGAATTATATATTCTCTGGAACTGTTCTCTAACAACTATGAGGCGTTTTCAACGGTAGTTGAATGGAAAAATACCAAACTGGGAGTAAAAAGATCTGGCTTCCAGGCCAGGCGCGGTGGCTCATGCATGTAATCCCAGTACTTTGGGAGGCTGAGGCGGGCGGATCACCTGAGCTCAAGAGTTCGAGACCAGCCTGGACAACATGGTGAAACCCTGTCTCTACTAAAAATAGAAAAATTAGTCAAGCGTCATGGTGGGCGCCTGTAATCCCAGCTGCTCGGGAGACTGAGGCATGAGAATCGCCTGCACCTGGGAGGCGGAGGTTGCAGTGAGCCGAGATCGGGCCATTGCACTCCAGCCTGAGCGACAGAGCAAGACTCCGTCTCAAAAAAAAAAAAAAAAGATCTGGCCTCTCAAGAGGCCGCCACTAACTCTCTGTGTAACCTTGAGCAAGCCAATGTTCTGGGCCTTGGTGCTTCCTGCAGGGTAAGAGGAGGACTGCCGATCTCTAAGGATCTTCCGTGGTCTATGGGTTTATGACTCGAAACTCCTCAAAGTGCAGAAACACAAGCCACATCCCTTCTCAAGGCCAGACACATACTAGGAGCTCTATTAATACCTGAATAAAAACCACGGATGAAGAGCTTGCCTGGCCCTGGCATTTCTATACCAAACCAACACACCATGGATCATTGTATCTTCCCTGGGACAGACCCTCAGAGCCTACAAGTGACTCTACAACTTCACTGATACAGATCTATTATTCCTTAGCTTAGACTTCCATCTCTCCAGATCAACCTTCAGGAAAACTAGGAAACTATCAATAATGATTTCAATTGTCGGCTTCAAATTCACCTTATTTCTTCTACCCCAGCATGCCTTTTTTGTGGCAGCACTTAGATTCTCATTCAGAAAACAAACGCATTCATGCCGTACCAGTGATTTGTTGGGGAAACTGCCTCGGCCCCACCACCCAGATCCCCCACGTTCCTACCAAGTAAGCCAAGTGACCATGTGAAGAACTGACTGACACCCAGAGGAAACTAATAAACAAAAACAAATAAAAGCAAATACCTTTTCAGGAATCTCACTTGGAAAACCAAGTATAATGGCAAAAACAACCAAAAAAAAAAACCCGAATGTTTTCAGCGTTGGGGATGTTGGGGGTGTAGACATCTCGAGAGCTGGTTTCCGAAGGCACCGCACCCCAGACAATGTGCTACAAGAGCCTCCCGGCTGCTGTGTCAATGAAGCCTTTCAGGCCCTCCACACTGCTTCACTTGTTCCCTAAAGTAGTGCTTTCTGGAAGCTAAACTCTCAGCTGGCGAGAACAGTGAACTCTGTGCCATTTGTCTATCAACTCCTTTAAAAAGAAAAACCTCCTGTACGGCTCTCTTGTTTTGCATTTTCTATTCTGCACTCCAGTACGCATAACGACACACAGAAGAGGCAAGGGCCTCTTTTAAAACCGTGAAGAAAGAATAAATTTGAAAGCACCCAGAAGCCTCTGCTTTCAGCTATTAGAGAAAAGTTTGCATCCCATAGAAACCAGTACTAATTAAAAAAAAAAAAACTCAGTCCTCAACCCTGGGAATCAACAATAAGGGACTCTTCAGGGTGTGGAGTAACAAAAAAATTTAAAAACAAAAAATAAATGTGCACAGCCCATCTATCTTTTCCCAATCAAATAATACAGCCTTCCAAAATGTAAAAATAGAAATATTTTCACATGTGAATTTTACCTCAATAAAGTAATTTTTTAAAAATCTTTTTAGCCGGGCACAGTGGCTCATGCTTATAATCCCAGCATTTTGGGAGGCCAAGGCAGGCAGATCACGAGGTCAGGAGTTCAAGATCAGCCTGGCCAAGATGGTGAAACCCCATCTCTACTAAAAATACAAAAAATTAGCCAGGCATGGTGGTGCACACCTGTAATCTCAGCTACTCGGGAGCTGAGGCAGGAGAATCGCTTGAACCCAGGAGACAGAGGTTGCAGTGATCCAAGACTGAGCCTGCACTCCAGCCTGGGTAACAAGAGTGAAACTCAGTCTCACAAAAAAAAAAAAAGAAGAAGAAGAAAACAGGAAGTGCCTTCCATAATTCCAAATACAGTATTGTTAAATATTAATGTATTATGTCCAAATAGTTCAGTGAATTTCAAGTTTTCATCCAGATGAATGGAGTTCTTCATATTCATTCAACTAATAAATATTCCTTGAGCATCTACGACATGCTAGGCATTTTTACAAGTAAAAACAAAAGTAGACAAAAATTGCTGTCTTTATGGACTCTATATTCTAGTAGAGGGCAGAAAAGCCAGTGACCGATAAAAGCCAGTGACCAACACTTGTGTTTTTTAGCTGACTTATTCTTGGGTATTTAAAAGAGATCTTGGGCCGAGCAGTGGCTCATGTCTGTAATCCCAGCATGTTGGGAGGCCGAGGCGGGCGAATCATCTGAGGTCAGGAGTTCGAGACCAGCCTGGCTAACATGGTAAAACCCCATCTCTACTAAAAACACAAAAAATTAGCCAGGCGTGTTTGGCGCACGCCTGTAATCCCAGCTACTCGGGAGGCTGAGGCAGGAGAATTCCTTGAACCTGGGAGGCGGAGGTTGCAATGAGCTGAGATTGCGCCATGGCACTCTGGCTTGGGCAACAAGAGCAGAACTCCGTCTGAAAAAAAAAAAAGATCTTGAAGTTCAAAAATTATACGAGTCTGTTATTTTCCTAGTCTTTTCTCCACTCCAAAGAAAGATAAACCTAATTGGTATTCCTTACCACTACAACAATCAGGACCACTGAAGTGAGAGGAAAGGAAGCTATACAAGGATGTATTTAAAGCTCATTACTTAAACAAAATGAAAACATAAGATCCAGAGAGTTCTTTTTATGTTTGTTTAAGAGCTTCAGAAAGGCTGGGCAGGCTGGCACATGCCTGTTGTCCTAGCTACTCGGGAGGCTGAGGCAGAAGGATAGCTTAAGCCCAGGAATTTGTATCCACCCCAGGCAACATAGTGAGGCCTCATTAAAAAAAAAAAGGAAAGAAAAAAGGGTTTTAGAAAACATAATCTGATGCACAGATTATAGAGTTTTGCATTTTTAAAAAATAGATCTAATTGATAAGACAGCAAAAAATGAATATGTGGAACCCAGCAATTTCATTCCACGTACACACTAGAGCAGTAATCAGCAAACATTTTCTGCATAGAATTAGATACCAGATATTTTAGGCTTTGCACGCCATCCAGTCTCTGTTACAACCACTCACTAGGCCTGAAAACGGCCTTAGGTAATATATAAATGCATGAGCATGGCTGTTCCAATAAAACTTTACTTATGGACACTGAAACTTGAATTTTCATGTGTCATAAAATATTAGTCTTTCCATTTTTAAAAACCATTCAGAAATGTAAAAACCACCTTAGTGTCTGGGTCATACAAAAAAAAGGTGGAGGGTCCACGGGCCAGACCATGGTTTGCCAATCCCTGCTCTAAAGAACTCTTACAGGCCAGGCACAGTGGCTCGCGCTTATAATCCCAGCACTTTGGGAGGCCAAGGTGGGCAGATCACATGAGGCCAGGAGTTCAAGACCAGCCTGGCCAACACAGTGAAACCCTGTCTCTACTAAAAATACAAAAATTAACTGAGTGTGGTGTCGCGCATCCGTGGTCCCAGCTACTTGGGAGGCTGAGGCACGAAAACCGCTTGAACCCAGGAGGCAGATGTTGCAGTGAGCCGAAGTCGTGCCACTGCATTCCACCCTGGGTGACAGAGCAAGACTCTGTCTTAAAAACAAACAGACAAAAAGAACTCTTACATACACATAACTCAACTACACATGAGAATGTTCATAACATCATTATGTGAATTAGCAAGTATGCAGATACCAAAAATGTTGGTAGACAAAAACTGGAGTTACATGTATCAACATGGATGATCTTACAAACCTATTTAAGAGAAAACACAAATTACAGAAGAACAGTTACAACGTCATTTATATACAAATTTTAAATATGCAGAAATTATATATTACTGAGCATATTTAACATATATAATAAAAGTCTGAACAGGCCATGCGCAGTGGCTCATGCCTGTAATCCCAGCACTTTGGGAGCTGAGGCAGGTGGATCACTTGAGATCAGGAGTTCAAGACCAGCCTGGCCAACATGGCGAAACCCCATCTCTACTAAAAATTCAAAAATTAGCCAGGTGTGTTGTTGCGCATCTGTAACCCTAGCTACTCAGGAGGCTGAGGCAGGAGAATCACTGAACCCGGGAGCCAGAGGATGCAGTGAGCCAAGATTGTGCCACTGCACTCCAGCCTCGGTGACAGAGTAAGACTCTTGTCTCAAAAAACAAAAAGGAATGTTCCACATCAAACTCATTTACCTGGGAATGACGTCAGGGGGAGGCAGGAGAAGGATACAACTGGAGAAGGATGCACAGGGGGCTTCAACTGCATTGTTGATGTTTCATTTTTTAAACTGAGTGACAAGTCGATCAATGTCCATTCTTGATACCACTGTGTACCTTAAATATTTAATAATAAATAAAAAGAAATGTGCAGTTTTGGGCTTTTTTTTGTTTTTTTTTGTTTTTTTAGATAGAGTCTCGCTCTGTCACCCAGGCTGGACTACAGTGGCGTGATCTGGGCTCACGCCCAGATCCTGAGTATCTGGGACTACAGGCGTGCACCACCATGCCTGGCTAATTTTTGTATTTTTAGTAGAGTTTTACCATGTTGGCCAGGCTGGTCTCGAACTCCTGACTTCAAGTGGTCCACCTGCCTTGATCTCCCAAAGTGCTGGAATTACAGGCATGAGCCACTACGCCCAGCCAGGAATGTGTAGATTTAATGTGAATTTAGCAAATGGTTTGTCCTATTTGAGGGCAGAGGTGAGGTCAGCTTATATTAACATATCCAAAAACTTGGTTTGAGCCCAGATTTCTGACACTAAAAACAAAAAATGCCCCATTTGTTTCTTTCTTCTTTCTTCTTTTTTTTTAGAGATGGAGTCTCGCTCTGTCGCCTGGGCTGGAGTGCAGTGGGGCAATCTTGGCTCACTGCAAGCTCCACCTCCCGTGTTCACGCCATTCTCCTGACTCAGCCTCCTGAGTAGCTGGGAACACAAGCGCCCACCACCACGCCCAGCTAATTTTTGTATTTTTAGTAGAGACGGGGTTTCACCGTGTTAGCCAGGATGGTCTCAATCTCCTGACCTCGTGATCCACCTGCCTCAGCCTCCCAAAGTGCTGGCATTACAGGCGTGAGCCACCACGCCCAGCCTATTTGTTTCATTTTTTAAAATTGGACTGAACCTTAGGAGAAAACAGAAAATTGTACTACATTCTTGCATAGCTAGCTAATGTAAATAGCTTCAAGCAACAAACTAGATATTATTGATCCGTTTCAAAAGAGCTGAGTCAGGCTGTACACGGTGGCTCATGCCTGTAATCCCAGCACTTTGAGAGGCCGAGGCAGGCGGATCACCTGAGGTCAGGAGTTGGAGACCAGCCTGGCCAATGTGGTGAAACCCCATGTCTACAACAAAAAAATACAAAAATTAGCTGGGCATGGTGGCGCGTGCCTGTAGTCCCAGCTACTGGGGAGGCTGAGGCACAAGAATCGCTTGAACCCGGTAGGTGGAAGTTGCAGTGAGCCAAGCAGAGATTGCACCACTGAACTCCAGCCTGGGCTGGAGGTTTTTTTCATCTCGGGAAAAAAAAAAAAAAAAAAAAGAGCTGAGTCAGATTCTGACTTGTCTAACGGACTCAGTCGTGATGTTTTGCCTGTCTGCTCCAAGTTCCCCTGTTCCAGACACATCTCTCACAGCATTACAATGATCTACATGCCCTAGGAATAGCGACTTTCCATCATCTGCCTCATCAGAGCAAATAGAAGTGTAAGTGGCAATGACGTTAGTGTTTGTGTGTGTGAAAACCTAGTGTGAATTTTCCCTTCTCTGGCAAAAGCTCACAAGCCATCATTATAGAAAAGCAGAAGAAAAAACTGCTTGTTCTGCTTTTCCTGACCTCAGAAGCAGTAGTTGTTAAAACTCTTTAAAAAAAAAAAAATGGGGTCTTGCTATGCTGCCCAGACAGGTCTCCATCTCCTGGGCTCAAGCAGAGCTGGGACTACAGGCACACCACCACACCAAGCAAAACTGTCTTTTGATTTAAAATTACTTAAATACCTCTTTAAGGGTCTCCTATAGTCACTTATCTTCCAGTTACCTAAATCACTAGCTTCTTTTTTTTTTCCTTCAGAGACCCCGCCCAAAGTCACATCCGTTGCAATTATCGGGCAGGTACTGCCCTCTAGTGTTTATACTTTTATAATAAAAATTTTACACACTACCCTTTTAACTGACCTCAAAGCATGGAAAATCTGTCAAAAACTAAATAATATCCTATTAACCCAAGATTTTTCACCTTCACACTACTGGCATTCTGATCACCCTTTGTTGCGGGGCTGTCTTGTGCACTGTGGGACGTTTTGGCAGCACCCCTGGCATCTTCCCACTTGATGCAGTAGCACTCCCACACACATCCCGGTGTGACAACCAAAAATATCTCCAGACACAGCTAAATGTCCCCAGGGGAACAAAATCACCCCTGCTTGAGATCCACTGTATTAGTCTAAAGGTTGTCCAAAACATTCACATTAGACCTGAAAATTGTAAGGGAAAAGGGCTTCTCTGGGCTAATTCCATTGAATGAGATAAAGAACTTCATTTCTGCATGAAAAACAAGGAGGTAGAGAATTAAGATTTTCAGCTCCCCGCCTCCACGTACCCGCAAAGTCCTGGCCATTGGGACATTTTTTACACCTTTAGCTTTCTGTTCCAGCTTTACCTCTTAGACCTCTTCACTTCCTTTCAAAGTGCATCACAAACAAAGCTTGCCCTTCTAGCCAAATGCAGAGAATGTGGTAGGGAAAAGGAAGAAGGGAGGTCTGAGCATTTGTACTCAAAAAAAGGGCTCTGGCCAGATGTGGTGGCTCGTGCCTGTAATCCCGGCACTTTGGGAGGCTGAGGTGGGCAGGAGTTCAAGACCAGCCTTGGCAACATGGCAAAACCCCATCTCTACTAAAAATACAAAATTAGCCGGGTTCAGTGGCAGGTGCTTGTAGTCCCAGCTATTCTGGAGGCTAAGGCATGAGAATCCCTTGAGCCTAGGGGGCAGGGAGGCTGCAGTGAGCCAAGATTGCCCCACTGCACTCCAGCCTGGGCAACAGAGCAAGACTCTGTCTCAAAAAAAAAAAAAGGAGAGGGGCTCTAGCAAAGCGTTAAGGCTCAGCATTAATAATGCCAGCCAACCAGGAACCTGTATTGATTGTCAGCCTAATATGAAAATTCTTATCAAATATCAAAATAAGTTTCAAATCTGGCTTTTAGAAAGATATTTAGGAGGGTTTATTCCAATCTGCTATGAATGATTATTCTTCATACAAGTGCATTATGCTTATAAACCTTGGTTCTGTGATTTTTTTTTTCCAGACGGAGTCTCACTCTGTCTCCCAGGCTGGAGTGCAGTGGCACGATCTCAGCTCACTGCAACCTCCGTCTCCCGGGTTCAAGCAATTCTCCTGCCTCAGCCTCCCAAGTAGCTGGGATTACAGACGTCCGCCACCACACCCGGCTAATTTTTGTGTTTTTAATAGAGACGGGGTTTCACCATGTTGGCCAGGATGGTCATGATCTCTTGACCTCGTGATCCGCCTGCCTCAGCCTTCCAAAGTGCTGGGATTACAGGTGTGAGCCACCGTGCCTGGCTAGTTCTATGAATTTTAACACTTGCAAATTACTGAGAACTTGATATTTAAAAAATAAAAAAGGAGTTTGGACTGTCACTAACTTCCTCCCCTCATCAAATTTCTCACTGACTTAGTTGATTTCACTGAAGAACTAAACAAAAAATAAGAATAATCGGGCCGGGAGCAGTGGTTCATGCCTGTAATCCCAGCAGTTTGGGAGACTGAGACAGGTGGATTACTTGAGGCCAGGAGTTTGCGACCAGCCTGGGCAACATGGTGAAACCCCGTCTCTATTAAAAATACAAAAAATTAGCCAGGCTTGGTGGTGCATGCCTGTAATCCCAGTTTCTGGGGAGGCTGAGGCACGAGAATCATTTGAGTCTGGGAGGCGGAGGTTGCAGTGAGCAACCTGTATCAAAAAAATAATAATTTTTTTCTGTCTCAAAAAATAATAATTTTTTTTTTTGAGACAGAGTCTCGCTCTGTCGCCCAGGCTAGAGTGCAGTGGTGCAACCTCTGCTCACTGCAACCTCCCTGCCTCCCGGGCTCAAGTGATTCTCGTGCCTCAGCCTCCAGAGTAACAGGGACTACAGGCACGCACCACCACGCCTGGCTAATTTTTGTAATTTTAGTAGAGACGGGGTTTCACCATATTGCCCAGGCTGGTCTTGAACTCCAGAGCTCAAGTGATTTGCCCTCCTTGGCCTCCCAAAGTGCTGGTATTACAGACATTAGCCAGCATGCCCGGCCTAAATACATTTGTATAATTAAAAATATTTCATTCTTTATTAACATTTTCAGACCTAGTTTTTTTTATCATTTAGTGAAATTGAAAGTCATAGAGCTCTACAATCGTCAAGCTCTTATTAGCAGACCGTTGGAATGGAAATCTGTTTTAGCTACTGTAACGGTTAATACTGAGTGTCAACTTGATTGGATTGAAGGACGCAAAGTATTGATCCTGGGTGTGTCCGTGAGGGTGTTGCAAAAAGAGATTAACATTTGAGTCAGTGGGCCGGGAACGGCAGATCCACCCTTAATCTGGCACCCTAATCAGCTGCCAGTGCAGCTAGAATATAAGCAGGCAGAAAAATGTGAAAAGAGAGACTGGCCTAGCCTCCCAACCTACATCTTCCTCCCGTGCTGGCTGCTTCCTGCCCTCGAACATCAGACTCCAAGTTCTTCAGTTTTGGAACTCGGACTGGCTCTCCTTACTCCTCAGCCTGCAGATGGCCTATTGTGGGACCTTGTGATCATGTGAGTTAATAAACTCCCCTTTATTCTCCCATTAGTTCTGTCCCTTTAGAGAACCCTGACTAATACAGCTACCCAGAGCGGTTTGTGATCACTGCCCGATCTCTTCTTCAGAGGCTGTGGCATTACTGACTCTGTTTTTACTGGGTTCATCCTATTCTCTTTCTCTCTCTCTCTCTTTTTTTTTCTTTTGAAACAGGGTCGTGCTTTGTCACCAGGCTGGAGTACAGCAACATGATCTCAGCTCACTGCAACCTCTGCCTCCTGAGCTCAAGCAATCCTCCTGTCTCAGCCTCCAGAGTACCTGAGACTACAGGCACGTGCCAACTCACCCTGCTAATTTTGGAGGGGGCACAGGGTGGGATGGATTTGGTAGAGACAGGTTTTACCATGTTGCCCAGGCTGGTCTTGAACTCCTGGGCTCAAGCCATCCACCAGCCTCGGCCTCCCAAAGTGCTGGGATTACAGGTGTGAGCCACCGCACCTGGCCCCATTCTGATTAATGCAATTAGAAAGTCTTCTAATCATACAATAAAGCAAAGTGCAAATAGTTCTTATGCTTTCATCTTTAAAGGGCAACCAAATGATTTAGAATATATATATTTGAAACTATAACCTAGAAAAGTCATATGACTTGGAAGTAAAAAGCTAAAGCAAAACACAAAATCTGGAAATATATCATTCTGATCACAGAGAGAGGAGAGGTATATGTCACCAGATATTAAAAGGATCTTTTTTCAGTTATATAAAAAAGTCAAGCTATTCTGGAATATGCAATTATTTAAAACATCCAGAAGTTTTTCTAAAAAACAAATTATGGTAGAAATTTGTTTATATATTCATTGCTAATTTCTTAGCACTTTAAATCCCTTAGGTGAAGGAAAATTCCTTAGGTTTTTATATTAAGGAACTGTGGCAGGCAGAATAATCCCTCCTCACCCTAAGTCCATGTCCTAATCCTCAGAGTGAATATGTTACCTTACAGGACAAAAGGGATTTTGCAGGTGTGATGAAGTTAAGGATTTTGAGGCGGGGAGATTATCCTGGGCCCAGCGTAATCACAAGAGTCCTTATAAGTAAAAGAGGGAAACGGGAAAGTCAGAGCCAGAGATGCTGGAAGTGGAGGTCAGCGTGGTGCAATAGTTAGCTTTGAGATGAAGCGGGGCCATGAGCCAAGGAATTCGGGCAGCATCTAGAAGCTGGAAAAGCCAAAGAACAGATTCTCCCCTAGAGCCCGCAGAAGGAACACAGCCCTGTGGACACCTTGATTTTAGCACCGTAAGATCCATTTCCATCATCTAACCTCTAAAACTGTAAGAAAATTAATTTGTGTTAAGTGGCTTCATTTGTGGTAATTTGTTATAGCAACAATATGAAACTAATACAGGAGCATTTTATTAGTCTTTTAGTACTTTGACTATCCCGTTCAGTCAGAATTGTGGCATTTAAATAATTACATCTCATATATATATGTATTTTTTTTTTTAGATGGAGTCTTGCCCTGTCGCCCAGGCTGGAGTGCAGTGGGGCGATCTCGGCTCACTGCAAGCTCCGCCTCCTGGGTTCACGCCATTCTCCTGCCTCAGCCTCCCAAGTAGCTGGGACTACAGGCACCCACCACCACGCCGGCTTAATTTTTGTCTTGTTTTTTGTTTTTTTTTTTTTAGTAGAGACAGGGTTTCACCATGTTAGCCAGGATGGTCTCGATCTCCTGACCTCGTGATCCACCCGCCTCGGCCTCCCAAAGTGCTGGGATTACAAGCGTGAGCCACCGTGCCTGTCCAATTACATCTCATATTATCATGTTGGCTATAAAACTGTATGCACCCTTTTTATGGTTGCTAATAAAAATGTTTTTGCTCAAATATACTTGCTATTTACCTTTAAGTGAATAATGTATTCCAGAATTAAAATCCAGGGCAAATATACACACAATAAGGAGCACCACTCTAGCAATACCAGACACATTTAGTAGACATGACACATGCATTTAAATATGTGGAAAATTCTAAGCAGCTACCTATCAAATCTCAAGAGATAAAGTCCAGCAGCCCAACCACACTGGCTGTCAAACAGGCTGAAATTTGATTCAGAAAATAGAATCTGATTCAGAAGACAAAAATGGTAACGTTAACAATGCTATTTTGATGTGACCCTTTAGCAGAAAGCTGACCTTTTCGGCAGTTGTTAAAAAGCAAGGTATGTCTGTAGGAGAGAGCAGAGCTTGATAAATGAAGAAAACAGGTCTATCCCCATAATATAGAGAGAAATCACTGACAATTTAGTCTCATCTTGTTCCACTATCATTTTAACAGTGGAAGCTGCCACTGCGAAAGCTCGCTGCATGGCACCTGTTAGGCCTCATTCTCATCTCGCAGTTCCCAGAATTCCTCTTGATTGCAGCATCCATACACTCTTCATTTTCCTGCAAGGTATTATTTGGACACTCTTCAAGAATCCTTTTTCTTTTTTTTTCCCGAGATGGAGCCTCACTTCGTTGCCCAGGCTGGAGTGTAGCGGCGCAATCTCGGCTCACTGCAACCTCCTCCTCCCGGGTTCAAGCGATTCTCCTGCCTCAGCCCCCCGAGTAGCTAGGACTACAGGCGTGCGCCACCACACCAGCTAATTTTTGTATTTTTAGTAGAGGCGGGGTTTCACCATGTTAGCCAGGCTGGTCTCGAACTCCTGACTTCAAGGGATCCGCCCACCTCTGCCTCCCAAAGTGCTGGGATTACAAGCATGAGCCACCACACCCGACCCTCTTAAGGAATCCTAATTGCAACTTTTAAGGCTTGTAATTCCTCCAAATAACTAAAGCAATAGCACATACTCTAAAAAGAAAACTTTTCTTCCTTTGCCAATATATTGACAAATTTGGAAAAGATAAAATCCCAACATAATGTTCATTGTTCTTATGATTATGACTCTTGAAACTTTATGCAGATAACTCTGTACACAGACTAGTCCCTCATCTTTCCCAAAATGCTTAAGAAAAACAAGAATGTTTAATCCAGATGCTGTTTTCTAAATTGGCCAATTCAGTTTAGCACTTACATCTTAAGAAAGTAAGCTTCAAAAATTCTCCTGTTTCTCCTGTGATGTGTCAATATCATTTGGCCTTTGGCTTCAATTAGGACATGAGTTGATTTCTTCTTAGCCCTAACTAATGGTCATGTAGTAGACTGACTTTTCAAATAGTGTGTTTAGAATAAATTAGTTCATTACAGAACATTTTCTTTATTTTCAGCTGGCATCAATGTGGGCATCAAGGTGTCCTCCTACTAAGCAGTTTAATCTGAATTGGTAACATGGATTATATATACCTATAGTAACTTGGAGATTTTACTGTATTTCTCTTTTGAGATGTTTTACATAATTTTTTTCTCCTTGATGTGCTACTAAAATGTCTGTAGAAAACTGTATGCTTTAAGTCTAAACATCAAGTACAGTGTGGGTTGAAGGGATGATATCAAAAAAAAGCAAACTCCATCCTTTTTTTTTTTTTTTTTGTAGACAGAGTCTCGCTCTGTCACCCACGGCGTGGAGTGTAGTGGCACGATCTCGGCTCACTGCAACCTCCGCCTCCCAGATTCAAGTGATTCTCCTGCCTCAGCCTCCCAGTAGCTGGGACTACAGGCATGTGCCACCACGCCCAGCTAATTTTTTTGTATTTTTAGTAGAGATGGGGTTTCACCATGTTGGCCAGGATGATCTCAATCTCGACCTCGTGATCCGCCGCCTCGACCTCCCAAAGTGCTGGGATCATAGGCGTAAGCCATTGCGCCCGGCCAACTCCAGCCATTTTTAAGCTATACTTAAGATCTTTCTGTCTTACATTTCTGTAATGAGACAGCTAATCACAACTAAGCGGGTTGGTTATAAAGATCTAAACCGGCCGGGCGCGGTGACTCATGCCTGTAATCCCAGCACTTTGGGAGGCCGAGGTGGGCGGATCACGAGGTCAGGAGATCCAGACCATCCTGGCTAACAGTGAAACCCCGTCTCTACTGAAAATACAAAAAATTAGCCAGGCATGGTGGCGGACGCCTGTAGTCCCAGCTACTCGGGAGGCTGAGGCAAGAGAATGGCATGAACCTGGAAGGCGGAGCTTGCAGTGAGCTGAGATCGCACCACTGCACTCCATCCTGGGCGACAGAGTGAGACTCCGTACTCAAAAAAAAAAAAAAAAAAAGAACCTAAACCGACATTGTAAGCAAGACAATGCTACAAAATATGGAAGACACAAAGAGAGTTCCTACCCTCCAGAGAATTTCCCTGAGACGAGTACTGCCTTTCAGTTTTCTCTGTTGTGGGGACAGAAAGAATAATGGTAAGAGGCTGAGTAATGGCTGCATCATGAGGGTAGTCTAGACAAGCAACCCATGGATATGCAAGAGAAAGACTGTCTCCAGGGGTCCATGAAAGAGACTGCCTGAAGGTGGGTGGGATCTTGATGAGATGGAAAACCTTCCAGGCAGAGGGAAAAGTGTGAGCAAAGACAGAGAGATTTGTGTATTCATTTCCCAGGGCTGCTGGAACAAGGTACCACAAACTGGGTGGCTTAAAACAGCAGAAATCTCTCACAGTTCTGAAGGCCAGAAGTCTGACATAGAGTTGTGGGTGGGGCAATACTTTCTCTGAAGGCTCTAAGAGAGGATTTTCCTTGCTGCTTCTTAGCTTCTGGTGGTTGCAGACAATTCTTGGCATTCTTTGGTTTGTAGACACACATCACTCCAATCTCTGCCTCCACCGTGATATGTTGTTTTCTTTATATGTCTCTCTGTTCACATGCCCCCCAGCTCTGCGTCTGTATCTATATCTCCTCCTCTCATAGGTACATAGCTTATACTGGATTAGAGCCCACCCACCCACTAGGACATCATCTTAACTACATCTACAATGACTCTATCTCCAAATAAGGTCACATTCATAGGTAGGCATTAGAACTTGAACATATCTTTTTGAAGGACACAATTCAACCCACAACATATGGTCATGAGAAGGTCAGTGTGGTCAGAAAGTAGAGTATATCTAGGGAAAGAGTGGAAGTAACTCAGGAAGAAGGGGCTGGAGTATAGAGAACCTTGATGAATAAGCAATGAGGGTGCACAGAATATATATATATATTTTTTCGAGGCAGAGTTTCACTCTTGTTGCCCAGCTGGAGTTGCAATGCACGATCTTGGCTCACTGCAACCTCTGCCTCCCGGGTTCAAGCGATTCTCCTGCCTCAGCCTCCCAAGTAGCTGGGATTACAGGCATGTGCCACCACACCTGGCTAATTTTGTATTTTTAGTAGAGACAGGGTTTCTCCATGTTGGTCAGGCTAGTCTTGCACTCCTGACCTCAGGTGATCTGCCTGCCTTGGCCTCCCAAAGTGCTGGGATTACAGGCGTGAGCCACCACGCCCAGCCATTAGGGTGCACAGAATATTTTTAAGTAAAGGAGTATTACTGGCCAGGTGTGGTGGCTCACGCCTGTAATCTCAGCACTTTGGGAGGCCGAGTGGGTGGATCCCTTGAGCTCAGGAGTTTGCGACCAGCCTGGGCGACATGGCAAAACTTCGTCTCTACTAAAAATACAAAAATTTACTGGGCATGGTGGTGCATGCCTGTGATCCCGGCTACTTGGGGGGCTGAGGTGGGAGGCTGCTTGAGCTTGGGAGGCAGAGGCTGCAGTAAGCTGAGATCATGCCACTGCACTCTAGCCTGGGCGACAGACTGAGACACCATCTCAAAAAAATAAATAAATTAATTAATTAATTAATTAAATTAAAAGGAGTATTACTAATAAAGTTGTCCATTTGGGAAAATTGATTTGTCATTATTATTTAAAATTCATTATAGTAGAAAAAGAGAAAAGAATAGGAAAAGTCAGAGAGCTACTTCAGGAATAGAGGGGGTTCGTGATGCATCAAATAAAATAGTCCATAGATCTGTAAAGAATGGGACATACAAGACAGCCTGGTTATAAGAGATGAGGTATGACTGAAGTTGGGGACTAGGAGAATAGTGTTAGAATTATTATCATTGTTACATTAATCAAACTGCATTCTAACACCAATTCTCGGGTGTCAACTGGGTGTTCTACATTTCAATTCTGATACTACCTACTGAGAAATAAAAATGAAATCCTAAGTACTCCCAGCCAACTGAATGGGCCCCCTCTTGGTCAAGAGACCACTGTCCGTGGACTTGTTCTGGCCACTTTACAGAGGCTGTACACAGGATGCCTCTATGTCCTCCATTTCACTTTCTGACATTACAGCCTAATTTTAATTACTTTCTGACATTACAGCCTAATTTTAATACATTTAAATATTAAGTCACCACCCCAAAGTAAACATGTGACATTTGTAACACGCATTTTGACTTACTAGCATGTGCCCCCCTCTTTATGAATATTCACAGCTCCTCCTGTAACCTGTTGACTGTATACAAAGCCAATCCATTCAGCATAAATTCCTGCCTCACCCTCTCCTCCCTCAAAGTGCCTGCTTTCAGTTTCTACCAGAGGCTACACTTCCCAGCCTGCAGGCTGCAATCCATCATAAAAAATAAAACTCTTGTTTCCAAATTTATGAACCTTAAGTGCAGAATCCACAGGTTAAGGACAAAGTCCTTCACAAAATTGCATCTTGGGTGTCCCCAAACCACCCAAACTTCTGCCCACACAACTATAAATTCGGGGCTTCCCACAACCTCCTCAGGTTCAATAATTTGCTAGAACAACCCAGAACCCACTGTTCTGGGTAAATAATACAACTGTTATTTAACATCACATTTGTATCATAAAGAATAGCATTCACAGCCAGGCGCGGTGGCCCATGCCTGTAATCCCAGCACTTTGGGAGGCTGAGGCGGACGGATCATGAGGTCAGGAGATTGAGACCATCCTGGCTAACACGATGAAACCTCGTCTCCCCTAAAAATACAAAAAATTAGCCAGGCGTGGTGGCAGGCGGCTGTAGTCCCAGCTACTAGGGAGGCTGAGGCAGGAGAATGGCGTGAACCCGGGAGGTGGAGCTTGTAGTGAGCAGAGATCACGCCACTGCGCTCCAGCCTGGGTGACAAGAGCGAGACTCCCTCACAAAAAAAAAAAAAAAGAATAGAATTCACTGCAGATGCAGTGGTTCATGCCCGGAATCTCAACATTTTGGGAGGCCAAGGCAGAAAGATTGCTTGAGCCCAGGAGTTTGATACTAGCCTGGGAAACATGGCAAGTCCCATCTCTACAAAATTTTTTAAAAATTAGCTGGGTGTGGTGGTGCACACCTGTGGTCCTAAGCTACTCAGACAGAGGCTGAGGTGGGAGGATCACTTGAGCCCAAGAAGCCAAGGCTGCAGTGAGCCATGTTTGTGCCACTGTACTCCAGCCTGGATGACAGACCTGAATGACAATTTTCTTTGCCTCAAAAAAAAAAAGGAATACAATTCAATAAAACAAAAAACCAGGGCGTGGTGATATGCACCTGTAGTCCCAACTACTTGAGAGGCCTGAGGCAGGAGGACTGCTTGAGTCCAGGAGCTTGAGGCTACAGTGAGCTGATTGTACCACTGCACTCCAGCCTGGGTGGCAGAATAAGATTGTCAAAAAAAAAAAAAGCCAGGCACAGTGGCTCACATCTGTAATCCCACGTAATCCCAGCACTTTGGGAGGCCAAGGCAGGCGGATCACCTGAGGTCAGGAGTTCAAGATCAGCCTGGCAAACATGGTGAAACCCCATCTCTACTGAAAAAAAAAATACAACAAAATTAGACAGGAGTAGTGGCAGGCGTCTGTAATTCCAGCTACTTGGGAGGCTGAGGCAGAAGAATCCCTTGAACCCAGGAGGCAGAGGTTGCAGTGAGCCGAGATTGTGCCATTACACTCCAGCCTAGGTGACAAGAGTGAGACTCCATCTCAAAAAAAAAAGAAAGAAAGAAAGAAACCAGGCGTGGTGGCTCACACCTGTAATCCCAGCACTTTGGGAGGCCGAGGTAGGCGGATCATGAGGTCAGGAGATCAAGACCATCCTGGCCAACGTGGTGAAACCCTGTCTCTACTAAAAATACAAAAATTAGCCAGGCATGGTGGTGCGCACCTGTAGTCCCAGCTACTTGGGAGACTAAGGTAGGAGAATCGCTTGAACCCGGGAGGCAGAGGTTGCAGTGAACCAAGATCATGCCACTGCACTCCAGCCTGGCAACAGAGACTTTGTCTCCAAAAACAAAAATACAATTCAAGAACAACCAATGAAAAAGACACTTAGGGCAAGGTCTGAGGGTGGGGGAGCAGGGAACAGGAACAGAGCTTCCCGTGCCTTCTCCTCATGGAATCTGGGTACATCACCCTCCCTGTACATCAACGTGTTCACAAACTAGGAAGCTCCACTGAGCCTTGGAGTCTAGAGTATTTATTAGGTTTTCATTATGTAGGGCATGATTCATGAAATCATTGGCCACTTGATTGAACCCAATCTCTAGACTCTCTCTCCTCCAAGAAGATCAGGGTTGCCGGGAGTAGGGTAGGTCAGTAAAATTGAAAGATTGAAAGTTCAGTCCTCTGAACCTATGCTTGGTCTTTCTGGTGTGACCAGCCAGTCCCTTGAAAATATCAAAGGACTCACAGTGTGTTAATTCAGTCACATCAACTCAGGTATGGTCAAAAGAGGATCATAAAGAATAACAAAAAAATATCCCTTTCTGTCCCTTAGGAAATTCTAAGGGTTTTAGTTTGTTTTTAGAGATGGGGGTCTCACTCCATTACTCAGTCTGGAGGGCAGTGGTGCAGTCATAGCTCATTGCAGCCTCAAACTCCTGGACTCAAGCAATCTTCCTGCATCAGCCTCTCAAAGTGCTGGAATTACAGGCGTGAGCCACTGTGCCCATTTTCCAAGGGTTTTTGAACCCATGTGCTGGCAACCAGAGACAAAGATCAGACATATAGGCAAAGCTCAGAGATGTTGCAGTTTGTGTTCCAAACCACAGCAATAAAGTGAATATCACAATGAAGCGAGTCACACAAATTTTTTGGTTTCCCAGTGCTTATAAAAGTTATGTTTATACTATACTGTAGACTATTAAGTGTGCAATAGCATTATGTCTTAGAAGTATACACATTTTAATTTGAAAATACTTTATTGCTAAAAAAAATGCTAACGATCGTCTGAGTCTGGTGGAGAGTCTTGGCTTGATGTTGATGGCTGCTGACTGATCACAGTGGTGGTTGCTGAACCCTGAGGTGGCTGCGGCAATTTCTTAAATAAAACAATGACATTGCTGCATCAATTGACCTTTCCTTTCACAAGAGATTGCTCTGTAGCATGCGATGCTTTTTGATAGCGTTTAACTACAGTAGAATTTCTTTCAAAATTGGAATCAATCCTCAAACCCTGCCACTGCTTTAACAACTAAGTTGTTGTAATATTTTAAATCCTTTGTTGTCATTTCCACTATGTTCACAGAATCTTCACAAGTAGATTCCATCTCAAGAAATCTCTTTCTTTGCTTATCCATAAGAAGCAACTCCACATCTGTTAAAGTTTTATCATGAGATTGAGGCAATTCAGATTCATCTTCAAGCTCCACTTCTAAATCTAGTCCCCTTGCTATTTCTACCACATCTGCAGTTCCTTCCTCCACTGATGTCTTAAACTCCTCAAAGTCATCCATGAGGATTGGAATCAACTTCTTCCAAATTTCTGTTAATGATATTTTGACCTCCTCCCATGAATCATAAATGTTCTTTTTCTTTTGTTTTTGTTTTTTTGAGATGGAGGTTCACTCTTATTGCCCAGGCTGGAGTGCAATGGTGCAATCTCGGCTGACTGCAACCTCTGCCTCCCAGGTTCAAGCTGTTCTCCTGCCACAGCCTCCCAAGCAGCTGGGATTACAGGTGCCTACTGCCACACCTGGCTAATTCTTGTATTTTTAGTAGAGATGGGGTTTCATCATGTTGGCCAGGCTGATCTCAAACTCCTGACCTCAGGCAATCCACCCACCTCGGCCTCCCAAAGTGCTGGGATTACAGGCGTGAGCCACCACACCTGGCCTTGAATCATAAATGTTCTAATGGCATCTAGAATGGTGATTCCTTTCCAGAAGGTTTTCAATTTTCTTTGCCCAGATCCATCAGAGGAATCACTATCAATGACAGTTATAGCCTTATGAAATATATTTCATAAATAAGAAGACTTGAAAGTCCAAATTGCTCCTTTATCCCTGGGTGGCAGAATGGATGTTGGGTTAGCAGGCATAAAAACAACAGTAATTTCCTTTTACATCTCCATCAGAGGTCTTGGGTGACCAGGTGGATTGTCAATGAGCAGTAATATTTTGAAAGAAATCTTTTTTCTGAGGAGTAGGTCTCAACAGTGGGCTTAAAGTATTTAATAGGCCAGGTGAAGTGGCTAGTGCCTGCAATCCCAGCACTTTGGGAGGCCAAGACAGGAGGATCACTTGAGCCCATGAGTTTAAGACCAGTCTGTGCAACATGGCAAAACTCTGTCTCTACAAAAAATACAAAAATTAGCCAGGTGTGGTAGCACTTACCTGTGGTCCCAGCTACTAGGGAGGCTGGGGTGAGAGGATCACCCAAGCCCAATGAGGTCGAGGCTGCAGTGAGCCACGATCGTGCCACTGCACTCCAGCCTGGGTGACAGAATGAGACCCTGTATCAAAAACAAACCAAAAAAAAAGTATTCAGTAAACCATGCTGTAAACAGATATGCTGTAATCCAGGCTTTGTTTTTCCAATGATAGAGCACAGGCAGAGTAGATTTTGCATAATACTTTAGGATCCTAGAATTTTTGGAATGGTAAATAAGCATTGGCTTCAACTTAAAGTTACCAGTTGGGTTGGGCATGGTGGCTCTCGCCTATAATCCCAGCACTTTGGAAAGCCAAGATGAGTGGATCACTTGAGGTCAGGAGTTCAATACCAGCCTGGGCAACATAGTGAAACTTTATCTCTGCTTAAAATACAAAAATTAGCTGGGTGTGGTGGCGCACACCTGTAGTACCAGCTACTTGGGAGGCTGAGGCATGAGACTCTCTTGAACCTGAGAGGTGGAGGCTATAGTAAGCCAAGACCGCACCACTGCACTCCAGCCTAAGTGACAGAGCAAGACTCTGTCTCAAAAAAAAAAAGAAAAAGAAAAAGAAAACCTGTTGTTTAATGGAGCCACCTTCATCAATGATCCTAGCTAAAGTTTCTGGATAACTTGCTGCAGTTCCTACATCAGCACTTGCTACTTCACCTTGCCCTTTTATGTCATGGAGATAGCTTCTTTCCTCATGAACCAACCTCTGCTAGCTTTTAACTACTCTTCTGCAGCTTCCTCACCTCTGTGGTTTGGAAACAAACTGCAGCATCTCTGAGCTTTGCCTATATGTCTGATCTTTGTCTCTGGTTGCCAGCACATGGGTTCAAAAACCCTTGGAGAATGGGCACAGTGGCTCACGCCTGTAATTCCAGCACTTTGAGAGGCTGAAGCAGAAGGATTGCTTGAGTCCAGGAGTTTGAGGCTGCAATGAGCTATGACTGCACCACTGCCCTCCAGACTGGGTAATGGAGTGAGACCCCCATCTCTAAAAACAAACTAAGTAAAACCCTTAGAATTTCCTAAGGGACAGAAATGAAGACAAGGCCTTGCTCTGGATTAGGGATTGGTTTAAGGGCATGCTGTGGCTGTTTTGATCTTCTATTAAGACCACTCAAACTTCCTCCATGTCAGCAATAAGGCTGTTTAGCTTTCTTATCATTCATGGCTAACTTATCATTAGCTAGCTGCTTGGCACAAGAGACCTAGTTTTTGGCCTATCTCAGCTTTCTTGGCTTTTGAAATGCCATCTTTACTAAATGTAATCATTTCTAGCTTTTGATTTAACATGAAAGACATGCAACTCTTCTTTACAATTAAACACTTAGAGGCCATTGTAAAGTTATTAATTGACCTAATTTCAATGTCGTTGTGTCTCAGGGAATAGGGAGGCCTGAAGAGAGGGAGAGACACAGGAATGGCCATTCAGAAGAGCCGTCGGAACGCACAAATTTATCCATTAAGTTTACCATTTTATATAGGCACAATTTGTGGCACCCCAAAATAATTACAATACTAACATCAAAGATCACTGATCATCTCTGTTTCCACTTGAGGGTTGGGAAAAGAACAAAAATCACTAATCATAGATCACCTTAAAAGATATAATAATAATTTAAGAGTTTAAAATATTATAAGGATTACCACAATGTGACACAGAGACATGAAGTGACTAGGGCTGTTAGAAAAATGGCACCGATAGACTTGCTTGATGCAGGGTTGCAATAAACATTCAATTTGTAAAAAATATAACATCCAGGCCAGGCGCAGTGGCTCATGCCTGTAATCCCAACACTTTGGGAAGCCGAGGCAGGCAGATCACCCAAGGTCAGGAGTTCAAGACCAGCCTGGCCAACATGGTAAAACTCTGTGTCTACAAAAAAAAAATAATAATACAAAAATTAGCCAGACGTGGTAGCAGGTGCCTGTAATCCCAGCTACTTGGGAGGCTAAGGTGGGAGAATCACTTGAACCCGGGAGGCAGAGGTTGCAGTGAGCCGAGATCGTGCCATTGCACTCCAGCCTGGGTGACAGAGCAAGACTCCATCTCAAAAAAAAAAAAAAAAAAAAAAAAAAACTACAAAGTGCAATAAAGGTGAAGCTCAATAAAATATGCCAGTATTCTTTATTATATCACTATACTTTTTTTTTTTTTTTAGACAGAGACTCACTCTGTTGCCCAGGCTGGAGTGCAGTGATGCAGTCTCGGCTCACTGCAACCTCTGCCTCCCAGGTTCAAGCGATTCTCCTGCCTCAGTCTCCCGAGCAGCTGGGATTACAGGTGCCTACCACCATGCCTGGCTAATTTATGTATTTTTATTTTTATTTTTATTTATTTATTTATTTTTTGCGACGGAGTCTCATTCTGTCACCCAGGCTGGAGTGCAGTGGCTCAATTTCGGCTCACTGCAAGCTCCGCCTCCTGGGTTCACGCCATTCTCCTGCCTCATCCTCCCGAGTAACTGGGACTACAGACGCCTGCCATCACGCCCAGCTAATTTTTTGTATTTTTAGTAGAGACGGGTTTTCACTGTGTTAGCCAGGATGGTCTCGATCTCCTGACCTCATGATCCGCCCGCCTTGGCCTCCCAAAGTGCTGGGATTACAGGTGTGAGCCACCGCGCCCGGCAATTTATGTATTTTTAGTAGAGATGGGGCTTCACCATCTTGGCCAGGCTGGTCTCAAACTCCTAACCTCAGGTGATCCGCCTGCCTCAGCCTCCCAAGGTGCTCAGATTACAGGCTTGAGCCACCGTGCCAAGCCTTTATTATATCACATACATTTTAATAAATGATATTTATTAAGGATTAAGGACTAGATATATAACAGGCACATTTAACTCTCATACCAACCTTATTTATCATCTCTATTTTACAGGTGAGGAGATTGAAACGCAGGGACTATATAATGAGCCCCAAGATCGTAATATCAGTAATTGGTAGAGTAAGGATTCAAAGCCAGGTCAGTTCACTCAAGAGCCTGTGCTGGTAACAACTGATACTTCCTCCCTGTGTCCTCAAGCAAGTCACTTAACCCCACAGATTTTGGTTTTCCATGCAGTTAAGATAGAGAAGGTGGACTCCATGATTACTAATGTTCCTTTCAACTCTAGTGTTTCCCCTTTTCATTTAAATTGTTTCAAGGCTGGGCATCGTGGCTCACGCCTGTAATCCTAATACTTTGGGAGGTCAAGGCAGGCAGATCACTTGAAGTCAGGAGTTCCAGACCAGCATGGGCAACGTGGTGAAACCCTGTCTCTACAAAAATACAAAATTAGTGGGGCTTGGTGGTGTGTGCCTGTAGTCCCAGCTACTCCAGATGTTGAGGCACGAGAATCGCTTGAACCCGGGAGACGGAGGTTGTAAGCTGAGATTGCCCCACTGCACTCCAGCCTGGGCAACAGATCGAGACTCTCTTAAATAAATAAATAAACAAATAGTTTCAAAACACCACTCTTTTTTTTCTTTTTTTTTTTTTGTAGACGGAGTCTCGCTCTGTCGCCCAGTCTGGAGTGCAGTGGCGCGATCTCGGCTGACTGCAACCTCTGCCTTCCATGTTCAAGCTAGTCTCCCGCCTCAGCCTCTCAAGTAGCTGAGATTACAGACATACACCACCACACCCAGCTAATTTTTTTGTATGTTTAGTAGAGATGGGGTTTCCCCATATTGGCCAGGCTGGTCTCAAACTCCTGACCTCAAGTGATCTGCTCACATGGGCCTCCCAAAGTGCTGGGATTACAGGTGTGAGCCACCACACCTGGCCAAAACACCATTCTTAATGGCTGCATAATATCCTACTTATGAGTAAAAGATAATTTACTATTACCGTACTGCTGGACATTTAGGCTGCTTCCAGTTTTTCCTTAACACAATTATCCTCGCAATGAACATTCTGGTGTTTTACAGATTATTTTTTAGAATAAATCCTTAGAAATAATTCTATCACCATCCATTCCTGTAATGAGTTTTTTTTTTAAGTTTTGTTCATCTAATCAATGTAATTTAAGCTGTGTTATCTTACTATACCTGTTTTTTAAAACCAGTATTATGCCACTATGGGGACTTAGTAAGAAAAAATAAAACACATTTTACTCTTGCCTGATTTCTTTAAGATTTTTAATCATTAATTTTTTCTTTTTTCTTTTTTTTTGTTTTTGAGATGGAGTTTTGCTCTTGTCACCCAGGCTGGAGTGCAACAGCATGATCTCCGCTCACTGCAACCTCCGCCTCAGTTCAAGGGATTCTCCTGCCTCAACCTCCCAAGTAGCTGGGATTACAGGCACCCGCCACCACGCCCAGCTAATTTTTGTATTTTTAGTAGAGATGGGGGTTTCACCATGTTGGCCAGGCTGGTCTCGAACTCCTGACCTCAGGTGGTCTACCCGCCTCTGTCTCCCAAAGTGCTGGGATACAGGCTTAAGCCACAGTGCCTGGACATTAGTGTTCTCGTATGTAAAAGTTGTCAGAATCAAAATGGAGTCACTAATGTTAAGAAAACCCTCACAAATAAGGCCAGAAGAAGTCATAATGAAAGGGCTTTTACACTTGTATGCTTGAGAATGAAAAAGACTATACAAAAACCACAACCTTACAAAAAAAGCCATCACAATCTTAGGCAAAAAAGACTTCTACAAGGACATCTGCCCAGCAACTACTTGTTCAGCCTCAGACTGGTATCACCCCTGTTATTAATCCTTGTAGCCAAAGATAATTATTTCAAAACAATTGCATAATCCTCCTGATTTTTCCCTTTAAAAACTTTGGTCTTCCTTTATCTCCTTGAATATGCACATCATTTACTATGGCATGCGGATTCCCATTGCAATGCTCTATTCCCAAATAAACATCATTTGCTTTTAGAGAGCCTCTCTTTCTGCTTGTTATTTAGGTTAACATATATCAGGTCTAGGCCGTGTGTGGTGGCTCACGCCTGTAATCCCAGCACTTTGGGAGGCCGAGGCAGGCAGATCACGAGGTCAGGAGATCAAGAGCATCCTGGCTAATACGGTGAAACCCCGTCTCTACTGAAAATACAAAAAAAAAAAATTAGCCAGGCGCGGTGGCGGGCGCCTGTAGTCCCAGCTACTCAGGAGGCTGAGGCAGAATGGCATGAACCCGGGAGGCAGAGCTTGCAGTGAGCGGAGATGCGCCACTGTGCTCCAGCCTGGGCAACAGAGCGAGACTCCGTCTCAAAAAAAAAAAGAGAAGGTACTTTGTAATATCCTACCCCACCCTTAAGAAGGTACTTTGTAATATTTTCCCCACCCTTGAGAATGTGCTTTGTAAGATCTACCCCTCTGCCTGCAAAAAATTGCTCCTAACTCCACCGTCTATCCCAAACCTGTAAGAACTAATGATAATCCCACCACCCTTTGCTGACTCCTTTTTCGGACTCAGCTTGCCTGCACCCAGGTGAAGTAAACAGCCGTGTTGTTAAAAAAAAATTTTTTTTGTTTGCATTTCTCTTGTTAAACTGTCTTTTGTTATGTGGCCTCAGCCATGAACCAATGGGTGAGGAAACAATATTATATATCCTTAGGTCTTGGACATGGAAATCAATAAATATTTATTAAATAAGTAAATTTGTCTTGTACTTTTTTGTTTACTCTTTTAGATAACCTTTAGAAAATTTCCATTAGCCGGGTGTGGTGGCACGTGCCTGTAGTCCCAGCTACTCAGGAGGCTGAGGCAGGATAATTGCCTGAACCCGGGAGGCAGAGATTTCAGTGAGCTAAGATCACGCCACCGCACTCCAGCTTGGGCAACAGAGTGAGACTCCATCTCAAAAAAAAAATTTTTTTTCATGGTTTCCTCCCTATAAAAAAAATCCAGTGGGAATTTAGATGGGAACTGCGTTGAATTTTTAAATTGATTGAGGACAGGCTAAAATCTTCACAATGTTTAGCCTTTTCATCTAAAACTTAGCATGCCTCTCCTTTTACTCACTGGTGAAAAATTAAGAGTGTTTCTATTAAAGGGTGTTTCTAATTTTTTCTCTCTAGTAATAGTTTGATAGTTTGTATTATATAGCTCAAACAAGTCCTCAGTAAGACTATGCCTATGAATTGTATTTGTTGATATGGTGCATGGGATCTTTTTTTCTCTACGTTCTTTACCTAATTATTGCCAGAATATTAGAGTGCTTTGTTTTGTTTTGTTTTTTGAGACAGAGCCTTGCCCTGTCACCCAGGCTCAAGTGCAGTGATGCGATCTTGGCTCACTACAACCTCTGCCTCCCGAATTCAAATGATTCTCCTTCCTCAGCCTCCCAAGTAGATGGGATTACAGGCACCCGCCATCACGCCAAGCTAATTTTTGTATTTTTATTATAGTAGAGATGGGTTTTCCCCATGTTGGCCAAGCTGGTCTCTAACTCCTGGCCTCAAGTGATCTGCCTGCCTCGGCCTCCCAAAGTGCTGGGATTACAGAAAACAGCACCTGGCATGAGCCCCTGCACCTGGTCTAGAGTGTTTTTTTTCTGAACAACTTCATTAATTCAAATAGTTTAGTTGAGCACAAAGATTCCATCATCTGCTTTTCTCCCAGAATTTAAGCCACTTATTTATTTACTATCTTATTGTATTTGTCGGAACTTCTATAACAACGTCAAATTATAGAGGCTGAGAGACTGAATAACAAATGGACAATGGCAAGATCATATGAAAAATTGAACTTTGACCCATGATGTGCAACACCTTGCCCAGGAGATCAACCCTTTATCTAAAATAAACAACTCAGGAAGCCAGCCTGCTATAAGTCAGACTTAGAGGAAGCCAGTTTGCTATCTCTAGTGACAATCCAAGAAGCTAAAAAATAACTTCTGTAACAATTGGCCTAAAATGGCCAGGACTTGATCGATAACTGACGGCGTCCAGAATTGTAGTCCCCATTTCCAGCATAGGACCAACCAAGGAAAGCCAAATATGCACCACTAACCAATCACATAAGACGCCCCACTTCTGGTTAGCTCACCTACAGCTTCCTCATGCCAACAGCTTCCAATCAGGGCTTTTTTCCTCTATAAAGCTTTCCCATTTCTCTGCCTGCCTTTGGGTCTCTGCCCAAATGCCAGTGCTGGTAGCTGACTCCCTTGCTAAAGCAAGCTCAGAATAAACAGCCGTTGCTTCTCTCATTTGGTAGGTCTTTTTTCTTTTAAAGACAGAGTCTCACTCTGTCACCCAGGAGTGCAGTGGTGCCATCTCAACTCACTGTAACCTCTGCCTCCCCAGTTCAAGTGATTCTCCTGCCTCAGCCTCCCAAGTAGCTGGGACTACAGGTGCATGCAGGAGCTCAAGACCAGCCTGGCCAACACAGTGAAATCCCATCTCTACTAAAAATACAAAAATTAGCCAGGCGTGGTGGTGGGCGCCTGTAATCCCAGCTACTCGGGAGGCTGAGGCAGAAGAGTCACTTGAACCCGGGAGGCAGAGGTTGCAGTGAGCCGAGATCACGCCACTGCACTCCAGCCTAGGCAACAAGAGTGAATTCCGTCTCAATAAATAAATAAAGTGGCCGGGCGCAGTGGCTCACACCTGCAATCCCAGCACTTTGGGAGGCCAAGACGGGCAGTTAGCAAGGTCAGGAGTTTGAGACCAGCCTGACCAACATGGTGAAACCTCATCTGTACTAAAAATACAAAAATTATCCCAGCGTGGTGGTGCATGCCTGTATTCCCAGCTACTCAGGAGGCTGAGGCAGGAGAATTGCTTGAACCCAGGAGGCGGAGGTTGCAGTGAGCTGAGATCACACCACTGCAGTCCAGCCTGGGTGACAGAGCAAGACTCCATCTCAATAAATAAATAAATAAATAAATAAATAAAATTTAAAAAATTTTAAAAAGACAAAAAGGAGAAATATTATCATCTAATATAAAAAATGATTCGTATAATTATTATATTTAAAAACTGTGGCCGGGCACGGTGGCTCACACCTGCAATCCCAGCACTTTGGGAGGCCAAGGTGGGCGGATCACTTGAGGCCAGGAGTTTGTGACCAGCCTGGCCAACATGGCAAAACCCCACCTCTACTAAAAATATAAACATTAGCCAGGGTGGTGGAATCCCAGCTACCCGGGTGGCTGAGGCACAAAAATTGCTTGACCCTGAGAGGCGGAGGTTGCAGTGAGCCGAGATCACACCACTGCACTCCAGCCTGGGCAACAGAGCGAGACTCTGTCTCAAAAAAAAAAAAAGGAAAGAAAGAAAAATAGAAAGTATGTTAATAGAATAAAGTAATTTACATAGAATCAAAGGAAGCAAGAATTTGGCAGCATTAGTCTAATAGTGCTGAGCGTACTGCTGCCAAAGTCAGACAAACTGAACACAACAAATACTAAAACCTCTAGAAAGAATAGTGTGGATCAGGGTAGGTTCCTCATACTTGTCAAACACATAAAATATCCCTCTAGCACCCTCTCCTCCACTTCTATGCTCACCTGAGAGGATTCTGATTGTGCACTTGGCCTCTCAGTTACCTTTCCTAGAAGGGATACACGAGACCTTCACCTAGCAACATGACTACTGCACTTGAAATGTGGCTAATCCAGGCACTTTGGGAGGCCAAGGAGGGAGGATCACTTGAGCCCAGGAGTTTGAGACCAGCCTGGGCAACATGGTGAGATCCTATCTTTATAAAAAGAAAAAAAAGAAGAAGAAAGTAACTAAATAAAAATAAAACTCTGTTAAAAAAAAAAAGAAAGAAAGAAAAGTGGCTATCTGAATTGAGATTTGCTGTAAGCATAAAATCCATCCCAGATTTGGAAGACTTTGCATGAAAAAAATACAAAACATCTTACTAATGATTTTTTACATTGATTACATGTAGAAAGTATAATATTTTGAATATGTTGGGTTAATTAAAATACATTAAAATTAATTTTACCTGTTTCTTTTTAGTTTTTTAAATATGTCTACTAGAAAATTCTAAATACATCTGTGACTTGCATTTTTATTTTATTTATTTATTTATTTCTTGAGACAGAGTCTCATTCTGTCACCCAGGCTGGAGTAGAGTGGCTCGATCTTGGCTTACTGCAGCCTCTGCCTCCCAGGCACAAACAATTCTCCTACCTCAGCCTCCCGAGTAACTGGGATTACAGACACCCACCACCATGCCTGGCTAATTTTTGTGTTTTTAGTAGAGACAGGGTTTCACCATGTTGGCCAGGCTGGTCTCCAACTCCTGACCTCAGGTGATCCACCCGCCTTGGCCTCCCAAAGTGCTGGGATTATAGGTGAGAGCCACCGCACTCCACCAACTTGCATTTTTGACAGAATTATATGTCTATTAAAGAGCGCCAATTTAGAACACTGAACAATAATACCATAAACAATGTAAATATACATTCTCCCTGTAAATTAATAAATTGACAACTTGATTTAGAAATCTGACTTTGGTGAATTTTCACGGCACAAGTCTGTCCCTCACATATTGATCGATTTTGTATTTACAAACTCAAATACATCTCCTTCTATAGCCCTGCAAAATGAAGGATCACGCCTTCACTGAAGTGAGCAAATCAAAGTTTTGGCATCTTCTGAGCTTTCTGGGCACAAGCTGTCAGCTCAGCCATTTCTCTGCCTGCAATTTCGCTCTTGGTTTATAATCTTGGGTTTAGGCTGTTTTTCAAGGGATAGAGTTGGTATCATTCATATTTGTTTTCCTATCACTTATGTTCCTTAAACAAAGGATTTTAAAAGTTTGTTAAATATTCTACATTTTATGCCTTTGATCATAGCTGTAAGACTGCTTGCCTTGAAAAGGATTTGCACATAATTCTCCATGGTTTTTTTCTTAATATGTTAATTGCAAACCGCTTGTAAAGATTGAGTACATGAAGATCTGAAAGACAGCAGTTATTTACAGTCATGTAAAGTAAAAATGGCAAGTGATATCTAATTAATAGCTAATAACCTAATAATATGGAGTGGAAACTTGATAACCATTACAGCACACTGTATTTTATTATCAAGGACAGAGCCTTAGAGACAGACCACAGAATTGATGTTTCATCATTATGCGATGGCCTACATTATATGACCTCTTATTTGTCCCTCAACTCCAATAGCAACCTCAAGGCTGATATAGAATAGCAGTGGAAAGGAAAATAAATGACACAAAAAGAAAAGTAGGTTTATCATGGGACCAATGTAGTGCTTTGGCCTCATAGCAGAGACCAGATGGTAGCAGCTCCTCTCTCAGCAGGTAGCTCTTCAATATCCTACGGGTTGTAAACAACAAATTCACATCATCTCCACCTGCTAATAAGTATTTTTTAAAATATTGCGGCAACATCGAAACAATGCTGAAAATACAATCCCTCAATATAAGAAAAAAAGTTTTCCTAAATATTTAGTCTGTTAAAAGAAAAAGTCTTTTCTGAGAAATGCTATTACCCACTAGAAAATCTTGGCTTCTTAAAATCCAAGAATATTCTCATCTCTTTTTTTTTTTTTTTTCTTTTTTTGAGACAGAGTCTCACTCTGTTGCCCAGGCCAGAGTGCAGTGGCGCGATCTTGGCTCACTGCAAGCTCCACCTCCCAGGTTCAAGCGATTCTCCTGCCTCAGCCTCCTGAGTAGCTGGGATTACAGGCACGTGCCACCATGCCCGGCTAATTTTTGTATTTTTTAGTAGAGACGAGGTTTCACCATATTGGCCAGGCTGCTCTCCAACTCCTGACCTTGTGATCCACCTGCCTCGGCGTCCCAAAGTGTTGGGATTACAGGCGTGAGCCACAGCGCTCGGCCTCTTTTTTTTAAATAAAGTAAATGGCCCTCATTTTACCCAATTTTGTGACTTTGTAAAAGCCAATGAAAATGCCTGAGAAACTACTGACATTAGTTTTACTGCAGTTAAATATTTGTTAACTTTGCCAGGCGCGGTGTCCCGTGCCTGTAGTCCCAGCTACTTGGGAGGCTGAGGCAGGAGACGGCTTGAGCCCAGGAGTTCTGGGCTGTAGTGTGCTATACCGATCGCGTGTCCGCACTAAGTTCGGCACCAATATGGTGACCTCCCAGGAACAGGGGACCACGAGGTTGCCTAAGGGGAGGGGTAAACTGGCCAAGGTCAGAAATAGAGCAGGTCAAAACTCCCGTGCGGATCAGTAGCAGGATCGTGCTTGTGAATAGCCACTGCACTCCACCCTGGGTAACAGACCCTGTCTCTCTAGATAGATAGATAGATAGATAGATAGATAGATAGATAGATAGATAGATAGAGCGTATATATATACATATGCTAATTCTATAGAAACATGTAACTGTCCTTTGACATTTTAATAAAAATTGTGTATACAAGATTTCAAATTTAATTATTCTCTTCTCCTTCCATAGGATCAAAGACATCTTTTGGTTGCACAAGAAAAAGTGAAGCAAATATTCTCTGAAAAGTGACTGATGCCAATAAAACGTATAATTTTTGTATGTTTAATAGAGATGGGGTTTCACCATGTGTTGGCGCGCGCCTGTAGTCCCAGCTACTCTGGAGGCTGAGGCAGGAGAATCGCTTGAACTCAGGAGGCGGAGGTTGCAATGAGCCGAAATCGTGCTACTGCACTCCAGCCTGGCAACAGAGCGAGACTCTGTCACACACACAAAAAAAGTATAATTTGATGACAGTTTTTCTTCAATAGTTTAAGACACTTCTAACAAACTATAATTTAGTTGTCCTAATTAAAAGAAGAAAAATGTTAATAATCTCACACAGTGACCTCTACAAAATGTCCCTCAATGGACCCATTCTTTCCTTCGGAGAGAGAGGAAAAGGATCCTACATCTTATACCTTAAAGCTCTTAATCACTTTACATGTGGGCTACATGTCATTTTTCAACGGTTTCCCTCTGGGTAGCTGGTTGCTCCAATATTTTCCAGAATTGATTCGTTCTTAGGTACCAACTTGACCGTTCAATTCAGCAATTCTGGCTTTAAAATAGAAGAAAAGGCCGGGCGCGGTGGCTCACGCCTGTAATCCCAGCACTTTGGGAGGCCGAGGAGGGCAGATCACGAGGTCAGGAGATCGAGACCATCCTGGCTAACACGGTGAAATCCTATCTCCACTTAACATACAAAATATTAGCCAGGCGTGGTGGCGGGCGCCTATAGTCCCAGCTACTCGAGGCAGGAGAATGGCGTGAACCTGGGAGGCAGAGCTTGCAGTGAGCCGAGATCGTGCCACTGTGCTCCAGCCTGGGCGACAGAGCAAGACTCTGTCTCAAAAAAATAAATAAATAAATAAATAATAAAATAAAATAGAAGAAAAATAGGAGTAGGAACAACGTGGAATAGTAGGTTAGCCCCTGGGGACAAGAAGAGAAATTCACTTAAGCAAAGGTCACCTAAGTGCAAACTTGAACCAGACTGTGCACAAACAAGTGACAGAAGCGAAAGTGGCCTCAGCTGCAAACGCAGCACTTGATAAACCACACTCATGATCAGCCCTCATTTCCACCTTAGAGAGATTGAAAACATACCTAACTCCACCATTTATAGCTGCTGAGCAGGTGGATGACATTCGTCAACGTGGGGTTTAGAATAATGCAATGTTTGAAATAAAATTAGAAAGAAAATAAGGCCAGGCACGGTGGCTCACGCCTCGAACCCCAGCATTTTGGGAGGCCGAGGCAGGAGGATCGCTTGAGCCCAAGAATTCGAGACCAACCTGGGCAACAGGACAAGACTCCATGTGTATTAAAAAAAAAAAATTAAGAAAACAAAAGCTTTGTTAATCGTTAAGTAAGGATTGCAAAATGGAAGACAGTAAAGAAAAGGAAGGTCCTAAGAATCTGACCCACGAGTTTCAGTCCAAGTAACCTGGACCTGCCCAGAGGAAGCAAAGCGGAAGTAGGATCCAAAACGCTTTCAGCAGGCCGCCTGCGCCCCCGCGCATGCGCAGGTCTCTGACCGTTTTGGCGGGTGCGCGCCAGCCCTAGTTTATCTAGAGGGGAAGGGCGGTGCGGGACCACGTGACTGGGGTTGCGGCATTTCTGGCCCAATCCGAGACGGTTTCGTAGAGCGCCCTGTAGAGCAATTCGGGTTGCCCGGGTCCTTTCCGAGTCTTGACCTCCTCTTTTGCTTCTGGCTTTTCGACTCTGCTCTCGAATCTAAAAATTTGCCTTGGCAGAAGTTTTTCCCTGTGTTCCAGGAATTACATTAGGGACACACTCTAAAGTGATCAGCACTTTTTATTTTTTTCCTTCATCAACTAAAATAACATTGCTGTCTCCCCAAGACGCTCGAATTCTGTTCTATTGCTTGAGATTCCAGAATCGCTGGAGGGCGCCCTGTTGTAAAAATAGCACTCCCCACAAAAAGAGAGAGAAAGTTTTATCTATATCAGGGGGTTGAGGATTGGAGAAATAAAGATGAAAAATTTAAAGAAGCAAGTGTCCCCTAGGACTATGACAGATACGTACCTCAACACGTACCCCCAAAGGTCACTTTGTCAGTTTAAGCATTTAAAATCTCCCAATCTGTCTATTCAAGCCTATCAAAAATCTGAAGTAGTGATGCTGAGATAATATGTGGTTGGTCCAACCCAGTGGAGTGTGACGGGGAAACAGGGCTTAGAGAAATTTAATCTTAAAACTGGAGTACTTTCCTCATTTCCCTGAAATAAAGGGAATTGGGGGAAAAGCAAAATGGATGAGGCTGAGTTCTAGAGCTCTAATCCTTCACGTACTGACTGCTACAGCCCAGGAAGCTTAGCAGTGGTTCATGTCACATACCCCAATATACATGGCTTGGTAAAAATACGTGTTGACAGGCCGGGCGCAGTGGCTCACCCCTGTAATCCTATCACTTTGGGAGGCTGAGGCGGGCGGATCACAATGTCAGGAGTTCGAGACCAGCCTGACCAACATGGTGAAATCCTGTCTCTACTAAAAATACAAAAATTAGCTGGGCGTGGTGGCACGCGCCTGTAATCCCAGCTACTCAGGAGGCTGAGGCAGGAGAATCGCTTGAACCCGGGAGGCGGAGGTTGCAGTGAGCCGAGATCGTGCCACTGCACTCCAGCCTGGGCGACAGAGTGAGAATCTGTCTCCAAAAAAAAAAAAAAAAAAAGTGTTGGTAAAAGTATCCAATTTACTGAAAAAATTTCTCACCCGTAATCCTTTTCAGAAAGATTTAACTAATTCCCCACAGATAATAAATCCTCCACACTACAAAAATTGGTTTGTTTTTAACTCAGCATATTCTCAGAAAAGTGGCCGGTGGTGGAGCAGAGTGCAACACAGCTCAAAGCGCTGGACTCACAGGAGCTTCGCTGCAGACTTGCAGTGATAGTGACTGCTGCTTCCCTTGGGTTCCTCTGGTGTTGCTGTCATTGATAATTTAGTAGTTTCAACTGCAGTTCCTTCCATTACACTTACAGATTCTTCTACGGACCCCCAGAATTCCTCAGTCACAGCTCTCTATATAAATGGCTTTGAAAGCCACTGACTACACTGTTGGTGTCTACTCAGTGCCAAGAGAAATGGACTCTGGGAGAAAATCCCTCCAAGTGGAGAAACCCTGTAACCCCTTTGAGCTAATTCCGGGGAGTGACTCTAGCCAGGAAAAGTCACAACTAAAGCGGAAAACAGATCGTAGCCTTCACCATCGGCAAGATGGTGCAGTTTATTTAATAGAAAAATCATCAATATACTGCCATATTTTTAAAAAAAAGGTTTTTTAAAGATAATAGGAGTCCAGTCGTGGTGGCTCACGCCTGTAATCCCAGCACTTTGGGAGGCCAAGGTGGGTGGATCACCTGAGGTCAGGAGTTCGAGACCAGCCTGGTCAACATAGTGAAACCCCGTCTCTACTAAAAATACAAAAAATTAGCTGGGTGTGGTGGCGGGCGCCTGTAATCCCAGCCACTCGGGAGGCTGAGGCAGGAGAATCGCTTGAACCCGAGAGGCAGAGGTTGCAGTGAGCCGAGATCATGCCATTGCACTCCAGCCTGGGCAACAAGAGTCAAACTCTGTCTAAAAAAAAAAAAGATAATAGGGAAGTCAGAGAAAGTAGGCAAGTGTTTACAGTGTCGAAGTTACTTCTTGAAGCTAGAACAGGTAGTTTTCACCAGAGCTGTGTGCCTATTTGGTGGCTTGTGTCAGTATTAACCATCAACATGGATGTGTCCATATTATAAGGGATCAAGTCCAAACAAAAATTTGAATTATTTGTAAATATTCGTGAAGTTAGAAAAGGTTATACCTGCTTCTGATTATTAATCCGAGTTTTGGAGTATTTATTTATTTATTTATTTAAGATGGAGTCTTGCTCTGTTGCCCCGGCTGGAGTACAGTGGCACAGTCTTGGCTCACTGCAACCTCTGCCTACTGGGTTCAAATGATTCTCCTGCCTCAGCCTCCGGAGTAGCTGGGATTACAGGTGAGCCCCACCACACCTGGCTAATTTTTGTATTTTTGGTAGAGATGAGGTTTCGCCATGTTGGCCAGGCTGGTCTGGAACTCCTAACCTCAGGTGATTTGCCCGCCTCAGGCTCCCAAAGGGCTGGGATTACAGGCGTAAGCCACCACACCCGGCCCCAGAGTATTATGGGATAACCTTACTTCAGGGTCTTACTACCCAAAAATGTGACTAGATTTGTATGAAATAAAGTATTTTTGGTTGGGTGCGGTGGCTCACGCCCATAATCCCAGCACTTTTAGGAGGCCGAGACGGGCAGGTCTCTTCAGGAAAGGAGTTCGAGACCAGCCTAGGCAACACGGTGAAACCCCATCTCTACTAAAAATACAAAAAAAAAAAGCTGGGCGAGGCATGGTGGCGCGTGCCTGTAATCCCAGCTACTCAGGAGGCTGAGGCAAGAGAATCCCTTAAACCCTGGAGGCAGAGGTTGCAGTGAGCCAAGATCGTGCCACTGCACTCCAGCATGGGTGACAGAGCGAGACTAGTCTCAAAAAAAAAAAAAAGCAATTTTCTTGGAGATCAACTCATTTTGTAATTTCCATTTTGTGGTGTAACCATTCTCCTTCAAGTTAGGGTTAGTAACACAAGTAACTACCTCAGGCGGAAGTACCCATGCCAGGTTCTCAAATCTTAGGCTGAATTAGTACATGAAAAAGGCATGCAGTAGTAGAATTCTATAGTTAAGCAACAGCTGCAGAATATCACTGCATCCAGTACTAGAAACAAGAGAGGGGAAATTTTCAGCAACTGAAAGCATGTCACATTCCAAAGCCTCTCTTTAAAATATAGAAAAAACTATACTTAAAGGTGTCTTCAGTCACAATCTCTCACTGAATTGCTTCATTATCTAACAACTTCATCAAAAACTTTGTGTGGTTCCACCACTTTCTGTAACCAAGAGGTGAAAGGCTTTGAATTTTTTAAAGATAATACCTGCAAAAAATTATATTAATTTCAGTAAATAATACCTTTAGTTGAAAATACTTCAATATTTTCCATCTCTCAGGAAGCAGAGTTCAATAATTAAAATACCTTTTCAATATTAAACTGTAAAGCAATCATGAAAACATTACTAATTATACTTGTGCCTTGAATATAAAATTCCAGTTGTCTACATATGAAACATTTTAAAAATCACTTACCGTAGAGAAACCAAAAAGAAGAGAGCAGAAAAAAACTATTGTTTCAAGTTTGATTTTGCTCTAGTAAACATTTAAGTATTATGTATATTTCCATTTATATTATCAAGATTCAGAAGATAAACATACAGTATAATTGGAGAACTTTGGATTCACTTTAGAAAAAACTATTGATATACAATAGTCTTATAATCACTTTAATAAACCACAGATAATACAAGTATAGGTAATAAACTTATTACTTCAAATCAAACTGCAGAAAGTACTGGTTCAATTTGCAACCCCAAAAGGAAAATTAAGAGAATACAAATTTTTTTTCTGCCTTTTGGACAAGAAGTTAATAAAGAAGGCCGGGTGTGGTGGCTCACGCCCGTAATCCCAACACTTTGGAAGAATGAGGCTGGTGGATCACCTGAGGTCAGGGAGTTCGAGACCGGCCTGACCAACATGGCGAAACCTCATCTCTACTAAAAATACAAAATTAGCTGGGCGTGGTGGCACATGCCTGTAATCCCAGCTACTCGGGAGGCTGAGGCAGGAGAATCTCTTGAACCCAGGAAGTGGAGGTTGTGGTGAGCCGAGATCGCGCCATTGCCCTCCAGCCTGGGCAATGAGAGCGAAATTCTGTCTCAAAAAAAAAAAAAGTTAAGAAAGAAGATGATGAGTTAAAACTATTAAATTGTAATGCCAGCTGGGAGCAGTGGCTCATGCCTGTAATCCCAGTACTTTGGGAGGCTGAGGCAGGCAGATCATGAGGTCAGGAGATCGAGACCATCCTGGCCAACATGGTGAAACCCTGTCTCTACTAAAATACAAAAAATTAGCCAGGCATGGTGGTGCATGCCTGTAGTCCCAGCTACTCAGGAGGCTAAGACAGGGGAATCGCTTGAACCCGGGAGGCAGAGGTTGCAGTGAGTCGAGATGGCGCCATTGCACTCCAGCATGGCGATAGAGCAAGATTCCATCTCAAAAAATAATAAATAAATTGTAATGCCTTATATCACATCCAAGTATTTAAATCAGTTAACTTTCAAGCTGTTAGTTTTTAAAAAGACCTTCAAAGCCGCTAATGGTATTGTTGAAAAAGTGAATGCTATACACTGAAACTAATCATTATAACAAATCTTCAATTTATTTGAAGCAATTCAGTTTCAAAAACTTTAAGTTACAGCAGTCACAGAAAAAAACAGGGAACAGTCAAAAACAATAAAAGAATAATCAGGAGTACTGCAAATTTTTTTGTTTGTTTTTAACACTGTCATGGCTTTATTCAAAACACAGTTGCACAAAAGTATTAACTTCAAAGTTTTTAAGGAGATTCTTGAGGAACTTAACACAATATATACATACTGCCATACAAAGAGCATTAAAATAGGACCGAAAACTTCTACAAAATATAAAACCCACCCTTACTTATTTGCATGAAAATACCACCCACAAAGCTAAATAAGTCTTAAAAGTTATCTGGAGGCTCTAAGTGTTGTTTTCAAACCAAAGTACTCTAATTTTGATTGCACAGTAAGATGATTGATAAGAAAGTCAATATATAGATTTCATTTTAAAAATAAGTATTTTGTAATCTGGCATAGTATGTAATGAGAATTGTTAGGAACTAGAACAGGGAATTTCAGTTTTTAAAAGCAGAAGAAAAATGTTATCTTTTTGGGGATTCCAATCCCCTCACTAAACTTATCCCCAAGGGTTTTCTTTCGGTCAGTTGTACAACATTTTTAGTTTCTCCACAAGTAACATCATAATTTTTACTTTAAAACACCAAGTCATACATTTTACATTGTAGAAGCAGTAGCAGCAGTACTATACTCAGTATTTAAATATGTCCCAGTATAGAAGCATAACTTCAATTAATTTGCTGACACTAACTTCTTAAAAACTTACAAATATTCAAAACAAAGGGAAAAAATTTTAGATAGCCAAGATTTAAAAAGCCATTGCCTTGAACATGGAGCCTCCATAGCAAAAGAGGAGATATACTTGTATACTCATTATATTTTATTTAGTAGCCATGTAAGGAAACACACACTCACTTATCCCAAATATTTTTCTACTTTTAATGGACATCCACTTGAAAACAAATCTTAATTTTAATGTCAATTTAGTTTCAAATACTTTTCCAGCTGCCTAGTATATTCCAATTAAATGCTATTATTATATCTGTTTTAAAACTGGGAATTAAAGGTTAGAAATACTTTGCAGAGTGGTATCCAAATCATTTGAGAGGCCAACATTAAAATTTGACTTTAATGTCTTATTAATATATCAACAGGCAATTGTTCCGACTTTTGAGGAACACTAACACTGCTTCCAAAAGCACCCCTGCTTTTCTTTCTTCATCCCACTAATATTGTCTTAGATGTTGTCAACCAAGAAACATTTATGGTAAGGAGAGCTTACTGCATAAAACTGTATTGATAATATATTCTTATGTCAGAAAATACTCAATTTCTTCTACTTCACTTATTTAAAACCCAGACAGGACTGAAAGGTAGTTGAGGTATAAGACTAAAGGTTTTCCTGGGTTTCACAAGTTTCCCAAGTTCCTTTTGAGAGAGCGGGAGGGAGTGAAACAAGAAGGGAAGGTGATCATAAAGGAATTGCTAAGAAGAAAAAGAATGCACACCTAAAAACAAAATAAACAACCATCGGCATGTCATGATTTGCAGCCTGACAAAAGGGCTCACCTGCATGTCTCTGGACTTAGTATAAGCAATTTTTCCTTCAAAAATAAAATCTTATCAGTCACCACTAAATCCATGAACCATATTACTGAATAGAACCTCCACAAAATCCATGAACTATGTTGCTGAATAGAACCTTTACTATTCTGCTTCTATTTTCCAAGTTACTTGTGACAAAAAAGCAACCAAACACTCTTAGTCAAAAAAAAAAAAAAAAAAAGGTAACTGCCTTCAAACTAAAGATTCCTGGATCACCTACTAAAAAAATAACCAACTTACCACTCAAGAGACTATTGTCATTTTATATTATAGCAAACTGTAATTTCAGTTAATTTATAAATAAGGAATGAAATGCACCATACTACACCTGTGTAAAAGTGATCATGTTTTAATTATGGGCTAAAAATGACTAATACAGTAAGCTTGAATTTAAAAAATTAAGTCTAAATAAATTGCTAGGGAATTCCACAATGGGAGTCAATGAAAATTTTTCTCTACATACAATATGATCATTAACAGACTAGTTCTTATTTGGAATGATAAGGCAAAAATAGTAAAACCACACTTTTCCTATAAAAAGTTACACATTATCTTCTGTAGGGATAGCTATCGTACATGAAGAAACAAAGATGTGATCACTCTATTGCACACCCAGAAACATTAGAGAATCTGGTCTTAGAATGATCTAGTCATCTTCTTCCTCTCCATCGTCTTCAGCATCTCGTTTCCTCTTCTCCCCTCGAAGACCTCCTTCTTCTTAAAGAGTGGAAAGAAAAATGCAAAGTGCTTAATTTTAACAAATGAGGATTGGTTACATTTTTGAATCTTAGTGAAAAGTTAATGGCAAGGCCTAGCACGGTGGCTCACACCTGTAATCCCAGCACTTTGGGAGGCTGAGGTGGATGGATCACTTGAGGCCTGGCCAACAAGGTGAAACCCCATCTCTACTAAAAATACAAAAAATTAGCCAGGCATGGTGGCGGGTGCCTGTAATCCCAGCTACTCCAGAGGCTAAGGAAGAATTCCATGAACCTGGAAGGCAGAGGTTCCAGTGAGCCAAGATTGCGCCACTGCACTCCAGCCTGGGCAACCGAGCAAAACTTTGTCTCCAAAAAAAAAAAAAAAAAAACGTTAATGGCAGAAGAAAATTGGCCAGGTAAGGTGGCTCACGCCAGTAATTCCAATACCTTGGGAGGCCGAGCCAGGCGGATCACTTAAGGTCAGGAGTTGGAGACCAGCCTGGCCAATAGGGTAAACCCCCCATCTCTACTAAAAATATAAAAATCAGCTGGGTATGGTGGCAGGTGCCTGTAGTCCCAGCCACCTGGGAGGCTGGGGCAGGAGAATTGTTTGAACCCAGGAGGCAGAGGCTGCAGTGAGCCGAGATTGCACCACTGCACTCCAGTCTGGGCGACAGAGCAAGACTGTCTCAAAAAGAGGGAGGGAGGGCAGGCTAAGAGAGGAAGAGAGGAAGAGAGGAAGGAAGGGAGGGAGGGAGGGAGGGAGGAAAGGAAGGAGAGTGGGAGGAAGGGAGGGAGGGAGGGAGGGAGGGAAGGAAAGGAAGGAGAGTGGGAGGAAGGGAGGGAGGGAGGGAGGGAGGGAAGGAAGGAAGGAAGGAAGGAAATTATACTTCAAGTTTCCTCTCTGAATTTCTTTAAATTTGAGAAGGTTGAAAACAGACTTAACAGGCTTAGAAATCCATAATTACAGTTTGCTATGCACCCTTGTGGCCATATCATGAAGTACAGATTAAGAAACCAAGGGCTTGACATCAATGCAATTGTTAGTAAATTTTAAAAATTATTTTGAGGCTGGGTGCAGTGGCTCACATTTATAATCCTAGCACTTTGCCAAGGCAAGAGGATCAGTTGGGCCCAGGAGTTCAAGACCAGCCCGGGCAACAGTGAGACCCCGTCTATACAAAAAATACAAAAATTAGCAAGGTGTGGTGGTGGGCACCTGTAGTCTCAGCTACTTTGGAAGAGGCTGAGGTGGGAGGATTGCTTAAGCCTGGGAGGTCGAGGCTGCAGTGACCTATGATTGCCACACTGCACTCACTGCTGACAGAGACCCTGTCTCAAAACAATAAAATGAAATAAAATAAAATAAAATAAAATAAAATAAAATAAAATAGGCCGGGTGCGGTGGCTCACGCCTATAATCCCAGCACTTTGGGAGGCTGAGGCAGGCGGATCACGAGGTCAGGAGATCGAGAGCAACCTTGCTAACACGGTGAAACCCCGTCTCTACTAAAAATACAAAAAATTAGCCAGGCGTGGTGGCGGCGCCTATAGTCCCAGCTACTCGGGAGGCTGAGGCAGGAGAATGGCGTGAACCCGGGAGGCAGAGCTTGCAGTGAACTGAGATCGGGCCACTGTACTCCAGCCTGGGCAACAGAGCGAGACTCCATCTCAAAAAAAATAAATAAATAAATAAAATAAAATAAAATAAAATAAAATAAAAATATTGGTTGGCCATGGTGGCTCACATCTACAATCCCAGCACTTTGGGAGGGTGGGGTGGGCAGATCGTTTGAACCCAGAGTTCAACAAAGCCTGGGCAATATGGCGAAACCCCATCTCTAAAAAAAAAACATACAGAAATTAGCTGGGCATGATGGTGTGTGCCTGTGGTCCCAGCTACTTGGGAGGCTGAGATGGGGGGATCACCTGAGCCCAAGGAGATTGAGACTGCAGTGAGCTGTGATTGCATCACTGTACTCGCCTGGGTAACAAAGTAAGACCCTGTTTCAAACAAACAAACAAAAATATATATATATATAAATTTTTAAAGGCCTGGAAAACAAATCTAAAAAGAGCATTAATTATCTGGAGTTCAACTGCTCCTCTCTTATAAGATAAGGCTTCACTCTGTCCAAAATGAGACTCTATAAAAATAATAAATTGAGCTCAAGGTTCCATTCATCTCTTCATTTGTTTTTAAAATAAATGTTATAAGCTGTTTATGAGTTATGAATTAATGAGTGCCCTAAGACAATTACTCTTAAAAAAAAAACTTTTATAACTTTGAAGGCACTCTATGATAAAGCAAAATCAAAGGGATCAGTAAAAATTGGCATTATAGGCTCATTCTTTAAAGTGTATGAAATACAAATAAATAAAGTATAAAAAATGACTATGTCTTTAATTTTATAATTTGTTTATGGCTAATGTAACTCACCCTCTTCTTCCTCTTCTTCCCCTTCTTCAACATAGTCATCATCATCTTCTTCATCCTTGAAATTCAAATATTCAGTTTGAAGATTGAAAAATCCATATGATTTTTCACTCTTTCTTGTAATATATTCCAACAAGAGCAAAGAAACTATGGTTATTCTGTGTTTTGACAACCTCTGCCATTCTTATAAAGGTCCTTTTTAAAACCTAACTAAAGGGCCGGGCGCGGTGGCTCACGCCTGTAATCCCAGTACTTTGGGAGGCCAAGGCGGGCAGATGACCTGAGGTCAGGAGTTCCAGACCAGCATGGCCAACATGGTGAAACCCTATCTCTACTAAAAATACAAAAACTAGCCGGGCATGGTGGCAGGCGCCTGTAATCCCAGCTACTCGGGAGGCTGACGCAGGAGAATCGCAAGAACCTCGGAGGCAGAGGTTGCAGTGAGCTGAGATAGCGCCATTGCACTCCAGCCTGGCAGAAAAGAGCAAGGCTTCATCTCAAAAAAAAAAAAAAAAAAAACCTAAACTAAATCTGTAGTCTTTTTTTTCTCTTTCCTTTTTATTTATTTATTTTTTTTTTTGAGACAGAGTTTCGCTCTTGTTGCCCAGGCTGAAGTGCAATGGCGTGATCTCGGCTCACCGCAAACTCCGCCTCCCGGGTTCAAGCGATTCTCCTGCCTCGGCCTCCCGATTAGCTGGGATTACAGGCATGCGCCACCACGCCCAGCTAATTTTGTATTTATAGTAGAGACAGGGTTTCTCCATGTTGGTCAGGCTGGTCTCAAACTCCCGACCTCAAGTGATCCGCCTGCCTCAGCCTCCCAAAATGGTGAGATTACAGGCGTGAGCCACTGCACCCGGCCAACTGCCTAATTCCTGTATCAGAAATCATTCTTATACAATCAGTTGAAATAAAGCATCTCCATACCAGAATACCAGTAAGCTATAAGGAGCGAAAGGAATAGATGAGATAGCAAAAAGCATAAAAAGGAACACAATGAAAATCAGGAAATACTGCAGACTAAACTGAAGAAGGAGAGACAAGAAAAAAAGGGGAAGACTGAATGTGGCTTTTGTTGCAGAATTTGTTCATTAAAAAAGGAAAAGGTGGGGCCAGGTGCAGCGGCTCACCTGTAATCCCAGCACTTTGGGAGGCTGAGGTGCATGGATCACCTGAGGTCAGGAGTTCAAGACCAGCCTGGCCAACACAGTGAAACCCTGTCTCTACTAAAAATACAAAAAATTAGCCAGGTGTGGTGGTGGGCACCTGTAATCCCAGCTACTCAGGAGAGTGAGGCAGGAGAATCGCTTGCACTCAAGAGGCAGAGGTAGCAGTGAACCGAGATCGCACCACCCACTCCAGCCTGGGCGACAAGAACGAAACTCCGTCTCAAAAAAGAAAAAAAAAGAACACTTAAAGTTCTGTTCTTCATTATATATAGCTCCTAACTCGCCAAGACCCCAAATGAATATAAATCCTATTTTTTCCATACTAGTTTCATCAGCAAATATGTGTCATTGATCGTTTATATTATGTATCTAACCAATGCAAAACTCATTGAAACAAATATTAGCAACTTCCAGTCTAAATAAGAGATGTTATTTTTAATAATAAAAAATACTTTAAATTATGAGTTTTTAAAATAAACTTCAATTTAACATTAGGAGAAAATAACTAACCTAAACTCCCAGGGGCTGTAGATAACTTGTTCTAGTCAACTGACATTTCCCATGAGCCTACCATGTACCAGTCAGTGTACTAGATGCTGAGATACAAAGGTGAGTGGCACTCCCCTTAAGGAGCTCACCACTTAGCAGGAAGTGGCCAAATTATTTTACAAGTGTCTGTAGGCAATAGAATTCTGATCACGATTCAGAGGTAACAGATGGAGGAGTGACTGCCTAAGAAAAAATATAGAGAGCTTCAATGATGAGGCAACTGAAGAGTTGGGTTTGTAAAGATAAGAATTCACAAAGCATGATTTGGGTGGTGGTTGCACAAGTACATGCATATGTAAAATTCCATGGAGTTGTAAATAAAATCAGTGCACTTCACAAGCTTCACTCAGCAAAAAACAAAAAGTTCATCAGAGGCTCATTTCAGATAGAGTGAACAACATATTCATACACAGCCATAAAGGTAAAATAGTTTGGTGTGATCATTTAATTTGGAATCAAGGGAGATGAAGCTGGAGGAGAAAGCAGGGGCCGGGCACAGTGGCTCACACCTGTAATCCCAGCACTGTGGGATGCCAAGGTGGGCGGATAATTTGAGGTCAGGAGTTCAAGACCAGCCTGGCCAACATGGTGAAACCCTGTCTCTACAAAAAAATACAAAAATTAACCAGGCGTGGTGGAGTGTGCCTGTAGTCCCAGCTACTTGGGAGGCTGAGGTGAGAGGATTGCTTGAGCCTGGGAGGCAGAGGTTGCAGTGAGTCAAGATCGCACCACTGCACTCCAGCCTGGGCAACAGAGTGAGACTGTAACAAAAAAAAAAAAAAAAAAAAAAAGCAGAAGGAAGCAAAGGCCAGAAATGAAAGGCCTTGTATGTCTTGGGGGCAAGAGGGAAACATTAAAGGGTTTCAAGAAGGCTGATGTATAATCACATTTGCATTAGACTAAACAGGCAGCACTGTGGAGAATACTCCTAAGTGGTGATGCTGTATTCAGACAGACTATTTAGAAAGCTACTACAAAAGTATAAGCAAGAGATAATTAGGAGAAAGAAACTTAAGTTTTCTTGAGTGCCTATAATGTGCCAGGGACTATATTCTTTACATAGATTACCTTGTTAAATCCTTAATCCTATGAGGTTGATATAACCTGTTTTTTTTTTTTTTTTGAGACAGAGTCTTGCTCCGTTGCCCAGGCTGGAGTGCAGAGGCACGATCTCAGCTCACTGCAATCTCCGCCTCCTGAGTTCAAGTGATTCTCAGCCTCAGTCTCACGATTAGCTGGGACTACAGGTGTGTGCCATCATGCCCAGCTAATTTTTGTATTTTTAGTAGATACGGGGTTTCCCCACTCATGTTGGTCAGGCTGGTCTCGAACTCCTGACCTCATGATCCACTTGCCTCAGCCTCCAAAAGTACTGGGATTACAGGTGTGAGCCACCATGCCCGGCCTAATCTGTTTTATAAATGCAGAAATTGAGGTTCACAGACATTTGTAAAATGTTTCCACCATACCATGCCATTGAGGCTGTAACAGATTTGAAAGTTATCTGGGAGGTAAAATCAATAGGTGTTTATGATTATCTGGATATAGTTTGGGGTGGAGGACAATGAAAAAAAAGACAGGTGGATAGACATATGCACACCCACAACTTAGAAACAACTCTCAGATTGCTACAAAACACACTTTATATAGTACTTACTCCTATGCCTAGAAATTAATTTTCAGTGCAGGTAAGAAGTGTGTATTCACCTGAATTTCTTCTTTCATTAAGTATGAGAGGCCCACTTCCTCTTCTCCCTCTCCCAACTCTGAACCTGCTTCATCTTCATCTTCATCCTCATCCTCATCCTCCTCTTCCTCTTCCTCCTCCTCTTCCTCATATCCTTCCGGTGGACCAGCTTCATTTTCCTCTTCCTCTTCATCATCTTCATCGCCATCTTTAAAAAATCATTTAAAGATGAGTAAATGACTGGGTAAATGTTTCTTCCTAGGATGTTGATGCTTTTTACCCTTGCCCAATCACTTCAAACTTGTAAGCCAATAGGTGGAAAGTAACTCACAGCGATACTTTTTTTTTTTTAAGATTTCTGTTTCACAACATTCCTAGTTATTCCTACAAACCAAATGCGAGAAGTATGGCTTCTAAATACTGGTATCCAATATATATCTAGATTCTCATGAAAATATTGCATGCACTAAAGTTTGTTTTACTTTGTGAACACTTCAAAACTTTGCTTGTGAGATGTTGGAGAGGCTGCAGAGAAAAGGGAATGCTTGTACACTGTTGGTGGGAATGTAAATTAGTTCAGCCACTATGAAAAGCAGTTTGGAAATTTCTCAAAGAACTAAAATACAACTACCATTCGACCCAGCAATCCCATTACTGGGTATATACCCAAAGGAAAGTAAATCATTCTACCAAAAAGACACATGCACTTGTATGTTCACCACAGCACTATTCACAATATCAAAGACATGGAACCAACCTAGGTGCCCATCAATGGTGGACTGGATAAAGAAAATGTAGAACATACACATGATGGAATACTACACAGCCATAAAGAAAGAATGAAATCATGTCCTTTGCAGCAACATAGATGCAGCTGGGGACCATCATCCTAAGTGGATTAATGCAGAAACAAAAAACCAAATACTGCATGCTCACTCTTACAAGCAGGAGTTAAACACTGGGGACACAGGGACATAAAGATGGGAACAGACACTGGAAACTTCAAAAGAGGGGAAGGAGGGTGGCTGAAGAACTACCTATTAGGCACTATGTTCACTATTTGGGTGAGAGGATCAGTAGAAGACCAAACCTCAGCATCATGCAATACACCCATGGAATAAACTTGCACACGTACCCCCTTAATCTAAAATAAAAAATAAACCTGCTTATCTATCATTTCATCATTTTATAACAGTATTTATCCATCAAATTTCTTTTTACGATGAAGAAGTTTTCACTCAATAATAATGAGCAGTATCCTATTACTAACAGCTATTCTGTCATCTGATCTGTTAGTCATCCACTTACCTAAAACTGTATGCTCACAATATACTTCTAGATTATTTTTCATCCCTCAAAAAGAAATCCCATACCCATAGGCAGTCACTCTCCCATTTTCGTCTCCCCCAGCATCAAGCAACCAATAATCTACTTTCTGTCTCAATGGATTTGCCTATCCTGAAGTTTCTGCCTATTCTGAACCATATATATATTATATATATATATATGGTTTTTTGTTTGCTTTTTTGTTTTGTTTTTGAGACAGAGTCTAACTCTGTCGCCCAGGCTACAGTGCAGTGACACGATCTCAGCTCACTGCAACCTTCGCCTCCCAGGTTCAAGCAATTCTGCCTCGGCTTCCCATGAACTTTCCATATAAATGAAGTCAAACAACACATGGTCTTTTGTGTCTCTCTTCTTTCACGTAGAAGAACATTTTCAAGGTTCATTCATGTGGCATGTATCACTACTTCATTCATATTAATGGTGATATAATATTGCACTGTATAGATAAACCACATTTCTAAAATCTGTTCATCGGGCCGGGGCGTGGTGGCTCACGCTGGTAATCCCAGCACTTTAGGAGGCTGAGGCAGGTGGATCACGAGGTCAGCAGTTCGAGACCAGCCTGACCAACATGGTGAAACCTCGTCTCTACTAAAAATACAAAAAAATTAGCTGGGAGTGGTGGCGGGCACCTGTAATCCCAGCAACTTGGGAGGCTGAGGCAGGAGAACTGCTTGAAACCAGAAGGCAGAGGTTGCAGTGAGCCGAGATTGTGCCACTGCACTCTAGCCTGGGCAATAAGAGCAAAACTCCCTCTCAACATAAAAAAAAAAAAAAAATTCCGTTCATCAGTTGATAAACACTTGGGTTGTTTCTACTTTCTGGCTATTATAAGTGGTTGCTTTTTTAAAAAAATACTATTTAAGAGGTTGCCACTTTTACTGGGTGTACAACTTTCTACAGATATAAAATTTCACAGAGCTTCATGTTATAATAGTCATTAAATTCCCTGAAACTATGGGAAATCTGAAAGAAGAAATACTGGCTAGAGCTATGGGTTTTTAATTTTTTCTTGTCTTACTAATATCTTGTTGTGGATTTTTTTTTTCACACCTAAATTTCCAGGCCCAATCTAATTTGCACAGCTACAGCAGAGGCTATAATTATGACACACTTATGAGTATTAAGAACGATTACCCTCATCATCCTCCTCTTCAGAGTCCGGCGCTTCATTATCCTCCTGATCAAATCCATCTAAGTATGTGATTTGCTGCAGTAGTTCAAAAATACTTTCTCTATAATCTTCCAGGTTTGTGATCTCACAGTTAAACAGGTCAAGACTTTTCAAATTTTTAAGATTTTGCTGGAAAAGTAAAGTTAAAACTTACATTCAAGATTTAAAATACCATGTTATTTCTTTTTTCTTTTTTTTTTTTTTTTTTTGAGACGGAGTCTAGCTCTGTTGCCAGCTGGAATTCAGCGCCACGATCTCTGCTCACTGCAACCTCCGCCTCCCGGGTTCAAGCGATTCTCTTGCCTCAGCCTCCCGAGTAGCTGGGACTACAGGTGCGCACCACCATGCCCCGCTAATTTTTGTGTTTTTGTTTTGTTCTGTTTTGTTGAGACGGACTTTTTGCTCTTGTTGCCCAGGCTGGAGTGCAATGGCATGATCTCAGCTCACCACACCTCCGCCTCCCGGGTTCAAGCGATTCTCCTGCCTCAGCCTCCCGAGTCGCTGGGATTACAGGCATGCGCCTCCACACGCAGCTAATTTTGTATTTTTATTAGAGACAGGGTTTCTCCACATTGGTCAGGCTGGTCTCGAACTCCTGACCTCAGGTGATCTGCCTGCCTCGGCCTCCCAAGGTGCTAGGATTACAGGCGTGAGCCACCGCGCCCGGCCTAATTTTTGTATTTTTAGTAGAGACGGGCTTTTACCATGTTGGCCAGGATGGCCTCAATCTCCTGACCTCATGATCGGCTCACCTCGGCCTCCCAAAGTGCTGGGATTACAGGCGCAAGCCACCGTGCCCGACCACATCATTTCTTTTTAATTTATGATCCAGAAAATATATATTTGAAATTGAGAATGATTTTTGTATTTTTCGAGTTTTATAATGAAGGGTTATTATATCAAGCACAACCAGCTCACCTGGCTAATTTTTATTTTTTATTTTTTATTTTTGTAGAGACAGGGTCTCACTATGTTGCCCAGGTTGGTCTCAAACTCCTGGACTCAAGCGATCCTCCCACCTCTGCCTCTCCAAGTGCTGGGATTACAGACATAAACCACTGTGCCCAGCCTCCAATCTTTTTTCAAAATCAGAGCAATAATTTTCAGCATGTCAGTTTTTCTTTTCCTTCCCTCAAACCAGGAAAGAAGGGGACAAATAATAAAAAACTCAAAAAATAATCAAGAAGCAAAGAAAAAGAATGAAAGAAGGTTAAAAAAAAATACTGGAAATGTTAAAACCAGATAGTCAACTCCTGAAGTTGATGATAAAATAAATTTCTCATTGATTTAAAAATTCATCTGAATATTTTAGTCTAAAAGAAACAAAAGCAGTAACTGCCTAGATCACAACATACAAAAAATTCTTAAGTTTTAAGAGTTAAATAGAAATTAATAGACACAAACAAATCTCAGAAAATTTAACCAAAAAAAGCAAGTCCAGAGACAAAACTGTTCCACTTACCAGAGCTTCTACTGTACTGAGATCTTTTATTTTGTTTCCACTCAGATTGAGGTAGGTAAGATTTGGACATTTCTCTGCCAGGACTTCCAAGCCTCCAGAAATTATATTATCACTAAGCTCCAACTATACATTCAACAAAGGAAAAAACAAAGAATGGTAAAGGTATCATATCAAACTTTTTTTTTTTTTGAAATGTAGTCTCACTCTGTCGCCCAGGCTGGAGTGCAGTGGTGCGATCTCCACTCACTGCAACCTCCGCCTCCTGGGTTCAAGCAAATTCTCCTGCCTCAGCCTCCCAAGTAGCTGGGATTACAGGTGCCCACCACCACACCCAGCTAACTTTTGTATTTTTGGTACAGATGGGGTTTCACCATGTTAGCCAGGCTGGTCTCGAACTCCTGACCTCAGGTGATCCACCCGCCTCGGCCTCCCAAAGTGCTGGGATTACAGGCATGAACCACTGAGCCTGGCATATCAAAGATTTTTAAAGTATATCAATTTGAAGAAAAAAAACTGTCATTCTCTCTGGCTTCAAGAAACTATCACGACAGATCATTAATTTCCAAATTCCTTTCTACATCTGCCAAATAATGTATTAGAACACCTACATAATGGGCTCTTAACCCAGCTTGGATTCTAGTTGTACTACATTTGGATTTCATGATGTAGAGAAAAATATTTGGTATATATTAAATCCAAATTCATATTATAAGGCAATTCCACTATTAGATTTACATTTCTAGACCGGGCACAGAGGCTCACTCCTTTAATCCCAGCACTGTGGGAGGCCGAGGCAGGAGGATGACCGGAGCCCAGGAATTTGAAACCAGTCTGGACAACATGGTGAAACCCTATCTCTGCAAAAAATACAAAAATTAGCCAGGTGTGGTGGCGCATGCCTGTAGTCTCAGCTACTCGGGAGGCTGAGGTGGGAGGATGCTTGAGCTCGGGAGGCAGAGGTTGCAATGAGCCAAGATCTTGCCACGGCACTCCAGCCTGGCAAGACCCTGTCTCAAAAATAAATAAATAAATAAATTTATAAAAGCAGTATTAGAGCTTATTCTCAAAATCCTATATAACTTTTTCTTATCTCTAGAAACTTAAAAACTTCTAATTAACAAGCAGAATGGTCATTCCATTTGGCCAAACACTAGACATATAGCCGTGGCATTGAAATCATGATGCTTCACGTAAATGCCAACTTACTTTTCGAAGTTTATTTAAGCTGGGAAGCCGGGCCAGCGAACTTAGTTCCACATTAGCCATACTCAGAAATTCTAGTTCTTTGAAAGTATCATTCAGGCCTTCAATTTCCCCATTGACACACAGGCAATTATCAAGGACTAACTCTGTCACCTGTAAGAGGGAAAACATTAATTAATGATTCTTTAGTTTGTAATCTGTTTAGGTAGAGACCTGGGTCTTGACACTCTGGAAATGTATTAAAACCACCAATCTCCAGTTTGATTGCCCGTCAGTTAAAACAAAATACGGCCGGGCGCGGTGGCTCACGCCTGTAATCCCAGCACTTTCGGAGGCCGAGGCGGGCGGATCACGAGGTCAGGAGATCGAGACCATCCCGGCTAAAACGGTGAAACCCCGTCTCTACTAAAAATACAAAAAATTAGCCGGGCGTAGTGGCGGGCGCCTGTAGTCCCAGCTACTTGGGAGGCTGAGGCAGGAGAATGGCGTGAACCCGGGAGGCGGAGCTTGCAGTGAGCCGAGATCCCGCCACTGCACTCCAGCCTGGGCGACAGAGGGAGACTCCGTCTCAAAAAAAAAAAAAAATAACAACACAACAGAAACCCCACCAATCCCCTTACACGGATCCTTTTCATTTCCCCCCAAAACTGATATACAATCTAAAGTCATCACTATAAGTAATCTTTTAAATTTCTTTTTTCTTTTTTTTTTTTTGTAGATGGAGTCTTGCTCTGTTACCCAGGCTGGAGTGCAATGGCACGATCTCGGCTCACTGTAACCTCTGCCTCCTGGGTCCAAGCAATTCTCCTGTCTCAGCCTCTGGAGTAGCTGGGATTACAGGCGTATGCCACCACTCCCGGCTAATTTTTTTGTATTTTTAGTAGAGACAGGGTTTTGCCATGTTGGCCAGGCTAGTCTTGAACTCCTGACCTCAGGTGATTCGCCCCCCTCAGCCTCCCAAAGTGCTGGGATTACAGGGATGAGCCACCTTGCCTGGCCATTTTTTAAATTTAAACTTGGACTAAAGTTCAATGCCTGCTTCAAATCACTGATGCATAAGAAACAAACTTTGAAGAAGTTCCCATGTGAAACCTGTTTCTGACCCTGATAAGGAGGACCCTCAACATCAGATAATATATTTATGCAAGGAGCGAGTACCTGAGCTACCAGGAAAAGATTCAAGTGAGCTGCCCTAAAACCTACAAAGAGTGCCAGGCTCGGGGGCTCACGCCTGTAATCCCAGCACTTTGGGAAGCTGAGGCAGGTGGATCACTTGAGGTTAGGAGATCAAGACAAGCCTGGCCAACATAGTGAAACCCCGTCCCTACTAAAAATACAAAAATCAGCCGGGCGTGATGGTGGGCACCTGTAATGCCAGCTACTCGGGAAGTTGAGGCAGGAGAATCACTTGAACCCGGGCAGCAGAGGTTGCAGTGAGCCGAGGCCGCACCATTGCACTCCAGCTTGGGCAACAGATAGAGACTCTATCTCAAAAAAAAAAAAAAAAAAAAAAAACCTACAAAGAGAAGAAACTGTTTAATCACTTTTTCAGTTTAAACCTCCTTCTCTTTGGTTGATAAAACCATCATAACTCAAAAAATCCTCCTTACCCTTTATGAAGAAACGTTAGAAAGCTCTTCTGGGAACAGCCCAGAGGGTGTTATTGGTTCTCACATCCAGGCCAAACGGTATCACCCAGAACAATACATTCTTAACAAAATGTTACTTCTCCCTACCACTCTGGTATAATAGCATTTCTGTGCACTTTTCCCCATTCCTCAAGGAGTGGGGCTGAATTCCCTATTAGGTAAGAGTTGTAGTAACAAACTTCCTGGTGTGGGCCTGAATGGACTTAATCTTTAAGGGAAAGGTTGAAGATCCTGGTTCTCTATACCCAATGTGAAAACCTGTTTGAGGTATCCGAGGGCTAAAATTTGGCAACAAGGAATGCCACCTTCTCTATTTGAATATGATTTTGACATAATTATTTCTGTGGCCAGAAAGAGCATCTTGAGCTCCGTTTTGGAGAAGAGGAAACTATGGCCCAGAGATGAAGAATGGCTTGCCTAGAGTCACAGTTGGTTTGCCGAAGGACTGTGAATTGGTTCTGTCTTCAGACTCCCCGTTTAGCTGAGGAGTGGGGGCTACTAGATTTGGTGTCAGAAAACCAGTTCCTCCACTTCTGTAAATCATTTCACTGCCCTGAGACTGTCTGCTAATTTGGATTCTAGAACAACACAATCCACCTTACAAGTACGTAAGGAGGAAAGTAAATAACAAACGGGTAAAGTGCTTTGTAAACTGTCTATACAAATATAAGAGACCGTTATTACAACACAGCGGAAGAAGTTGAAAAAAGGCAACGTCTTGCACACCCCAAAACTGGCAAAGAAATTACTACAATCACTAAGTGAAAGAATCCTGGCGGGGGAGGCGGGGGCGGGATTCAATTTTCCAACCCAAGCCACCAAAAAGTATTCTAAACGTGTGCTTGTGAGAGACAGCTTTTAAAGTTTGATTTTGGTTTTTTTATTTTTTTCCTGAAGCCTCTAAGAATAAGCTCTAGAAACTTCAAGTTATCTCCGGGATGACCCTGATAGCAAGCAACTGTTTCCTCTCCCTGGCCCCTGCCAATTTCAGAAAACAGGCACTTAAAAAAAAAAAAAAAATCTTAGTTGCCACTCCACACGCCGGACGCGAAAGCCCAGACAGACCCTGCTCATCCTCTATGCCGATCTGCACAGACACCACCCCAGTTATATCCTTCTATCGATCGGTCGATTCAGCTACAGACAACTCCCTTACGTTCCAATTCTAGGCTTATTTCAGCAAGACTGATGCTTTCCTCTGCGAGGCTCCCCGCTGGCCACCAGCCCTGCTCTCGCGACCTGCCGCTCCGACTGACGGGAAACCCCACACGGGGCGGGGACTCCCCAAGGAAAAAACGGGTCGCCTCCCAACCCGCGTTGTCCTCGCGCCTTCGCCCTGGGTAGGTGAGGCCGAGAAGGCAACCGCGAAAAGGAGGCGGAAACGCCTCCTACCCGACCCCCGAAAAGTTGACCGCGACCCCGCCTCACATGGCCCCTCCCAACCCCGTCTCTTTAAGGCGACAGCAGTGAGAGCGCATCATTTAGTTTCGGCGAACCCATCTTTAAAGCACGAAACTACTACGTCCCTTATGTTGAGTTTTGTGAAACCGTCTCCAGGGATCAAATTCAGAGTTGCGGCCACACGACGTGCCACATATCGTTACACGGCGGGGGAAGAAGCGGATTACGCCTCCCGTCCCCTCTCCACCTCCGGTCACTGCGACGAGTCCCCAAACTCGCCCGCGGTCGGAGAACCCGCCGCTGACCCAGATTCCGCCGGGCGAAGGGCAGAGGGCGGCGCGCGCGGCTTCCCGGAGGAGTGGGCGCCGCCGGAGCAGACAGTGCGCGGACCCTGCAAGCGACCCCAGCCCGCGCCCGTCGCGACGTCGGACGCCCAGGGCCTCGAGGCCGGGGAAGCCCACCCCCTAAAAAGATGAGTTGGCCGCACTGCAGAAAAGTTGGACTAACTTCTCAGGCGCCTATGGCTGCGGCAGGGGCTGAGTGGGACTGGGGGGTCGCGCCCACGCCGCCGGCCCCCAGGAGGAGGAGTGCCGGGAGCGAAGCGGCGGAGCGCCCCCACCAGCCCGCTTCCCGCCCCCACGAGGTCAGGACGCCCGACTCGATGAAAGCCGAAAGGAGCTAAGCCCCCATGCACACACAAAAACGCCCCTAGAAACTTCAACCCTTCGCCATTTTAAGTAGAAGATTTTAATGATTTAAAACTTAAAATTAAACATTTCCCCAACCCTAACCCGGGGGGATGGGGGCTAACTTATTACTCCATCCCCGCACACCCACCCAGGACCACCAGAAATCCGATCCTCAGAATACTGGACTGATGGGGAAGCGGTGGGGGCTGAGTCATCTCACCTCCTCCGGGGATCTGTTCCTTAACTCCAGGTTAATCTTCTTCTTCATCTCCATGTCCTCCTCTTGCTCTTCAGCTACTACTCTCCTTTTCCCTTTCCTGCCTTCCCCAATACCCCCAACCCAAAATTTTTAAGAGATTTAGAAATGAATGAAAAGGAACGCAAATATAAACGCCCACTACCACCACCAGATAGGTGTGGGGGAGAAAGAAGAGAATAGCAAATGGAGTCCAAGAGTTGGGACTCTAACTCAGCTGCCCCCACCTCCTTGTCCACACACTAGCGCGCGCACACACACGCACGCACGCGCGCACACACATACACACACACATACACACACACACCCGCAGTTCCTTCCCCTTCAATGGCTGCTCAGAGACTGAGCCTCCATGACACGGCACCGCCAACCCCCTGGCCTACACTCCACCCACCTCCCAAACGTGTTGGTTGATTCTTCAGCGTCACATTACTTCATTGGGCTAGGTAAAGGTCTATCAGTCTTCAGGGAGGCCCTGGACCAGAAATTCCGTACCTATTGGCTACGATCAAGCGCGCAGTTAATTTTGATAGGTCCAGGAGGGTGTACGTCCCGGAGAAATGATTTTGAATCCCAGTACCCCCCCTACTTTTCTTTATGTAGTTGGCGCGCTTTCCCTAGGCACTCGGACAGTTTCGTTGTCTGTTGGATTTGGTTTTTAGTTTTTGGTTTTTTATTCTGTTGTTAGTGTTAAAGAGGGAGAAAGCATCCTTCCGTGCCCAACTTGCGATACTGAGAATTCACCACACGGCACGCACTGGCTCTTGGCCGTTTTAAAAGCATAGCCTCTGCTTTGCAACCAAGGTGTACAGCAACGTGCGCATCACATTAAAAAGATGCCTTCGTGGCATTGTCCTGCTGGGGTCAGGCTCTTCACAGAGACTGACCTTCCGTGATGCAGAGCTAGAGCCGAGATTTTAAAGATGGTAGGTTAACACCATAAAAGACAACAATTTTGAAAGCAGTTGGGTGAAAGCAGTATGTAAGTTAGTAATATTTAAATAAAACTATCCTGGAGGAATTGTTACTGAGTTAATTGTTGCTGTAATAAACACTAAGACCTTGGAGGAAAAACGACGCTGTCCTAATGAAAATCAGACATTAATTAGCATAGAAATGGCACCGCGATGCCGCTCTAATTTCCCTTTGGTTGGTTTCCATGGAAATCTGTAGGTAAAGTGTGCTTTTAAAAGTGTTTATCGCTTCTCTGCCTTTTGGCTAAGATCAAGTGTAGGATCTGTTCTTAACAGTTTAATATCTGATATATTTTCTATCCGAGTCCAATATATTAAATGGATTTGGGGAGCAGGAAGACGGAATAGGAGCTTGCTTGTTCACTTCACGCATCGATCTGGTATTGCAGTACCTCCAGGAACAGTGCACCCCCTCAGGGGATTAAAATTTAATGTTCAAAACAGAAGAAGGAAAAAAAAACAGTCTGTCTATGTGGGATGGGATACAAAAGAGTGGGATAAGAATTATCTTTTGGCCGGGCGTGGTGGCTCCCACCTGTAATCCCAGCACTTTGGAAGGCCAAGGCGGTTGGATCACCTGAGGTCAGGAGTTGGAGACCAGCCTGACTAACATGGTGAAACCTCGTCTCTACAAAAAATACAAAATATTAGCCGGGTGTGGTGGCGTGCGCCTGTAATCCCAGCTACTCCAGAGGCTGAAACAGGAGAATTGCTTGAACCCGGGAGGCGGAGGTTGCGGTGAACCGAAATCGTGCTATTGCACTCCAGCCTAGACAGCAAAAGCGAAACCCTGTCTCAAAAATAAAAAGAATTATCTTTTAAAATTTTGTCTCGACGGTCTAACTTTTTTCTTAGCTCTTGCTTAAATTATATCATTCTTATTCCCTTACACCATTCTCAGGATAAATAACCAAATAAATTCCAAATGATTTGGGGAAGGAAGTGGAAAGTGGGGGAATTAGTCCCATGCCTCCCAGAACTGGTTGCTATTTTTCCTGTTTCTCAGGTTAGAGATCTTTGGCTTTCCAACACAGACTCCTCACAACTCCACCTTCCCTACTCCACCCCACTCAGAGACACACTGCTCCTCAAAGAGGATTACATTTAAAATGTAAATGCTGACCCGGCGCGGTGGCTAACGCCTGTAATCCCAGCACTTTGGGAGGCCAAGGCGGGTGGTCACCTGAGGTCAGGAGTTCGAGACCATCCTGGCCAACATCGTGACACCCCATCTCTACTAAACATACAAAAATTAGTGGGACGCGGTGGCGCGCGCCCGTAACCCCGGCTAGAATCGCTTAAACCCAGGAGCGGGAGATTGCAATGAGCCTGAGCGACAGAGTGAGCCGAGATGGCGCCACCGCACTCCAACCTGGGCGACAAAGTGAGACTCTGTCTCAAAATAAATAAATAAATAAATAAAATCCCATAGGGCATGTACATAAGATTCTCAGGCAAAGGAGAGCAAAACATGGTTGAAGGGGAAAAGAGAAGAGGGAGGGACTGTCTACCAAAGTCCTCAATGAAACTGAGGAGTAGGTAGAGAAGGAAAAAAATGTATGGAAGCCAAAGAAGAGATGGAAGAGATTATTAATGGTAGGGTTTCAAATAAAAGATGATGATTGGGATTAAATTGTATCCTGGAAATAATCAATGTGAAGAAAGGCCATGAACTCATTTTACCATTGAATAGTGGCTGCAGAAAGTACGCCATAGGGCCGGGCACGGTGGCTCACGCCTGTAATCCCAGCACTCTGGGAGGCTGAGGCGGGTGTATCATGAGGTCAGGAGATCGAGACCATCCTGGCTAACACGATGAAACCCCGTCTCTACTAAAAATACAAAAAAATTAGCCGGGCGTGGTAGCGGGCGCCTGTAGTCCCAGCTACTCAGGAGGCTGAGGCAGGAGAATGGCGTGAACCCGGGAAGCGGAGCTTGCAGTGAGCCGAGATCGCGCCACTGCACTCCAGCCTGGGAGACGAGCGAGACTCCGTCTCAAAGAAAAAAAAAAAGAGTGAAATTTAGTCAGGAGAAAAGCCAAAGCCAAACACATGTACCAGATCAGATCACTCTTTATTTAAGCTGAAGTAATTAGGTAGGGTTTAAATGGCAAAATGAAAAGTGAGGTTAAGTAACCAAGTTAAGGTGGGGCACGGTGGCTCTCGCCTGTAATCCCAGCACTTTGGGAGGCTGAGGTGGGCAAACCACTTGAGGCCAGGAGTTTGAGACCAGCTTGACCAACATGGTGAAACCCCATCTCTACTAAAAATACAAAAATTAGCCGGGCTTGGTGTCATATGCCTATAATCCCAGCTATCTGGGAGGCTGAGGCACAAAAATCACTTGAACCCAAGAGGTGGAGGTTGCAGTGAGCCAAGATCATGATATTGCACTCCAGCCTGGGCAACAAAGCAAGATTCTGTCTCAAAAAAAAACAAACAAAAAACAAAACAAAAAAAACAAGTTAAGTGGAGCAGGCGAGAGAGTGATTCAGAAACTCCTTTAATCCACCAGTAAGAAAGCTCCCTCAAGATATTTATTATTATTATCATTTTTTTTTTTTTTTGAGACAGAATCTCCTTCTGTCGCCCAGGCTGGAGTGCAGTGGCGCCATCTCAGCTCACTGCAAGCTCCACCTCCCAGGTTCACACCATTCCCCTGCCTCAGCCTCCTGAGTAGCTGGGACTACAGGCGCCCGCCACCAAGCCCGGCTAATTTTTTGTATTTTTAGTAGAGACGGGGGGTTTCACCGTGTTAGCCAGGATGATCTCGATCTCCTGATCTCGTGATCCGCCCGCCTCGGCCTCCCAAAGTGCTGGGATTACAGGCTTGAGCCACCACGCCTGGCCCCTCAGGATATTATTAAATTCAACATGCCTTTAACATTCAAAATCCAAGCTCATCTACTGCTGCTGAATATCTTGTTTGCACTTCTAGATCTACTCTTCACGCTTCTCCACCCTGCTCTGTAACCCAGAACCTATATGGACTGCGTGAAGTCCTGTGGCTTCCTGGACTTGGTCCTGATAGGAAATCAAGTCAGGAGGAAAGTGAGGTTGGACATTTATTCCCCAGCTTCCTCTCTGCCAGGTCCATACAAAATGGCTGAGTCCCTCTAAGGAAAGCCATAGATGGTGTCAGAACTGTGGTGGACACTGTGATGTACCACCCAGCTTTTCCTTCAGGAATGAGGAACTTGTTCCTGTAGCTGCTGGGAGTACTACTGGAAGATGACCCTAAACTGTCAGCCCTTTTAGGGGATTGCCTGGCTCAAGATTACCTCACTCAAGGTTATACCTCCTTTTGGGGAAGCCTGAATCCAACGAGTGATTAACACAGAGGTGTAAAGGACCAGCCTGCCCTTTTGCCCAGTTTTAGACAAACTCAGAAGGGTCATCCCAGCTCCAGAGCACCCTGTTGGGGTCAGCTGAGGCCTTCGTTAGGATGGCATTGCCATTCAGTTTCTCTCTCTACTTCATCCTGCTTCTTTCTTCTTCCTCCCACAGGTAATGGTCCCAATATCACTCAACAACAAATGTCCCAACATCTCAGTCTGCTTCCTGGGGACATGTGACAGTGGCTCTCTCCAAATACCTACCCTCTGAGAACGCCCAAACTAACCTATAAAAGCAATCACCTAGAGAAGCCTTGAGACCATGTGAAGAGAGTGACAGGTGCCCAGCCAGCCCCCAGCTTCTTCAACCCCCATTTCCAGTTGCAGCCACCATCTGACCTCATGAGAGATCCTGAGTCAGAACCAGCCAGCTCAGCCTTTCCCAAACTCCTGTGTCACAGAAATCACCAGAAATAATAAAATAATCATTATTCTTTTAAATATCTAAATTTGGGGTTGTTAGGTAGCAATAGTAATTGGAACAACTTCCTAGCACACATTTTTCTGATCAAATCTCACTAGTGCACCGGGCACAGTGGCTCACGCCTGTAATCCTAGTACTTTGGGAGGCTGAGGTGGGCAGATTACTTGAGGTCAGGAGTTCGAAACCAGCCTGGCCAACATGGTGAAACCTTGTCTCTACTAAAAATACAAAAACTTAGACGGGCGTTGTGGTGGACACCTGTAATCCCAGCTACCTGGGAGGCTGAAACAGGAGAATTGCTTGAACCCAGGAGGCAGAGGTTGTGGTGAGCCGAGATCGTGCCATTGCACTCCAGCCTGGGTGACAGAGTGAGACTCCATCTCAAAAAAAAACAAAAACAAACAAACAAACAAAATCTCACTAGTGCCCTTTTTGTTCTGTGATGACAGGTGATAGTCATTCTGCTCCTTTTAGTTTTGCTTATGCTATTTTCTACCTTAAACAAAACAAATTCCCTCCTCTGAATTCTCAGCACTTATTAAATGTTCTACTCATTTAGCATTTACCCTATGATGCCTTGCAACATCTCATATATGTTTGTGTGTGTGCGTGTTTTTGTTTTTTTTTTTTGAGACAGAGCTCACTCCATTGCCCAGGCTAGAAGTAAGTGGCGAGATCTTGGCTCACTGCAACCTCCGCCTCCCGGGCTCAAGCAACTCTCCTGCCTCAGCCTCCTGAGTAGCTGGGACTACAGCTGTGCACTACCACACCTGGCTAATTTTTGTATTTTTAGTAGAGATGGGGTTTCACCATGTTAGCCAGGCTGGTCTTGAACTCCTGACCTCAGGTGATCCACCCACTTCGGCCTCCCAAAGTGCTGGGATTACAGGGGTGAGGCACTATGCCCGGTCTCATATATGTTATTTAACTCTGATTGCTCCCAACTAGATTGGAATTTCCTACAGGGAAATTAAGTCAGTTAACTTGGCTTTCTCTGGCATCACTCATAGGAGTGGGCACAGTGCTGAGCACAGAGTGGGTATTTAAGACAGTTTTAATAATTGATTATACCTCAAATAAGTCTCAGCTAGTAGTTTAAATTCATACTTCTTTTTTTTTTGACAGAGTCTCGCTCTGTAGCCAGGCTGGAGTGCAGTGGCACGATCTCAGCCCACTGCAACCTCCGACTCCCTGGTTCAAGCGATTCTCCTGCCTCAGCCTCCGGAGTAGCTGAGATTACAGGCACGTGCCACCACGCCCAGCTAATTTTTGTATTTTTAGTAGAGATGGGGTTTCACCATGTTGGCCAGGATGGTCTTGATCTCCTGACCTCGTGGTTTGCCCACCTTGGCCTCCCAAAGTGCTGGGATTACAGGCGTGAGCCACCACGCCCTGCCTTTAAATTCATACTTCTATTAGGAAATAATTTGGTTGATGCTTTCTTGGGGAATAGGTGATGGAGTAGGAGTTAAGAATAACTACAAGCCAGGTGCAGTGGCTCACGCCTGTAATCCTAGCACTGTGGGAGGCCGAGGCGGGCGGATCACGAGGTCAGGAGATCGAGATCACCCTGGCCAACATGATGAAACCCCGTCTCTAGTAAAACTACAGGAATTATCTGGGTGTGGTGGCACGTGCCTGTAATCCCAGCTACTCAGGAGGCTGAGGCAGGAGAAATGCTTGAACCTGGGAGGCAGAGATTGCAGTGAGCTGAGACTGCACCATTGTACTTCAGCCTGAGTGACAGAGCAAGCCTCTGTCTAAAAAAAAAAAAAAAAAAAAAAAGAATAGCTACAGACTGCTGTTCTGCTCTTCTCTTAACCTTTTCACTTTCCCTTTTCCAAACTAGTTAATTTGCAGTTTAAAGATAAAGGTAGGCCAGTGCAACTAATGCATTTTCTCCAGAGTTTAAACTCACTTGGAACCACCAGAAATCATTCCCACTCATACCACTAAGAAATCCTGTCCCAGAAAACCACCCAACAGGGTCACTACTGCTCTCCTTAGCACTAGGAGAGATGATCAATACCCAGAGAACACCAATAATTCTAGATGCCCACTGTGCTAATATGTTTTGAGAACCTTCCAGGTCAACACCTTTTAAGGCAATGTAGGTTTTTATATTTGTACAGGACCTTAGAGTTAGGGGATATATGTCTATATATTTATATTCTATCTATAGATCTAAAGTGAGTTACTTTTACAAAAAAAACAAAAACAAAAACAAAAAACACTGAATTTTATGAGGTTAAGTGGTGTGGTAAATTGTCTGCAAAAGTAGAAAAATAGTCATCAACAGTTTCTCCCATCCCTGTGCACACACCACACTCCCCCCATCAGGAGGTGGAGTCTGTTTCTTTTCCCCTTGAATCTGGGCTAGTCTTATGACTTGCTTTCACCAATAGAATGTAGTGGAAATAACACTGTGCCAGTTCTGGGCCTATTCCTTAAGAGACCTGGCAGTTTCCGCTTTGCTCTTTGGGAAGCCATTTCTCATATAAAGAAGTCTAACTACCCTATTGGAGAGAGTGGCCATGTATCTTTCATTGTAGATAGAGGCCCTGGGAAATGAGAGATTATGAAGGGAGAGAGAGCCTAGACATCCTCCAGCTGTCCCAGCCAACCAGTGCAGGCCCCAGCCATGCAAGTGAAGTTGACTTGGATCCTCCAGCCTTTTGTCAAGCTGCCCAGCCAACACCATGTGGAGTAGAGACAGGCTATTCCACTATGTTCTGGCCAAATTAAAGAATCTTTCTCTTTTTTTCTTTTTTTTTTTTGAGACAGAATTTTGCTCTTGTTGCCCAGGCTAGAGTGCAACGGCATGATCTTTGCTCACCGCAACCTCCGCCTCCTGAGTTCAAGCGATTCTCCTGCCTCAGGCTCCTGAGTAGCTGGGATTTCAGGCATGCACAACCATGCCTGGCTAATTTTGTATTTTTTTTAGTAGAGATGGGGGTTTCTCCATGTTGGTCAGGCTGGTCTCGAACTCCCAAACTCAGGTGATCCACCTGCCTCGGCTTCCCAAAGCGCTGGGATTACAGGCGTGAGCCATCACGCCTGGCCTAAAGAATTTTGAGTACAGCCAGATGTGATGGCTCACACCTATAATCCTAGCACTCTGGGAGGCCAAGGTGGCCAGATCACGAGGTCAGAAGTTTGAGACCAGCCTGATCAAGATGATGAAACCCTGTCTCTACTAAAAATACAAAAATTAGCCGGGCATGGTGGCACACACCTGTAATCCCAGCTACTCAGGAGGCTGAGGCAGGAGAATCGCTTGAACCTGGGAGGCGGAGGTTGCAGTGAGCCGAGACTGCACCACTGCACTCCATCATGGGCAACACGAGTGAAACTCCATCTCAAAAAGAAAAAAAAAAGAATCTTGAGTAAGGCCAGATGTGGTGGCTCACACCTGTAATCCTAGCACTTTGGGAGGCAGAGGCAGGCGGATCGTTTGAGCACAAGCGTTTGAGACCACTGTAGGCAACATGGCAAAAATCCATCTCTACAAAAAATACAAAAAATTAGCCAGGCATCGTGGCATATACCTGTAGTCTCAGTTACTTGGGAGGCTGAGGTAGGAGAACCAACTAAGCCATGGAGGTCCAGGCTGCAATGAGCCAAGATCATCCCACTGCACTCCAGCCTGGGTGACAGAGTAAGACCCTGTCTCAAACAAACAACAACAACAGCAAAAGAATATTGAATAAATAAAGCATAGTTGTTGTTTTAAACTACTCATTTTTAAGGTTGTTTATTAATTATTAATAAGTAAACAATAGCAATAATAGATAACTAGAAGATAACTAAAACAAGAGGTAGTGATTAGTAATTTGTAAATATGAAACTCAAATTCATTTCCTCTATTTCCTCTTTTTCGAAGTTCAACTCTTTTTCCAAAGGTTACCAATAGAATCCTGTTTAATTCATGGGTGCACAAAAAGTTCTGCTCCCTAAAATATCATTCTTATTATTTATTGATGCTCAAAATGCCACAAATAGATACTCAATCTTATGACTCCCATTGAGATACAAAAACTCCAGGATGACTAACAAGTAAACTTTTTTTTTTTTTTTTGTAGACAGGGTCTGGCTCTATCACCCAGGTTGGGGTGCAGTGGTGGGATCTCAGCTCACTGCAACCTATACATCCCAGGCTCAAGTTATCCTCCCACCTCAACTCCCCAAGTAGCAGTTATCCTCTCACCTCAATTCCCCAAGTATCTGGGACTACAGGCATGCCTGGTTAGTTTTGGGTTTTTTTGTTTTTGTTTTTTTGTATTTTTAGTAGAGACAGAGTTTCACCATGTCGCCCAGGCTGGTCTCGAACTCTTGAGCTCAAGTGATCCTCCCACCTTGGCCTCCCAAAGTGCTGAGATTACAGGCGTGAGCCACTGCAATCAGCCTAGTAAACTTGATTAATCTATTAAACCTTTGTTGAATATCTTTATCAAATAATTTTTAGAAAAGATTCTGATTGGCAGCATGAAAACTATAAAATGATCAAACTACCCTATATTTTCCAGGATTTTTCAAGTTTTTTCTTTAATTTGGGATCCTCTTCTCTGTAGAGATTGTCAGTAAATGGTGAAGAGAGAAGATTGCATATTGTTACGGTAAACTTCTTTTTTTTTTTTTTTTTTGAGACAGAGTCTCTCTCTGTCGCCCAGGCTGGAGTGCAGTGGCGCGATCCCGGCTCACTGCAAGCTCCGTCTCCCGGGTTCACGCCATTCTCCTGCCTCAGCCTCTTGAGTAGCTGGGATTACAAGCGCCCACCACCACGCCCGACTATTTTTTTGTATTTTTAGTAGAGATGGGGTGTCAACGTGTTAGCCAGGATGGTCTTGATCTCCTGACCTCGTGATCCGCCCGCCTCGGCCTCCCAAAGTGCTGGGATTACAGGCATGAGCCACTGCGCCCGGCCAGTAAACTCTTGATTACTGCCATGTGAATACAAAATTCTGCGGAATATCTGCAAAAATATAAAATTCTAGGTTGAGCTTTCCCAGTTTGAATCACCTCTCTACATGCTAAGGGAGTGAGTGTAAACAAGTTCTAACATTAGCCAAAGTCAAACAAAATTAGAAGAGTAAGTCTCCTAGAAACAAATCCATATTGCAATATCAAATAGATATGATTTAGAGATTTTGGCTGGGTGCGGTGGCTCACACCTGTAATCCCAGCACTTTGGGAGGCTGAGGCGGGTGGATCACGAGGTCAGGAGATCGAGACCATCCTTGTCAATATGGTAAAACCTGGTCTCTACTAAAAATACAAAAATTAGCTGGGCATGGTGTCACGTACCTGTAATCCCAGCTACTCAGGAGGCTGAGGCAGGAGAATTGCTTGAACCTGGGAGGTGGAGGTTGCAGTGAGCTGAGTTTGCCCACTGCATTCCAGCCTGGGCAACAAAGAGAGAGACTCCATCTCAAAAAATAAAAATCAAAAAAATTTACAAATTTATCTTACGGCAACTCTTTGTCATCTGTGCTACTGGATAAACACAGTAATTCTGTCACCCAGGCTGGAGAACAATGGCATGATATTGGCTTACTACAACCTCCGCCTGCTGGTTCAAGCAATTTTCCTGCCTCAGCCTCCTGAGTAGCTGGGACTACAGGAGTGCACCATCACGCCCAGCTAATTTTTGTATTTTGTTTTTGAGACAGAGTTTTGGTCTTGTTGCCCAGGCTAGAGTGCAATGGGGCAATCTTAGCTCACTGCAATCTCTGCCTCCCAGATTCAAGCGATTCTCCTGCCTCAGCCTCCCAAGTAGCTGGGATTACAGGCATGCACCAGCATGCTCGGCTAATTTTTGTATTTTCAGTAGAGACGGGGTTTCCTCATGTTGGCCAGGCTGGTCTCAAACTCCTGACCTCAAGTGATCCATCCCCCTCAGCCTCCCAAAATGTTGAGATTATAGGCATGAGCCACGGTGCCCGGCCAAATTTGTAATTTTGGTAACAAGGTTACCTTCAAAACATAACTTGAGGCTAGGTCCAGTGGCTGACACCTGTAATCACAGCACTTTGGAAGCCTGAGGCAGAGGATTGCTTGAGCCCAGAAGTTCTAAACCAGCCTGTGCAATATAGCAAGATCCTGTCTCTAATTAAAAAAAAAAAAAAAAAAAAAAAAAAAGGTAAGGGCGCGGTGGCTCACACCTGTAATCCCAGCATTTTGGGAGGTCGAGGCGGGTGGATCACCTGATGTCAGGAGTTCGAGACCAGCCTGGCCAACATGGTGAAACCCTGTCTCTACTAAAAAAATACAAAAATTAGCTGGGTGTGGTGGCAGGTGCCTATAATCCCAGCTACTCAGCAGGCTGAGGTAGGAGAATCGCTTGAACCTGGGAGGCGGAGATTGCAGTGAGCCAAGATCGTGCCATTGTACTGCAGCCTGGGCAACAAGAGCGAAACTCCATCTCAAATTAAAAAAAAAAAAAAAAAAAAGGACCAAGCATAGTGGCTCACACCTGTAATCTCAACACTTTGGAAGGCTGAGGAGGATTGCTTCAGGAGTTCAAGACCAGCCTGGGCAACATGGGGAGACCCTGTCTCTACAAAAAATAAAAAATTAGCTGGGCGTGGTGGTGCCCACCTGTGGTCCCAGCTACTCAGGAGGCTGGGGTGGGAGGATCGCTTGAGCCCAGGAGGTTGAGGCTAGAGTGAGCTGTCATTTTGCCACTGCAATCAATCAATAAAAACTGAAAACTTATGGTTAATATGGAGAATTTAATATCTATATTTACCTATATTTCCTCCCAAATCTTAATAAAATGACTTTGAAAGAATGAGATCTAAATACAAAGGACAAAGAGAATGAGCAAGAAGACAACTGAGGAGAGACCTCAACAAAATTTTGGAATCTGTAAAGCTGATGAACAATGTAGTTCAGATATGCTTCTTTACTTCTGAGGTTTCCTCTTTTTTTTTTTTTTTTTTGAGACAGAGTCTCGTTCTGTTGCCCAGGCTGGAGCACACTGGCGCGATCTCGGCTCACTGCAGCCTCCGCCTCCCAGGTTCAAGCGATTCTCCTGTCTCAGCCTCCTAAGTAGCTGGGACTACAAGCGCGCAGCACCATGCCCGGCTAATTTTTTGTATTTTTAGTAGATATGGGGTTTAACTGGCTGGGCGCGGTGTCTCACGCCTGTAATCCCAGCATTTTGGGAGGCTGAGGCAGGAGAATCGCTTGCACCGGGGAGGCAGAGGTTGCAGTGAGCCAAGATCGCGCCATTGCACTCCGGTCTGGGCAACAAGAGTGAAAATCAGTCTCAAAAAAAAAAAAAGAAGAAGAAGAAGAAAGAAAGAAATGGAGTTTAGCCGTGTTAGCCAGGATGGTCTCAATCTCCTGACCTCGTGATCTGCCTGCCTCAGCCTCCCAAAGTGCTGGGATTACAGGCTTGAGACAACGCGCCCGGCAGGTTTTCCTTCTTATGAAGAGACTTAATTCATGTAACTGTGCCTTTTTTAGCCCTTTGTTCATACACTCTTTTTCTTTTTCTTTTTCTTTTTCTTTTTTTTTGAGACGGAGTCTCGCTCTGTGGCCCAGGCTGGAGTGCAGTGGCACGATCTCGGCTCACTGCAAGCTCCGCCTCCTGGGTTCACGCCATTCTCCTGCCTCAGCCTCCTGAGTAGCTGGGACTACAGGCGCCCGCCACCATGCCCGGCTAATTTTTTGTATTTTTAGTAGAGACAGGGTTTCACCGTGTTAGCCAGGATGGTCTCGATCTCCTGGCCTCGTGATCCACCCGCCTCAGCCTCCCAAAGTGCTGGGATTACAGGCTTGAGCCACCGTGCCCAGCCTTTGTTCATCCACTCTTAATGGTCTGTTCCACTCAGTTCTATCCTGTTGCTCTTGGGAAGAGGAGCCCACCCATCAGAACACATTTTCTGCTTGTTTCCTCCATGCTGAGATCTGCCCCAATCCAAGCTGCCTGATCCTGGGATACAGTTAGCAGGCTCTTTTTTTTTTTTTTTTTTTTGAGACGAAGTTTCTCCTTTGTTGCCCAGGCTGGAGTGCAATGGCACGATCTTGGCTCACCACCTCTGCCTCCCGGGTTCAAGTGATTCTCCTACCTTGGCCTCCCGAGTAGCTGGGATTGCAGGCATGCATCACCACACCCAGCTAATTTTGTATTTTTAGTAAAGACGGGAGTTTCTCCATGTTGGTCAGGCTGGTCTTGAACTCCCGACCTCAGGTGATCAGCCTACCTCGGCCTCCCAAAGTGTTGGGATTACAGGCATGAGCCTCCGAGCCCAGCTTTTTTTTTTTTTTTTTTTTTTTAGACAGAGTTTCACTCTGTTGCCCAGGCTGGAGTGCAGTGGCACGATCTCTCAAGTAGCTGGGATTATAGGCGCCCACCACCACACTCAGCTAATTTTTTATTTTTAAATAGAGATGGGGTTTCTCCATGTTGGCCAGGCTGGTCTTGAACTTCTGACCTCAGGTGATCTGGCCTCCCAAAGTGCTGGGATTACAGGTGTGAGCTGCGCCTGGCCAGTTAGCAGGCTCATTGACTCCCATACTAACCCACATCCTCCAATCTGGTCTCAAACAGTAATAAAGGTGATATGTTGACCTCTGTATTTATTTTTTGCTTGATTTCTCAATGTGTTCAGGACCTTAGAACAAAGAAGGAATGCTTTTATTGGGATCCCCTTCAGAGGTCCCAGTAATTATCTTAGCAGGGCCGGGAACGGTGGCTCATGCCTGTAATCCCAGCACTTTGGGAGGCCGAGGCAGGCAAATTACCTGAGGTCAGGAGTTCGAGACCAACCTGGCCAACAGGGTGAAACACTGTCTCTACAAAAATACAAATATTAGCTGGGCCTGGTGACTCGCACCCGTAATCTCAGCTACTCATGAGGCTGAGGCACAAGAATTGCTTGAACGCGGGAGGTGGAGGTTGCAGTGAGCCAAGATTGTACCACTGCACTCCAGCCTGGGCAATGGAGGGATACTCTGTCTCAAAACCCTGCCCCACCCCCCCCCAAAAACCCAATATACATTATCATGAAATTATATATAACACCCAGGAGAAAGGAAAATTACTAAAAAGCTTCCAGAGAGAAGAGCCAGTTGAACTCAGAACTGGAGGTTAAAGGGTTCCAAGAGGAATATCTCTTTTAAAAATGTTATGACAGAATGAATATCTGACAGGTTGGAACATAATAAAATAAGAGTTAGATTTTCAACAGTGAATTTGGAGATGAATAAGCAACTAGAAAACTAAAACAAAAGAAAAAAATAAGGCCATTATTAATTTGAGGGAAATTAAAAGTTATACAAGAAAGGAAATATAATACACTTCTTGGCTAAGCTGTGAGTAAATACTGATGATAACTTAAATGTTAATTTAACTAATATTACGATATAATAGTTATTTCCAAGGGGCTGGGGGCAGGAGAAGTGTGTTTTAGGAAGGAAGTATTATGTAAAAGAAGTAACTCCTCATCTTTTGTGGTTGGAAGTTAATAGGTAATTCTGTGGCAGAGGGCAGGCCTATGCAAACCTGTTCCAAAAGTCCAAGGAAGCTGAGAGGCCAAAGAAAGAGGCTGACAAGTCCAGTTTCTTAGAAATAAACATTTAATAGAGACTTATGAACAGAGGCCGTGTGCATGTCTTGGGCAATGGTGAGATGAGATGGTGGTTTCCTGCTCCATTACCCCCAGACCTGGGGCTTCTATACTACAGGGAAAGGGTGATTCAGAAGGGATGTATAGATACGATAACATCAAGGTTGTTTGAGCTAAGGGCAGAATGTATGGTAATACCTGCTCTTACACCAGGAACAATAGGCAAACTTGAAATCTTAGAGGCCTTCCCAGAACTGGGGTTAATCAGAAGCCAACATGGTGGATTAGCTTTCACAAATACCTGAAACTCTAAAAAATCAAGACATAGCAGTATAAATATGTTTTTGGAAATTTGAGGTGAATACTAGGAGGAAGTTAGAAAGTTGCAGCAATTATCTCTGGGAAGTAAGAATTAGATGTGGGAAGAATAGAGTGTTTAATTATAACCTATGTTGATCTATTTGACTTTTTAAACTATGTACCTGTTCTACTTTGATAAAAATAAAAATTAAATTTAAAAATAGGCTGTGCGCAGTGGCTCACGCCTGTAATCCCAGCACTTTGGGAGGCCGAGGCGGGCAGATCACCTGAGGTCAGGAGTTTGAGACCACCTGGCCAACATGGCAAAACCCTGTCCCTACTGAAAATACAAAAATTAGTTGGGCTTGGTTAGGGGAGCCAGTAATCCCAGTTACTCGGGAGGCTGAAGCAGGAGAATCACTTGAACCCAGGAGGTGAAGGTTGCAGTGAGCTAGATCACGCCACTGCACTCCAGCCTGGGCAACAGAGCAAGACTCTGTCTCAAAAAATAATAACAATAATAATGTGAGTTAGTTAACCACTGACTTGTGGACCTTCCATAAACACAATGAAACATATTGAGTGGACCAGCAGTCTTTAAACTGATATCAACATTTTTTATTCTGTGGTGAAAGATAAGAATGTAGGTATATTGTTTGTTTGTTTAACTTTTTTGATTTGTTTTTGTTTGGTTCATTTTTTTGGTTTTAGAGACAGGGTCTTTCTTGCTCCATCACCCAGGTTAGGGTGTAGTGGTGTGATCATGGCTCACTACAGCCTCAAATTTCTTGGGCTCAAGCTATCCTCCCACCTCAGCCTCCTGAAGTGTTGAGGCTATAGGTGTGAGCCACTACACCTGGCTATATCTTGTTATATAGAAATTTAGCATGCCAAATTCAAACTTATTCAATGTACAATATCTGTTGACAGGACCTTGCTATACTCATCTGTCATGTTTCAATAGGTATATTTCTCTATTTATTAATACAGTTTAGATATTTTTGCCAGTGTTGTATTTGTGTTTCCATTTAATTTTAGCTCGATCAAGCCAATTGCTTCCACAAAACACCAAAAACAAAATCTAAGTAATCAGAGTTGAATGTAATTCTACTGAAATATAGTGAAATTTGATAGAAGCTGGGTGATTATTTGGTGCAATCTGATCTATTTAATTATGATTTTCTCCTGCTTAATTATTTGAGCTATTTCAACAAACAGTATTTTGCATTAGTATATATTATTTTAGTGTTATACTTTCTCATAAAATAATGAGTTTACTTTCAATATGTGTTTTTTAAGAGTTTGCTACACTCACTAATGTAGCCTTTACTTATCTTTAAGCCAAAATTTCCTCCAAATGAACATATCTCTCATTTTATTCTGAAAGTCCATGAAAGGATGATATTCACTGTACAGAAATTTAACCATGTTACAAGTGAATTTTATTTCTGTATGATAGCTAAAAGGTCACAAGGGAAAGAAAAATATTGAATTTTTGCCTAGTGTGAAACACCAATTGTAGAGTCCTTTGTTTATCTCCCCAAAGAAGAAAAGAGTAACAACTTGTATAAATACCATTGGAGGAGTATAACCTTTATGGAAGGCAATATGGTAACAAATATAGCAAAAACCCTTTAAAAAGTTGATATCCTAAATTAAAACCAAAATGAGATACCATTATACACTAGAAGAATAGCTACTTTTTTCTTTTTTTTTTTTTTTTTTGTAGACGGAGTCCTGCTCTTGTCGCCCAGGCTGGAGCACAATGGCATGATCTCGGCTCACTTCAACCTCTGCCTCCCAGGTTCAAGAGATTCTCCTGCCTCAGCCTCTAGAATAGCTGGGATTACAGGCACGAGCCACCACACCTGACTAATTTTTGTATTTTTAGTAAAGACGGGGTTTTGCCATGTTGGCCAGGCTGGTCTCGAACTCCTGACCTCATGATGCGCCCGCCTTGGCCTCCCGAAGTGCTGGGATTACAGGTGTGAGCCACCGTGCCCGGCTGTACCTTTTTTTTTTTTAAACGGACAATATCAAATGCTTGTAAAGATGAGGACAACTAGAACTCATACATTGCTGGTGGGAAAGAAAAACTGTATAAGCACTATGAAAAACAGTCTGGGGACCAGGTGCAATGGCTCACGCTGGTAATCCCAACACTTTGGAAGGCCTAGGCAAGAGAATCACTTGAACCTAGGAGATGAGACCAGCCTAGGCAACATGGCAAGACCCCATCTCTATTAAAAAAAATAAAATAGTCTGGGCGCGGTGGCTCACACCTGTAATCCCAGCACTTTGGGAGGCTGAGGCAGGTGGATCATGAGGTCAGGAGTTAGAGACCAGCCTCGCCAAGATGGTGAAACTCTGTCTCTACTAAAAATGCAAAAATTAGCCAGACATGGTGGCACGTGCCTGTAGTCCCAGCTACTTGGGAGGCTGAGGCAGGAGAATTGCTTGAACCTGGGAGGCAGAGGTTGCCAGTGAGCCATGATCATGCCACTGCACTCCAGCCTGGGAAACAGAGCAAGACTCCGTCTCAAAAAATAAATAAATAAATAAATAATAAAATAAAAGAGGCCAGGCATGGTGGCTCATACCTGTAATTCTAACACTTTGGGAGGCTGAGGCAGGAGAATTACTTGAGCCAGGAGTTCAAGACCAACCTAGGCAATATGGTGAAACCTTGTCTCTACAAAAAAATTAAAAAATTAGCTGGGAGTGGTGGCATGAACCTGTAGTCTCAGGTGCTTGGGAGCTGAGGTGGGAGGATCGCTTGAGCCCAGGAAGGGAAGGCTGCAGTGAGCCAAGATCACGCCACTGCACTCCAACCTGGACAACAGAGCCATGCCGTCTCAAAAGAAAAGAAAGTAAAAGAAAAACAGCCCGGCAGTTTTTTTACAAAGTTAAACATACGCTTCCCGTACAATCCAGCACTCAGTATCTATTTATTCCCACTCCTAGGTATTTACTCAAGAACAATAAAAACATATGTCTGCTCAAAGACCTGTACTCAAATACTTATAGTGCTTTTATTCATGGTGACTAGAAAGAAGTGGCTGCGGTGGCTCATGCTTATAATCTCAGCACTTTGGGAGGCCAAGCTGGGCAAATCACTCGAGCCCAGGAGTTCGAGACCAGCCTGGGAAACATGACAAAATTTTGTCTCTACAAAAACTAAGAAAATTTTTAAAACCTGCCAGTCATGGTGGCATGCGCATGTAGACCTAGCTACTCAGGAGGCTGAGAAGAGGATCATTTGAGTTTGAGGCTGAAGTGAGCTATGATTCTGCCACTGCACTCCAGCCTAGGGGACAGAGTGAGACCCTGCTTCCAAAAAAAAAGAGAGAGGCTGGGCGTGGTGGCTCACACCTGTAATCCCAGCACTTTGGGAGGCTGAGGCAGGCAGATCACCTGAGGTAGGGAGTTCAAGACTAGCCTGATCAACATGGAGAAACCCCGTCTCTACTAAAAATACCAAATTAGCCGGGCGTGGTGGCAAATGCCTGTAATCCCAGCTACTTGGGAGGCTGAGGCACGAGAATCACTTGAACCTGGGAGGCAGAGTTTACGGTGAGCCAAGATCATGCCATTGCACTGCAGCTTGGGCAACAGAGTGAGACTCTGTTTTTTTTTTTTTTTTGAGATGGAGTCTCGCTCTGTTGCCCGGGCTAGAGTGCAATGGCGCTATCTCGGCTCACTGCAAACTCCTCCTCCTGGGTTCAAGCGGTTCTCCTGCCTCAGCCTCCCGAGTAGCTGGGACTACAGGCGTGAGCCACCGCGCCCAGCTGAGACTGTACAAAAAAAAGAAGAGAGAGAGAGAGAGAGAAAGAGAAATGCTAATTTCTCTAATGCCAAATCTCTAATGTAGATTTGGACACACCCAGAACTATAGAATCGGGTACTATGGGGGTGAGGTCCAGAAATCTCTATTTATTTATTCTATTTTATCTTTGAGATAGAGTTTTGCTCTTGTCACCCAGGCTGGAGTGCGGTGGTGCAGTCTCGGCTCACCGCAACCTCTGCCTCCCAAGTTCAAGCGATTCTCCTGCCTTAGCCTCCCAAGTAGCTGGGATTACAGGCACCCGCTACCACACCTGGCTAATTTTTTTGTATTTTTGGTGGAGATGGGGTTTCGCCATATTAGCCAGGCTGGTCTCAAATTCCTGACCTCAGGTGATCTGCCCGCCTCGGCCTCTCAAAGTGCTGGGATTACAGACATGAGCCACTGCACCTGGCCAGAAATCTGTATTTTAATAAGCTTTCCAAGTTTAAAAAGCTTTCCAGGTGATTCTGATGCACATTGACATTTGAGAACCAATGGTGTAGGAGAAAGCTCACTGGTGCCTGTGTCCTTGTTCTGGTTTAGCCTAGCAGCTATATGACTAACCATGGCTAAATCCCTAAATCTCTCAAAACTCAGTTTTACAGGGTATAACAAGGGGTTTAGAATGATGCCTGAGGGCCCTTCTGCTCTAAAATTCTGTGAAAGACAGTAAATAAATGTTGCAATTACTAGATTCATTCAATCAACAGTTATGTACCAGGCAGCGTTCTGTTCATGGAATCAATGTATAACACAAAATTGCAACTGAAATAGTGTAACTTATCGCTTATAATTAAATGACTTGCAAATTTTCAGACCACAAACTTTTACCGGTCCTCAATTTACAAGATTCTCATACTACATTTGTTGTGTAATGTGAACTGGAAAACTAAGAAAATGATCCAAAGGGTCATTTTTTCCAAAATTACTTAATTCTTTTTTGTTTGTTTGTTTTTTCTTTTTTGTTTTTGTGACAGAGTCTCACTCTGTCACCCAGGCTGGAGTGCAGTGGAGCAATCTCAACTCACTGCAACCTCCCACTCCCGAGTTCAAGCAATTCTCCTGCCTCAGCCTCCTGCGTAGCTGGGATTACAGGCATGCACCACCACGCCTGGCTAATTTTTGTATTTTTAGTAGAGACGAGGTTTTGCTATGCTTTGGCCAGGCTGGTCTGGAACTCCTGGCCCACCTGCCTCGGCCTCCCAAAGTGCTGGCATTACAGGCGTGAGCCACCACGCCTCATCTCAGTCAAGTTTCAGTATATCTACAAGGACAGGAGATGGCGCCAGAAGGCAGTGAGATGCTTGGTTTTGGTTTTAACGGTTTTAGCCAATGCAAGCAAGGAAAGGGCTTGAGAGAGAGGTCAGAACTAAAACAAAGGTGCCAGAGTTTGAGTGGAAACTAAGACTGAGTGGGGAGAGGGAGCTGTGTCAGTTTTTTTTTTTTTAACTTACATATAAGGGTCCCCTTGACACCTACTCCAAATCAGCACAGCTAGAAAGCAACAAAAGAAATATCCACAGTAAAGCCAAAGATCAAGATAAAGTCAAGTGCCTGGAGGACGGCGCTCGCCTTCTGGCTCCCTCTGTCCTAGAAAGGAGGGCCTTTGTCGTCTGGGAAGCATAAGCACCTGGATGCGTTGCTCACCCAAGATCAGGGAAGTGTTGATTCCAGGCTAAGATATCTTTGTGAAACAATGTTCAGTTGCGTAGGCAAAATCCCAAAGCCCAGCAGCAGTGAAATACCTCCCAGAAGGAACCACATACACAAAGCATTTTAAATTAAAATTTAAAAATTCATAGACGAGCCAGGAGGTGGCGCCTGGCAAGACACGCTATCTGCCTTGGAAATCGGAATCTCAGCTCAGCGCTCCAGGGGAACTCTGTTCCGGCAGAGGTCATTCTGTTCAGACCTCTTCTTTCCTACTAAATCTCTTCTTTCATACCAAGATGTCTCTGCTTTCTTTTTTTGTTTCTTTGTGTTAAGTACCCTGATTCCCGGGAAATCTAATTTATACTTCAAGTCTTTTACTCTTCTTAGATGGGATGGATGGGGCTTTGGGGAACCTCAAAACATAAAACTTTCCTGAAGGGGACAAATAACTCAGAGGGTGATAGGAGAAGAAAAAGGGAAATGACATCAGCAAAATGGCTTGGCTTTGCAGATCAATCACAGGGGATAGAAAGGCACAGTGAGCTCCTGTCTCTGCAGGAGCTGATGATCCAGCACATGCATTATTCTGTTCATTTGGCTTTTATCCTGCTCCCTTATTTAGCTTCTGCTCCCTTTGTTTGGCTATTTATTGCTACTCGGCAGGAGCAAGGAGGGCAGAGGGAGCTTCAGATGGGTGCATCCTCCTGGCTGGTGCCTCTGGTGAAGAGCATGGAGGAGAAAGAGGTTTCAATGTCTGGCTTGAAAGTATCTGTGGGTTTCACATTCTCTAACGAGGGATTTAGGATGTACATTCCAATCGGGATTTCCAGTCCCGTGGGGAGCAAACATCAGTTCACATTCCTGAGACGTGCAGCCTCCATGCTCCACGGACGCAGCTCCTTGGTGGCAGGTTTCATTCAGTGCCACATGTCCTGCCTCAGCCCTTTGTTGGGCTGGAAGGAAGACCCTGAGCCCCTCTTCCATCTGGATCACATGGTCTCTCCAGACCCTCCCCTCTCTTTCTCTGGAAACCACCTTTTTCTGATGGTGGTAGTGATTGTTCCTAAAGTCTCTCCTTTCCTCCTGCCCTGGCCTCTCTGCCGGAGGTCAGTGTCCTCTTCAGTGACAAAAGCCGCCCTAGATCTGGGCTCCCTGGAGAGGGAGGTGGCTGGGTCTGGCAGTTACAGCCGCTGTCTCTCCATGGTGCTGCTACACCCCTCCCCCACTGGGCATACAAATGGGCTTTATCCAGCAAACAACGCTCCCTCCCCGCACTCCCCCCACCCCAGGCCACACAGGCACGTGGACCCAGGCCTCACCGTGGGAAGGGGGTGGTGGCAGGCACAGAAGAGATTGCTCCAGATGAGTTCTCCTTGCCTCACTTCTCTTCCTTAGAACTTAGGACACAACTCAGGTTTTAGTTATTGACTTCCTCCACCCCTCCCCTGCACCCTGAGTCCCTAATTCCTTCTTGTTATATATCTCCTAATTCTGGACTCTTCCCATTCCAGGGCAGCTCAGATTATGCAGGGAATTGGGAACAGGTACCCCCACCATCTGCCGCATACCACCCAGGGAGCTGCTCCTCAGAGGAGAAATCAGGCGGGGGGATGAAAATACAGTGTCCTTTTGAGGGGGCTGAGTTGAACCCCAAAGCCCCTTCCTTGACCCTGCCTGCTCCAGGGAACACCCATCTAAACAGCATCTGTGTGACTAGCAGAGGAAGGAAGAGCTCACCCCAGCTGGGCTCCTGAGCCAGGGCCAGGGCTCCAGTGAAACTTGCCGCGCTCCAGCTCCGAGTGGGGCCATCCTGCATGCCTAATTGGCTATTTAAGGAGCTGTTCACCAGCAGCCCAGGCAGCACCCCCGTCCCCACATACACCAGTTCAGAGCCACCTTAAAAGCAGGAGGCAGTTGTAAAGTCGCTGGCCAGCTAGTGGAGTGGAGACTGCAGAGGGAGATAAAGAGAGAGGGCAAAGAGGCAGCAAGAGATTTGTCCTGGGGATCCAGAAACCCATGATACCCTACTGAACACCGAATCCCCTGGAAGCCCACAGAGACAGAGACAGCAAGAGAAGCAGAGATAAATACACTCACGCCAGGAGCTCGCTCGCTCTCTCTCTCTCTCTCTCACTCCTCCCTCCCTCTCTCTCTGCCTGTCCTAGTCCTCTAGTCCTCAAATTCCCAGTCCCCTGCACCCCTTCCTGGGACACTATGTTGTTCTCCGCCCTCCTGCTGGAGGTGATTTGGATCCTGGCTGCAGATGGGGGTAGGTACAACTAAATGTCTGTGTGTGGATTTGTGCTGATGTTCACATGTCGCCAGGTGTGCTTAATGGGGGGAGGAGAGGTGTGAAAGGAAGCCTAGAGGCTGGAATAATAGGCTCAGAGATGAGGAAAAAAGAGTGGGGTGTGGAGGAGACCACTTCCCTTCTTTACCTTTTGTCTCTCCAGCCTTGTTGTTATTGGAGGTCGGGGAGAACTAGCGGCAGGCAGGCAGAGTGTGTACACATGCAAGTGCTGGAATCTCTTTGCAGGCTACAGATTTTCTCCAGAGCTCTTTCCCCCACTGCCCTGGTCCCAGGCAGGACTCCTGGACTTCTTTATTTACAAACTCCTCCAAATAGGGAGTCAAAGAGGCCTGGAGTAAAAAGATGGATAGATGGGGGTAGGGGGAAGAATACTTCCTGCCCAACTCAGACCCTGATCTCCAATTCATCCCCTTTTGGCCAAGATTCCCTCTTCATTCTGTGGAGCGACTAACTCCCCAGTTATCCTCTGAAAGTGGCAGTAAGAGTCAACATTTGTTTGACATTTTACAGTTTACAAAGGACTTTCAGGAGCTCCCAGGAGATGAGGAGGGATTCTTGGGAGAACAGGCTGAAGCGCTCCAGGAGTGTCCCCAGGAACTCCTAGACCTCATTTTTGTGTTTCCTGTGCCTAGCACAGTGTCCAGCACATACTAGGTGTGTAACTGAGGTTTGTGGAAAGAGCAGGGTGAGGTGGGTGTCCAGAGAGCAGAAGGCAAATGCAGAGAGGATGGGGGCAGGCAGGCAGCCAAATGGAGAGTCACAAATCTCATCTGAGGAGAAAGAAAAAAAGAGGGAAAGAGGAGGAAGAGACAGAATAAGTGTGTTGAGGCTCTGACCAGAGTGGACAGGCACCTTTACAGACCAGGGAGTTTGAGTTGTTGGGGGGTCCCACAGATATGGTAAAATGAGAGGCTGCCTCCAGCTCTCCCTTGGGCTAGCAGAATAGGTCAAGGATAAGAGCAGGACATCTCACAAGTTTGAGGAATTTAAGGGAATAAGAGACAGAGAGAGGAAGGAATTTAGGATTTTTCTCCAGAGTTTCTAGTAGTATGAATATTGCAGCATAAACCATGAAGGCCTTCGTTTTCTTCTTGAGGCAGTTTGGCCGTAGGGAGGGGCTGGACCTGCAGACCCTCAGCCTTTGCGTCAGACAGGACTGCACGAGAGCCTGGCATGTGACCCAGCTGGCAGCTCTCTTCTCTACACACAATGCTTCACTTTCATCCTGTCCCTGCCAGCCTGGCTGCCTGTGCCCACCCACCACCCTCAATCTAGAGTAGACCCTGCCCTGACTCCCACCCTTCCCTAACCATCTCAGAATGTAGGGAGCAGAGCCTCCTGGTGATGAGGAGTTTCCTCTAGAGCTAATGGGACCAGAAAAGAAGAATTTACATATGAGTTTACAGCTCAGTGGCTTTATTCATGCAATTTTTTAAAGCAAAGGAATAATCTCCCCTTCTCCCCTCAGTAGCACCCCCCAACACACACACACTCTAAACTCCTTTCTCCTCCCCGCTTTCTAGTCCCTATCCTTCCAACCCTCTGCCCACACCCTCACCCCACCCACCCCAATCTTCTAAGTGTTAGATTGACTTGGCACAGGTTACAGAAAAGAAAGGGTTGGGCCAATCGCACATTTGGATCCAGGTTAATTTTAGTCTCTGGGCTTTACCTCTTTTCCTTCCTCCTCCCCTTTTACTCGGCAGGCACCAACACAGCCTGGCTGGTGATTTTAAATAGGCCCCCCGACCTTTCCACAGAGGTGTCCGGTTTCAGGGCTTCCTTTGCAAAGTGCTGGAGCAGAGGGAGGAGAGACTGCAGAGAGGGAGGTGGAGCAGTACAGAATGCCAGAGGGAGGGGAGTGTGGAGGCCAGGGTTCTGCCCCAGGCTGCGCTGGCTGTAACCCAAACTATTCTGCCTTGCAGGTCAACACTGGACGTATGAGGGTGAGCAGATCTCAAGGCCTCCCGACAACCCTTTCACACTGGGACCTCCTCACCTGGCAGGAAGACACACTGTGCGGGTGGGAGGAGACTTCCTTTACCTTCTCACCCTAGCTCCTCCCTTCTGGATCTCCTCCTGCCTTGAGTTTCACATATATGGCTCCTAGATCCTGCTCTAATCATCAAATCCTACACCTCCTGATTTGGCAGAAAAGCTAGTTAAGTCCTCAGTAAATCGTGTAGGAGTGAGGGAGCTGGGGTGGAAAGGAAGCTGGGTGGGAACTCTGAGCTTAGCTGCCAGGTCTCCTTCTGGCTCCGTCTATCCTAATCCATCCTACCCCTAACCTGCATCTGAAATTGGGACAGAGCTGGAGGTCAGGGGTGAGGAAGAGGCTGGCAGGATAGTTTCTGACCCTGGGGGAGGTGGAACTCAGTTCCTATGAACTACTGATTAATGACTTAACCAAACTCAAGTTCATGATAAACGGTCAGTGTGAGAGCAAGAAGTGAATGATGAGAAGTCAGGATATCTGAATCCCAAGGCCACTTGATAGGGGCCTCCAGGAGACCGTATCTCTCTAGGTTATTTTTTTTTTTTTTTTTTTTTTTGACACAGAGTCTTGCTCTGTCACCCAGGCTGGAGTGCAGTGGCGCAATCTGGGCTCACTGCAAACTCCACCTCCTGGGTTTAAGTGATTCTCCTGCCTCAGCTTCTCGAGTAGCTGGGATTACAGGTGCCCACCACCACGTCTGGCTAATTTTTGCATTTTTAGTAGAGATGGGGTTTCACCATGTTGGCCAGGCTGGTCTCGAACTCCTGACCTCAAGCGATCCACCTGCCTCGGCCTCCCAAAGTGCTGGGATTACAGGCATGAGCCACTGTGCCTGGCCTATCTAGGATCATTTTATTTCTCCCATTTTTCTACTCCTACTCTCTAATCCCATCTCTCAGGGTATTCAGGTTTTCTATGCATCCCCTCTGCCCTCATTCAGCTTTCTTGTCCTCAAAATACAGGTAAGTAAAAGAGCTACCACTCCCCATTCATCAGGATAGTTGGGGAATCATCACTGCCTCTGGGTAGGGAAGGGGAACTGCAGCATGAGACTCAACAGGACTCCTACCTCACCCATCCCTATACAACTGGGGTCTTAACCTGGGTGGAGGGAAGTCCATTTCTACCTCCACACAGATGTATGGCTTGGTTAGGGGAAGGGTCAAAGGGAGGGGGTGCTGTTGAAGGGTAGCTAGAGCTGGAGGACAGGACCAATGTCTTTGGTAACCCCCACCAGGCCCACATGGTCAGGACCATTGGCCAGCCTCTTACCCTGAGTGTGGAAACAATGCCCAGTCGCCCATCGATATTCAGACAGACAGTGTGACATTTGACCCTGATTTGCCTGCTCTGCAGCCCCACGGATATGACCAGCCTGGCACCGAGCCTTTGGACCTGCACAACAATGGCCACACAGGTAAAAGCACAGGCTCCAAGGAGTTGTAGGCTCCAGCTCAGATCTTAGGAGTCAGATCCTTTTGTAGTTCATGGGCATGATGATGGGGTGTTCCTGAGCATGCGTAAGATGTGCCGCCCTCAAATCTTGTCAAGATGTTGGCACATTACCCATCTGACATAAATAAACAAACAAATAACCTCAGGAGTCAGAGGAAAGCAGCATTTTCCTAACCTACGAATTCTCAAAAACCTTTGTCCATGAATTTGGAGATATGAGAATGGGGATCAGGATCCTGTAGCCAAAGCGGGAATCGAAATGTTTATAACCAAGCTCAGTAGGTAGGTATCATTGCACTGACTTGGTCTTCACCAAGAAAAAGGAAGATATGCTAGAAAAGCACTGGCCTATGGGAGGAACTGGGTGCTACTGGGGGAGAAAACTGGAAGAGGGCCAAGTCTCCCAAGAAGTGGTGGCAACCCAGGAGTGGGAATGTATCCACATGCCTCCACCAATCCGAGTTTGCTCTTTTCCTCACAGTGCAACTCTCTCTGCCCTCTACCCTGTATCTGGGTGGACTTCCCCGAAAATATGTAGCTGCCCAGCTCCACCTGCACTGGGGTCAGAAAGGATCCCCAGGGGGGTCAGAACACCAGATCAACAGTGAAGCCACATTTGCAGAGGTACCAGGGAACAAAGAGCTGGGACTCAGACAAAGTAACAGGGATGGGTGGTCCTGGGGAAAGGATCTGGACCTTAGGAAAAGTCATGCTGGGGGGATAAGGCCAATCTCTGAGGGACAGACTTAGTGCCTGCCGGGGACAGCGGGGGGATGGTGGCAGCTAGGATCAAGGCCTTGAAGGGGGTGCAGACATTCCATGATTCAATTCCCTCTTCCTTCCTTTAGCTCCACATTGTACATTATGACTCTGATTCCTATGACAGCTTGAGTGAGGCTGCTGAGAGGCCTCAGGGCCTGGCTGTCCTGGGCATCCTAATTGAGGTCAGTAGCCCCCAGTCCCTTCCAGGTTTCTCTCCACTTCCTCTGCAACCCTCAAACCTATTTCTGTTGCTGGCCTCCTTCCTATGGCAGGCAGCAGCCCACCCTGACCATTTATTCTGTACATAAATTTCTTATTCCAAACATGGACTCATTCCAAACTCTCTCCCTTTCCTTCTCTTCCAGGTGGGTGAGACTAAGAATATAGCTTATGAACACATTCTGAGTCACTTGCATGAAGTCAGGCATAAAGGTGAGCCTTAAAAATCTATAGCAGGAAGTAAGATTAGACTTTCAAAAACTATCCTTAAAAGCCTTGGGATGAAGCAATTACATAGAGCCAAGGAATTTTGCTTCTGGGAGCCCTATCTAGGTAAGCTAGGGCACACTGAAAGGAAGATGAGTCCCAGTCTGTTCTCCCCAGATCAGAAGACCTCAGTGCCTCCCTTCAACCTAAGAGAGCTGCTCCCCAAACAGCTGGGGCAGTACTTCCGCTACAATGGCTCGCTCACAACTCCCCCTTGCTACCAGAGTGTGCTCTGGACAGTTTTTTATAGAAGGTCCCAGATTTCAATGGAACAGGTAAGTGGTGGAGAAACGAGGTGAGGTGAGACACAGTTGTAACTTCAGACCCCTTCCCACTCCCCAAAGTAACACCTCTCCCACGCTTCTGCTCCTCAGCTGGAAAAGCTTCAGGGGACATTGTTCTCCACAGAAGAGGAGCCCTCTAAGCTTCTGGTACAGAACTACCGAGCCCTTCAGCCTCTCAATCAGCGCATGGTCTTTGCTTCTTTCATCCAAGGTGATTCTGCACGGCTCAGAAGAGATGGGAAACTGAGGGGGACACAATGGCAGGAACTAGGGAGCCAATGGGAAGAAAAGGCTAAAAGGGGAGGGGGTTTCTGGGACTTGCTTGGACTGGGAACCAACCCCCACCCCAGGGTGCCCCCGGGGGATTCTCCCAGGCACAGCAGCAGAGAGTGCTGCTCCCAGCTGGGATGGGGATCTGAAGTCCCACTGACCCATTTTCTTCTCTTACAGCAGGATCCTCGTATACCACAGGTAAGCCAGCCTTATAAGATAATGCGGGGAGGGGAGGTGTCCTCACCGAGTGGGGGAAAGGCTCAAAATCTATGTTAGTCCTAGGCTGACACCTTTTACCTTTATCTCCCCCAGGTGAAATGCTGAGTCTAGGTGTAGGAATCTTGGTTGGCTGTCTCTGCCTTCTCCTGGCTGTTTATTTCATTGCTAGAAAGATTCGGTGAGGCCCTACTTTCCATTCCTCCAGTCCCTTCTTCTTTTTTTTTTTTTTTTTGGTAGGTGGGAGACGGAGTCTTGCTCTGTTACTCAGTCTGGAGTGCAGTGGTGTGCAATCTCAGCTCACTGCAACCTCTGCCTTCTGGGTTCAAGCAATTCTCCTGCCTCAGCCTCCCGAGTAGCTGGGACTACAGGCACGCACCATCACACCCAGCTAATTTTTGTACTTTTAGTAGAGACAAGGTTTCACCATATTGGCCAGGCTGGTCTCAAACTCCTGACCTCAGGCAATTCGCCTGCCTCAGCCTCCCAAAGTACTGGGATTATAGGCATGAGCCACCCGCTTTTTGAGACAGGTTCTCACTGTTGTCGAGGCTGGAGTGCATGGCTTTATCACAGCTCACTGCAACCTCCACCTCCCGGGCTCAAGTGGTCCTCCCACCTCAGCCTCCTGAGTAGGTGGGACTACAGGCATGTGCCACCATGCCCAGATAATTTTTGTATTTTTAGCAGAGACGGGTTTTCACTACATTGCCCAGGCTGGTCTCCAACTCCTGACCTCAAGTGATCCGCCCGCCTCAGCCTCCCAAAGTGCTGGGATTATAGGTGTGAAACACCTTGCCCAGCCCTCTTTTCTGTTAAAAAGCATTCTCCTATTTCACCTCTAATCTGCTTCACTTAGATAGCAGTCATTCTCATGAGCCATTCCCCTTTCCAGGAAGAAGAGGCTGGAAAACCGAAAGAGTGTGGTCTTCACCTCAGCACAAGCCACGACTGAGGCATAAATTCCTTCTCAGATACCATGGATGTGGATGACTTCCCTTCATGCCTATCAGGAAGCCTCTAAAATGGGGTGTAGGATCTGGCCAGAAACACTGTAGGAGTAGTAAGCAGATGTCCTCCTTCCCCTGGACATCTCCTAGAGAGGAATGGACCCAGGCTGTCATTCCAGGAAGAACTGCAGAGCCTTCAGCCTCTCCAAACATGTAGGAGGAAATGAGGAAATCGCTGTGTTGTTAATGCAGAGAACAAACTCTGTTTAGTTGCAGGGGAAGTTTGGGATATACCCCAAAGTCCTCTACCCCCTCACTTTTATGGCCCTTTCCCTAGATATACTGCGGGATCTCTCCTTAGGATAAAGAGTTGCTGTTGAAGTTGTATATTTTTGATCAATATATTTGGAAATTAAAGTTTCTGACTTTAATTCTGGCCTATCCTTTGAGGCTCTTGAGGGTGGGCAAGTTCCTGAATCCCTCAGGTGGTAAAGATGGGCAAAGGATGGGGAAAAGAAGCATGGGTGATTAACTCCTTTTATCCCACCCCTGGAAGGAAAGATAAGCTTCTGGGAAGACACTTAACCCAAAGTTTCAGACATGTTAAACCACTAGCCCAGATTTCTGCCCTTGCACCAAGGCTATGCTTGGAAATCAGTGGTTGCCAGGTTAGGAAAGTGGCTGGATGAGAGATCTGAGGACAGAAATCTCAATTAACATGCTATCCCCTCCCTTAAAAGCCAAGTTCCCCCACAATTACAAATTCTTTTTTATTAGTCAAAATCACAATCACCTTGATTAAAAGGATGGGACACTCCACCCTCAGCAGAAAATGATACAGTTTATAGAAAACCTCCCCGCCCCTCCCACACCCCAATTAAAAACTACAAAAAAATCTCCCCTCCTTCCCTACGATGTCATGGTAGTCTGACTCCTCCAGTGGCACTGCAGCTCTGGAGTGGCCAGCTCACCACAGCACCCTCCACTTCACCTTGGGGAGAGGAGGGATGCTGGTGGTTAAGGAGGTTAAAACCATTAGTTCCAGTAATGCCAGTTCCCAAACATGCACTTCCTTCCTTTCCCCCAAGGTCTGGGACCAAGGAGAAAGGGACCGAAATGAGCCCAGCCATGAGGAGCAACTCGAGGAGAGAAAATATAGCCCAAGGAGGTTAGAAGAGTTCCAATATACCTCCTCCCTCCCCCCACCTCAAAAAAGAAAAAAAGGCAGTTTAGGGTATTTATCACACCAAAAATGGTTCCCCCTCAGGCCTGAGAAAAAGACCAAGATGTCCAGTCTTGAGGGAGTACTGAGAAACTCAGAGCTCATCTATCCTTGAGCCTCCATTAATTTCATCTCCAGGGCAATGGCTAAACTAGGTCCCTTTTCTTGGCAACCTGCACTGTCCAGAACTGGAGATGGAGAAATACAGGGCGAGGACATCAGGAGGGCACCCCAGGCCCAGGGGTCCCCCCTAGGTTCCCTCAGTCCTCGGGTGGGATGCGCAGGGCAGAATACACCATCACCCGACTGTCCTCCTGCCGTCGGCCTGCAGAGGGGAAGGGAGGTGAGTCTTGGGCAGGGTGAGAGCAGAGCACTGACACAGGGGGAGTCCTGGACACAACAAGGGGGTCCCCAGGTGGTGGGGATAAGTGCAGATTCAAACCCACCAGTCACTGACTGGCTGAACCCAGGCTGCTCCTGGTAAAGCTTAGAGACTAACGGTCACAAAAGGACAAAGCAAAACCCTGGAGGTAGTGGGGTAGACCGACGAGAAGGAGACAGAGAATGTGGGCAATGGACCCGGGCTGGGGCTGGGCTCAGTCATGGGCAGTGGACAGGCAGGTGGGATCTGTCAGGCGATCAGTCCAGGTAGTCAGTCCTTACACAAGAGGCTGCGCTGAATACTTCGGAGGGACCCTCCAGCTGTGATGAAGGCCCAGAGCCCCATGGAAACAGTGACTGCATAGATGGGCAGCAGGCTGGCCTCATACCAGGGGTTCAGGAATGTCTAGGAAGGAGGGTAAGAGTAGGAAAGAGATTAGATTCTCCCTCGACCTAATCCCCATATTCTCTCTGTACCTTTCTGACTCCCAGATATCTCTCTCAAATTCTCCAGTCTTTCCCTTCAGAGCACCAACATCTTGTGGTTAAGGGGACTTTTGATTTTCAGCTCCTCAGAAACTCAAAGGTTTCTGCCGCTCCTGCTCACCTCAGGCCCTCTGCATTACAGTTTGACTAATCCTTTCAACCTCCTCCCCAGAGCAGGTGATAGAAATGATGCTGAGGTGAGAGACCTTGAAAGACTCACCTTTCCTCCTCCTCCCAGGTAAGTTAAAAATGTTAAGAAGTGAGGATACCCTTTCCCCCACATCCCACTCACCATTAAATGCTTTTCTCCCTAACTCAGGCCCCTGTCTCCAACTCACCAGTCCCGATGTCAGTAGGTGACTCCCAACCACCAGGCCCAAAGCCCAGTACCGTCTCCTCTCACAGGCATCAAAGAACACAACTCCCCAAAAGGTATGGAGCAGGATAATGGCTGCTGTCAGAAAGGCTGCAGGGAGGGAGATGGGGAGGAGATACATCCCTGATCTTCTCCCAGGCTCCTGAGATGTTGAGCCAAAGAAGTCTCTCAGGGAAGGCCAATAAATCAGATCAGGGACAAGGATGGATGGGGGGTAAAGGCTAGATAGAAGGTGGATCTTACCTGAAGTCAGGAAGTAATAGGGTGAGTCTCCATGGATCCCAACCACACCTGGCCCAAGTGCATCAGCCAAAATATTGATAACAGAGAAGACACCACTGATGATACCGAAGGAGAGACCAGAAACTGGGGGAAGGGAGGATCTCATCAATGTCAGAGATCACACTATTGCCTGTTCACCACTGACCCCTCCCCATTCCCGGTTACAATTCTTTCACATCTACTCTCCCTCCAGACCAACTTTCTTTGGAAGTGACGGATGAAGGAAAGTAAGAAGCCACTTAGAACATGTGGATATTTAGAGACTTCCCTAGAGGAGGGGGCTGTCCAACTCCCTCCTCCAGTCCCTCTCCCTTGGCTCACCATAGGCCATCTGGCGGATGGAGATGGGTGATCTTCCGTCCTCACTCAGCGATGCTAACCCCTCATCTGCCTTCCTGGGGTGGGGTGGGGTAGGGGAAACATGAGGGAGGGCAGGGATGCTCCTTTCCCTCTAATGTCCTCCCTTAGTGCCTCCTCTTCCAAACCAGCACCCAGGGGCTGCCCCACTTCCCATAGTGCAGTCCTTTGCCCCTCTCCCCTCCAGACCACTCCATCTTCTTACTTAAGCAGCTTGTAGTAGGCAAAGCGGAACACCTCCTGTAGAAGGACAGAGACAGCAGCACCAAAAATCAGGAGGCCGTACTGGAGCCGGGCATCTGACCGGTCGGTCACATGGACCAAGATGAACCAGACCACAGAGGCCAGGAGCAGGGAGACCAGCCAGAAAAATGCCCTGAGAAAAGACAGGGGCAGTGAGACAAGCAATAGTAGTGGGAGCCAGAGAAATCAAGGAGGGAAACCAGCCAAAGCTGCTTGAAAAGTGGAAGTTAGCCTTCCGGATGGTTAGGGAGACATGGACCAGGTAGGGTAACTGTCTCCACCAAGAGACTCATCTGTAGAAAAGTGAACGCACTGGAAAGGGGAGAAATCTAATTAAAGAGTCTTCAGAGCGATGACAGCCAGAGTGTGCGAGCACGGAAGGGCGAGGTATCCGTTCCTGGATCCTCCCCTAAGGCACCTGACTCGGCCTGCCTAGGTCAGCACAGCCCCCTCACGAGTCTCGGCCTTGGGCCTTCTCTGACGTCGCTGGGAGGAATATAGGAGGAATCTGTGAGATCCTTGGAAGGTGGAAACCAACTGCGGGAAAGGACAAATCTCCCAGACCCAACCCCTCACCTCCGCCCAAACTTCACCTCCGACTTATCGTCCCCAATTCAGGCTCCCAGGCTTGCCCCAGTTCCTCCAGCCCCTTCCGCACCTCTCTCTTCGACGCTCTCCCGCGTCTCCCGGGCCCTCTACTCACCCTGCGACCAGGATGATAACGCGAAGCGGGTCCCCAGCCACAGTGATCAAGAAAAGCGCGAAGGCCGGGCCGAACGCGACGAAAGTGCAGCCGAAAAACACCGCAGCCCCCATGGCTGGTCAGGTGGGAAGGGGGGTGGGGGCCTGACCAGGACAGGCAAATGGGAGGGGCGCGCCAGCTGGGGAGTCCGCGTGGGGTGGCAACGCGACCCCACGAGGGGCGCGGTGCAATGTCACCCCCAGACCCCGGGGAAGGGGAAGGGGGGGAACCGAAACCCCAAATGAAGGTCCGCGCCACTTCCTCTACGGAAGCCGAAGAGGGGACAAATCCCGGCCGCAGCCCCACGGCCACCTCCCATCTAATCCCCACCCCCGGAAGGCCAATGGAGAATCAGCGCGGGCGGAGCTGCTCGACCTGCTGGGAGTTGTAGTCGCCTTCCGAGGCCTTGACTTCGTCCTGGGAGTGGCTCGAGCCGGTTAATGGGGGTGGGCCGGGAATGGACCAGTCGAGACACCAATTCCAGGGTTCGGTTGCGCTTCCGTCGCTGTTTCCTTTCGTCACTTTGTGGGGAAAAGTGGTAGCAATCATACCTCTTCTTGAAGGGCTGCAGAGGGGGTAGATCCTGTTTGAATCTAAGGGACAAATACAAAGAGAGCACAGGATGGGGCGCAGGGAGATAGGGACGGGTATTGTTCTTACTTGAATGAGAGGAAATGGGCTAGAGCTGCTGCCTAAGAGATGAAGATTACATTAAAAAGTAGGAGCTCTTCGGACAGACTAGTATAATAAACATGGAATACAGTATATCGCTAATGAAGCCTTCATCTGTAATGACAAGAGAATCGGAGAGAAGCAAAAGGAGCCTGGAGAGAAATGTTAGGAAGGCATTTTGAAAGAGTCCGGGAGTTTAAAAGCAATTAGAGCGATGGGGTTGAAGGAAAACGACACCCCCACCCCACCCCCGCCATAAATTCCTTTTATGTCATACTTCCTCTATTTATTTTCTGAAAAATGAACCTCAGTGGTGCGTTTTCCTGAGGCTGAGAGGGGTTGTATATTAGAGTGAATGAAAGTTAAAGTAGGCTGAGCGCGGTGGCTCACCCCTGTAATCCCAGCACTTTGGGAGGCCAGGAGTTTGAGACCAGCCTGGCCAACATGGCGAAACCCCATCTCTACTAAAAATACAAAAATTAGCCAGATGTGGTGGCGCACGCCTGTAATCCCAGCTACCTGGGAGGCTGAGGGGCAAATATAGCTTGAACCCAAGAGGCAGAGGTGGCAGTGAGCTGAGATTGCGCTACTGCACTACAGCCTGGGCAACGGAGTGAGGTTCTGTCTCAAAAAAGAAAAAGAAAGTTAAGTAGGAGAGGAGGGTATTGTAATCTCATTTGGATGGGGAGAGGTTAGTCCTTAGGGAAGATGTTAGGCAAAGGAATCTGAGGATGGAAAAGAGGAAAGAAATCTGGAATATTGTTTTTGAAAGCATAATCAAAGTACCAAAAAAAACCCCACAGAAATTGTTTAAAGATAACCAAACTTCCTTTCCTTCCTGGAAGTGATTTATTATTTAATCCATATGTGCACACTCACATACATGTTTTACATGTCTTCCAGGATATTCTGGAAAGGAGCTGAGGAATAGATTGTATAGATTTACACGGAGGCTGGTCACAGTGGCTCATGCCTGTAATCCCAGCACTTTCGGAGGCCAAGGCGGCTGGATCACTTGAGGTCAGGAGTTTGAGACTAGCCTGGCCAGTGTGGTAAAACCCCATCTCTACTAAAAATACAAAAAATTAGCCAGGCATGGTGGTGCGCACCTGTAGTCCCAGCTACTCAGGAGGCTGAGCCACGAGAATAGCTTGAATCTGAGAGGTGGAGGTTACAGTGAGCTGAGATCCCACCACTGCACTCCAACCTGGGCGACAGAGCAAGACTCTGTCTCTGAAAAAAAAGAAAGAAAATATTTACATGGAAAGTCACCAGGCAAATTATTCCCTAATGAGACTAAGAGGGTAGCTGGGCGCAGTGGCTCACGCCTGTAATCCCAGCACTTTGGGAGGTCGAGGCAGGCAGATCACGAGGTCAGGAGATCGAGACCATCCTGGCTAACACGATGAAACCCCGTTTCTACTAAAAATACAAAAAATTAGCCAGGCGTGGTGGCGGGCGCCTGTAGTCCCAGCTACTCAGGAGGCTGAGGCAGGAGAATGGCGTGAACCCAGGAGGCGGAGCTTGCAGTGAGCCGAGATCGTGCCACTGCACTCCAGCCTGGGCAACAGAGTGAGACTCCGTCTCAAAAAAAAAAAAAAAAAAATTAAGAGGGTAGCGTTATCATGACCTGTGTTCAAGACTCCAGTATGTCCTGCTTCTGAGCCCAGCAGGCAGAGTAAGGTGGATAGGAATGAGACAATTCTCATGTCTTTTTTTTTTGAGATGGAGTCTCACTCTGTTGCCTAGACTGGAGTACAGTGGTGCTATCTCGGCTCACTGCAACCTCTGCCTCCCAGGTTCAAGTGATTCTCCTGCTTCAGCCTCCCTAGTAGCTGGGATTACTGGCGCCTGCCACCAAGCCCAGCTAATTTTTGTATTTTTAGTAGAGACAAGGTTTCACCATGTTGGCCAGGCTGATCTCCTGACCTCAGGTGATCTGTCCGCCTAAGCCTCCCAAAGTACTGGGATTACAGGCGTGAGCCACTGTGGCCAGCTTCATCTCTCCATTGAGCTGTTACCACAGCATCTTCTGACCATTGACAGGAGGCTGTAAACCTATCTTGTTCATGGGTGTTTCCACAGACACTTGCATAGTGCCTGACTCATAGTAGATGTTGAGCAGATACTTATTAACTTCCCTTAAGAACAAAGCAAAACTGTCTTTTCTTATTCCCTTGCCTATAAGCTCTCAATTGCCTATCACACTAGGCCTAGCACACTGTGCCTAGCACGTATGTTGCTAAGGGTTTCTGAATTGAATGAACATGGGAAACATAAAAGCAGAGGAAAGGATAAAAACTCTACACCTGTAGGACGGAATGAAGGGAACATACCAAGTGACTGAATGTGGGAGGGAAGGTGTGGCACCTGTAGCAGGGAAAGAGACTATCTGCTTTCTCCCTTCTTCCAACCTGCATCCTGGAAGTTGAGAAAGAGATGAGGTGAGGCCGGGCACGGTGGCTCATGCCTGTAATCCCAGTACTTTGGGAGGCCAAGACAGGTGGATCATCTGAGGTCAGGAGTTCGAGACCAGCCTGGGCCAACATGGTGAAACCCCGTCTCTACTAAAAATACAAAACTTAGCTGGGCATGGTGGCACGCGCCTGTAGTCCCAGCTACCAGGGAGGCTGAGGCAGGAGAATCACTGGAACCCGGGAGGCAGAGGTTGCAGTGAGCCGAGATCGCGCCACTGCACTCCAACCTGGGTGACAAAGCAAGATTCTGTCTCAAAAAAAAAACAAAGAGGTGAGGTGAGGTCAGTGTTACCAGAAAGGAAATAACTGACCATGGCTGAGAGACTTTTAGCTGAAGCCATGCAGCAGGTGCTTTAAGTCAGACAATGATGGGTAAATATTGTTCCTATTCTCTATAGCTCCAGACAGACAGAAGAAAGGGATTCTTTTCAGTCTAGAAAAATGCTCACCCCTTCCTCAGAACATTTCCACTGTGACGAAAAGAGACTGATGAAGCCTCAGAGAGAAAGGCAACTCTGGGTGGTGATGGTAAGTCAGAGACAGTGAGAGGGAGGGTGAACTTTTTATGAGGCCTTGGAGGAAGGAAGGAAAGCCGGGAGAGGGGAAACTTCTTGGTAGGCTTATTTTTTATTTTTATTTTGGTAGTGACAGTGGGAGTCTTGAATGGATCTAATCTAGGGCAGGGGGAGCTTAAGAAACATGTTTGCATCAAAACCCCCTTTTGCCTCTCAATCTGGGCAGCTCTGGCTGGGGACCGGCAGTAACCGGAGATCTAGTCAGTCAGCCAGTAGGCGGGGAGTTCTGCCCCCTGGGAGGAGAAGAGTTGCTGCAGCTCCTTCCCTGCTTTGGAGGAGGAGGGGAGGCGGGGTAAGTTTGGTGGGAAACTCTGTAATTTCCTTTTTTACTTTCACAGCAATAGTGCAGAATCCAGAATGGATGTCCTCTTTGTAGCCATCTTTGCTGTGCCACTTATCCTGGGTAAGTCCACTCCTCTCTCTGAGCTTTTGTGCCAGGTCTTCTACCATAAATGGGGTGGGAGAAAAAAAATGAGGAGTGGGTGAGAGGTACATTTCAGTGGGGAGCGATAGAGTTTTCTCATCGTGCTGGGGTCCGGTGTTGAGGGCAGAATGGAGATCTGGAAGGCAGAGCCAGGAAAGGGGGAAAAAAGCAGAGTCCTGTCAAACAAGGAGGATGGAGCTCCAGACACAAGGAGGCCCTAGCAACACTGAGCTCAGTTCTCCATCACCACGGAAGTTGAACAAGATGACAGGGGCTAAAGTAAGGGTGAAGGAGGGATTATTGGAAGGTGTCACAGTCTGAAACTAGTAGTTAGGGTATCTCCTTTCCCAGAGAATTGGAGAAAAAAACCTGCTATTAGTAAAGACACAGAAGTGGGGTGACCTTTAGGGTAGTGGAAAACTGGCTGTCTTCAGGGACAGGGTCCCAAGAGTAGCTTGGCTCCTTCCCTCCTTTGTTCCCCAGTCTACCAGGTGTGTCTCATTGTTTCCTTTTCCTCTAGATTCTTGTGTCATTAGCTTGGAGTTGAAGGGAAAGCATTCAAGGAGCTCAGGGAAGTGTTTAGCAGGAGGCCTGGAGTTCTTGATCCAGTCATATCAAAGCCACATATTTTTAGTTCTGAAAGGGAAGAAAAACTAACAGAGATGGGTCATTTTAGTCCAGCTGACTCATTTTAAGAAAGCGGATGTTAAGTGGATTGTTCAGGGTTATTCTGTTAGCAGTGAAGGTGGAACTAAAGCTCAAATCCAAAGCCTAAGGGTGTATGTTAGTTATTTGTAAGAGATACTGATAAGAAAAGATGTCTCACAAATACAGTAAGATCTGGAGCATACTAAATAGAAGACTTGGCGTTTTTAATTCCTGGTCTCTACTTTTCCTACCTTTTTTAGGTCTGGTTCTCCCTTTGGGTTTATAGTATGTGAAGGGGACTGTTTTCTGTTTTAGGAGTTCCTGGATTGAAAGGGCACGGAGTAACAGGCCTCATTACAGATATGGATCCCAGAAGACTGAGAGGGGTGTAGAGGTGCACAGGCAAGAAAGGAGTATGACTATTGGAGGAGAGAGAGAGAGAGAGAAAAGAAAGAAAGAGCAAGAAAGCTGGGAGCGCTGAGGTCATCTCCAGGTGTCCTTTTGTTAGTAAGGTGTTCCAGATGTCCCTTGACCTCTAGTCCTTGTCCCCATAGGACAAGAATATGAGGATGAAGAAAGACTGGGAGAGGATGAATATTATCAGGTGGTCTATTATTATACAGTCACCCCCAGTTATGGTGAGTACATGAAAGGCTCTTGCCCTTAGCCAACTGGAGAGAGGCTTCAGGATATTTAGTTCTGAGACTTTGCTCTTCACTTTGAAGCAGAGCAATGGGGTCAGAGAAAAATCTGGCTATGAACAAAACCTATCAAGACTCATGATGGGGCCGGGCGTGGTGGCTCACACCTGTAATCCCAGCACTTTGGGAGGCTGAGGCGGGCGGATCACGAGGTCAGGAGATCGAGACCATCCTGGCTAACACAGTGAAACCCTGTCTCTACTAAAAATACAAAAAATTAGCCGGGTGTGGTGGCGGGTGCCTGCAGTCCCAGCTACTTGGGAGGCTGAGGCAGGAGAATGGCATGAACCCGGGAGGCAGAGGTTGCAGTGAGCTGAGATCGTGCCACTGCACTCCAGCCTGGGTGACAGAGCAAGACTCCATCTCAAAAAAAAAAAATGAAAAAAGATTTATGATGGGCTGGGCGCAGTGACTCATGCCTGTAATCCCAGCACTTTGGGAGGCTGAGGTGGGTGGATCACCTGCGGTCAGGAGTTTGAGACCAGCCTGGCCAACATGGTGAAACCCTGTCTCTACTAAAAATACAAAAATTAGCTGGGCATGGTGGCACCTGCCTGTAGTCCCAGTTATTCAGGAGGCTGAGGCAGGAGAATCGCTTGAACCTGGGAGGCAGAGGTTGTGGTGAACTGAGATCACACCACTGCACTCCAGCCTGGGCGACAGAATGAGACTACGTCACAAAAAAAAAAAAAGACTCATGATGATGTTATTTTTCCAGATAGTGATTTTTAGATGGGAGGATTGCTTGAGCCCAGGAGTTCAAGACCACCCTGGACATCATAGCAAGACCTTGTCTCTATAGAAAAAAAAATTTTTTTTTTTTGAGACCAAATCTCATGCTGTCACCCAGGCTAGAGTGCAGTGGCACAATCTCAGCTCACTGCAACCTCTGCCTCTCGGCTTCCAGCTATTCTCTTGCCTCAGCCTCCTAGGTAGCTGGGACTACAGGCGTGTGCTACCATGCCCGGCTAATTTTGTATCTTTAGTAGAGACAAGGTGTCACCATGTTGGCCACGCTGGTCTTGAACTCCTGATCTCGTGATCTGCCCACCTCAGCCTCCCAAAGTGCTGGGATTACAGGCTTGAGCCATCGTGCCCGGCCAAATTTTTTTTTTTTTAATTAGCTGGGCATGGTGGCACATGGCTGTAGTCCCAGCTACTCAGGAGGCTGAGGCAGGAGGATCACTTGAGCTCAGGAGCTGGAGGTGGCAGTGAGCTATGATTGAACCAACTGTACTCCAGCCTGTTAACACAGTGAGACCCTGACTCTAAAAAAAGAAGAACTTGAAAATTTTTCAAATTTGTAAATTATTTTAGATACCTACATTGAAAATATAAATGCATACACATTCACAGTCATTTTTAACATTAGTTAAATAAAATTGGATTATACCAATAAATGTTACAACTTAAGTTAAACTATTCTGAGTAATTTCTTCCCTTTTCATTTCCAGATCTAGAGTTACATTTTTCTTTAATTATTACTGATTTTCTTTCTCCTCTGCAGATGACTTTAGTGCAGATTTCACCATTGATTACTCCATATTTGAGTCAGAGGACAGGCTGGTGAGTGAACTCTACATCTAAAAGGGTTAGGATAAGTAACAATTAAAAAGAAACTGGCCGGGCGCAGTGGCTCATGCCTATAATCCCAGCACTTTGGGAGGCCAAGGCGAGTGGATCATTTGAGGTCAAGAGTTTGAGACCAGCCTGGCCAAAATGGTGAAACCCCGTCTCTACTAAAAATACAAAAACATTAGTTGGACATGGTAGCATATGCCTATAATCCCAGCTACTCAGAAGGCTGAGGTAGGAGAATCACTTGAATCCGGGAGATGGAGGACGCAGTGAGCCAAGATCGTTCCACTGCACTCCAGCCTGGGTGACAGATCCAGACTTCATCTACAAAAAAAAAAGAAAAAAGAAAAGAAAAGAAACTGGGCAATGTTGAAATGTATCTGATTAACAAGAATAAAAATGAGTTTGATGAGGAGAAACTAAGTAGTAGGCCCAAAACAGATTTGTTAACCTATCTGGGGAGGAGAAAAAAGCCAGAACTTTATAAATTGTCCTCAGTAAGTTTGCTAAGACACTGAGGAGGGGCATCAAGGGACTTTTGAATGAGATGGGTACAAATCTATGCAAGCATAGGGTAGGGGGGAATCCCTGAGCTTAAGTCTTTGGGCTGGGTGGAGGTGGTGAAGGGGAGAACTTTAAGTAGAGAATCTATGAAGATGTTGGATGGAAAAACTGATAACTCTGTGTTTCCCAAATCCTACTGAGGGTAGAACAGGTTGGATAAGGACATAACAGAAGCAATAGAGACTACCATTAGTCTTGAAACAGCACGTGCAGACCATCCGAAGCCTGTAACTGTGAAACCAGTAACAACGGAACCTGTGAGTTGATTGGGGATTGGGGGCTGGGGGGAGACAGGACATCCCTAGTGACGTGGAATACATAGAGGGCTGGAATACCAGGCTTTGGTGGATGGGAGAACCAAATAATTAGTACTTCATTGCAGGTATTCATCTCAACTTGGCCATGTTTCACTAAGATTTAATACTAACCCTGTTTACAGAACACTGGGAAGATATGGTACAGTTAAATTTCAGTTCAGTAGTATTCAATAGGTATGTAATCTATGCCTAAGGCTGCTAAGGTAACTGATGCTGATAAAAAAGAAATCTATGTTACTGTCCTCAAGGATTTATAAAATTCAAGTTTACGAAACACTTAGAACAAAATGAAAAGGTATGTTATGATGTTAAATTATATATAAATTTGAAAGCAGAAGATACTGGCAGTGCTTTAGCCAATGTAAGAAGAGAGATTAGTACAGGCTAGAGTTGTCTGAAAAGCTTTCAAGAGGCATTTGTGCTTGAGATACACCCTGAAGAATAGATGAGCTTTTGATTGGTGGGTAGTTATGGAAGGACAGAAGCAATTAGGAGGAAGAATAGTTATTCCAAGAGTGAAAGAGGCCAGGTATGGCGGCTTATGCCTGTAATCCCAGCACTTTGGGGAGGCCAAGGTGGTCGGATCACTTGAGGTCAGCAGTTCAAGGCTAGTTCAATGGCCAACATGGTGGAAACCCCATCTCTACTAAAAATACAAAAGTTAGCCAGGCGTGGTGGTGCGTGCCTGTAATCCCAGCTACTTGGGAAGCTGAGGCATGAGAATCACTTGAACCCGGGAGGCAGAGGTTGCAGTGAGCCGAGATCACGCCACTCTACTCCAGCCTGGGCGACAGAGTGAGACTCTATACTAAAAAAAAAAAAAAAAAAAAAAAAAGAGTGAAAGAGCTGCACAGGAGGGGGGAATAGAACAAGCATAATATGTTTAGCAAATAGGGTATGATTGAAGGAGAGGGTATATGGAAGGGAACAGTGGGAATTAAGAAAAATATAAAATTTACAAGGCTCCTAATACTTGCTTAGTAATTTCACATGTGGCAACATAGGGGCAAATTTCAGAGAGTCTCAGGTGTCAGGCTGAAGTCTGGACTCATAATCAACAAGGAGCCTAGTAAGTTCTTCATTATGGTAAAAACACGATGAAAAGTGATATTTTAGAAAAACCGGCCAGGTGTGGTGGCTCACGACTGTAATCTCAGCACTTTGGGAGGCTGAAGTGAGCTGATCACCTGAAGTCGGGAGTTCGAGACCAGCCTGACCAACATGGAGAAACCCTGTCTATAGTAAAAATACAGAATTAGCTGGGTGTGGTGGCACATGCCTGTAATCCCAGCTACCTGGGAGGCTGAGGCAGGAGAATCGCTTGAACCTGGGAGGCGGAGGTTGCAGTGAGCCGAAATCGCGCTATTGCACTCCAGCCTGGGAAACAAGAGTGAAACTCCATCTCAAAAAAAGAAAAAGAAAAACCACTCTTCAGGTTGTATGCAGGATGTAAATAATTTAGTGGAAAGCAACTCATGAGATTTGCGTTGTTCCAGAAACAATCTGTACTCTGGCATTATGAATGGAGAGGAGAAAAATAAATATTATGAAGAAAATACCTTGCTTGAGTGATAATTTTATATGAAGTATAAATGAGGAGTGAGTTAAAATAACTCATGGGTTTTAAACATGGATGTCTGGGAAAATGGTTGACCAAAGTGGGAACTATGGGAGGCCAGAGTGGTTTAGGACAGAAGTTATTAATTTGGTAATGGCCAAGCTGAGTTTATGGTGACAGCCCTATGAGGGTGTCCTAAAGGTCACTGAACTAGATCAGGGCTAGAGTTCTAAGTGCAAAGTCACAGATATGAAAGTAAATGAGCTCAACAGAGCCAGTACACACAAGCTCAGAAGGCCAGTGACTGTGCCTGTAGTGAGTGGGAGGAAGAGAAATTAATGAATGGAATGGAGAAGGATTTGACTGGAGAAGTAGGCAGATAGCCAAGTTTGTATTATAGAGTCTAGAAGAGAAAGTTTAATATAATCCATCAAAAGCTACCAAGAGGCCAAGGAGGAGGAGGTCACTTGTAACTCTCAAGAAAGTAGTTTTAACTGAGTGCTTGGAGAAAAGCTAGATTTTTGTGGAGTTAAAGAGTGAGTACATTATGAGGAAAGGGAGGTGAGTACAGACCAACCATCTAAAAAATCTGGTAATGAAAAAGAGAAGCAACGGCTGGAAAGGGGAATAGGACCAAAGAGCAGCCTGCATATAGTTGAGCACAGATGAAAGAAGCCAGTAAGAATGGAAGTGAAAGATTGACAATAAGGGCAGTTAATTCTTTTTGAAGTATACAGTAGGCTGGGCGCAGTGGCTCACGCCTGTAATCCCAGCACTTTGGGAGCTGAGGTGGGCGGATCACCTGAGGTCAGGAGTTTGAGACCAGCCTGGCCAACATGGCAAAACTGTGTCTCTACTAAAAATACAAAAATTAGCCAGGCATGGTGGCGGGTGCCTGTAATCTCAGCTACTTGGGAGGCAGGCAGGAGAACTGTTTGAACCCTGGAGGTAGAGGTTACAGCGAGCTGAGATTGCACCACTGCATTCCAGCCTGGTGGATATAAAAATAATAATAAATAAACAAACAAATAAATAAAATATAGAGTAGACTCTCTTTAGATTGTAAATTCCTTGAGGACAGGAATCTTGTCTTATTCATATTTATGTCCCTTTCTATAGCACCTAGCACAGTGACTAGTATAGTATAATGCACATAATAGATAAAAAATAGAAACAATTGAATTGAATTGGCCTCCCTGGTATGGTCAGGGATAGCTGAAAGGCACAGAAGGACTCCTTACAGTGATGGGGAAGGATGGATCTTTCTCTAAGCCCAAAGGAAAGGAAGACAGAGGTTGTTGTAAAGAGGTGGCAGTCTTTCTGGAGGGGGACAGAGAAGTGGTAGGAGGAATGACACCAGCCTACTGTGTGGGGATGTCGGTATTTTAGCAGAGTCCAGATCTGAACGATGCCGTGTCCAGTTTGCGAAGTCCTATTCCCCTCCTCCTGTCGTGTGCCTTTGTTCAGGTGGGGATGTATTTCATGTAGAAGGTAAGAGTGCAGCCACTGGCTTTGGGGGAGTCTGTGAAATAATATTTTTTAACTTCCCACACTAAACCGAAGTAATTCTTACCAGTATCTCTAGTTAGTGTTTCCAGCCTGGTCAATTATCAGCCACTGAAGGAAGAGATTTAGGCTCATCCCTATAATCCCAGCACTTTGGGATGGTGACGTGGGAGGATCGCTTGAGCCCAGGAGTTCCAGACCAGGCTGAGCAACATAGTTTAAGTCCAGGCTGAGCAACAGACCTTGTCTCTACAAAAAAATTAAAAATAAATAAATAAGAACTCCTCTACAAGACGTTAAAAAAATTAAAAATAAAAATTAGTTGGGTGTGGTAGCACAGGCCTGCAGTCCCAGCTATTGGGGGGGATGGGGTGGAAGGATCCCTTAAGCCCAAGAATTGGAGGCTGCAGTGAGCCATGATCTGGCCACTGTACTGTTGCCACTGGGCAACACAGTGAGACTGTCTCAAAAAATAACAAGTAAAATGAAAGAAGAGGGATCACATTTAGAAAAATCTTCTTATTCAGTCTTAAAGAAGTTTAGGAGATGCTGAGGCAGACTTTTGTGATGAGTCATTACTTTTTCTGAACTAAGAGGACTTCAGGATCTCCTAGAGCAGATAGATGATGGGGTTGGGGGAATACTTCTCCAAGCTTCCAAAATGTCTGAACAATCAAAGCTAGTTCCAGCCTGGCCACGTTTCAAGTCATGGCGAATGCCAGAGGGCAAAGTGGGTGGGTCTTACAACCTGGTAGAGTCAAGAGGCAAAGTTCAGAGGCAGAACGGATGGCGGTTCTCTGATGTATGGCAGGGCGGTGGGAGAGAAGGGAAGAGAAAGCCGTATTATAGGAAAAGAATTTTTAAATTGGGATGCTAAATAACCATTGATCATAGAGAGATTCAGCAGGAGGTGAAAGGACTGTGGAGGAGAGGGGTACACACACATCTTTCCCAGGAGCTATCACAGAGCAATCCCAGCTCAGAATATCTGGGGAGTTTCCATAGAGTGTGGGGGGCATGAAGGGGTTTCTCGGGTCTCCTGACTCCTTTTATTTTCTTTCTTTCTCTGCTTTTTTAGGTGGAAGAAGGCTGCTATGACTCTTTGGATGGGAGTCTGGCAAGAGGAAATTGGAAGATAAAATAAATAATAAGTGAAATAATCTGGTTACCATCTACTCCTTCATGAGTCTGTTCTAAAGTCACAACTAAAGAGAGCGCCAGGATTTAGAGGCAGCAAGCGTAGATTGGAAGGGGAGGTGGGTGACAATTGAATTAGAGGGCATTATGGACTGAATAAACCTGCAGTTTGGAGAAGACTGGAGAAGGGCACCCACAGACAACAGGTTTATTCACAGTCCATATTGGTAATTCTCTTGTTTTATTTTATTAAGTATGGTGTTGAAACAGTGTGCTTGGGGAAACGAGGTTGAGGTTTTAGAATCTTTTTTTCTTTTTATAAGAATAAGCACATTGTTAAAACATAAGGTAAAATATCAAAAACTACTTAGAATAGACTTAAAATATTCACACCTACCCACCCCTACCCACACCTCTGTCCAACAATGTGCCTTTTGCAGTTGGTAATTATGGCAGGGACAAACTCACTTAAATTTTTTTTTAATTCGCTATCCTCGGGACCCTAATTAGAATTGGGCTGCCCCCTTGCGGTCTCTCCGACGTCCTATCTTCAACCAGCTCACAGTCCTTGGGCCCTGCTCTCCTCTCCATTGTACTCTCAAAATGCAAGGCGCAACGACAATAGTAACGTCCCAGTTACTTCTGAGACTCTCTAAACTCTGGACTTGCCTCCCTCCCCTCCTTCAAAGTCTTTCGAATCTTCTCCAGCGGACAAATGAAGGGACTGAAGCTGGACAAAACCATAACCTAGGAGATCAGGGACCTACCCCATTCTGTTCCCCGTGCTTGGAATCAGATAATTTAGGACGCCGGGCCCGAGAAGCCTGGATAAAAAAGTCAGGAAAAACTGAGTTTCGTTTTGACCTCTAGCGTCGTGGCGGGCTGGCATCTGAGCTGGTAACGTGCGTGGTAGGTTATGTAAGAAAAGGGATGGAGGAGCCGCCCCAGCGGGAGCCAGAAAGGACGCGGTGTTCTCGGTTGCAATCCCCACCCTCCTCACCCAGCAGGGCAGGAGGCACCCAACTTGGAGGAGAAAGGGGTGGGGGAGGTGAAACAGAGACCGGAGAGTCACGAGGGCTGGGCCGCCGAGAGCAGGAGAATATACCGTGTCACACACCTCCATTCTCTCACACACGTTGCAGACACAAATCACTGACGGTTTCCACGTGCTGCGCTCGTGAGCGGAGGTGTTCAAAGAGGGGGCAGATGAGTTACTTCCCGAGACGGAACCGGGGGTCCCACGTCCGCCGCCTTCAGTAGCACAACCAATCTCTGAACACTCAAACCGCGCATCTCTGGCGCATCACCATCCTATTTAAGGCCACGGGCTCCGCCCTTTTCCTCCCCTCCCTTCTTTTCCACTCTTTTTCCATCCTCCTCCTTTTCTCATCACCGGGTCCTCTCCAGCAGCCGCATGTAGGGGAGGAGCACGGAATGCTTCCCTTACAGCCAATCATCACCTGGCTGCCTCTCTACTGGCTGAGCCCCTTTGTACTGTAGCAAATGGGCTATGGACTTCAGTAACTAGAGTCACGTGTTACCGGCGACACAACCAATGAGGGCGCGAGATCTGTGTAAGCAGGGGGAGGCACGTGCCGGGCCGCACGTGTCTGGGAGGGGGGGGAAGGGGCGGGGCCCACTGAGAGAGGCGGAGGTGGGTAGATAGACCCGGAGAGACGGCGAAGGAGCTGGAAACCGAGCCAGGGCTGAGCCGGCTGACAACAGGTAAGGAGATTCGGAGGACAAAGCGAGCTGTTAGGGAGTATTTGGGAGTGGATTTGGGGGCTGAATGCAGATCTTGGTATTGGGAGGGTTTGCATCACGTGGCAGGTGCGAGCCCAGAGAGACCGGCGCAGGGATCCTGATCTTGAAAGATTGGGAGAGGGCAGGAGGCCAGTCTCTATGGGGGCGGTTCCCGTAGGATCACCAGGTGGGTTCGCGTGCCCAGATTGACTGCTTGTGGGTGGCATGGCCTCAGGTGGAGAGGCTTGCTGCGGACTCAGGCTGGCGAATAGCCCTGGCGAACAACGGGCGGAGGGGAAGGTGTCTTTCAAGTCGGTATTTACTCTGAACTGAGGGAAGAAAAGAACGGAGGCCGCGTCAGACCGAGAGCTGCTCTGCGGCGGCCAGAGAGGGAATCCCAAGCTCTTAATGGGCGGGGGTGGGGGTAGAAATGTCTTTTTCTATTGTGTTTGAGACCGGTAATATTGGGGAGGGGGAGAACAAGTATTATCCCACGCAGTACACCCCAATCTCCCAGTTCATTTCCTAATCCTTAAACTCTGGTTTCAAACTCCCTCGCTTTGCTCTTCAGTTGCAGGTTCCGATCTTTGGGTACTCCAGGAGCTGTTCTATAGCCCCTGCTTCTGGACCTATGGATTCTCCATCTAGCGTTTCTTCCTATTCCTCCTACTCTCTCTCTTCGTCTTTTCCCACCTCCCCAGTGAACAGTGACTTTGGCTTCCCCTCTGATAGTGAGAGGGAGGACAAGGGGGCCCATGGGCCCAGGCCAGACACTGTTGGGCAGAGGGGAGGTTCACGGCCCAGCCCGGGTCCTATCCGCTGCAGGCATCGATCGAAGGTTTCCGGTAACCAGCATACACCATCTCATCCGAAACAGCGGGGTTCGGCTTCTCCTATGGCAGGATCTGGGGCGAAAAGATCAAGAGATGGTGAACTGGAGACCAGTCTAAACACCCAAGGTTGTACCACAGAGGGAGACCTGCTGTTTGCCCAGAAGGTAAGAGAAAGCAGGTGAAAGGAGATTCTCCTGGAGTGCCTTAGCACCCAGCTGGTTGATAAGGACCCTGTGAGGACAGTATTGACTCCCAGATTTGGAGGTGAAGGAAGAGCCACTGCTGGTGTGGGCAGTTTTTTGTCTTCTTACAGCCTTTGTCCTATTTTCCTACAGTGTAAAGAACTCCAAGGATTTATACCTCCTCTCACAGACCTACTCAATGGGCTGAAGATGGGTCGTTTTGAGAGAGGTAATCTTATTGTTGCATTCATTTGGGCTAGGTTCATTTCTCTTTCTCTTTCCCTCTTTTGACGTGTATTTCTCTGAAGTTCTTGTTTGGGGCCTATATTACTCCTTTTTTGCTACTATGACTTTATTATTATTATTATTATTATTATTATTTTGAGACGGAGTTTTGCTCTTGTTGCCCAGGCTGGAGTGCAATGGCGCGATCTCGGCTCACTGCAACTTCCACCTCCTGGGTTCAAGCGATTCTCCTGCCTCAGCCTCCCCAGTCGCTGGGATTACAGGCGCCCACCACCATGCCCAGCTAATTTTTGTTATTTTTAGTAGAGATGGGGTTTCGCTATGTTGGCCAGGCTGGTCTCAAACTCCTGACCTCAGGTGATCCACCCACCTCAGCCTCCCAAAGTGCTGGGATTACAGGCGTAAGCCACCTTGCCTGGCCCGACTTAATTTTTTTAGATCAATCAATTTTAACCCCCTTCTGTTCTTCCTTTACCTGACTACATGCTTGAATCTCAATCCTTAATCTCTCTCTGTCCCTGTCCCCAGGATTAAGCAGTTTTCAGCAGAGTGTGGCAATGGACAGGATCCAGCGTATTGTAGGTGTTTTGCAGAAGCCACAGATGGGGTAAGTCCCGCTGGTTCTTTGCTTGGGTCTTCATAAAAAGGAGATTTCTCCAATCCTGTTGCTGGTTTTTTAAAGCAACGTCATTTTCACAGGGAACGTTACCTAGGAACCTTGCTACAGGTAGAAGGGATGTTAAAGACTTGGTTTCCACAAATAGCTGCCCAGAAGTCATCATTGGGTGGTGGCAAGCATCAGCTGACCAAGGTAAGAACTTAAGAACACGAGGAAGAGGTGGGAAAATAGCCAAGAAAATGAAATGTGCATGCAGAAATGGCCCCTTTTGCCATTTTCTTTTGAGTCTTTTCTTCAAGTTTCTTTTCAGGGAAGGAAATTCCTAAACTTTCTGCATTGTCTTGATTCCTACATGTTTTGTTGTTGTTGTTGTTGTTGTTGTTTTGTTTGAATCACTGGGAGGAACTCCATGAAGTTTAATCCTATCCCTCATGCCACAGCTTATCTGCTTTCTGCGTAGATACAAAAGGCTTTTTACCTGGCCAAATGATTCATGCGGGAATACACCTCAGCTTCTCTCTGCAAACTCTTTTTTCCCTACTGCCCCCAAACCCTTCCCTTCTCCTTCTTTTCATTTCTGCCCACGTATCCTTGTGCCAAACCCTTTGACAGTTTTTGAGTCTACACTGGGTTTCAAGGACTGGTCATAAGAGGTACCTCACTGGAAGTAGGGGAGGGGGGCACCAATAGCAGCAGTGTTGATAGATTCTTAGACCTGGTATAGAAGTGACCTATTTTCAGCCGGGAGCGGTGGCTCACACCTGTAATCCCAGCACTTTGAGAGGCCAAGGCGGGTGGATCATGAGGTCAGGAGTTCGAGACCAGCCTGGCCAAGATGGTGAAACCCCGTCTTTACTAAAAATACAAAAATTTGCCAGGCATGGTGGCGCACGCCTGTAGTCTCAGCTACTCGGGAGGCTGAGGCAGGAGAATTGCTCGAACCCGGGAGGCAGAGGTTGCGGTGAGCCGAGATCGTGCCATTGCACTCCAGCCTGGGAGACAAGAGCGAAACTCCATCTAAAAAAAAAAAAAAGTGACCTATTTTCTGTCCTCAAATAATAGGGTATGTAGAGGGCATTCAAATGACGGAGAAGGAGAGTCTCCTGTAGATAATCACCAGTCCTAATTTTCAATCAGCCATGGTTATTATTGCTGTGACTAATCTATTAAAAAATAAGTAGGCCAGGCACAGTGGCTCACTGTAATCTTAGCACTTTGGGAGGCCAAAGCAGGAGGATTGCTTGAGCCCAGGAGTTTGAGACCAGCCTGGGCAACATGGTGAAGGCTGCTATCTACAAAAAATACAAAAAGTAGGTGGGCATGGTGGCGTGCACCTGTAGTCCCAGCTGAGGCTGGGTGGGAGGCTGAGGTGGGAGGATCTCTTGAGCTTGGGAGGTCGAGGCTGCAGTAAGCCATGATTGTGCCAGCCTCGTTGACAGAGTGAGACCCTGTCTCAAATATAAAATTTTAAAAAAACAGTAGGAGGATCTTGCCTGAATATTAATTTACACTTCTTAAAGAACTCAAGATAGAATATTCGAATTTAAATACAGAATTTGGGAAATGATGATTCCAATTAAAAATAGACTTCAAAGAAATTCTAAAAGGGATTATTTTATAAATAGTGAGAACCTATGGAACTGTTTGTTTTTTCTTCATCTCTGGATATCCAGTGTCTAATATAGTATGTGGTCCATAGTAGGCCATTTATTTGTTTAATAAATGAAAGTATAATTTAGTTACCAAAACTTTTACTTAATCATGGCCTGGCAAGATCATATCTGTTGCATAAAACGAGGTATGTTTGCATTGCAAACTGAGTTCCCAAGGAATGCAAAGGTTTAAGTAACCAGGTGGAGCTCATCTGAATGCTTTCTCCACATTTCTTTTTTTCTCATTTCTCCCCTCTCTAGCATTTTCCAAGCCACCACAGTGATTCAGCTGCTTCCTCTCCTGCATCTCCTATGGAAAAGATGGACCAGACACAGCTAGGACATCTAGCTTTAAAACCAAAGCAGCCTTGGCACCTCACACAATGGCCAGCTATGAACCTCACCTGGATCCACACCACTCCAATTTGCAACCCCCCTCTCAGCTCCCCAGGTACTATCTCCTTTAGCCATGGTCCTTTAGGCACTGGAACCGGCATTGGCGTCATTCTTTTCCTCCAGCATGGAGTGCAACCCTTCACCCACTCTGCCCCAACCACCCCAGTCCCACCTACTACAGCATCTCCTGTCATCCCTGGTGAGCCTATGAAACTATCTGGAGAGGGTCCTCGTTGCTACAGTTTGCCAGTAACTCTGCCATCAGACTGGAGCTATACCCTATCCCCTCCCAGTCTACCCACCTTGGCCAGAAAGATGACCATAGGACACCGGGAGCAGCAGAGAAGCCATCCTCCAGTTGCTGCTGATGCTCATCTTCTCAACCTCTAGCCCAGGGCATACAGCTGTCCACTGTGACTTCTAATTTGTGTAAATATTTATGTATATATGTATTTTTACTATTAATGTGTGCATTTGTGTTGAGGGAAGATAAATCCTTTCTGATTAAAGAAATTTTTTTATACCTAAACAGTTTGCTGATTGGGGGAAATTGAAAACTTTCTGCTTCCAAAACCAATCCTTATCCTCTGAGCTGCAGAAAAGTAGAAAAGGGATGGGGATGTTTGTGAACATGAGCTCTACCAAGTTAGAGTCTGGATGACAATATAAGACTTATAGGAGAAGGGGACTGTGCTGCTGTTTTCCTGGGACATCCTTGAAACAGTTACAGAGTTCAGAGTTGGGTTTATGGGGTTTTTTTGTTGTTGTGTTTTGAGATGCAGTCTCGCTCTGTTTCCCAGGCTAGAGTGCAATGACACGATCTCAGCTCACTGCAACCTCCGCCTCCTGGGTTCAAGTGATTCTCAGGCCTCAGCCTCCTGAGTAGCTGAGGTTACAGCCCATGCCACCATGCCCAGCTAATTTTTATATTTTTGTAGATACGGGGTTTCACTACACGTTGGCCAGGCTGGTCTCAAACTCCTGACCTCAAGTGATCCACCTACCTCAGCCTCCCAAAGTGCTGGGATTACAGGCGTGAGCCACCACGTGCAGCCAGGTTTATGTTTTCATTCAGGCTCAGAGACTCTACCTTTCCCCTTGTTTTGACACCTTTGTAATCTTCCAGCTGGCCCAGACTTGCAGGTTCTTCTGCTCCGGGCTAGCTCTTTGCTTTGATGGGAGCTGTTGATGCCCGTGGTAAATGCATATGTAGGTTTCTGCTGCCAGAGGAAGAACACAAGAGCCAAAACAGCCACTGTGGTTGCCAGTTTTAAAGAGGAAAGGGCTCCTTAGAATTGTCAGACATGGGAACACCTCAAGACACTAGGCTTCATACTTACTCAAAAAGCTGCAGTTAGGTCAGGCGCAGTAGCTCATGCCTGTAATCCCAGCACTTTGGGAGGCTGAGGTGGGCAGATCACTTGTGGTTAGGAGTTTGAGACAAGCCATGGCCAACATGGTAAAACCCTGTCTCTACTAAAAATATAAAAAAATGAACCGGACATGGTGGTGGGTGTCTGTAATCCAAGGTACTCGGGAGGCTGAGGCAGGAGAATCACTTGAACCTGGGAAGTGGAGGTTTACTGCCCTCCAGCCTGGGTGACAAAATGAGACTCTGTCTCAAAAAAAAAAAAGCTGCAGGTGCTAGATGTATGCTAGACTAAGGGAGGCAACTCAGAGTTAGAAGGAGGCAAAAATGAAGACCATGAATGGATCTATAACTGCCCTTCTTTGTATTTTATCCTCTTTCTGATGTGTCTCACTTTCCACCAAAACCATTTCCTCTCCCATCCTAATCCTGTGTAGGGCATCAGGCTTCTCTGACAACTTAGTCATTGCTTATTGGCTCTTTAGTGTGTTTCTCATAAGTAGTTACACATCTTTCCCCCATTTCTCAAGTCTTCTGTTCTCAGTGAATAATTGTCTCGCCTTATTTTCAGAGAGTATGACCTCCTTTTAAAGGCAAACCTATCCATTTGTGCTTCTGATTACCTTCACCTCTGGAACTTTTGCTGTGTCACATATCCCCTCTTTATCTTGTAACTTCAGTTTGTCCCAACAATAATTATTTGTCCAAGTATCACAAGTATGATCAGACCAGAGTGGTGGCAATGGAATGGTTTGATCACAAATATGATCAGATCCTTCCTCCTTGAAAACATCTCTTAAGGCTGATTGTCCTCTTATTTTCTCCATACTTCTTGACAATGTAGTCTATTTATACTCTTTCTGATTCCTTTCTGCCACTCAGTCCTTAACCCCTTGCAGCCTAGCTTCTGCTGCTTTCACCTTGTTGCACCTTCCGAGGTCACTAATGAGCCCACAGAACCAGTATTATAATCTAGCTTCCACCTAATCAACAGCTATACCCTTTACAAAGGCTACGTACATTATGCTCTCTGTATCATTTGACACTCGATGCTGCCTACTGAAACTCTCCGCCCTCAGATCCCATGACAGCACACTACCCTAATCCTCCTCTTACCTATCTGGCAGCAATGTCTAGGTCTCTTAAGGGCCCCACTTCAACCTACTCCAAAGTGTGGGTGTTCCCCTAGACTCAGGCCTTGGCCCTTTTCTCTGACTATATCCTTTCATGGCTTTAATTATTGCTTCAACTTAGAAGACTGCTACAGCTTTATCTCTAGTCCCAATCTTTCCCCTGGGATGGCATACTGTTTAAATTTCTGTTGGACAGTTTTATTTACATATTGCTGGTACTTAAACATTATTGAAACTTTCAGTGTTTTAGAGCCAACATAAGCCTCTTGGCCGGGCGCTGTGGCTCACGCCTGTAATCCCACACCAGAGGCAGGCAGATCCCTGGAGGTCAGGAGTTCAAGACCAGCGTGGCCAACATAGGGAAACCCTGTCTCTATTAAAAATACAAAAATTAGCTGGGCGTGGTGGTGCACACCTGTAGTCCCAGCTACTCAGGAGGCTGATGCACCAGAATTGCTTGAACGCGGGAGGCGGAGGTTGCAGTGAGCTGAGATGCGCCACTGCACACCAGCCTGGGTGACAGAGTAAGACTCCCTCTCAAAAAAAAAAAAAATGCCTCTTGTATATCCAGTTCAACCCAACCTCCTCATTTGATACATAAAGAAACTTAGGGCCAGGTGCAGTGGCTCACACCTATAATCCCAGCACTTTGGGAGGCCAAGGCAGGTGGACCACCTGAGGTCGGGAGTTCAAGACCAGCCTGACCAACATGGAGAAACCCCATCTGTACTAAAAATACAAAAAAAAAAAATTAAGCTGGGCATGGTGGTGCATGCCTTTAATCCCAGCTACTCTGGAGGCTGAGGCAGGAGAATCCCTTGAACCTGGGAGGCGGAGGTTGCGGTGATCCAAGATTAAGCCATTGCACTCTGGCCTGGGCAACAAGAGTGAAACTCCGTCTCAAAAAAAAAAAAAAGAAACGAAACTTAGGAGACTTATCTAGGACAACACAATATGTGGACAGAACTCGGTTTCCAGTCTGATGTGTTTTCCAGTAATCACCAATCAAATTATTCTTTCCTGAAAACATGTCCTGCTACCACTTTTTTTCTTTTTTTTTGAGACAGAGTCTCACATGTCACCCAGGCTGGAGTACAATGGTGCGATCCCGGCTCACTGCAACCTCCGCCTCCTAAGTTCAAATGATTCTGCCTCAGCCTCCTGAGTAGCTGGGATTACAGGCACCCACTACCACATCCAGCTATTTTTTGTATTTTTAGTAGAGATGGGCTTTCACCATGTTGGCCAGGCTGATCTTGAACTCCTGACCTCATGATCCACCCACTTCGGCCTCCCAATCCCACGCCTGCTGGGATTACAGGCGTGAGCCACTGTGCCAGCCAGCTACCACTTTTTACAGTCTCCTCTTCTGTTAGTGCTATCTGTGGTATCACTAAGTACCATAGTTTTTTGTTTTGTTTTGTTTTTTCCTGGATAACTAGGCTTAAAATTTGGTGCCATCTGGTCACCAGATCCTTTTTATTCTTTATTTGGAATATCTCTTAAAATCCATTTCTTCCTATCCATTCCATTGCCACCAGTCTGGTCTAGACTTCACTGTACCAGTAGTCTCTCTTCTAATCCCTTTTCGCTGATAACCAAGTTAATTTTCCTAGAACAGTGCTTTGCATATCATATCCTATTCAAATTCTTCAATGGCTCTCGAATGCTTTGAGAAGAAAGTCCAAAATCTTTAGTCACAGTCTCTATTTTTCCCTGTGCTCCCCTGCATGATCTCTCTGTTGCAGGTTTTTGTTTTGTTTTGTTTTGACTCCTGAACACTACACCTTTTTGCCCCTAAGCTCTTGTTCATGCTGTTCACCTTGCCAAACCTTTCCTGCTTCTGTTATCTAAACCCTGCCCTCTTTCAACGACTAACTCAAGTCCATCCTATCATTCTTTCTGTTAAACATGATCTATACACTCAGTGTTTGGCCGTTTACTCCATTAAATGGAATCATGTACATAAAATACCTAGTGCAGGGTTTGGGGCCTGGTGGGGTGGCTCACACTTGTAATCCTAGCACTTTGGGAGACCAGCCTGGACAACATAGTGAAACTATTAAAAATACAAAAAATTAGTCTCTACTAAAAATACAAAAAATTAGCTAGGCGTAGTGGCATGTCCCTGTAATCCCAGCTACTCGGGAGGCTGAGGTGGAAGGATCACCTGAGCTCAGGAGGTCCAGGCTACAGTGAGCTATGATGGTGCCACTGCATTCTAGCCTGGGCAACAAGAGTGAGACTCTGTTTCAGAAAAACAAAAACAAAAATAAAAAACACCCACCTAGTACAGGGTTTAGTATATAGTAGGCTCTCAAAAATGTTACTCTCCAGCTGATCCAATGGTAGTGGTTAACAGAACTTATTAACATCAGTTCCTGTCTCCCTTCCTTTCTTTCAAAGTATCTTCATATTTTTTTTCTCTTTTTTTTTTTTTTTTTTTTGGAGACAGAGTCTCGCTCTGTCACCCAGGCTGGAGTGCAGTGGCACCATCTCAGCTCACTGCAACCTCCACCTCCAGGGTTCAAGTGATTCTCTTGCCTCAGCCTCCCAAGTAGCTGAGACTACAGGCGAGCGCCGCCACGCCCAGCTGATCTTTTGTATTTTTAGTAGAGACGGGGTTTCACTGTGTTAGCCAGGATGGTCTCGATCTCCTGACCTCGTGATCCACCCGCCTCAGCCTCCCAAAGTGCTGGGATTACAGGCGTGAGCCACCGTGCCCGGCATATCTTCATATTTTATTCTATTTGATTCCCATGACAAATTTCGTGAGACTGAACAGGGCAAAATTAGTCCCATTTTAGAGATGAGGAAATAGAGTGAGTCTGGCAAGGGCCAGATAGTAAATATTTTAGGCTTTGTAGGCTTTATGTCTCTATTGCAACTACCCAATTCGGCCATCGTAGCCCAAAGCAGCCATACATAACACACAGTCAAATAAGCATGACTGTAGGTCAACAGCCTTATTTACAAAAACAGGTGGAGCAGGATTTGACCTGTAAACTGTAGTCTCCAGACCCCTGGTTTTAAATGACTTCTTCAAGGTCATAGGCCTGATGAGTATTAGAATTGGGATAGAATCCAGATCTCCCAACTTTGAAGCCAGTGCCTTTCACCACATTATGCTGTGGCATATTTTATTTATTATTTGTTTGTTTATTTATTTTTTGAAATGGAGTTTCACTCTTGTTGCCCAGGCTGGAGTGCAATGGTGCGATCTCGGCTCACTGCCACCTCCGCCTCCCAGGTTCATGTGATTCTCCTGCCTCAGCCTCCCAAGCAGCTGGGATTACAGGCATGTGGCACCACGCCTGGCTAATTTTGTATTTTTAGTAGAGACAGGGTTTCACCATGTTGGCCAGGCTGGTCTCAAACTCCTGACCTCAGGTGATCTACCCGCCTCAGCCTCCCAAAGTGCTGGGATTACAGGCGTGCGCCACCGCGCCTGGCCCTATTTATTTATTTATTCATTTTTAATTTTTTGAGACAGGGTCTCACTCTATTGCCCAGGCCAGGGTGCAGTGGTGTGATCAAAGCTCGCTGCAGCCTTGACCTTCCAGGCTCAGGTGATCCTCCCCCTCAGCCTCCCAAGTAGCTAGGACAACAGGCCATGCCACTACACCCGGCTAATTTCTATATTTTTTGTAAAGACGGAGTTTTGCTTTGTTGCCCAGGCTGGTCTCGAACTTCTGGGCTCAAGTGATCCGCCTGCCTTGGCCTCCCAAAGTGCTGGGATTACAGGTGTGAGCCACCGCGTCCAGCCCATATAATTTATTTTGCATTTATTATATACTACTTTGTTTTAGTATCTTTTATGTGGTCCTAGTGGTCCAGGAGGCACTAGAGTGGTATCAACAGTATCTGACACAGAGTAGTCATTCAGTGAAAGTTTGTTGACAAGCATAATAATGTCCCAATCTAGTTCTATTTCGTTACTTTGGACCTGGCTTACTCTGAGGTGGGCTTAAGTGTTAGTGTAAGTTATTAGCATCAACTGATGATGCACACGTCTGTGTCTGTGTCTGTGTGTGTGTGTGTGTGCGTGAGCGTGCGCGCGCACTCTCTCTCTAAGGGAGGTACGTTTTCCTACAGCCATTAGATGTTAACTTACGTGAATAACCATAAATGGATATGTACAGGTAGCATACAAATAGGAGGACGGGTGTCTCCACAGCGAAGAAGAAATTTAAAAGGAGGTTTTTCAGTAGGTCTCATTAGCACGAAAAGGCATAGAAGCTGACATAATTTTTTATTCTAAACCCTGCAGGTGTTTCCCATATATCTTTATTGATTTCACTTTATGTAGTTAAATTAGTGGGAAGATGATATAGGAAACTCACAGTATGTTTATTTCTTTTCCTTAGCACTTAGGCAGATGACGTGTATGAATCAATCTATTTTTCGTCCGGAGAGCAGATCTCAAAGAGTCTGTCCTTTCCAAAGAGAAAACAGGAAGCATCCTCAGGAAGCGCCTACTTCTCTTGTTTTCCATCGAGAAAGAGAAATGGCTCAAATATTTATCAAGGATTTCACAGGATTAAGGGGTATGAAATTGGGCTGACCTTCTCAGAGGCCGAAGGACTTCGACTCCATGAGAGGGCGAGAAACGTGTTTCGGGGGAATTTAAGTCAATGAGTATTTTGCTTTGTCAGGTGTAGAGTCCAGGCCCGGGGAAGAGAGGCAGTCAACAGAGGCCAGAAAGGACGTTGCTATGGTTTCCACGCACGTTGTCTCCCTCGGCCTGTTTCTTTGCGCGGCGCTGGCGATTCCGTAATTTCCGCTTCCGGTAGTGAGAACCCTTCCGGTGGGCTAGGTACTGAGCGCGCGAGGTGAGGAGTTGTGCAGGGTTTGGGGAAAGGAAGGCTGGCTTGGCGAGAGGGCAGGTTTGCGGGCTTTCGCCCCCTTTTCCAAAGACCAACAAAGAGTCCTTCCCCAACTCCCAACTCAACCCCTTTTGGAACTATGTGTGGTGGTTGGGACCCTGTGGCGCATCCTTGTCGCTCGTGTCCTTCTCATGCCCGGCGACGCGTCTTTGTGGTAACGCCCTGCTGCCATCTCTTTTCTTCTCTATGCGAGGATTTGGACTGGCAGTGAGAATAAGAGACAACGATTCACGTCTACTTTCTAGGATGACTTCCATGTGCTCCATCTCGCGCGTCCCTGAGCATGTTGAATTTCCAAATCCTAAATAAGCCGCGCGGTGTAGTTTGTATTATGTTGCGTTTCTCTTTCTGCTTTCCTCGCCCTTTCTCCATCATCCTTTAGGCTCTACAGAGTGAAGGTTTAAATCCAAGGTCATGGCAAAACATCTGAAGTTCATCGCCAGGACTGTGATGGTACAGGAAGGGAACGTGGAAAGCGCATACAGGACCCTAAACAGGTAACTGTTAAGGGACCAGAATCATGCCTAGACTCTCTGGGAAGTGCGGTGGTTATTCTCTCCCTTCCCCTTTCGTTGATTGTTCTCAAAACAGTGCCAGCCCAGGTGTTCACAGTCTCTTAAAACGTCTCAGCCCCTCAGTTTATTATCTTAAAAATGAAGTTCTGGGCCGGGCGCGGTGGCTCACGCCTGTAATCCCAGCACTTTGGGAGGCCGAGGCGGGTGGATCACATGCGGTCAGGAGTTTCAGACCAGCCTGGCCAACATGGTGAAACCGTGTCTCTACTAAAAATACAAAAATTAGCCGGGCGTGGTGGCAAACGCCTGTAATCTCAGCTACTCGAGAGCTGAGGCAGGAGAATCGCTTGAACCCGGGAGGCAGAGGTTGTAGTGAGCCAAGATCGAGCCACTTGCACTCCAGCCTGGGCAAGAGTGAGACTCTATCTCAAAAAAAAAGAAAAAAAGTTCTTCCTCAAACCTAACTGTATGAATTGTATTCAACAAGTAATCACCCCCCGCACCTCCCCGCTTTTAATTTTAATTTTAATTTTTTTTTTTTTTTTTGAGGCAGAGTCTCGCTCTGTCACCCAGGCTGGAGTGCAGCGGCACGATCTCGGCTCACTGCAAGCTCCGCTTCCTGGGTTCACGCCATTCTCCTGCCTCAGCCTCCTGAGCAGCCAGTACTACAGGCTCCCGCCACCACGCCCGGTTAATTTTTGTATTTATAGTAGAGATGGGGTTTCACCGTGTTGGCCAGGATGGTCTTGATCTCCTGACCTCAAGTGATCTGCCTGCCTCTGCCTCCCAAAGTGCTAGGATTACAGGCGTAAGCCACAGCGCCCGGCCCCGCTTTTTAAAAATTGAGACAGGGTCTTGCTGTGTCACTCAACAATCCTCCTGCCTCAGTCTCCTGACTAGCTGGGTCTAGTGACGCACGCCACCACCGCAGTTAATTTTTGTATTTTCTGTACAGAGGGAGTCTCGCCATGTTGCCCAAGCGTAATGACTCCTTTTATGAGGAACCTGAATTCTTTAGAAGACTTAAAAAAGAGCCCAAATGGAAAATCAAGATGTGAAGTTGCTAGGAAGCGGGAACGTAGTATGATAAATAGAAAGCTGAGGGAGTGATTGGTGTGGGACAAAGCTAAAGGAAAAGGTGAATTCAGATTGGCATCCTAGAGAAGCAGGCAAAAGATGGGAAAGCTCACTGGGTGGGATGACTCACACCTGTAATCCTAGCACTTTGGGAAGCCTAGTGGGGAGGATTGCTTGTTGCCAAGAGTTCAAGACCAATCTGGTAAACATAGCAAGACCCCATTTCTAAAAATATTAAGAAGAAAGGGAAAAAAAGAAAGATGGGAAAGCTTACAAGTTTTCAGGAAAGATACAGCATAAGGAAAAATACATAAATGGAAACAAACTAGCTGGGGTGGAGGAGCTTTATAGCTTCATTGAAAATTTTTGAATGCCAGGCTAAGAGATGTAGAAGAGCCCTAGTAATACTTTTTTTTTTTTTTTTTTAAAACGGAGTCTTGCTCTGTTGCCAGGCTGGAGCGCAGTGGTGCAGTCTCGGCTCACTGCAGCCTCCGCCTCCTGGGTTCAATTGACTCTTCTGCCTCAGTCTCCTGAGTAGCTGGGACTACAGGTGCCCACCACCACGCCTGGCTGATTTTTGTATTTTTAGTAGAGAGGGTTTCACCACGTTAGCCAAGATGGTCTCAATCTCTTGACCTCGTGATCCACCCGCCTTGGCCTCCCAAAGTGCTGGGATTACAGGCATGAGCCACTGCATCCGGCCCAGCCCTAGTAGTACTTTACCACTGAATTCTCAAGCAAAAAGTTCTTAACCTTCCCTTCTCACCAGTTGTGTGGATTTTGACTTTCTGGTATGACTCACGCGTCATTTTCTTTCCCCAATGTGAAGTAACATTTGGAGAAACAAACGCTTGTTGAGTTGAATTATCAAAGAATTGTAAGGAAGGGGCTCCTGTAGTGCTAGCTGCTCCAGAGGCTGAGGCAAGAGGATTGCTTGAACCCAGGAGTTCAAGACTGTAGTGTGAGTGCACTCTTGTTGTGCCTGTGAATAACCACTCCACTCTAACCTAGGAAGCATAGTGAGACCATGTCTCTTAAAAAAAATGTAGGAAAGATATTGCATGGGCTGCATTAAGGCCTTTAATGTGGTAGCTTTATTTCACAAGTAAGGGAAGCCTTGGAAGATCAGATTATCTTTATTGGGTTATGCAGTTATTGAATGGTGGAGAGGAGCCTAAAGCACATCTTTTTAGTGCAATGTTCTTTAATAATTATTACTAGTCTTACTAGAAATGGAAAGACTTATGGTGGTTCATTTTCCAATTTAGAATCCTTGTCTTGTCATTTCAGCAGGTGTCGCTTTAAAAAAAAAACCAGAATCCTCATCTGATTGGGTTTAAATATTGGTAGGGTTCTTGAGGACTGAGAGGGCAAAGGAAAGGGAACCTAGTTCTTAGCAAAGCAGAGAGTTCTAGGTGTGGAAGGCTGGATGGCAGAAGACCACAGTGAGGAAAAAAATGCTGTCAGCCGGGCGCGGTGGCTCACGCCTGTAATCCCAGCACTTTGGGAGGCCAAGGCGGGCGGATCACGAGGTCAGGACATCGAGACCATCCTGGCTAACACGGTGAAACCCCGTCTCTACTAAAAATACAAAAGATTAGCCGGGCGTGGTGGCACACACCTGTAGTCCCAGCTACTGAGGAGGCTGAGACAGGAGAATCGCTTGAACCCGGGAGGAGGAGGTTGCAGTGAGCCGAGAGCGTGCCACTACACTCCAGCCTGGGCAACAGAGCGAGACTCTGTCTACAAAAAAAAAAAGAAAAAATGCTGTCAGAAGCTGTGTAAATGAGAAGCAGTTGCAGGCTCAGAATGGTTTCTATGTCTTTTAAAAGGATCTGGTCTTAGGGTCAGGCGTGGTGGCTCATGCCTGTAATCCCAGCACTTTGGGAGGTTCAGGCGGGTGGATCACCTGAGGTCAGGAGTTCAATACCAGCCTGGCCAACATAGCGAAACCCTGTCTCTACTAAAAATACAAAATTAGCCATATGTGGTGGCAGGCGCCTGTAATCTCAGCTACTTGGGAGGCTGAGGCAGGAGAATCACTTGAACCTGGGAAATAGAGGCTGCAGTGAGCCAGAATCGTGCCACTGCATTCCAGTCTGGGCCACAGAGTAAGACTCAAAAAAAAAAATCTGGTCTGGGGTCAGCCACATCACTTAATTCTATGTGCATAACAATTATATCCTTGGGCTGAAGCTGTTCCCTCTACATTGTCACCTATGCTGAGAGTAAAGATAAGTACCAGGTTGTAAGGTATCCTGTTTCATTTTTCTCTGTTTCTCCTCATTTCTAACTCTCCTATTTCATACCTTCTGGTGGCATGTCTGAGAAGTATATTATGTCTAATGACCTTTCTCTGGCCCTACTTTGCTATCTTGGAAGTACAAAATGAACTTTTTTTTTTTTGAGACAGAGTTTCACTCTTATTGCCCAAGCTGGAGTGCAATGGTGCCATCTCGGCTCACCGCAACCTCTGCCGCCCATGTTCAAGCGTTTCTCCTGCCTCAGCCTCCTGAGTAGCTGGGATTACAGGCATGCGCCACCAAGCCCAGCTAATTTTGTATTTTTACTAGAGATGGGGTTTCTCCAGGTTAGTCAGGCTGGTCTCTAACTCCCAACCTCACATGATCCACCCGCCTTGGCCTCCCAAAGTGCTGGGATTACAGGCTTGAGCCACTGCACCTGGCCTAAAATGAACGTCTTTATAGGTAACATCCAGACCCTGCAGTGAGTTAGCTAGGGAGATGAATGTTGAATTTGGGAAAAGGCATGTATTACGTGTAACTTCACTCTTTTTTTCTGACTTCTCCCTGTAAATCTTCTTCTGTATGATTTATTTTGGTAGATTTAGATAGGTCTTCTGGCCATGGTTGTTGAGATGTTTGTTATTGAAAGATCAAAGGATAGCTGTTGCTTAATGGTAAAACAAATTTCCAACAGGCTCAGTTTTAGTTCCCTTATTCCTAAAGTATAGATAACACAAAAGCAAGAATTTTGTTTTTAGAAAATTAGCTACTTTGACAAAAAACAACAAAATTTGTGGTACAGTATTATTTATTGAACCACTTTTTTTTTGAGACGGAGTCTCCCTCTGTCGCCCAGGCTGGAGCGCAGTGGCGCAATCTCTGCTCACTGTGACCTCCGCCTCCCGAGTTCAAGCGATTCTCCTGCCTCAGCCTCCCGAGTAGCTGGGACTACAGGCGCATGCCACTACCCCGGCTAATTTTTTGTATTTTTAGTAGAGACGGGGTTTCACCATGTTAGCCAGAATGGTCTCGATCTCCTGACCTCGTGATCTGCCCACCTCAGCCTCCCAAAGTGCTGGGATTACAGGCGTGAGCCACCATGCCCAGCTGAACCACTTCTTACAGTTGTATCAAGAGAGTAGCGGCTGGGTGCAGTGCCTCAGTCTTGTATTCTCAGCAATTTGGGAGGCTAAGAATGGTGGATCACTTGAGGCCAGGAGTTCGAGACTAGCCTGGCCAACATGGCGAAACCCCGTCTTTACTAAAAATACAAAAATTAGCCATGCATGGTGGCACAGGTCTGTAATCCCAGCTACTCCGTAGGCTGAGGCAGAAGAGCCGCTTGAACCTGGGAGGCAGAGACTGCAGTGATGCCCCATATCATATATGGAATGCATCCCCATTTACACCTAAAATTTGAAACAGAATCTGAGAAACAAAATATTTCTAATCTCCTTCCTGATCCTCTTCACTGATACCAGGTTTGCAGAAAATATAAGGCCAGCTCTTATCTTTTGAGAGAAGACTCTTATTTCTTTGTCTAAGATTGTCTATACCCCTTTTTATCTGCCTCTTTTAAAAATCCTTGTCCAGCCACTATATTTTTAATTTAATCAACACTCAGTTTTTGCTTTTCCTGTTTTTTTTTCTGTTTTTTGTTTGTTTGTTTGTTTGTTTGTTTGAGACGATGTCTCGCTCTTGTCCCCCAAGCTGGAGTGCAGTGGCATGATCTCGGCTCACTGCAACCTCCGCCTCCCAGGTTCAAGTGATTCTCCTGCCTCAGCCCCCCGTGTAGCTGGGATTACAGGCACTTGCCACCACGCCTGGCTAGTTTTGGTATTTTTAGTAGAGACGGGGTTTCACCATGTTGGCCAGGCTGGTCTCGAACTCCTGACCTCAGGTGATCCACCCGCCTCTGTCTCCCAAAGTGCTGGGATTACAGGTGTGAGCCACCACACCCAGCCCACATACTACTTTTATGGTTCTCTTTTTGTTGGTGACTGGCATTTTACACAAACCTATTTCCTGGGTCGAAGTGTTAATATTAGAGAGCCGGAGAGTGGTCAGTGTGACACCCTGTGGTTTCAACCCTGGCTGCCTATTAGGATCACCTAGGGAACGAACCATCAAGAAAACAAAACTAATGCCAGGGCCCAATCTGAGATGAATCAGAATCTCCAGGGGTTGCAACCTGGATGGCAGCATTTTAAAAAACATACCATGAGATTTCACCAGGATTGAAAATTATTATAATAGACTTGTAGCCTCCTGGCTGGGCACAGTGACTCATGCCTGTAATCCCAGCACTTTGGGAGGCTGAGGGGGGCGGATCATTTGAGGTTAGGAGTTCAAGACCAGCCTGGCCAACATGGTAAAACCCCGTCTCTACTAAAAATATAAAAATTAGCCGGGTATGATGGTGCATACCTGTAATCCCAGCTATTCGGGAGGCTGAGGCAGGAGAATCGCTTGAACCTGGGAGCTGGAGGTTGCAGTGAGCCGAGATCGCGCCACTGCACTCCAGCCTGGGTGACAAAGTGAGACCCTGTCTCAAAAAAAAAAAGGCTTGTAGCCTCCTTAAGGACAGAAACCTATGCTTTTTCATTTGTGTATCTCTTGGATTTACCAAAGTGTCTGGCACATCCAAAGCTCTCATTAAATGTCTACTTAATGAACATAAATGTTCCTTTATCTTTTTTGTCACTTATTTAATGTTTGTCAAACTTTTTTACTGAAGTGTCGTTAACAGCAGAGGAGAGTGAATGAACTATAGGGGTTCTGCTACTATAAGCAAACATGGAATTTCTTTGAAGCTTCCCTAAATTAAAATGTAAGGTGAACTTCGTATTCGTTGCCATTGCATCTGTTTTATGGGTAACACCCCCACTCCTTCGAGTTAAAATTGGTGCCTCCAGGCAGATGCATCAAATTTGTCCAGAAACTTGTATCCTTTGGCATTCTGTTAATTACCCTGGTTAAGAAGCACAGTATTACCTTTTCTTCAGGGATTAAAACACCAAAGTAGGAGTAGGATTTGGAAAAAAGCAATTTACATTGCTTAAAAAGAAAAGAATTATATTCTTTTCTTTTTAAGAAAGAAGAGGAGTGGTTAGAAAAATAAATTTGGCCAGGCGCGGTGGCTCACCCCTGTAAGCTCAGCACTTTGGGAGGCCGAGGCGGGTGGATCATCTGAGGTCAGGAGTTCAAGACCAGCCTGGCCAACATGATGAAACCCTGTCTCTACTAAAAAAAATACAAAAATTGGCCGGGCGCGGTGGCTCATGCCTGTAATCCCAGCACTTTGGGAGGCTGAGGGGGGCGGATCACGAGGTCAGGAGATCGAGACCATCCTGGCTAACACAGTGAAACCCCGTCTCTACTAAAAATACAAAAAATTAGCTGGGCGCCGTGGCGGGCGCCTATAGTCCCAGCTACTCGGGAGGCTGAGGCAGGAGAATGACGTGAACCCGGGAGGCGGAGCTTGCAGTGAGCCAAGATGGCGCCATTGCACTCCAACCTGGGGGACGAGAGCGAGACTTCGTCTCAAAAGAAAAAAAATTAGCCGGACATGGTGGCAGGTGCCTGTAATCCCAGCTACTCAGGAGGCTGAGGCAGGAGAATCGCTTGAACCCAGGAGGCGGAGGTTCCAGTGAGCCGAGATCGCGCCATTCATTGCACTCCAGCCTGGGGGACGAGAGCGAGACTTCGTCTCAAAAAAGGAAAAGAAATTCAAGTCCCATAGACTCAGAGTCCCATAAATTGTATTATAGCTTCGCGGGGCAGGGGGGAAATGAACAAATATTTCAGTCTTAGAATAATTTTCTTTTTCCTTTCTTTTTTTTTTAATACGGAGTCTCTCTCTGTTGCCCAGACTGCGTGGTCTCGCCTCACTGCAACCTCTGTCTCCCGGGTTCAAGTGATTCTCCTGCCTCAGCCTCCCGAGTAGCTGGGATTACAGGCACCTGCCACCACGTCCGGCTAATTTTTTGTAGTAGAGACGGGGTTTCACGATGTTGGCCAGGCTGGTCTCAAACTCCTGACCTCATGATTGGCCCGCCCGGCCTCCCAAAGCGCTGGGATTACAGGGGTGAGCCACCGTGCCCGGCCTCTTAGAATAATTTTCTAGGTAAGGACTTTCAAGCTTGCATACGTGAGCAGACTGATTTTGGAGTGATCCAATCTTCTGTTTTCCTGCTGCCTGTTAAACACATTTTCTGACTGATGCACTTTTCTGTTTCTTCTTTTTCTCTGCTTTTCCCAAATGTCCTCTCTCTAGCCACTTTTTCTGTATATCTTTCTCACACTCCAGGCCTCTCCTGATCTCTTTCAGCTTTCTCATAGCTGGTAGTTTAAAAATAATTTGCTTGTTCTGTGGTCTAATTACAACAATAGGTAGGAGAGCAAATGAGTCTAGAGGGAGGTGATTAAAGCTTTACCATGTTTGGAGTACAGAGAGAGTCTTACAAAGGAAATAGCCTACGTGTCTGTCCAGTGAGGCCACCACAAAATGCCTGTTATATAACTGGGGGCCCTCATTGGTGCCCCGGGATGAGAAGGTGGAGAGTGGGGGTTGCTAGGAAGCCCTGCATGATTGGCTGGCCCCCAAGCAAAGAAAGGTGAGTACACTGGAAGCATGCCCTGTTGACTCCTTTTACTCCTAGTGGGCTACCTTCTGGGTCCATTGAGTCCTTCTGCATACACGTCTGTCCTGACGTAGACTGGCTACACTGACATGTGAGTCTGCCACCCGCACCTCCCCCCGCTCCAGGCAGCTTGGCTCCTTTTACATAATCATTTGAATTTCACTAAAACTGGCAGCTGGTTTCTCCTTCAGTATTAGGTTGCCAGGCGCCCGAACTCCAGGCTGATCTGTTTACTCTAAAGCTCTTGATGTACTAGTCCTTGAACTACTTTTGGAAGCAGAAGGAAGCATCATTAGTAACACCCCCTCTATTCTTGTGTTTTACAAAGCTTTTCTTGCATCCTTTTCTGTTAGAGGTAAAGTTGAGTAGATACCTCTACTATAGGGACTCTGGGGCATTTGAAGATAATCTGTGCCTTTTTTAGTATGACTAGAACGTGTCGGGTAAGGGAGGGAATCCTCACCTGGCATCTTGGAATTTATTTGGTCTGTGTTTTGGAAGTAAGTAGTACATCCAGGGAATGCCATTTACCAACCCCCATCATTATATTCTTTCTTTTCCCTTCACCATTCTTATGTTCTTTTGTTATTCTTTTTCCTTGTCTTGCCCTTTTGCCTGACAGTACAGGCATTTCCTTGGTAAGATGATCACCTTTGTTTTAGAAGCCTTTTGGAACTCCAGTAGGGTTCCTTGAGTCATACTCAACCCCTTCCTCCTCTTGCAGTGTTGTTTCATCCTACTTTTAAACTGTCTTTGTCATTCCAATAGGTTCGTCTTCCTAGGTCATATTTACTCAGGGTCTCTGTCGTTTTTATATTCTCTCAAATCCAGTCTCCTTGTACTTTTTACATTATATATCCAATCTTTTTCTTTCAGGGGCTTTTTTCTATATTTTCTCCAATATACTACTTTCTAGTCCAAAAAGCAACCTTCATTAGACAGTATTAAACACAAAGTCTCAGCAGAAATAAATGTTTACATGTTTAGATCATTCTTTTATCCAAGTGTCCCTTATCGGCTTCCATTTCCTCTTTACTCTGATTGAAGAGTCTAGCCCAGCTCTTCACTCCCTCTTTTACCCATGGATACTGCAACAGTTTGTCTTCTGAAATGGGTGGTTTTTGTTTGAGAAGCAGAATACTGTTGTAGAGCACTTTACTAAAGACCTGAATTCTGTTTATAGTTCCATTTTGTGATCTTGGGCGGGTCAGCCTCTCTGAACTTCAGTTTCCTCATCTATAAAAAGAGGACATTATTTGCCTAAACAATTTCATAGGAGTGTAGTTAGGATGATGGATATAAAAATGCTATCTAAACTCTAATATGCCATCGTAGTAAAGGTAATACTATTGAGGCTTTCTGAGCTATATCCCCAATAACTGTATATATTGTAAGGTCACTTAATCCCTTGTGCTATGGACATTTATTAGTCATCTAGAGGACTCATTTTTGGCATACATTTCCTAGTTGTTCTTTGCCAAGTATTTTGTTAGGTGCAAAAGTGAATACAGATTTGATCTCTAACCTTAGAAAAGACACAACCCAATGAGGGGTTCAATGTAATACTGTTTGATCAGTGCTATAAAAGAGACATCAGCCGGGCGTGGTGGCTCACGCCTGCAATCCCAGCACTTTGGGAGGCCGAGGTGGGTGGATCACCTGAGGTCAGGAGTTTGAGACCAGCCTGGCCAACATGGTGAAACCCTGTCTCTACTAAAAATGCAAAAATTATCCAGGTGTGGTGGTACGCCCCTGTAATCCCAGCTACTCAGGAGGCTGAGGCGGGAGAATTGCTTGAACCTGAGAGGTTGAGGCTGCAGTGAGCCAAGATGGTGACACTGCACTCCAGCCTGGGCAACAGAGCGAGGCCCTGCCTACAAAAAAAAAAAAATGGTGCCATGGTGTTGGTTGTCCCTGGACCATCAGCAGCAATATCAGCTGGGAATTGTTAGAAATGCAAATTCTTGGCCCCTACTCTAGGCCTACAGAATCAGAAACTGTGGCACAGCAATCTGTGGTGTTCTTTGAAATAGGGTTTCACAGCCAAGCGCAGTGGCTCATGCCTGTAATCCCAGCACTTTGGGAGGCCAAGGCAGGCAGATCATGAGGTCAGAAGTTCAAGACCAGCCTGACCAATATGGTGAAACTCCGTCTCTACTAAAAATACAAAAATTAGCTGGGCGTGGTGGTGCGTGTCTGTAGTCCCAGCTACTCGGGAGCCTGAGGCAAGAGAATCTCTTGAACCTGGGAGGCGGAGGTTGCAGTGAGCCGAGATCGTGCCACTGCAACTCCTGCCTGGGCAACAGAGCGAGACTCTGTCTCAAAAAAAAAAAAAAGGCCGGTTGCGGTGGCTCATGCCTGTAATCCCAGCACTTTGGGAGGCTGAGGCGGGTGGATCACCTGAGGTCAGGAGTTCGAGACCAGCCTGCCAACATGGCGAAACCTTATGTCTACTAAAAATAACAAAAATTAGCTGGTGCTTGTAATTCCGGCTACTTGGGAAGCTGAGGCAGGAGAATCGCTTGAACCCAGAAGGCGGAGGTTGCAGTGAGCCAAGATTGCGCCATTGCACTCCAGCCTGGGCAACAAGTGCGCAACTCCGTCTCAAAAGAAAGAAAGAAATAGGGTCTTGCTTGCCCAGGCTGGAGTGCAGTGCCACAATCATGGCTCACTGCAGTCTCAACCTCCTGGGATAAAGCATTTCTCCCATTCTCCCATGTCAGCCTCCCAAGTAGCTGGGAGTGCAGGTGTGTGTGCCACCATGTCTGGTTAATTTTTATTTTTTGTGGAGATGGGGTTCTCACTATGTTGCTCAGGCTAGTGTCAAACTCCTGGGCTCAAGTGATCCTCCCAGCTCGGCCTCCCAAAGTCCTGGGATTACAGGTGTGAGCCACCATGGCCAGCCAGCAATCCCTGTTTTAACAAGCTTTCCAGATGACTACTGCATGCCAAAGTTTGATTTCACCTGAACTAGTTTACAGATGTGATAACAATTGATTTGGGCCTTTGAGGAACAAGTAGGATTTCATCAGGAAGAAAAAGAAAAGAATGATATTCCAAGTAAAGGGAACATCATGAGCAAAGAAAAAAACAAGTATGTAGGATGCTTGGAGAACTGCATATACTTAAGTGTGACTAGAGCATAGGCATTATAGGGCACGTGTTTTGTTTTTGTTTTTTGAGATGGAGTCTCCATCTTTTGCCCAGCTGGAGTGCAGTGCCTTGATCTCGGCTCATTGCAACCTCCACCTCCCAGGTTCAAGCTATTCTCCTGCCTCCGCTTCCCGAGTAGCTGGGATTACAGGTGGGCACCACCATGCCCAGCTAATTTTTGTATTTTTAGTAGAGATGGGGTTTCACCATGTTGGCCAGGCTTGTCTCGAACTCCTGACCTCAAGTGATCAGTAGGGCAGGTTATTAAAAGATATATATATAGGGGGCAATTGTTTGGGCTTTGAGCTTAGACTAGTAGTTCCAAAATCTGTCTGTACATTGGAATCACCTTGGAAACTGAAAAACCTGCTCATGTCCCTTTCCCTCTCCTTTGTGATTTAATTGGACTGGGTGTGGCCCAGGGTTCGGAATGTTTAAAAGATCCCTGGGCAGTTCTGATGTGCAGATGATTCTGGGAACTTTAGTGGCTTAGGCCACTCTGTATATTAGGAAAGATTTTTTAGCACCAGAGTGACATGATCTGATTTATGTTTTAGGGCAATAATTGGTGTAGGAAAAGAGAGTGGAAATAGGGCAACCTACTTATTCACATTTCAGATGAGTTGTTCTTTAGGATCCCTTCACAACCACTTTCTTGTTCTCAAGTTCAGGTTTAATGCCTCCTGTGAGTTTGTTTTTGTTTTGTTTTTCCTTGAGACAAGAGTCTGTTGCCCAGGCTGGAGTGCAGTGGCACCATCTCGGCTCACTACAGCCTCCACCCCGAGTTCAAGGGATTCTCCTGCCTCAGCCTACTGAGTACAGGTGCCCACCACTACGCCTGGCTAATTTTTGTATTTTTAGTAGAGGTGGGGTTTCACCATGTTGGCCAGCCTGGTCTTGAACTCCTGACCTCAAGTGATCTTTTTGAGATGGAGTTTCACTCTTGTTGCCCAGGCTGGAGTGCAGTGGCGCAACCTTGGCTTACTGCAATCTCCGCCCCCAGGGTTCAAGCAATTCTCCTGCCTCAGCCTTCCGAGTAGCTGGGATTACAGGCATACACCACCATGCCCGGCTAATTTTGTATTTTTAGTAGAGACAGGGTTTCTCCATGTTGGTCAGGCTGGTCTCAAACTCCTGACCTCAGGTGATCCGCCCACCTCGGCCTCCCACAGTGCTGGAATTACAGGTGTGAGCCACCAGCCTGACAGGATGGAACTTTAAGTAAGAGAATCACCTTAAGAATCACCCCTAGTGATTCTGTTCTTACTGAAAATGGCTCTCCCCAGTTGAGGTCTCTGAAATGCCCCATTAGTTGAGAATCATTGCTGTAGGGAGACATGTTCTTCAGGTACTGTATCATATCCCTCAGGTGTGTTGTGGTAGAGTAGATTTGAGAACATAACTTTGACTATAAACTCTCCAAGAGCAAGGGCCATGTAATTAATTGCTTTTTTATTTCCCCAATTTTTTTTTTTTGAGACAAGAGTCTCACTCTGTTGCCCAGGCTGGAGTGCAGTGGTGCAATCTCAGCTCACTGCAACCTCCACCTCCTAGGTTCAAACACTTCTCCTGCCTGCCTCCTGAGTAGCTGGGAGGGACTATAGGCGCCCGCCATCATGCCCAGCTAATTTTTGTATTTTTAGTAGAGACGGGGTTTCACCATATTGGTCAGGCTGGTCTCGAACTCCCGACCTCAGGTGATCCACCTGCCTCGGCTTCCCGAAGTGCTAGGATTACAGGCATGAGTCACTGTGCCCAGTCCTTTTTTTTTTTTTTTTTTTTTTCCTTTGAGTCAAGGTGTCACTCTGTTGTCCAGGCTGGAATGCAGTGGTAGGATCTCAGCTCACTGCAGCCATGAACTCCCAGGTTCAATTGATCCTCCCACCTCAGCCTCCTGAGTAGAGGGGACTACAGGCATGTACCACCATGCCTGGTTAATGTTTGTATTATTTGCAGAGACGGGGTTTTGCCGTGTTGCCCATGCTGAACAATATTTTTTTTCTTTTTTGAGACAGGGTCTTATTCTGTCACCCAGGCTGGAGTACACTGGTGCAAACACAGCACACTGCAGCCTCAGTCTCCCCTGGGCTCAAGTGATGCTCCCACCTCAGCCTCGTGAGTCGCTAGCACTACAGACACATATTACGAAGCCTGGCTAATTATTTTTATTTTTTGTAGAAACAGGGTTTTGCCATGTTGCCTAGGCTGGTCTCAAACTCCTGGGCTCAATCTGCTCACCTTGGGCTCCCAGGGTGGTGGGATTACAGGCATGAGCCACTGCACCCGGCCCACAGATTCTTATTGAGGCCTTTGTAAGTAGGCAGTTAATGCTCTATTGCCACCATTTCCCACTGTATTTTTTATAAATACCAATTGTTTGGTCAATCGACTTCTATTTATGAAACTGGAAAAGAATAATGATGATCCCAAATGTCTAACCTCATTGCTTGCCTTTATACAGAATCCTCACTATGGATGGGCTCATTGAGGACATTAAGCATCGGCGGTATTATGAGAAGCCATGCTGCCGGCGACAGAGGGAAAGCTATGAAAGGTGCCGGCGGATCTACAACATGGAAATGGCTCGCAAGATCAACTTCTTGATGCGAAAGAATCGGGCAGATCCGTGGCAGGGCTGCTGAGGCCTGTGGGTGGGACACCCAGTGCGAAACCCTCATCCAGTTTTCTCTCCATCTCTTTTCTTTGTACAATCCCATTTCCTATTACCATTCTCTGCAATAAACTCAAATCACATGTCTGCAAGAAGGCCTCCAAATATAGAAACAATCCCATTAGTCAGCAGTGGACCCTGTCTTTTATTAAGTGAAAGAAGAAACTGAGTCTGAAAGTACTCTAGGAGTAGAATGGTATTTGCCAGGGACTGGAGGAGGGGGCAGTGAGGAGTTATTGTTTAATGGGTACAGAGTTTCAGTTTGGGCAGATGAAAAAGTTCAGGAGACGATGGCCTGGCATGGTGGCTCACGCCTGTTATCCCAACACTTTGGGAGGCTGAGGCGGGCGGCTCACTTGAGGCCAGGAGTTTGAGACCAGCTTGGCCAATGTGGTGAAACCCCATCTCTACTAAAAATACAAAAAAAAATTGGCCGGGCGTGGTGGTGCACGCCTGTAATCCCAGATACTTGGGTGGCTGAGGCAGGAGAATTGCTTGAACTGGGGAGGAAGAGGTTGCAGTGAGCCAAGATCATGCCACTGCACTCCAACCTGGGCGACAGAGTGAGACTCCATCTCAAAACAAAAAAACGGAGATGGATGATGAATGGTGATGGCGGTTGCTCAAAAAGTTGAATGTACTTAATGCCACTGAACTATACCCTTAAATGGTCACGATGGTAAATTTTGTGTTTTACTACAATAAAAACTTTTTTGAAAGTCCAGGAGAAGTAAGGAATTTTTTTTTCTTTTTTTTAAGAGGAAGTCTCGCTCTTGTCCCCCAGACTGGAGTGCAATGGTGCAGTCTAGGCTCACTGCAACCTCCGCCTCCTGGGTTCAAGTGATTCTCCTGCCTCAGCCTCCCCAGAAGCTGGGACTACAGGCACCTGCCACCACGCCCAGCTAATTTTTGTATTTTTAGTAGAGACGGGGTTTCACCATGTTGTCCAGGCTGGTCTCGAACTCCTGACCTCAGGTGATCCGCCCACCTCGGCCTCCCAAAGTGCTGGGATTATGGGCATGAGCCACCATACCTGGCTGGTAAATTTTTTTTTTTTTTTTGTAGATGGAGTCTCGCTCTGTTGCCCAGGCTGGAGGGCAGTGGGACAATCTCAGCTCACTGCAAGCTCCGCCGCCTGGGTTCACGCCATTCTCCTGCCTCAGCCTCCCCAGCAGCTGGGACTACAGGCACACGCCGCCACGCCCGGCTAATTTTTGTGTTTTTAGTAGAGATGGGGTTTATCTGTGTTAGCCAGGATAGTCTCGATCTCCTGGTCTCGTGATCCCCCTGCCTTGGCCTCCCAAAGTGTTGGGATTACAGGCGTGAGCCACTGCGCCCGGCCGGAAAATTTTTTTAATGTAGTGAAATATGTCTACCATTTCCTACCCAATTTTTTTGAATCCCCAAGCAAAATCTTACTGAGAAAGCATCTATTACTTTTTATTAAACTGTTCCATGTTAGGTAGAGAGGAGAAGATGCATGTATGTATTTGGAATAAATTCTGCTTCTGAAAACACCTATCAACCAGACTAGAGTGCTGGAATCCTTGCCCAAAGAAATTCTTAAATCTACCCTAATGTTCATTCCTGTTTTCTGTCCTTTTAGTTTTCCTAACAGAGACTAAGAGAGGGATGGTGGAGAAGAAATAAAGCAATAGATGGGTGGGACTCAGTAGATAGTAGGAAAGAGGGAATGGAGCGTTGAGAGAGAATGGCACAGAGCCAGAAATACCCACAAAGCAGTGCTTCTCAAAGTGTCAGATCAGCAGCATCAATTTCACCAGAGGGATTGCTTGAAATGCAAATTATGGGACCCTACTTTAGATCTTCGATATTGGAAATTGAGGTTGGAGCCCAGCAATCTATTTTCACAAGCCTTGCAGGTGATTCTGATGCCTGCTAGAGTTACAACCACTGCCCTTTGCAGTACTCAAAGAGACTTCAAGTGGAGGTTCCCACCATCACTGCCTCTACCCAGCAGTCACTCCTGATTATTTTACTCTTGACAGCTGCGGAAACTGACCACTGTGGGAAGACCAGCTGCTCTGCTTTTTCTCCTGCTGTTTCCTCCACCATTGGTTGGCTGACAGCCGTGTTGCTATTATTAAGAGTCGGTGCCAGGCCGGGTGCCATGGCTCACGCCTGTAATTTCAGCACTTTGGGAGGCTGAGGCGGGCGGATCACGAGGTCAGGAGTTTGAGACCAGCCTAGCCAACATGGTGAAACCCTGTCTCTACTAAAAATACAAAAAAATTAGCTGGGCGTGGTGGTAGGCGCCTGTAATCTCAGCTACCTGGGAGGCTGAGGCAGGAGAATCACTTGAACGCAGGAGGTGGAGGTTGCAGTGAGCCAAGATCGCGCCTGGCGACAGAGCAAGACTCGGTCTCTTTTAAAAGTTGGTGCTGGCCAGGCACAGTGGCTCACGCCTGTAATCCCAGCACTTTGGGAAGCCGAGGTGGGCGGATCACAAGGTCAGGCGATCGAGACCATCCTGGCTAACATGGTGAAACCCCGTCTCTACTGAAAATACAAAAAAGTTAGCGGGGCATGGTGGCGGGCGCCTGTAGTCCCAGCTATTTGGGAGTCTGAGGCAGGAGAATGGCGTGAACCCGGGAGGCAGAGCTTGCAATGAGCCGAAATCGCGCCACTGCACTCCAGCTTGGGCAACGGAGCGTCCCCAAAAAAAAAAAAGGAAAAAGAAATAGATCTGCTCCTTTCCCTCATTTTGGAGAAAATCTGTATACAGGCTGCCTTCAACTTTGTTCCCTTTATACAACCTAGTCTTAACAAACAAGATATGACACTTCTGAGTCACCTTTAAATCTGAATCTGAGGCCGGGCGCGGTGGCTCACGCCTGTAGTCCCAGCACTTTGGAAGGCCGAGGAGGATGGATCACGAGGTCAGGAGAGCAAGACCATCCTGGCTAACACGATGAAACTCCGTCACTACCTTTTTTTTTGTTTTTTGTAGACGGAGTCTCGCTCTATTGCCCAGGCTGGAGTGCAGCGGCGTGATCTCGGCTCACTGCAAGCTCCGCCTTCCGGGTTCACGCCATACTCCTGCCTCAACCTCCCGAGTAGCCAGGACTACAGGCGCCCGCCACCGCGCGTGGCTAATTTTTTTTTTTAATTTTAGTAGAGACGGGGTTTCACCGTGTTAGCCAGTATGGTCTTGATCTCCTGACCTCGTGATCCACCCGCCTCGGCCTCCCAAAGTGCTGGGATTACAGGCGTGAGCCACCGCGCCCGGGAGGCTGAGGCAGGAGAATGGCGTGAACCCCGGAGGCAGACCTTGCAGTGAGCCGAGATGGCGCCACTGCACTCCAGCCTGGGTGACAGAGCGAGACTCCGTCTCAAAAATAAATAAATAAAATAAAATAAATCTGAATTTGGTCTTTAGTACATTTTAATGATATTGAGCCATAATATAGTGTCATCTACCACAGTGGTAAGGCATGTTTGTGATAACAGAATCAGGCCTGTTACTTGGCATTATTCTCCTGGGGCTAAAGTTGCTTCTGAGCTCCCTCCAAAATACTAAGAGGTGGCTGAGATTTGAAATTTTCTTTGTCTCTAAAAATTATCCCCCGCTTGTTTTAATCTTCAGTCCTATTGCCCATGCTCCCCTAGAGCAATGAACAATGATGGGTTTTAGCAGCTAGCCAGTTGAGAGGCCTCATAAATGCGATAAGTGGCTGGATAAAGTTCCAATCTGCTTATGCTGTGATGATAGGGAGAAAAACTTTCCACTCCTTGCTCTGGGAAGCTAGAAGATAATTTGCATGGTAGTTTAATGAGTAGGGGTTGCACTAATCTTTTAATCCCTGCATTGATTTCAGAGGAGGGGTGGTTTGCTGTTTACCCAGTTACAGAATGATAGGTAAGTACCTCCTACCCTAAACTTGGGCACCTATGAAATCTCTTACCTGTTTAGTGAAGTGCCTCTGACAGGCCTGCTCCAATCATAATTTAAAGATCTCGTAATCTAGTGCTCTGGAATCAGCTACCCCTTTAAAATTGGGACTCTGTTGAGTAATTTGTGTGTGTGTGTGTGTGTGTGTGTGTGTGAGACGGAGTCTCGCTCTGTCGCCCAGGCTGGAGTGCAGTGGCATGATCTCCACTCACTGCAAGCTCCGCCTCCTGGGTTCACACCATTTTCCTGCCTCAGCCTCCCGAGTAGCTGGAACTACAGGTGCCTGCCACCATGCCCGGCTAATATTTTGTATTTTTAGTAGAGACGGGGTTTCACCATGTTAGCCAGGATGGTCTCGATCTCCTGACCTCGTGATCCGCACTCCTCGGCCTCCCAACGTGCTGGGATTACAGGCATGAGCCACTGTGTCCAGCTCTGTTGAGTAATTTTGACACTGCACTTTCAAGTTTTCAGAAGTGCACCACTTACAAAATAAGAGTTTGTATGTTAAGTGAGAATGCTAAGGAATAATCACTCACTGTATACTAACAAGGTTAAGGAATAGTGTTTACATAGGTAATTGAAGGGAAAAGGAAATGCTGGAACTTCCACTATGTGTCAGCTACCTTACATATATAATTTTTACTTAGTCAAAAAAAATCTGGATTCCATCATGATCTTGGTATCTTATTTAACATAAACCCTTGTGTCCCCTGTAAAATAAGGATAATGGGGCCGGGCATGGTAGCTCACGCCTGTAATCCCAGCACTTTGGGAGGCCGAGGCGAGCAGATCACAAGGTCAGGAGATCGAGACCATCCTGGCTAACACGGTGAAACCCCATCGCTACTAAAAATACAAAAAATTAGCCGGGCGTGGTGGCACACACCTGTAGTCCCAGCTACTGAGGAGGCTGAGACAGGAGAATCGCTTGACCCTGGGAGGTGGAGGTTGCATTGAGCCGAGATTGTGCCACTGCTCTCCAGCCTGTGACAGAGTGAGATTCCGTCTGAAAAATAATAATAATAATAATGATAATGGTATCTATAGTTTTTGTTTTATGTTTTATTTTTATTTTTATTTATTTTGAGACGGAGTTCCGCTCTTGTTGCTCAGGCTGGAGTGCAATGGTGATCTTGACTCACCGCAACCTCCGCCCCCTGCCTCAAGCCTCTCGAGTAGCTGGGATTAACAGGCATGCACCACCATGCCCGACTAATTTTGTATTTTTGGTAGAGACAGGGTTTCTCCATGTTAGTTAGGCTGGTCTCGAACTCCCGACCTCAAGTGATCCACCTGCCTCGGCCTCCCAAAGTATTGAGATTACAGGCATGAGCCAACTCACCAGGCCAGCATCTATAGGTTTTTAATGAGGATGAAATAATGGAATGCATGTCAAGTACTTAGCATAGTGTCTGGCACACAGAACACAATGGATGTGAGCAATTAATTATAGTCCCCTAGTTGTGCCAGCCAGACACCTGATTTTATTTATTTATTTATTTATTTATTTATTTATATTTATTTATTTTTTTTGAGACAGCATTTCACTCCTGTCACCCAGGCTGGAGTGTAATGGCTTGATCTTGGCTCACTGCAACCTCTGCCTCGCAGGCTCAAGTGATTGTCCTGCGTCAGCCTCCCAGGTAGCTGGGACTACAGGCGCACGCCACTGGACCTGGCTAATTTTTGTATTTTTTGTAGAGATGGGGTTTCACCATGTTGCCCAGGCTGGTCTCGAACTCCTGGGCTCTAGTGATCTGCCTGCCTCTGCCTCCCAAAGTGCTGTGATTACAGGCGTGAGCCACAGCGCCCAGCCCAGATACCTGATCCTTGATTCCTCCTCCCCATTCAGCCGTGACTAGCATGTGTTTAATCCCTTCTGGCTATCTCTATGATTAAACGCCACGACCTTACTCCCAGCTACCATCATGACTCTTCTGGATTACTACAACAGCTATTTGACTATCGGCTTACCTTAGTGTTGTCTGGCTTCAATCTATTCACGCTTTGGCCAGAGTGATTGTTCTAAAATGCAACTCTGATCCTTTCACTTTCCTGCTTAAACTGACCATTGGTTCCCATTGCTTTCAAAACAAAATCTAAACCACTTTAAACCACTTAGCATGGCATTTAAGGCTCTTTATGATTGAACCCTGCTTTTCTCTCTACCCATTTTTCCCCTGAAATGCACTTCTGGATCACAGCACATGCTGTTTTCTCTCCTCCCCAGTCCACCAGCATTCAGCTGGATTTTTTTTTCTCTCTCTTTTTGAGACAGGATCTTACTCTGTTGGTTAGGTTGGAGTACAGTACTATGATCATGGCTCACTGCAGCCTTGACCTCCTGGGCTCATGTGATTCTCCCACCTCAGCCTCCCCAAGTAGCTGGGACTATAGGCGCATGCCAACACACACAGCTAATTTTCGTATTTTTTGTAGAGATGAGGTTTTGCTATTTTACCCAGGCTGGTCTTGAACTCCTGGGCTCAAGTGATCCACCCACCTCTGTCTCCCAAAGTGTTGAGATTACAAATGTGAGACACCACGCTTGACCCTGGAATGTTTTCTAACATGCCTTCCTTGATGCCTTTACCAACTTTGTATTATCTTTTTATGTCTTGAGTTTACCTTTATAAATTTGCTTCTATAATAGCACACTTTCTTTTTTTTTTTTTTGAGATGGAGTCTTGCTCTGTTGCCCAGGCTGGAGATCTCAGCTCACTGCAGCCTCCGCCTCCTGGGTTCCAGCAATTATTCTGCCTCAGCCTCCCAGGTAGCTGGGATTACAGGCACATGCCACCACGCTTGGCTAATTTTTGTATTTTTAGTAGAGACAGGGTTTTACTATGTTGGCCAGACTGGTCTCAATCTCCTAACCTCAGGTGATCCTCCCACCTCGGTCTCCCAAAGTGCTGGGATTACAGGCATAAGCCATCATGCCTGGCCTTTTTTACCACTGTATTCCCAGTGCTTTGTATAATGCCCAACATTTAAATGCTCAGTAAATATTTATTGAAGGAATCTATGACAACAGATACGATCTACTAAGTCTTAATATGTGCCAGGCCCGGTCCTAAATACGTTTTGTTTTATTGTGATAAAATATACATACACGAAATTTCTATTTTAATAATTTTAAGTATGCAATTCAGTACCATTAAGTAAATGTTGTATAATCATCACCACTGTTTCCAAAACTTTTCATCACCCAAAACAGGAACTCTGTACCCATTAGGCGTTAACTCCCCATTCATCTCTCTCCAGCGCCTCATGGCCTCTATTCTACTTTCTGTCTCTATTTGGCTATCCTAGTTACTTCACGAAAGTGGAATCATACAATATTTGCCCTTTTTGTCTAGCTTATTTCACTTAGCATCTGTGTTGTAGCATGTATCAGTACTTCATTTGTTTTTATGGCTGAATAATATTCCATTGTATGTATATACCATATTTTGTTTATCTACTCATCTGTTGATGGACACTTGGGTTGCGTCCATTATTTGGCTATTGTGAATAATGCTACTATAAACACAGGGGTACAGATATATCTTTGAGACCTTGTTTGCATTTCTTTGGGGTATATACCCAGAAGTAGAATTGCTGGGTCATCTGAAAATTCTATTTTTAATTTTTTGAGGAACTACTATACTGTTTTACATAGCAGCTGCACCATTTTATATTACCAATAGGGCACAAGAGTTCCAACTTGTTTCCTTCCTTCCTTCCTCCCTCCCTCGCTCCCTTCCTCCCTTCCTCCCTCTGGATCCTTCTTCCTTCCTTTTCTGTCACCCAGGCTGGAGTGCGGTGGCATAATCACAGTTCACTGCCACCTTGATCTCTCAGGCTCAAGCTATCCACCCACCTTGGCCTCCCAAAGTGCTGGGATTACAAGCATGAGCCACTGCACCTGACCTCTTTTATTTTATTTTATTTTATTTTATTTTTATAGTAGCCATCCTACTGGATGTGAAGTGGTATTTCCTTGTGGTTTGGCTTTGCATTTCCCTAATAACTAATGCTGTGGAGCATCTTTCCATGTGCTTATTTGCCATTTTTTGTCTTCTTTGAACATACATATATTCAAGTGTTTTACCTGTTTTTGAATTAGGTTGTTTTGACCAGCACGATGGCTTACACCTGTAATCCCAGCAGTTTGGGAGGCCGAAGCCAGTGGATCACTTGAGGCCAGGAGTTTGAGACCAGCCTGGCCAACATGGCAAAACTCTGTTTCTACTAAATATACATAAATTAGCCGGGCCTGGTGGCATGAGGCTGAGGCAGAAGAATTGCTTGAACCTGGGAGGCGGAGGTTACAGTGAGCCGAGATTGTGCTACTGCATTCCAGCCTGGGTGACTGAGCAGACTCTGTCTCAAAAAAAAAAAAAAAAGAATTAGGTTGTTTTGTTGTTGAGTTGTAAGTGTTCTTAATATATTCTGGATATTAATCTCTTATCAGATATATGACTTGCAAATATTCTCTCACATTCTGTGGGTTGCCTTTTCATTCTGTTGATAGTGTCATTTAATGCACAAAACTTTAAATTTTGATGAAGTCCAATTCATCTGTTTTTCCTTTGTTTGCCTGTATGTTTGGCATCATATCCAAGAAATTATCGCCAAATCCAATGTCAAAAAGATACACTCCTGTTCTCCTGTGTTTTCCTCTAAGAGTTTTACAGTTATTGCTCCTTAGTTTTAGGCATTTTTTGAGACAAGAGTCTCACCCCAGGCTGGGCGCAGTGGCTCACATCTGTAATCCCAGCAGTTTGGGAGGCCAAGGCAGGCAGATCCCTTGAGGCCAGGAGTTGCAGACCAGCCTGGCCAACATGGCGAAACCCCATCTCTACTAAAAATACACAAATTAGCCGGGCGTGATGTCGGGCACCTGTAATTCCAGCTACTCGGGAGGCTGAGGCATGAGAATTGCTTGAAACTGGGAGGCAGAGGTTGCAGTGAGCTGAGATCGCAACAGTGCACTCCAGCCTGGGGGATAGAGCGATACTGTGTCTCCGAAAAAAAAAAAAAAAAAAAAAAAAGAGTCTCACTCTGTGGCCCAGGCTGGAGTGCAGTGGGATAATCTTGAGTCACTGCAACCACTGCCTCCCAGGTTCAAGAGATTCTAGTGCCTCCCTCCTGAGTAGCTGGGATTACAGGCATGCACCACGATGCCCAGCTAATTTTTGTATTTTTAGTAGAGATGGGGTTTCACCATGTTGGGCAGGCTGGTCTAGAGCTCCTGGCCTCAAGTGATCCACCCACCTCAGCCTCCCAAAGTGCTGGGATTACAGATATGAACCACTGTGCCCAGCCCTACATTTATTTATTTGAGATAGAATCTCCTTCTGTCATCCAGGCTGGAGTGCAGTTGCATGGGATTATTGATGTGAGCCACTGTGCCCAGCCCTACTTTTATGTATGTATCTACTTATTTGAGACAGGGTCTCCCTCTGTCATCCAGGCTGGAGTGCAGTTGCGTGATCCCAGCTCACTGCAACCTCTGCCTCCTGGGTTCAAGCGATTCTCCTGCCTCAGTTTCCCAAGTAGTTGGGACTACAAGAGTGTGCCACCACACCTGGTAAATTTTTCTATTTTCAGAAGAGACGGGGATTGAGTCACCATGTTGGCCAGGCTGGTCTTGAACTCCTGACCTCAAGTCATCCTCCAGCCTCAGCCTCCCAAAATGCTGAAATTATAGGGGTGAGCCACTGTGCCCGACCTCTAGTTTTTGTATATTTCTTAAATTTAGGTCTTAGATCCATTTTGAATTAATTTTTGTATACGGTATGAGGTAGGGGGTCCAATTTAACTCTTATGTTTGTGGATATCTGCTTTTCCCAGCATCATTTGTTAAACAGACTGTCCTTTCCACATTGAATAGCCTTGGCACCTTTGTCAAAAATCAGCTGACCATGGCCAGGTGCAGGGGCTCATGCCTGTAATCCCAGCATTTTGGGAGGCTGAGGTGGGCAGATCACGAGGTCAAGAGTTTGAGACCAGCCTGGCCAATATGGTGAAACCCCTAATAAAAATACAAAAAAATTAGCTGGGCATGGTGGCATGCGCCTGTAGTCCCAGTTACTCGGGAGGCTGAGGCAGGAGAATTGGTTGAACCCAGGAGGTGGAGGTTGCAGTGAGCCAAGATTGAGCCACTGCACTCCAGCCTGGGCAACAGAGGGAGATTCCGTCTAAAAAAAAAAATGTCGAGCACGGTGGCTTATGCCTGTAATCCCAGCACTTTGGGAGGCCGAGGCAGGCAGATCGCCTGAGGTCCAGAGTTCGAGACGAGCCTGACTAACATGGAGATACCCCGTCTCTACTAAAAATACAAAATGAGGCCGGGTGCAGTGGCTCACGCCTGTAATCCCAGCGCTTTGGGAGGCCGAGGCGGGCAGATCACGAGGTCAGGAGATCTAGACCATCGTGGCTAACACGGTGAAACCCCGTCTCTACTAAAACCACAAAAAATTAGCCGGGCGTGGTGGCACACACCTGTAGTCCCAGCTACTCAGGAGGCTGAGGCAGAAGAATTGCTTGAACCCAGGAGGCGGAGGTTTCAGTGAGCTGAGACTGTGCCACTGCACTCCAGCCTGGGCAACAGAGCGAGACTCGTCTCAAAACAAAGAAGAAAAAAAATACAAAATTAGCCTGGCGTGGTGGCGCTTGCCTGTAATCCCAGCTACTCCAGAGGCTGAGGCAGGAGAATTGCTTGAACCTGGGAGGCGGAGGTTGCGGTGAGCCGAGATCGCGCCATTGTACTCCAGCCTGGCCAATGAGAGCGAAACTCCATCTCAAAAAAGAAAAAGAAAAAAAATACAGCTGACCATATATGTGAGTGTTTATTCTGGGCTCTCTATTCTTCCTTTTTTTTTTTTTTTTTTTTGAGACAGAGTCTCGTTCTGACACCAGGCTGGAACGCAGTGGTGCAATCTCGGCTGGCTGCAACCTCCACCTCCCGGGTTCAAGTGATTCTCCTGCCTCAGCCTCCGGAGTAGCTGGGACTACAGGCGCGTGCCACCACGCCCAGCTGATTTTTGTATTTTTAGTAGAGACGGGGTTTCACCATGTTGGCTAGCATGGTCTCGATCTCTTGGCCTCGTGATCTGCCCACCTCGGCCTCCCAAAGTGCTGGGATTACAGGCGTAAGCCACCGCGCCCGACCCTCTATTCTCTTTTGTTGGTTTACCTGCCTGTTCTTACGCCAGTACCACACTGTGTCTTACACATTACATTTAATCCTCACGATACCTTTTTGAAGTAGAGATTCTTATTCTATAATTGAGGAAACAATCTCAGAAAAAATTACCTGAAGGAAACACAGCTAGTAACCGGAAAGCTACAGTTTAAATGTATCCAATTCTAAAAATTGGAAATAAAATCAGTTTTGTTTTGTCGAGATGGAGTCTCCCTCTGTCGCCCAGGCTGCAGTGCAGTGGCGCGATCTTGGCTCACTGCAACCTCCACCTCCCGGGTTCAAGCAATTCTCCTGCCTCGGCCTCCTGAGTAGCTGGGATTACAGGTGCCCACCACCACACCCAGCTAATTTTTGCATTTTTTTTAGTAGGGATGGGGTTTCACCATGTCGGCAGACTGGTCTCAAACTCCTGACCTCAAGTGATCCACCCGCCTCGACCTCCCAAAGTGTTGGGATTACAGGCGTAAGCCACCACACCTGGCCTAAAACCAGTTTCTAGAAACACATTTCTCCATAGGGAATTGAACGCAGACTGTTAGAAGCACCAAAACAAAATAAATTTACAACAACCCTGCAATGTTGAAACTCATTAACCCATTCAACAGACTTTTTGAGTGAATATTTTGTGAGACATTGGTGTTAGAAGCTGTAGGTGGGGAAACTGATTTGTGAATAAGTTGAGCAGTAGGTTCAAACTCCCCCAACTTGTTCCTTCAGAGCCAGGCTTTATCCTGTTATGTCGTGCTGCCCCATCAGGGAAGGTGGGGCTTGGTATGTACATTGTTATCTTTAGATACAAAAATCTCCTACTATCTGGGGAATGTGAATAACCTCCCTGAAGAACAACTGCATCTTCTAGTCAGCCTACCACCAAGAAGACATTTTGGAACTTTAGTTTGGATAGTTTATAATATAAAAATAATGGAATTTTTTCCATTTCTCATATAAGAAATTGTGTCATAATACTGGACAATCTTTTTCCAAACTATCTTTGTCCACACACATGTTGTTATGAATCATCGATTTAAAGAGTCAGTAGGGGCCGGGCGCGGTGGTTCAACCCTGTAATCCCAGCACTTTGGGAGGCCGAGGTGGGCGGATCACGCGGTCAAGAGATGGAGACCATCCTGGCCAACATGGTGAAACCCCGTCTCTACTAAAAATACAAAAGTTAGCTGGACGTGGTGGTCGCGCGCCTGTAGTCCCATCTACTCGGGAGGCGGAAGTTTCAGTGAGCCGAATGCACTCCAGCCTGACGACAGAGCGAGACTCCGTCTCAAAAAATAAAAAATAAAAATAAAAAATAAAGGGTCAGTAGGTTAGAGCCTCATTTTGGAGAGAAGTTAATATATAGACCTATTGATAGAATGGAGAAAACAATACTGGTAGGTCTCACTTGTCATTTATTGAGCCCAAAGTGCTGGGATTACAGGCGTGAGCCACGGCGCCCGGCCTGACACCACTGTTAAATTAGGGAGAAAGGGTTTACTTTCTACCAGAAAGGCTGTGTTTGAACACAAACGCAGAAGCCTCGCTCTTCATTCTAGCCTAAGTTTACTTTTGCGCACTTATTCTCCATATGAGGAAAACAGCAAGTAGCCCAATTTCCGCTTCAGGAAGTTAAAGACATTAACTTGGCAGAAATCGGCCGGGCGCGGTGGCTCACGCCTGTAATCCCAGCACTTTGGAAGGCTGAGGCGGGCGGATCACGAGGCCAGGAGATCGAGACCATCCTGGCTAACACGGTGAAACCCCGGCTCTACTAAAAATACAAAAAATCAGCCGGGCGTGGTGGCGGGCGCCTGTAGTCCCAGCTACTCGGGAGGCTGAGGCAGGAGAATGGCGTGAACCCGGGAGGCGGAGCTCGCAGTGAGCCGAGATCGCGTCACTGCACTCCAACCTGGGCGACAGAGCGAGACTCCGTCTCAAAAAAAAAGCTAAAAAAAAAACCTTGGCAGAAATCTAGCTAATAGGTTTAGCCTGGGAAATAGAAAGCAAGGAAATTGCTCAGGGAAACTTTTCGGTTCTGCGACGCATGCGTTCAGCCTCCAAGAAAGTGGCAAATACGGCTGCGCGAATTGGCGGCCCGGCCCTCCTTGGTCACGTGTTGGGAGACAGCGGCGTGGCGGCGGCGGTGGCGGTAGCGACGGCACGCCGTAGGGCGGTCAGAAGGTTTCCGGTTCCGGTGTAACGTTCGGGCTCCGTCTCAGGGGCTGAAGTTTGTGAGGTGAGTAGTGGCCCCGGGCCCACAGAGGGTAATTCCAGTCCGCGCCACTGTGGCCGGGGACTCAGTCCAAGGGGAGGACCGAAGCGGGAGGGTTCAGCGGGAAGGAGTGTGAAAGGAGTACCTGGTTTGGTGGGAGAAGAGGTTGGAATGAGATTGTTGAGAGGAAAAGGGCGGGGGCGGGAAGGAGACCGGGTTGGGAGACCAGCTCTGGGGTGAGGAGTTTAGGTAGAACAAGGTAGAGTAAGAGACTGGTTGGAGTGACGGAGAGAGTAAAAATGAAGATTAGCGGGGGAGTGGGGGGCTGCAGAGGGAAACTCAGGTTGTAGCAAACAAGAGCACGGAGTAAGGAATTCCTTCTGAAGACTGGATTTGGATTCTGCTGCCTGCTCATTGAGAGGAGAGATCATTGTACCTCGCTTTCCTTCCGCACCCCCACTACCCCCGCACCTCGCAGTTATTGTTGAGCATTTGATTAGTGACAAGGCTAATTACCGTTTGAAACTTTTTTATCCATTGGCTGTTTAGTTTGCACGTCATCTTATGGAGGTAACAGTGGCACCTCATTTATTGCTTTGGGCTTTCAAATTGCTTATACTTTCTAGCCTATCATTCAATTCTAGTGGAATATAAGACCCGTTAAGGTGAGGACTCTTGTTAGTTTTGCTCACTGTTTTATGTATCCACCGCACCTAGTACATTGCTTGACACTTAGTAGTTACTCAATAAATATTTATTGAATGAATTAGGATGTAAATATGGCAGTACTCATTTTGTAAGATGGTAAACTGTGGCTCCAAAGAATTACTTAACTTGCCCAAGGGCTTGTAAATGGTGGGGCTCAGTGTCCCAACTGTTTCTGTGTGAACTCTTGTTTTCACTTTCTATGGCATCTGGATATGCCGCTTTTGTGCAATACATGTGTAATATGTAGAAATTGGTACGCTGTATGTCTACTCATTGTGGGGTAATAGAACCACCATAGAATTACTCACGTAACTTGTCACTGAGGCAGAAAATCTTTCAGTCTTAGTTTCATCACTTCAATCTACTAGCTTCCTTTGGATATACCAAAAGTGAGTCTATTTGGCATCAAGTCTTATAGACTCTAGTATAGAGGCTAAACTTACCAAGAATGTAGAAGTTAATCAGACTGGATTTTTTGGAGAAAAGATGTCTTAAAACATCTTGAAAGATGATTCCCAGATCTTTGATAAGTGGCACTGCTGGGAATAGCTGAGCTTGGAAATTGAGGTCAGTCAATTTATTGACTCCCATTTAGACACCTTTTTTTTTTTTCCCCGGGACGGAGTCTTGCTCTGTCGCCCAGGCTGGAGTGCAGTGGTGCGATCTCGGCTCACTGCAACCTCCGCCTTCCATGTTCAAGGGATTCTCCTGTCTCAGCCTCCAGAGTAGCTGGGATTACAGGTGCAGGTCACCACGCCCAGCTAATATTTGTATTTTTAATAGGGATGCGGTTTCACCATGTTGGCCAGGCTGGTCTCGAACTCCTGACGTCAGATAATCCACCCGCCTTGGCCTCCCAAAGTGTTGGGATTACAGGCGTGAGCCACCGCACCTGGCTTTTTTTTTTTTTTTTTTTTTTTTGGAGACACAGTTTCACTCTGTCGCTCAGGCTGGAGTGCACATGATTTTGGCTCACCGCAACCTCCGCCTCCTGGGTTCAAGTGATTTTCCTGCCTCTGCCTCATAAGTAGCTGGGATTACAGGTGCCCACCACCTCACCTGGCTAATTTTTGTATTTTTAGTAGAGACAGGTGCAGTGGGTCACGCCTGTAATCCCAGAACTTTCGGAGGTCAAGGTGGGCAGATCACTTGAGGTAAGGCATTACCTGGCCGATATGGTGAAACCGTGTCTTTATTAAAACTACGAAATTGGCCAGGCGTGGTGGTGCATGCCTGTAGTCCCAGCTACTTGGGAGGCTGAGGCAGGAGAATCAAGTGAACCCAGGAGATGGAGGTTGCAGTGAACCAAGATTACGCCACTGCACTCCAGCCTGGGCGACGGAGTGAGACTCTGTCTCAAAATAAAAATGAGGGTATTCTTTTCTGAGCTGAAGGATCATCAAGTCAGCTGATGGAGACCCTGTAGATTGAACATGATAATTACCTGTATGCAGAATTCCCACTGGGATGAATATGACCACAGAGAAATGTGACAGAACATTCTTTTTTTTTTTTTTTGAGACGGAGTCTTACTCTGTTGCCCAGGCTGGAGTGCAGTGGCGCGATCTTGGCTCACTGCAACCTCTGCTGCCTGGGTTCAAGTGATTCTCTTGTCTCAGCCTCCCGAGTAGCTGGGATTACAGGCGCCTGCCACCATGCCCAGCTAAATTTTTTTGTAGTTTTTAGTAGAGATGGGGTTTCACCATCTTGGCCAGGCTGGTCTTGAACTCCTGACCTCGTGATCCACCTGCCTCAGCCTCCCAAAGTGCTGGGATTACAGGCGTGAGCCACCGCGCCCGGCCAGAACATTCTTAAAGATCATGAGATTTAATTTAATATCTAAGATGACTGACCTGGATAAACCCTCTTTTACTTGCATACCTTAAAAGAAGGGAATCCTACATAAGTCAGGGTTGGGTTAGGGAATGCCTGCCTGGAAGTAGGAAGAATGGAAAAGCTGGCCTCTGGATGGGCTTTTTTAGTTCTGTTTTAGTGTTACTAGGTTTGCAAGTCCTTGTTGATATGACAGGATCAAGAAAGAAGCTAGAACTAATTTCTCAGACTTAGCTTATTCACAGAGTTTGTTTATTCCGCAGATTTCATTGATCAACTTAAGAGTTAGAATTAAAAATCAAATGGGATCTCTTTCTGCTTTGAGATATGGTTCTTGGGGAAAATATTTGCCTTCAAATGAGTTGGAAAAACTTGTCTAGGGATTGAGAATAGGGCTGGGGAATGCATTCCTGATGTACTAACCATTTCCCTGGATCACTTTAGTCTTTTTTTTTTTTGTAGAGAGAGTCTTGCTTTGTCGCCCAGGCTGGAGTGCAGTGGTGCGATTTTGACTTGTTGCAAGCTCTACCTCCCTGGTTATTCCCCTGCCTCAGCCTCCCAAGTAGCTGGGATTACAGGCACATGCCACCACGCCCAGCTAATTTTTTTGTATTTTTAGTAGAGGCAGGGTTTCACCATGTTGGCCAGACTGGTCTCGAACTCTTGACCCCAGGCAGTCCATCCACCTTGGCCTCCCAAAGTGCTGGGATTACAGGCATGAGCCACTGCACCCAGCCCACTTTAGTCTTTTCTTATTCTCTAACTTGTCTCTTTTTTTTTTTTAGGTGTAGTATTGAGTCCTGTTTGAGCTATTGTTCTCTTTTTCCTGAAAAATGGCACTGTCAAAGAGGGAGCTGGATGAGCTGAAACCATGGATAGAGAAGACAGTGAAGAGGGTCCTGGGTTTCTCAGAGCCTACGGTGGTCACAGCAGCATTGAACTGTGTGGGGAAGGGCATGGACAAGAAGAAGGCAGCCGGTATGTACCTTTCTGCATCTTTTATCTTAACATATAGGGTGACCCCAAACACTGCTTTGAACTTCCTCAAAATTCTCTCTGTTGGGAACATCTAAAAAAATGGCAGGCCATATTTTATTTTCACCTGTATTATAGTGAAAATAGGCTAAATAATAATTTGCTTTTTCTCTTAATTGCTTATTTTTTATGTTATTTATGATAGATTTTAAATCTTCGTTTGGCTACCATACTGAGTCACCTAAGTTAGATTTACTTAGGAAGTATGCTTAAGTCAGATAGGCATATTCAGATTCAGACTGAACATCTCAACATACAAAAATCTTTATGAAATACATGAAAAAGCTTGAAGGAGGTAGATTTTGTTAATGGTAGGCTTCTACAACTTGCTATTTGGGAAAGGTGAGGGTGGTTATTCATCTCAAACTTGATGTTCAAGGTAAACAGGTTGCTCTAACTGCACCACTTCCCACGCCAAAAAATTATAACTATTTTCACCTCACAGGGCAAGGTCATTTAGTGTAAGAGAGATGGGAATCCTACAAAAAACTTAAAATTTGTTTCACTCCTGGGAATAAAATTCCAGTGTTGGTACCTGTTATAGGCCTAGTATTAGACTGTGTACTCTTACCTTTCCAACCCTACCACCGCCTTTCTTCCTGTCAGATCATCTGAAACCTTTTCTTGATGATTCTACTCTCCGATTTGTGGACAAACTGTTTGAGGCTGTGGAGGAAGGCCGAAGCTCTAGGCATTCCAAGTCTAGCAGTGACAGGAGCAGAAAACGAGAGCTAAAGGTAGGTTACAATTTACTGTCTAATGAGCTCAGGACTGTTTTGAATGGTAACAGAGTTGCTGAGCTTACCAGTTCACACGTTGATATCCTCTATTTAGAGCAGCAAATGTTCAAGAGAGGTACTTAGACATTAGAGTAGGAGAGATGAATTAGTGTCATCACCATCTGAACTACCTCTAAGTTCATGGGTTGAAATATCCAAAGAAATAATTGGCAGCTTTGTCTTTTTTTAGATAACAGGAGTTTTGATTCTCATGTTTCTCCATATTTCCTTTTTTTCCTTCTTACTGTTACTTATAAACTGATTGCTCTAAGATTTTATCTTTGATTTATTTGAGGCCTAATAAGTTGTTTTAGAATGTGACTCCACTGGTACCTGAGCTGTACACCTCATTGTTGCCTCTTTGTAGAGGTTTCTCTGCAATGCACTTGTAGATAGAATACCAAAAAATAACTATTATTTATTATATTCTTGAGAGCTTACCATTTGCTCTATGGCATATTGCTGGTCCTCTGCTGCCATGAGTGAAACACTTGGAGGAGTTGTCAGTACCCCCTTAACTACTACACTTTTTATTCTGTAGTTGCCGACTGATCCTGGCCTCTTTCAGTATTAGCAGTATCAAGTAGCCTATTTTTCTACTCATTTCCCAGTATCTCTCTTTAGGAGAAAAAAAAAAGTTCTGTGACTCCTATCAAACCTTCCAAAGTTCTTCTGATACCTTGGCTATCCCATTACTTTTCCTGAGGGAAAAGAGTGAATAAGTAATGTCTGCTTGGTCCCCTGGCCAGGCTATGGAACTAAAAAAAAAAGCAGAGAGATTTGTGCCCTTTGTGTTTGGAGCATTGTAGGGTGGTCAGAGAAGGAGAGATAGTCCTTGCCTTAAAACAATTTGTAATTTGTCAGGCAGTGTGGCATGTGCCTGTAATCCTAGCTACTTGGGAAGCTGAGGCAAGAGGATCTCTTGAGCCCAGGAGTTACAATTTAGAAGAGGCAGGGGTATCACAAAATATATATTCACGTATTATAAAATCTAAGTAGCAGTTTCATGTAAATTTTAGGGTTGGTTATAGAATTTCAGACCTATGTTGAATTTTGTTATATTTAAGGTGGAATGATTGATCCACAGTATACACAGATCTGTACAGTGAAGATTATGTCACGATAGGGCATACTTCTTTTTTTTTTTCCTTTTTTTTTTTCTAAGGGTGAGTCTCACTCTGTCGCCCAGGCTGGAGTACAGTAGCGCAATCTTGACTCACTGCAACTTCCACCTCCCAGGTTCAAGTGATTCTCCTGCCTCAGCCTCCTGAGTAGCTGGGATTACAGGCACATGCCACCATGCCTGGCTAATTTTTGTATTTTTAGTAGAGACGGGGTTTCATCATGTTGATCAGGTTGGTCTCGAACTCCTGACCTCAAGATCTGCTCGCCTCGGCCTCCCAAAGTGCTGGAATTACAGGCATGAGCCACTGCGCCTGGCCAGTAGGGCATACTTCTGTATGAGTGCTGAGGGCATGCTGTGAATGAAGTGACTACATTGGGTGGGATTAATAAAAATGGCTTCTTGAAGGAGGTGTCTAGATAGCCTTGGGATACGGGTCCCATTTTTGGTCCATTCAGGTCCCCACCCCACACAATATATTATGGGAGAGTCCTTTTTCTTGAACTGTAGGAGTTCCAGGAAGCGCTCGCCCCTGGCCGAGGATATGTCCTTGCAAAACACGAGCCCTCCTAGTGAAGAGGGGATGTCACCCAAAGCCTACCACCGGTGTGTACATTTGCTTTTTCCCATTGTCCCTTCCAGTTGGCCACTCTCGGTCCTGTTAAATTCACCTTGCAAATTAGTCATCATATTTGAGTTTCCATTGTTTGATGAAAACAAAGTGTTAATGGGGATTACTGAAGAAGAAAGAGAAAGCCCCTGTCCTGGAAGAGCTTAGACTTAGTTGGGAAAACTATACTAACATTGAAATACTTAACACTTGGCAAACAGAATATCAACAATGTAATTTAACCTAATATGAACCAAGCTCTTACACGCTAAGAGAATGTGAAACAAAAGTTTAATCAGAGTGGGATAGGTTATAATGAGGAAAACTTCTTGGAGGAGGTGAGTTTTAGGCAGGATTTGGAACAGGGGTTGTGGAAAAGTTGAGAGAAATCATTATAAATGTGAGCAGTAGCATTTGCAAAGACCTTGAGATGGGAACATTTATAAGAACATGGGAATGAAATTTGTTTGACTGGATTAGGAGAATGTTGAAGTTGGGTGAGATGGAGAGTCTAGTAGACCCTGCTTCTGGCAGGTGGCTATTTGCAAGGTTGTGTCATATTCCCCTGGGAATAGCCAGAAAATGCTGGTAGGGGCTAGGATAATTCTTCCCTTCTCCCCACGGGGAGGGATACAGCTTTTCTTTCATCTTGGGTTCCCTTAGGAGGTGTTTGGTGATGACTCTGAGATCTCTAAAGAATCATCAGGAGTAAAGAAGCGACGAATACCCCGTTTTGAGGAGGTGGAAGAAGAGCCAGAGGTGATCCCTGGGCCTCCATCAGAGAGCCCTGGCATGCTGACTAAGCTCCAGGTTAGTGATTAGGGACTGGAAGCAAAGTGGTTTTGTGAGTTGAAGAAGCAAAAGGTGCATGGGTCTGTATTTATTGTGGAATTTTTTTTTTTTTTTTTTTTTTGAGGTGGAGTTTTGCTCTTGTCACCCAGGCTGGAATACAGTGGCGCGATCTCAGCTCACTGCAACCTCCGCCTCCCGGGTTCAAGCAAATCTCCTGTCTCAGCCTACTGAGTAGCTGGGATTAGAGGCACCCACCACCAAGCCTGGCTAATTTTTGTATTTTTAGTAGAGATGGGGTTTCACCATGTTGGCCAGGCTGGTCTTGAACTCCTGATGTCAGGTGATGCACTCACCTTGGCCTCTCAGAGTGCTAGAATTACAGGAGCGAGCCACTGCGCCCGGCTAATTTTTTGTATTTCTTTTAGTAGAGACAGGGTTTCACCATGTTGGGCAGGCTGGTCTTCAACTTCTGACCTCAGGTCATCTGCCCACCTTCGCCTCCCAGAGTGCTGGGATTATAGGCGTGAGCCAGCGTGCCTCGCCTTATTGTGATCTTGATTTGAATTAGTGTTTAGCATTTGGGGTAAACTTTTTTTTTTGAGATAGAGTTTCACTCTGTTGCCCATGCTGGAGTGTAGTGGCGTGATCTCAGCTCACGGCAACCTCCACCTCCCAGGTTCAAGCGATTCTCCTGCCTAAGCCTCCGGAGTAGCTGGGACTACATGCGAACACCACTACGCCTGGCTAATTTTTGTATTTTTAGTACAGATGGTATTTTGTCATGTTGGCCAGGCTGCTCTGGAACTCCTGGCCTCAAGTGATCTGCCACCTCAGCCGCCCAAATGGCTGGGATTACAGGTGTGAGCCACCATGCCAGGCCAGCATTTGGGAAAATTTTATTTCCTGCTTTATGTTTTAGCGTTCTTTGATTTGACCAGGAGTATTCTAGGTAAGGGTATTGAAATTGCCATTTACTGTGGCAAGCAAAGTGTGTTATGTACATTATTTGCCTAATTACCTATGTCGTTGAGTCATTGAGAAAATTAAATGAAATGATCAGAACTCATCTTAATGACAGAGGAGACTCTCCAAACATAATGCAAAGAAGATATAATCCACTGATAAATAATTTTAAGTTGACTTTATTTTTTTTTAACAGGAAGTATTTGTGTTTTTTCAATTGGCATTGTTAAATAATACCACATAAGTGTTTCTTTTACCATTTAATATTTGAGGGGGGTAATAGAACATATACAGAAATATGGGTGGGTGGATTTGCATATATGTGATATTTACAGAAGGAAAGAAATGGATTTTTTTTGTGTGTGTGTGTGAGATGTTCTCTCTGTCACTCAGGCTGGAGCGCAGTGGTGCGATCTCGGTTCACTGCAGCCTCTGCCTCCCAGGTTCAAGTGATTCTCCTGCCTCAGCCTCCTAAGTAGCTGGGATTATAGGCATGTGCCACCACGCACGGCTAATTTTTGTATTTTTAGTAGAGACAGGGTTTCACCATGTTGACCAGGCTGGTCTGGAACTCCTGACCTCAAGTGATCTGCCTACCTTGGCCTCCCAAATTGCTGGGATTATAGGCGTGAGCCACCGTACCTAGCCTGTTTTTGTTTTTCAGGCAAGGTCTCACTTTTTTGTCCAGGCTGGAGTTCAGTGGCGAGATCTTGGCTTACTGCAACCTCTGCCTCCCGGGCTTGAGTGATCCTCCCACCTTGGCTTCCCAAGTAGCTGGGACTACAGGTCACCATGCCTGGCTGATTTTTGTATTTTTTTTAAAGATTGAGTTCCACCATGTTGCCCAGGCTGGTCTTGAACTCCTGGGCTGAAATGATCCTCCTGCCTCAGCCTCCCAAAGTGCTGGACTTACAGGCGTGAGCTACCACGCCCAGCCAATTATTTTCTTTTTTGGGGGGTGGGGGATGGAGTCTTGCTCTGTCACTTAGGCTGGAGTACGGTGGCGCGTTCTCGGCTCACTGCAACCTCTGCCTCCCGGGTTCACGCCATTCTCCTGCCTCAGCCTCCTGAGTAGCTGGGACTACAGGTATGTACCACCATGCCCGACTAATTTTTTGTATTTTTAGTAGAGATGGGGTTTCACCATGTTAGCCAGGATGGTCTTGATCTCCTGACCTCGTGATCCACCCGCCTCGGCCTCCCAAAGTGCTGGGATTACAGGCATGAGCCACCGTGCCAGGCCCAATGATGTTTTTTATGGAGAATGGGGATGGACGTATTCACAACATATCCTTTTGTTATGTTTCTTTCTTTTTTTTTTTTGAGACGGAGTCTCACTCTGTCGCCCAGAGTGGAGTGTAATGGCGCTATCTCGGCTCACTGCAACCTCCGCCTCCCGGGTTCAAGCTATTCTTCTGCCTCAGTCCCTTGAGTAGCTGGGATTACAGGCACGCGCCACCACGCCTAGCTAATTTTTTTGTATGTTTAGTAGAGACGGGGTTTCACCATGTTGGTCAGGCTGGTCTCGAACTCCTGACCTCGTGATCCGCCCGGCTCGGCCTCCCAAAGTGCTGGGATTACAGACGTGAGCTGCCAGGCCCAGCCTGTAATTTTTCATTTTATTTTATTTTATTTTTTGAGACGGAGTCTCGCTCTTGCACTGTTGCCTAGGCTGGAGTGCAATGCCGTGATCTCAGCTCACTGCAACGTCCGCCTCCTGGGTTCCAGCAGTTCTCCTGCCTCAGCCTCCTGAGTAGCTGAGATTACAGAACGTGCATCACCATGTCCAGCTAATTTTTGTATTTTTAGTAGAGATGGGGTTTCACCCTGTTAGCCAGGATGGTCTCGATCTCCTGACCTCGTGATCCACCTGCCTCAGCCTCCCAAAGTATTGGGATTACAGGCGTGAGCCACCACGCCCAGCCCTGTAATTTTTAATTTTTTTATTTTCTTTCTTTCTTTACTTATTTAGAGATGGAGTCTCCCCCTGTTGTCCAGGCTGGAGTGCAGTGGCATGATCTTGGCTCACTGTAACCTCCACCTTCTGGATTCAAGCGCTTCTCCTGCCTCAGCCTCCTGAGTAGCTGGCATTACAGGCGCCCACCACCACACCCGGCTAATTTTTGTATTTTTACTAGAGACGGTGTTTCACCATGTTAGCCAGGCTGGTCTTCAGCTCCTGACCTCAAGTGATTCGCCCACCTCAGCCTCTCAAAGTGCTGGGATTACAGGCGTGAGCCACCATGCCTGACCCTTCCGTAATTTTTGAATTTTGAATATATCACCTATTCAAGAAAAAATGTTAAAGACAAATGTTTAAAAATATCTTGAAGCAGTTTAAGAACAGGTCTGTTTTGCAAAATGTAAGAGGAGTTGTTTGGCCATACCCTCAAAGCTTATCATTCTGAACTTCTTTAGGACAGAAGGGGTTTATAGAGACTAGGGAGCAGGTCTTTGCACCATCGTCTCTTGTTTCCCAAACTAGTAGTTCAAGTACTAATATCATGATTTTTTAAAAAAAATTAAGTATAGGCTGGGTGCGGTGGCTCACACCTGTAATCCCAGCACTTTGAGAGGCCGAGGTGGGCGGATCACGAGGTCAGGAGATCGAGACCATCCTGGCTAACAGGGTGAAACCCCATCTCTACTAAAAATACAAAAAATTAGCCGGGCGTGGTGGTGGGCGCCTATAGTCCCAGCTACTCGGGATGCTGAGGCAGGAGAATGGCATGAACCCGGGAGGCAGAGCTTGCAGTGAGCCAAGATCGCACCACTGCACTCCAGCCTGAGTGACAGAGCGAGACTCCATCTCAAAAAAAAAAAAGAAAATTAAGTATAATATTTTGTGTAGGTTCTGTTAGGTTTGCATGCATTATTTAAGTGGTTAACACTAGACCTGTAAGGTAGGTACTGTTTTCTTCCCCCTTCTAGACACTTAGGAGGTTTAGAGACTAAGTTCCTTATCCAAGATAACAAAGGCATTAAGTGGCAGAGTTAAGATTCAAACTCAGGTTTCTCTGACTCCAGAGTCTCAATCATCACACTATATTACTACCTAATATGCTAATCTTGCTTTAGGAACATGGGTTGAAAAATTCCAGTGCTCACTTATCTTGACTAAATTTTTTGCACTGTGGTGCAGGCAGAATGTGGTATAGTCATTCAAAACATTTTAAGTGTCTAGACCTGAGAGCCTTGTGGGTTTAAAAACCTGAATGGGAGAAGTAAGAAGGAGAAATTAACAGTTTTTCAATTTTTTTCCTGGAGAGCAGATCAAACAGATGATGGAGGCAGCAACACGACAAATCGAGGAGAGGAAAAAACAGCTGAGCTTCATTAGCCCCCCTACACCTCAGGTATTGTGTCTAGATTACTCTGAACAGAATAATCTTTGGCACAGAATTTCTTGCCATCCACTCAAAATGAGAGACTAGAAGAGGTGACTACATGTTTCACTTCATAATCATCTGCTACAGTCTACCATGATGTGTGTGTATATCTGTGTGTATGTATGTGTGTTTGTCTGCCTGTCTTAATTCCTCTGATTTCTTTTTCTCTATCTCACAGCCAAAGACTCCTTCTTCCTCCCAACCAGAACGACTTCCTATTGGCAACACTATTCAGCCCTCCCAGGCTGCCACTTTCATGAATGATGCCATTGAGAAGGCAAGGAAAGCAGCTGAACTGCAAGCTCGAATCCAAGCCCAGCTGGCACTGAAGCCAGGACTCATCGGCAATGCCAACATGGTGGGCCTGGCTAATCTCCATGCCATGGGCATTGCTCCCCCGTGAGTGTCTATTTCATGGAATACCTTTTCATTTCTGAAGTTTGAGAAGCAATAAATACCTTTGAATGTTACTGATCTGGCTGGGCGCAGTGCCTCAGGCCTGTAATCGTAGCACTTTGGGAGGCTGAGGTAGGTGGATCACCTGAGGTCAGGAGTCAGGAGTTCGAGACCAGCCTGGCCAATATGGTGAAAACCCATCTCTACTAAAAATACAAAAATTAGCCAGGCGTGGTGGTGCATGCCTGTAATCCCAGCTACTCGGGAGGCTGAGGCAGGAGAATCGCTTGAACACAGGAGGCAGAGGTTGCAGTGAGCTGAGATCGTGCCACTGCGTGGGTGACAGAGGGAGACTCCGGCTCAAAGAAAACAACAAACAAAATATTACTGATCCTCTTTTTCCACAGAACCTAGATCATTTCTCACAGTTTCATATTTCTTAGGTGTGATTGATTAACCAGTTGAATTTTTTCTCGTCTTCCCTGTTGGAGGGTTTATTATCTTCTTATGATTTATATAACTGAGATTAAGGTTATTCATCTAATGTTGGAGCTAGGAGTATAGCCAGGTTTCCTTCCTGGTTTCAAACTCAGATTTATCCATTAAACCACATTGTGTGAGACTAGATCTGAGGTTCCTCTGCAACTGGTCAAAGATGTTACATTTTTTTTAGCATCTACAGTTGGTCTGGCATCCCATGAGTGACATAAGAATTCAGGGATAAGGAAAGATAGGATTATAAATTCATATAATTTATAAACTCATTTCATTTGGTTGTCCTGTATACTGAAATATCCACTTTGATATTTTTAATCAAGATACTATTGGCAGGGCGCGGTGGCTCACACCTGTAATCCCAGCACTTTGGGAGGCCGAGACTGGCAGATTGCTTGAGCTCAGGAGTTCAAGACCAGCCTAGGCAACATGGCAAAACCCCATCTCTCTAAAATATACAAAAATTAGCCAGGCATGGTAGAGCATGCGTGTAGTTCCAGCTACTTAGGAGGCTGAGGTGGGAGAATTTCTTTGGGCCTGGGAGGTTGAGGTTGCAATGAGCTGTGATTGTGCCACTGTACTTTAGCCTGGGCAGCAGAGTGAGACCATGTCTCAAAAAAAAAGATGGTATTGCTCACTGATGAGATTGTTCCCTAGAATTATTTTATTGTCCTTTTTGTTGTTGTTGTTGTTGAGAGGGAGTCTCACTCTGTCACCCAGGCTGGAGTGCAGTGATCTCGGCTCCCTGCAACCTCTGCCTCCCAGGTTCAGTAGCTGGGACTACAAGTGCCCGTCTAAATTTTGTATTTTTTGTAGAGATGGGGTTTCACTGTGTTGCCAAGGCTGGTCTTGAACTCCTGGGCTCAAGCCATCCACCCGCCTCAGCCTCCCAAAGTGCTGGGATTACAGTGTGAGCCACCACACCCGTCCATCCAAATAACTCTTATAGAGAAGGCACTGCAGCCTCAACTTCCTGGGCTCAAGTGATCCTCCTCAACCTCCTGAGTAGGTGGGACCACAGGTATATGCCACCGCACCCAGCTAATTTTAAATTTTTTGTTGAGATGCAGTCTCCTTGTGTTGGCCAGACTGGTCTTTAACTCCTGGGCTCAAGTGATCCCTCTGCCTTGGCCTCCCAAAATGCTGTGGTTCCAGGCTTGAGCCACCACGCCTGGCTTTATTTTGTTTTTTGCTTGCCTTAATGTTCCATACAGGATTTATTTCTTTGCGGGCTATTTTTCAGGAAGGTGGAGTTAAAAGACCAAACGAAACCTACACCACTGATCCTGGATGAGCAAGGGCGCACTGTAGATGCAACAGGCAAGGAGATTGAGCTGACACACCGCATGCCTACTCTGAAAGCCAATATTCGTGCTGTGAAGAGGGAACAATTCAAGCAACAACTAAAGGAAAAGCCATCAGAAGACATGGAATCCAATACCTTTTTTGACCCCCGAGTCTCCATTGCCCCTTCCCAGCGCCAGAGACGCACTTTTAAATTCCATGACAAGGGCAAATTTGAGAAGATTGCTCAGCGATTACGGACAAAGGTATCTGGCTTAGAGTATAACACAGAATTTGGAAAAAGTTAAGAAGCTGACAAGAAAACATTGTTAAATCTCTGTGTTCTAGGAAATTAGATAAATAGGTCATTTAAAGCAGCAGTCCTCAACCTTTTTGGCACCAGGGACTTGTTTCATGGAAGATAATTTTTCCCCTGGAGTAAGGATGGTTTCGTGATGGTTCAAGCACATAGCATTTATTGTGTACTTTATTATTATTATTTTTTTCGAGATGGAGTGTCGCTCTTGTTGCCCAGGCTGGAGTGCAATGGGGCGATCTCGGCTTGCTGCAACCTTTGCCTCCCAGGTTCAAGTGATTCTCCTGCCTCAGCCTCCCGAGTAGCTGGGATCACAGGCATGTGCCACCACGCCTGGCTAATTTTGTATTTTTGGTGGAGACGGGGTTTCTCCGTGTTGGTCAGGCTGGTCTCGAACTCCTGACCTCAGGTGATCTGCCCACTTTGTCCTCCCAAAGTGCTGGGATTACAGGCGTGAGCCACCGCCCCCGCCTTTTTTTTTTTTGGGCGGGGAGGGGGATGGAGTCTTGCACTGTTACCTGGGCTGGAGTGCAGTGGTACAGTCTCAGCTCACTGCAACCTCTGCCTCCTGGGTTCAAGCAATTCTCCTGCCTCAGCCTCCTGAGTAGCTGGGACTGCAGGCATGCGCCGCCATGCCTGACGAATTTTTTGTATTTTTAGTAGAGACAGGGTTTCACTATGTTGGCCCGGCTGGTCTTAAACTCCTGACCTTGTGATCTGCCTGCCTTGACCTCCCAAAGTGCTGGGATTATAGGCGTGAGCCACTGTGCTGGCCTATTTCTATTATTATTTTATTGTAATATATGATGAAATAATTATATAACTCACCATAATATAAAATCACTGGGAGCCTTGAGCTTGTTTTCCTGCTGAAATGGTCCCATTTGGGTGTGATGGGAGACAGTGACAGATCATCAGGCATTAGATTCTCATAAGGAATGTGCAACATAGCCCCCTCACATGTACAGTTCACAATAGGGTTCGCGCTCCTCTGAGAATCTCATGCCACCGATGATCTGACAGGAGGTGGAGCTCAGGCCATAATGCAGGTAATAGGGAGCAATCGTAAGTACAGATGAGACTGTTGGCTTGCCTGCTGCTCACCTCCTGTTGTGCAGCCCAGTTCCTAAAAGACTGTTGGGTTGGGGACCCCTGATTTAAAGCAATGAATACTTTGAAAAATGTGCTGGACAAGATGGCTCAAGCCTGTAATCCCAGCGCTTTGGGAGGCCGAGGTGGGTGGATCACGAGGTCAGGAGTTCAAGACCAGCCTGCCCAACATGGTGAAACCCCGTCTCTACTAAAAGTACAAAAATTAACCGAGCGTGGTGGTGGGTGCCTGTAATCCTAGCTACTTGGGAGGCTGAGTCAGGAGAATCACTTGAAACTGGAAGGCAGAGGTTGCAGTGAGCTGAGATCGCACCACTGCACTCCAGCATGGGCAAAAGAGCGAAACTCCGTCTCAAAAAATATATATATATATTTATTAATATAATACATAATTTTTTTAGCAGATTTTACTTCCTAATTCGTTTCTACATAAGTGGAAATATTATGAAATTGAGTTTGAAAATTCTCCACATACAACTAAGTGGAGGGAAACAATTTGAAACATTCTGAGTGACTAAGGAAGGCTTGCCTGTAGTTAAAATTTAATGAGACAGTACACCTGGAGAGTTGAATTGATTGTATATTGAATGACCTTTGCCGCCTTTTTATCCTCTCAAAGTGAGGTTTTCATAAAATTCCTTTTTTTTTTTTTTTTGAGACGGAGTCTCGCTCTGTCACCCAGGCTGCAGTGCAGTGGCACGATCTCAGCTCACTGAAAGCTCCGCCTTCCAGGTTCATGCCATTCTCCTGCCTCAGCCTGCTGAGTAGCTGGGACTATAGGCGCCCGCCACCACGCCCGGCTAATTTTTTTGTATTTTTAGTAGAGACGGGGTTTCACCGTGTTAGCCAGGATGGTCTCGATCTCCTGACCTCATGATCCTCCCGCCTCGGCCTCTCAAAGTGCTGGGATTACAGGCGTGAGCCACCACACCCGGCCATAAAATTCTATTTCTGCGTATTTACTGCAGGCATATACTGTGGAGTGCAGGGAGGGGTTGAAGGTGAGATCTATGTATATGAACTAAATAAAGGATAAAATAAAGCAGAACAACTCCTTTCTAAGCTTTCAGAAATTATGAACTTGTTGCGTTAGGTGTAAAGAGTTCAACGGGGAAGTGTTTTAAAATTTGGGATTCTTGGCCGAGGTGGGCGAATCACTAGGTCAGGAGATCGAGACCATCCTGGCTAACATGGTGAAACCACTTCTCTACTAAAAATACAAAAAAATGAGCCGGGCGTGGTGATGGGCGCCTGTAGTCCCAGCTACTCGGGAGGCTGAGTCAGGAGAATGGCGTGAACCCGGGAGGTGGAGCTTACACTGCACTGCACTGCAGCCTGGGTGACAGAGTGAGACTCCGTCTACAAAAAAAAAAAAAAATATTTGGGATTCTGGCCGGGCACAGTGGCTCATGCCTGTAATCCCATCACTTTGGGAGGCCGAGGCGGGCAGATCACCTGAGGTCGGGAGTTTGAGACCAGGCTGAGCAACGTGGAGAAACCCCATCTCTACTAAAAATACAAAATTAGCTGAGGGTGGTGGCACATGCCTGTAATCCCAGCTACTGAGGAGGCTTAGGCAGGAGAATCGCTTAAACCTGGAAGGTAGAGGTTGCTGTTAGCCAAGACCATGCCATTGCACTCCAGCCTGGGCAAGAAGAACGAAACTCCGTCTCAAAAAAAAAAAAAAATTGAGATTCTACACATTCTGTTTTCTATGACTCCAATTTATCTTTCTGTCTTGGATTATCTTGTTTTTAGGCTCAACTGGAGAAGCTACAGGCAGAGATTTCACAAGCAGCTCGAAAAACAGGCATCCATACTTCGACTAGGCTTGCCCTCATTGCTCCTAAGAAGGAGCTAAAGGAAGGAGATATTCCTGAAATTGAGTGGTGGGACTCTTACATAATCCCCAATGGCTTTGATCTGTGAGTTTGTTTTAGTACCTTTTTAAAAAAACAGTTTTTAATCAGCTGAGTTTAAGACTCAAGTTAATACCTTTTAGTAAAGCTATGGTTTTAGTGGGAAGGATGGTACTCATTCATTAATTAAAATTTTTAAATCCAAGAGAGATAAGTAACTGTACACAAGGTCCTGTTATTTTTTTTTTTTTTTTTTTTGAGAGGGAGTCTCGCTCTGTCACCCAGGCTGGAGTGCAGTGGCACGATCTCAGCTCACTGCAACCTCCACCTCCCGGGTTCAAGAGATTCTCCTTGAATTCTCCTTGAATCTCAGCCCCTCAAGTAGCTGGGACTACAGGTGTGTGCCACCATGCCCATCTGCTTTTTGTATTTTTGATAGAGACAGGGTTTTGCCATGTTGGCCAGGCTGGTCTCGAACTCCTGACCTCAGGTGATCCGCCCACCTTAGCCTCCCAAAGTGCTGGGATTACAGGCGTGAGCCACTGCACCTGGCCAAGCTCCTGCATTTGTAAGTGATGTATCATATATATAGGCTGTTTTTAGCTTTTGGGGTTAATGTAGGATAACCAGGGACACAATCTACAAAAGCAAAGTCTAGAATTCTTTTTGCTCTGTTACACATTGTTGCCTGTTTTTAGCATTATTTTCCTTAATTACATTCTTTTGCTACGTATTATAGGTGTTTACATTTCCTAAAGATCTCATTGTGATAGAGCAAGGATTATTAGTTGGTAGGTGAGATAATAGTAAATATAGCATATAAGGCTGGGCTCGGTGGCTGACACCTGTTATTCCAGCACTTTGGGAGGCTGAGGGCTGAAGGATTGCTTGAGCCCAGGAGTTAAAGACCAGCTTGGGCAATATGGTGAGACCTCGTTTCTACAAAGATTAAAAAAAAAAAAAAAGTAGCTGGGCATGGTGGCTTGTGCCTGTAGTCCTGGCTACCCAGGAGGCTGATGTGAGAGAATCACTTGAGCCCAGGAGGGTCTGTGCTGCAGTCAGCTATGATCATGACCACTGCACTCTATCCTGGACAACAGGGTGAAACTCTGTCTCAAAAAAAAAAAGGATATAAGACACATTTGAAGAGCTTTAAATATATCTGCTCCATCCATTTTTTTTTTTTTTTTCCTGAGACGGAGTTTCGCTCTTGTTGCCCAGGCTGGAGTGCAGTGGAGCAATCTTGGTTCACCACAGCCTCCGCCTCCTGGGTTCAAGTGATTCTCCTGCCTCAGCCTCCCAAGTAGCTGAGATTATAGGCATGCACCACCACGCCTGGCTAATTTTTGGTGTTTTTAGTAGAGACGAGGTTTCTCCATGTTGGTCAGGCTGGTCCCAAATTCCCGACCTCAGGTGATCCACCCGCCTCAGCCTCCCAAAGGGCTGGGATTACAGGCATGAGCCACCACGCCTGGCGTTTTTTTTTTTTTTTTTTTTTTTTAAGACAGAGTCTCACTCTGTTGCACAATCTCGGCTCGCTGCAACCTCTGTCTCCTGGGTTGAAGCAGTTCTTCTAGCTCAGCCTCATAAGTATCCGGGACTACAGGCAAATACCACCACACCTGGCCAGTTTTTATATTTTTAGTAGACAAGAGTTTCACTATTTGGCCAAACTGGTCTCAAACTCCTGACCTCAGGTGATCCACCTGCCTTCATCTCCCAAAGTGCTGGGATTATAGGCATAAGCCACATCACCTGGCCCTGCTCCATCATTCTGATACATGGCTTTAGTAGATTTTGTCTTAGCCTTTCGTTGCCCCTTCTTTGTCAGCCACTGTTCCAGGGACTTATTGTCACTAATGAGAGAACATAGCGTCTGTCAGCTGTGGCATGGTAGAAAAAAGGTTGAGAATGATTGCTGTGGAGAGTGTGTTCAACCATAGAGGGACTCAGTTTTCTCATCATGAAAATTATGTGTAATTTAACTATATATTTTAGGTACCTAAATGCTATTTTAGGTATATCAAGCACAAGAACCCATTATAGAGAGTGGGTTTTTTCATTGTATTTCTGAGACTCCTCTCTTAGAATCATCTCTACCCGCATATCGTGTTTTCTTTTCTTCCTACAATTTTAGTACAGAGGAAAATCCCAAGAGAGAAGATTATTTTGGAATCACAAATCTTGTTGAACATCCAGCCCAGCTCAATCCTCCAGGTAATGTATAGATTCCTGAATCAAGTCTCTAGAGCAGCATTACCCATTGGAAATTTATACAGTGAGGAACATGTTCTGTATCTATGCTGTTCAATACAATAGCCACTACCCATGTGTAATTCTTTTTTTTAATTCAGTTTTTTTCCTGACAATAGTTTGTTGTTTGACCAGTGAACATACATTTTAAGTGCATATTCCTGTGCTTAGAATTTCATGAGACAGCCAAGCATGGTGGCTCATGCCTCTAATCCAAACACTTTCGGAGGCCAAGGCAGGAGGATTGCTTGAGGCCAAGAATTCAAGACCAGTCTGGGCAACACAGTGAGACCCATCTCAAGGAAAAAAAATTTGGCTGGGTATGGTGGCTTATGCCTGTAATCACTGCACTTTGGGAGGCTGAGGTGGGCAGATTGCTTGAGCTCAGGAGTTCGAGATCTAGGCAACATGGCAAAACCCCATCTCTACAAAAAATAAAAAATCAGCCGGGCATGGTGGTGTGCATCTGTAGTCCCAGCCTCTTGGGAGGCTGAGGTGTGGAGGATGGCTTGAGCCTGGGAGGTGGAAGTTGCAGTGAGCTGAGATGGTGCTGCTGCACTCCAGCCTGGATGATACTGCCAGACCTTGTCTCAAAAAAAAAAAAAAAAAAAAAAGAAGAAAGAAAGAAAGAAAAAAACCCAAAATTTCATGAAGCTTTACATTTACAGTTCCCTGGTTGTTCCTAGGAAAGAGCCCTCAGCTTGCTCCTTTTATAGAACCACATGTTGTTGTGGCATCCACAGCTAAATGCAAATGCAAGAGCCAAACTCTTGGGTTGGTGTGTTATTAGATGCGATATGCTCCACTACCCACTGTGAGGGATGCTAATTCCAAAGGGCTTTTTGTTAGTTTCCCAAAGTTGAAACTGGGAAACAAAGTTGCTTCTATTTTTTTTTTTTTTTTTTTTTTGAGGAGGAGTTTCGCTCTTGTGGTCCAGGCTGCAGTGCAACGGCATGATCTCAGCTCACCACAACCTCTGCCTCCTGGGTTCAAGCAATTCTCCTGCCTCAGCCTCCTGAGTAGCTGGGATTACAGGCATGTGCCACCACGCCCAGCTAATTTTGTATTTTTAGTAGAGACAGGGTTTCACCATGTTTGGTCAGGCTGGTCTTGAACTCCTGACCTCAGGTGATCTGCCAGCCTTGGCCTCCCAAAGTGCTGGGATTATAGGTGTGAGCCACCGCGCCCGGCCTTTTTTTTTTTTTTGAGTTGGAGTTTCGCTTTTGTCACCCAGGCTGGAGTGCAATGGCACTATCTCCGTTCACTGCAACTTTCACCCCCCTGGGTTGAAGCTATTCTCCGGCCTTAGCCTCCGGAGTAGCTTGGATTATAGGTGCCTGCCACCACACCTGGCTAGTTTTTGAACTTTTAGTAGAGACAGGGTTTTGCCATGTTGGTCATGCTTGTCTTGAACTCCTGACCTCAAGTGATCTGCCCACCTAGGCTTCCCAAAGTGCTGGGTTTACCGGCGTGAGCCACCGCACCTGGCCCTAATTTTGTTTTCTACATTTGCCAGGTATCATTGAATGAGGGGGTTTAACAGCTTAAAGGAAAACAACTAAGAACACTACTTAAGAAAGATAAGAGGCCAGGCGAGGTGGCTCATGCCTGTAATCCCAGCACTTTGGGAGGCCGAGGCGGGCAGATCACGAGGTCAAGAAATCAACACCATCCTGGCTAACAAGGTGAAACCCCGTCTCTACTAAAAATACAAAAATTAGCCAGACGTGGTGGCGGGTGCCTGTAGTCCCAGCTACTCAGGAGGCTGAGGCAGGAGAATGGTGTGAACCCAGGAGGCAGAGCTTGCAGTGAGCTGAGATTGCGCCACTGCACTCCAGCCTGGGCAGCAGAGCGAGACTCCGTCTCAACAAAAGGAAAGATAAGAATGTTTTTTAAAAACATAGCCATATTGCCGGGCACCAGGCCTGAACTGATTTTAATCTTACTGATCCCTTATTAACGAGTTTTCTTCATTTTCTATTTAAAGTTTATACACACACACACACACACACATGTTTTTTGAAATGGAGTCTCGCTGTGTTGCCAGGCTAGAGTGCAGTGGCAAGTGGCACAATCTCGGCTCACTGCAACCTCCACCTCCCGGATTCAAGTGATTCTCCTGCCTCAGCCTCCCGAGTAGCTGGGACTACAGGTGCGTGCCACCACGCCCAGCTAATTTTTGTATTTTTAGTGGAGTCAGGGTTTCACCATGTTGGCCAGGCTGGTCTCGATCTCTTGACCTCGTGATCTGCCCACCCGTGCCTCCCAAAGTGCTGGGATTACAGGTGTGATCCACCGCACCTGGCCTCAATATATTTTTTACATAAAATGTTTATAATAGAGTTGGGTCTCACTTGGTTGTCCAGGCTGGTCTCGAACTCTTGGGCTCACGCCATCCTCCCACCTTGGCCTATCAAAGTGCTAGAATTACAGGCATAAGCCACTGTGTCCAGCCTAAAGTTTCTTTTAATGATATTGATATTTACCTAGGTTTCTTTAATATTTTTATTGCTGTCCGGGCCTGGTGGCTCATGCCTGGCCAACATGGTGAAACCCCATCTCTACTAAAAATACAAACATTAGCCAGGCATGGTGGCGTGTGCCTGTAATCCTAGCTACTCGGGAGGCTGAGGCAGGAGAATTACTTGAACCCAGGAGGCAGAGGCTACAGTGAGCTGAGATCGTGCCATTGCACTCCAACCTGGGTGACAGAGTGAGAGAGAGAAAAAAAAAAAATATATATATATATATATGTATTCTTACTGCTTTGGTATACTAATATCTCTGCCTGACAGTTGACAATGACACACCAGTTACTCTGGGAGTATATCTTACCAAGAAGGAACAGAAAAAACTTCGGAGACAAACAAGGAGGGAAGCACAGAAGGAACTACAAGAAAAAGTCAGGCTGGGCCTGATGCCTCCTCCAGAACCCAAAGGTGCATTTCTCAGTGGCCTCTTCTGTTAAAAAGAGTGGCAAGTTTATGTCTTTAATCCTGGAGGAACTTTAACATCTCTGTGTTTGAGTGATTTCTGTTTCTAAGAATTATTCTTGGGGTCCTTTTTCTCCAAGTTTTCTACCATCTTTTCATATTAAGATAGGTCAACACATTCATTATAGAGGCCATTTATGGCTTATTTTTAAGCATACTGATCATACAACACTCTGGTTTTCCTGGAAGAATACAGGTCTTGAAATTCATGGAGATAGTAGTTGCAGTATTTGCGTAGACTTTTTATGTACATAATTCTTAATGTTTTAATTTTTACAATGAAAGTACAGGATAAAAAACTTGACCCTGTAGTTACATTCTCGTTCAGCAGTATTTTGACTGAGCACTATTATTTATAAGCTCTTTCACTAGATGCTGTGATCAGTGTGAAAAATATGAAAGGAATTAAGTTCCACGTCCTTCATAAATTTTCAGATAATGTAAATGCATACCAATCTTCAACTTAATTGTGTGAACTTCTGCAAATGCTGAAGTGATTGGATGGGATTTTCAAGATAGGAGTTATTGGAGGAAGTGAGTTTAGAGCAGAGATTTGAAATAGGTAAATAATATGAATTGGTATGGAAGAAATAACAAGTTACTCCAGCTGGAGAAGTGACTTCAAAGACTGATTGTTGTCCTCTCTTCACTGCAGTGAGAATTTCTAATTTGATGCGAGTATTAGGAACAGAAGCTGTTCAAGACCCCACGAAGGTAGAAGCCCACGTCAGAGCTCAGATGGCAAAAAGACAGAAGTAAGTGCCATGGGATTGGGTGGAAACCTCGGGCAAGTACCTTTCCCAAACTCTTCTGGGGGGTCCATATTTGGAGGGAGGGGAGAGTTCTCCGTTGCTCTCTCTTTCCCTCAGCCCTGCCTCTGATCTTCAATGCCTTTCTCACTTGTGGATGTCCTTCCTGTCACGACAGAGCGCATGAAGAGGCCAACGCTGCCCGAAAACTCACAGCAGAACAGAGAAAGGTCAAGAAAATTAAAAAGCTTAAAGAAGACATTTCACAGGGGGTACACATATCTGTATATAGGTAGGTGTCCATACTGGGCCAAACTTCCCCTTAGAATTACTAAAACATTTTCCAAGTGCTTGAGGCAGAATCATTGTGGCCTAAAAGCATACCTAACACCAGTTCCTACTCTCTTTTAATGACCCTAGTGTGGATCAAGAGCTAGTAAATCTTGTAAAATAGCGAGAGTTAATGACTTATGTTTATGGTTACCCAGTTCTTCCCTCTCAAGTCTTCTTTTTTTTTTTACCAGAATATTAGTTCTGAACAAGTCAATATACTTGTTCAGGCCAAGATGTGAACTAAAGATTGTATGTCCTTTGAGAACTATAAAATATCATCCTATTTCTTTTTTTTTTCATCTTTTTTTTTTTAAATGGTCTGAGTTTGCTTCCAACATCCATGGAAGCATTACAAATTTTCTTTCCTCCGTAGTCATATCCTTACCCTGATGTATTGCTGTGTTTCATCCTCACTCCAAAATGCATTTTATATGTTGTAAATATTTTTCTACCTTTGTGTTGATTTAATGTTTTTATTCTTTTATGTTGAGTACATGTGTATCTTCTATTTTTAAAATGTGCTTATTTCTATTAACTAGTTCTTTATTATAAAAGTGGTACATTATCACAAAAATAGTGAATGCTTATTAAGATTTAAAAAATTGTCTGACAACACAGAAGAATACTTACTCAAAATGTCTCCTTTCTATTCTCTGATCCCTTAGAACCACTCTCTTTAGGTAATTGCTATTAACAGTTTTTCACATATCCTCCTAGAAAATTTTCATGCCTATATAGTGATCCTATATATATATTTTATTTATTTATTTATTTATTTTGAGACGGAGTTTCAGTCTTGTTGCCCAGGCAGGAGTGCAATGGCGCGATCTCAGCGCACTGCAACCTCTGCCTCCCAAGTTCAAGCAATTCTCCTGCCTCAGCCTCCTGAGTAGCTAGGATTACAGGCACGCACCCCCACGCCCGGCTAATTTTTGTATTTTTAGTAGAGATGGGGTTTCACCATGTTGGCCAGGCTGGTCTTAAACTCCTGACCTCGTGATCTGCCCACTTTGGCCTCCCAAAGTGCTGGGATTACAGGCATGAGCCACCGCACCCAGCCAAGTAATCCTATATTATAAGAGTCTAAGGGTCTAGAGGACAAAAAGTCTGTAGGTCTTTACATTGTCAAGAACAATGAGATTGTAAGTATTTTTGGATGATAGTAAATACCTCTCCCTGACTCTTAGAGTAAACTTTGGTTAGTAATGTAATGGTTAATGTAAAGTGCTAGACTTTGAAGAAATGTAAGAGTGTGGAAATATTTCTAGACTCATCAACTCTACCTTTTAAGCATTCATCTATTTGTTTACTCCAGAGGCCTTTGTTTATAGAGAGGAAACCATTTTGGATTCATCTTTTTACTTGCCACTCCATTCAGGCAGCTGCTGATGCTAAAATGGAAGACATAACTAAACTTTCCCTTCTCCAGAGTTCGAAATTTGAGCAACCCAGCCAAGAAGTTCAAGATTGAAGCCAATGCTGGGCAACTGTACCTGACAGGGGTGGTGGTACTGCACAAGGATGTCAACGTGGTAGTAGTGGAAGGGGGTGAGTCTGAAAAACTTGAGGGAGACTGTCCCCAGACAACCCTAGGCTTAGAGTGATTAGCATTGTGGGGAGAAAGGAGAAAAAGATCGTATTTTAGTGCCATACCTGATATAATATGCTAGGTCTCTGCTTCTGTGTTTTTTGGAGTAGAAGGCCCTAAGATGTGGTTCCTGAGATTGCTTCAACTACCACATTAATGTCTGAGCTCAGAGGTTCTTTCTACCCCATCATCTTCCACAGTTCTGGCAAAATTATTCTTCTCTGTTTCCAGGCCCCAAGGCCCAGAAGAAATTTAAGCGTCTTATGCTGCATCGGATAAAGTGGGATGAACAGACATCTAACACAAAGGGAGATGGTGAATGGGGGTTAGAGGGGATTAAGGGGGAGAGCTATGGGAGGTGGGGATGGTGCATCTGTCCGTTCATCTTATTTCCTCCCTGTGACACTCTTGATAACACTAGATAGTGTTCAGGAATTTTAGAAAGACCCGTTTAGACTTTGAGCCTCCTAGACATTCATACAATATTTACTACATGATTATATGCATGAATGGTAAAGCTATTTTTTTGCCTATCATTTAAGGCTTTTCTACCAGCTGGTTTCTGTGTCTGTCCTGGATCTGAGTACCGGTTACATGAATTTATTCAGTATTTGAAAATTCAGCAAGCAGCTAGGCATGGTGGCTCATGCCTGTAATCCTAGCACTTTGGGAGGCTGAGGCGGGCAGATTGCCTGAGGCCAGGAGTTCGAGACCAGCCTGGGCAAACAACGTGGTGAAACCCCATATCTACAAAAAGTACAAAAATTAGCTGGATGTGGTGGCACACACCTGTATTCCCAGCTACTCAGGAAGCTGAGGTGGGAGGATCACTTGAGCTTGGGGAGGTCGAGGCTGCAGTAAGCTGTGATCGTGCCACTGCAATCCAGCCTGGGTGACAGAATGAGACCCTGTCTCAAAAAAAAGAAAAAGCAAATCTAGTAAGCTATACATTCATGTGTACAGTGTCTATATTATATTATTATTTGATTTTTTTTTTTTTAAGGATTGAAGCCAAAAAGATCTTCAGGTCAAAAAAGCTCTGCTTTGATCAAACTATTTCTTTTGTCTGATATATATATATACACACATACACATACATACACACACACACACATACATACACACATGTACACACACATACACATACACACAATACACACACATACATGTACATGTACATACTCACACATATGCTCTTCAACTTAATGATGGGGTTAGTTCCAATAAACCTGAGATAAATTGAAAATATTGTTAAGTCAAAAATGCATTTAAGGCCAGGCACGGTGGCTCACACTTATAATCTGAGCACTTTGGGAGGCCGAGGCGAGCAGATCATTTGAGGTCAGGAGTTCGTAACAGCCTGGCCAACATGGTGAAACCCCGTCTCTACTGAAAACACAAAAATTCGGGGCGTGGTGGTGGACCTCTGTAATCCCAGCTACTCGGGAGGCTGAGGCAGGAGAATCGCTTGAACCTGGCAGGCGGAGGTTGCAGTAAGCTGTGATCGCACCACTGCACTGCAGCCTAAGCGACAGAGCAAGACTCCATCTCAAAAAAAAAAAAATGCATTTAATACATCTGACCTACAGGACATCATAACAGCCTAGCCTTCCTTATACTTTCTCAGAATACTTAGATTAGCCTACAGTTGGGCAAAATCATCTAACACAAAGCCTATTTTTATCTCATGTAAGAGTATTTTACTGCATATTGCTAGCCCAGGAAAATCTCAAAATTTAAAATTTGAAGTACATTTTCTACTAAATATTTATCACTTTCACACTATACTCAAGGCAAAAAATTGTAAGTCAAGGACTGTCTGTCTATATTTGAAGGCCAGACATTCTTCTGGCCATCATACTCCCATTAGTGTTCATTCTTCTCATCTTTGAACACCTGGATTAGCATTTAAAATCTGCAGAGAGGCCTGGTGTGATGGCTTATGCCTGTAATCCCAGCACTTTGGGAGGCCGAGGCGGGTGGATCACCTGAGGTCAGGAGTTTGAGACCAGCCTGACATGGTGAAACCCCGTCTCTACTAAAAAATACAAAAATGAGCTGGGCGTGGCAGCGTGCGCCTGTAATCCCAGCTACTCGGGAGGCCTAGGCAGGAGAATCACTTGAACCCAGGAAGCGGTTGCAGTGAGCTGAGATCATACCACTTCACTCCAGCCTGAGTGACAGAGCAAGACTCCGTCTCAAAAAAATAAAAATATAAATAAAATCTGCAGAGAGTTCATCTTAAGATACCTGAGAATAAAAAATATTTTGTTCTACACGTGCATTTTTTTTTTTTTTTTTTTGAGATGGAGTCTTTGCTCTTTTGCCCAGGCTGGAGTGCAGTGGCACCATCTTGGCTCACTGCAGCCTCCGCCTCCCAGGTTCAAGTGATTCTCCTGCCTCGGCCTCCTGATAAGCTCGGATTACAGGCACCTGCCACCACACCTGGCTAATTTTTGTATTTTTAGTAGAGATGAGGTTTCGCCATGTTGGCTAGGCTGGTCTCAAACTCTTGACCTCAGGTGATCCACTCACCTCAGCCTCCCAAAGCGCTAGGATTACAGGCGTGAGCCACCACGCTGGCCGATAATTTTGATTTGGTATATCTGCCCTCCTCCTCCATTGGGTGAAAGTTTTTTGAGAGTAATATATGATGTTGACATATGAAGCCTGCCTCCCAAAGTGCCTAGGACAAGTTTTTATTCTTGACTGCTTGTCTTTTATTTCCTTATTCCCAGTACCTGGTGGAGCTCTTGATTCATAACAAGTGCTATGTAAATGCTAATTGTATCAATTAATATTACTGCCTACTTGGAGCTTCAAGTCTAATTTGGGGAAAATAAAGAGCAACAGAAAAGAGAACACTTGGTCCAACACATAAAAAGGGTGATAATATTTTAGAGAGTTTGGGTAGACTTGAATATTATTTGTTTAGAACCTGAATCTCAAGTCTAAGTCTGTAACAAGATTTCTCTTCCAGATGATGAGGAGTCTGATGAGGAAGCTGTGAAGAAAACCAACAAATGTGTACTAGTCTGGGAGGTAGGTGATCCTTTGTAAAACATTGTAAAACTTTAGCCAACTCCTGAATATTTATACTATTTGAGTGGAGCAATGGAATGTAAGATGTAATCAGTGAATAATGTTTTAAATAATTTATGTTTCTTTTTGGAATCCATTTTTAAATGGTTGGCAGTAAATTCTTCCTGATCATCTGTTTAATTAAATTCGTGAGTATTTAGTATATGCTATCTGGGGAAGTGCGTGGACAGTGCTGCTGGTAGCAGGAATACAAATTCTCTACCGAAAATTATTTATTTCACAGTCATGAATATGAGACTTGGAAACGGGAATGAATTGTTGTTGGATTTACCTTTGGATATAGTGAAGGAAGTACTAGACTTAAGAATATAAAGTTAGGAGGCTGGGCAGTGCTGCTTATTAGCTGTGCAATCTGGGCAAGACACTTAATGTCAAATTCTGTTGCCTTAGCTATTGTTCTCTATATTGTCAAGTTTTTGAGAATGAAATTAGATAATTATGTGATAGTGCTTCATAAAATGTGACTGAATCACTCTTCAAGTGGAATATTTTTTATGGTTATCTAGTTCTTTAACCCCTGAAGCCTTCTTAGAGAACCAGTATTAAAACCAGTATTAATGTTTTCATGTTTGCTTTTAGGTATAGTACATGTATATCTTTTTTTGGGGGCGGGGGGGCGGGGGGCGGTATGGAGTTTCGCTCTTGTTGCTCTTGTTGCCCAGGCTGGAGTGCGATGGCGTGATCTCGGCTCACCGCAACCTCTACCTCCCAGGTTCAAACGATTCTCCTGCCTCAGCCTCCCAAGTAGCTGGGATTACAGGTGCACGCCACCATGCCCGACTAATTTTTGTATTTATAGTAGAGACAGGGTTTCTCCATGTTGGTCAGGCTGGTCTTGAACTCCCAACCTCAGGTGATCCGCCTGCCTCGGCCTCCCAAAGTGCTGGGATTACAGGCATGAGCCACTGTGCCCAGCCCCTCCATTTCTTTTTTTTTTTTTTTGAGAGAGTTTTGCCCTTGTTACCCAGGCTGGAGTGCAATGGTGCAATCTCAGCTCACCGCAACCACCGCCTCCTGGGTTCAAGTGATTCTCCTGCCTCGGCCTCCCGAGTAGCTGGAATTACAGGCATGAGCCACCACGCCTGGCTAATTTTGTATTTTTAGTAGAGACGGGGTTTCGCCATATTGGTCAAGCTGGTCTCGAACTCCTGACCTGAGGTCCGACTGCCTTGGCCTCCCAAAGTGCTGGGATTACAGGCATGAGTCACTGCGCCCGGCCATATATCTTCTATTTTTAAAATGTGCTTATTTCTAGTATATGTGCTGCTGAAGCGAGCAGTAAAATGTGCTTATTTCTATTAATGAATTCTTTATTATAAAAGTGGTACATTATTACAAAAGTAGTAAATGTTTATTAAGATTAGAAACAAATTCTAATTATACAGAAGAGTACTTACTGAGACCCAGCACAGTGGCTCACGCCTATAATCCCAGCACTTTGGGAGGATGAGGTGGTTGGATCACTTGAGCTCAGGAGTTCAAGACCAGCCTGGGCAATATGGCGAAACCCCGTCTCTACAAAAAATACAAAAATTAGCCTGGCCTGGTGGCGTCTGCCTGTAGTCCCAGCTACTTGAGAGGCTGAGGTGGGAAGATTGCTTCAGCTTTGGAGTTTGAAGCTGCAGTGAGCTGTGACTATGCCACTGCACTCCAGCCTGGGCACCAGAGTGAAACCCTGTCTTAAAAAAAAAAAAGAAAAAGTCTCAGGCCAGGTGCAGTGGCTCATGCCTATACTCCCAACACTTTGGGAGGCTGAGGTGGGCGGATTACGAGGTCAGGAATTCGAGACTAACCTGGCCAACATGGTGAAACCCAGTCTCTACTAAAAATACAAAAATTAGTGGGGCGTGGTGGCCAGTGCCTATAATCCCAGCTACTTGGGAGGCTGAGGCAGGAGAATCGCTTGAATCTGGGAAGCGGAGGTTGCAGTGAGCCGAGATCGCACCATTGCACTCCAGCCTGGGTGACAGTGCGAGACTGTGTCTCAAAACAAAAGTCTCTTCCTATTCGCTGATCTCTTCAGACCAGTCTTTATAGGTAATTGCTATTAATAGTTTTTCTTCTGAAGGAGCAATCAAAAAATAAAAATTAAAAAAAAAGGTTTTCATGTATCCTGCCTTATCCCAGATTCTTCAATTTATGCATACAAATTAGATGATAATAACCATAGTATTTGTTCTCTGTTTTATAAGTTCCCACCTGCATATTTGTTATCTTTTTTTAATCAACTTTTTTTTTTAGAGATAGGGTCTTGCTCTATTGCTCAGGCTGGTGTGCAGTGGCGCAGTCATAGCTCGCTACAGCCTTGAACTCCTAGGGACAAGCAATCCTCCAGTCTCAGCTTCTCAAGTATCTGAGACCTCAGGTCCACACCACTGTGCCTGGCTAATTTTTTTTTTTTTTTTTTTTTTTTTTAGAAATGGATCTCACTATGTTGCCTAGGCTTGTCTTGAACTCTTAGCCTTGAGTGATCCTCCCACCTCAGCCTCCCAAAGTGCTGGGATTATAGGCATGAGCTACTGTGCCCAGCCCTACCTTCACATATCTCAGCACCCTCATCTTTCAATTTTCTTCTATTTATCTCTGAAGAGTACTTACTGAAAAAGTCCCGGCTTCTTAGAGAACCAGTATTAATGTTGTAGGAATTTAGTTTTCAGGAATTGTCTCTCATGTTCAGAAATAAGCCAAGTTCTGCTCCAGCCTCCTTATTGGAGTCTACTCCCTGAACGCCTCTTGAGGTATTGCTTTATGACTGCCATTGCTGCTGGTAACTTTGGCAAGAATGCCATTCTGCCCAGTACTGTCTTTTTCTGTTGTAATTCTCTGCTGGTACCTGCTCTTCTTCTGTTCCCCGCCCCCAGTTGTTCTTTGTTGCTGGGCCCCAAAGCCTCCTGCTTATATAAATAGTTTCTGGGGCCTTTTTGAAGGCTCAGATTTAGTCCTTAAGGCCTGGTAGGAGATAAGTTTATCTCATTCCACCTTCCATAGTTCTTCCTGACTTGCTGTTCCACCCAGGCACCAGAGCAAATAATTCCTCACTTCATTTCAAAAAACTAAAAGCCTTATGCATATGAATTCGTAAAATCTCATACAAATATCCAAGGAGGCCGGGCGCGGTGGCTCACGCCTATAATCCCAGCACTTTGGGAGGCTGAGGCGGGAGGATCACGAGGTCAGGAGATCGAGACCATCCTGGCTAACACGGTGAAACCCCGTCTCTACTAGAAATACAAAAAATCAGCTGGGCGTGGTAGCGGGCGCCTGTAGTCCCAGCTACTCCAGAGGCTGAGGCAGGAGAATGGTGTGAACCCGGGAGGCGGAGCTTGCAGTGAGCCGAGATCGTGCCACTGCACTCCAGCCTGGGCGACAGAGCGAGACTCTGTCTCAGAAAAACACAAATATCCAAGGAAATGGAGGTCACAATTTTTTTTTAACCATAAAATCACGTTCAGCTGGGCACATGTCTCACAAATGTTACTAGGTCTTCTTATAAAAGAATATTATCTGATTTAAATAAGAAATTGAAGTGTTTTTATTATATATCTCTTTTCTAGGGTACAGCCAAAGACCGGAGCTTTGGAGAGATGAAGTTTAAACAGTGTCCTACAGAGAACATGGCTCGTGAGCATTTCAAAAAGCATGGGGCTGAACACTACTGGGACCTTGCGCTGAGTGAATCTGTGTTAGAGTCCACTGATTGAGACTACTGCAAGCCCTTGCCTCTCCTCCCTTGCCTTTGTCTCTTCAGTCCTCTCACTTATTCTATTTCCCAACCCCCTCCCACTTGTTTGTGTGATCTCAGAACTGTGCCAAGCAGACACTGGGACAAAGGGAGAATATCTTGCTCCCCTCCTGAGTCAGCCTGGTGTTGCCCTTTATTCCCCTTATGTGCATATGATTAAAGAGTTATTTTTAAACTTGGTGTGATATTTTTCACACATTCGTAAGTATTAGAGTTTGGGTCTACAGGTGATCTTTTTTCCGGACTTTTAGCAATTGCTGTGGAAAAAAACATTTTTTGTCATTGACATTTATTTATATATATAAATGGATGAATGGATGGATGGATAGATGGATGTGTATTTTTGAAGTCTAGTGGAAATGTTTGATCTCATCCTGGAGCTAGAATGATAAATACTGTTTTCCTGGAGCAGAATGAAGCAGGGAGATGTGTAAAGTGGTAAGGGAGGAAGGAGGGACAAATGAGTATCCATCCCTTAACCAAGAGAATCACCAGGTTAGACAGATTACCTCAGGACTTGGCTAAGTAGTCTTTCCAGGAAATCAGTTCCTCTAAGGGATGCATATGTGGGAATGTGTGTTGTGGGTGAAATGGACACAGGGAAAGTCCAAGGAGGATGCTATGGGTCAGTTTGTAAAGTGGAATAGGATTTAAGAATTTAGCCCATTTTGTCTCTTTTACTAGTTTAAAAATCCGCTTCTAATAGAAATTGTGTAGTTTTTTTTTTTTTTTTTCTATCTATGAATCCGACTACATGTGGGTGGTTTTATTTCAGCATTTAATGTTTCTGGTTTGATTTTAGGAGTATTTGAAGTCCAAAATTTTTACCATACCTATCCTTCCGTTTCATATTGCCTCTGTTGGGAATGGATCAAACAAGTCAATAGAGCTCCCATACCTTCTTGCTAGGTGGAGCATGCTATGAATTGGTATTGGAGAATGGATGTTTGACAAAAAGTTAAAACATTCTGTGTTATAAAATTAACCCCCTTTAAAAAAAAAAATCTGTATTTCAGGTCCTGGTCAGAGTTCCAACTTTAAGGTAGTATTAGGGAGCACTACCATCAAGGAGGTGGGAAGAGATAGGGGACCACACAGGGCTTTGAGGTAAAACTAGTGCAACTTCTCTCCTTCTTAATTTTAATTTTTTTTTTTTTGTTTTTTGTTTTTAGACCGAGTCTCGCTCTGTCGCCAGGCTGGAGTGCAGTGGTGTGATCTCGGCTCACTGCAACCTCCACCTCCCAGGTTCCAGCAATTCTCCTGCCTCAGCCACCCGAGTAGCTGGGACTACAGGCGCACGCCACCACACTCAGCTAATTTTTGTATTTTTTAGTAGAGATGGGGTTTCACCATATTGGCCAGGCTGGTCTCAATCTCCTGACCTCGTGATCTGCCCACCTCGGCCTCCCAGAGTACTGGGATTACAGGTGTGAGCCACCGCGCCTGGCCTGATTTTAATTTTTTTGAGCTCCAGCTCAAAGGATTCTCCTTTTTTAGAGATAAGCAAGCTGAGCTTGGTGGCTCCTGCCTGTAATCCCAGCATTTTGGGAGGTCGAGGCAGGCAGATCATCTGAGGTCAGGAATTCGAGACCAGCCTGCCCAACATGGTGAAACCCCATCTCTACTAAAAATACAAAAAATTAGCTGGGTGTGGTGGTGGGCACCTGTAATCCCAGCTACTTAGGAGGCTGAGGCAGGAGAATTGCTTGAACCCAGAAGGCGGAGGTTGCAGTGAGTCAAGATCGTGTCACTGCACTCCAGCCTGGGCGACGAGAGCAAAACTCCTTCTCAAAAAAAAAAAAAAAAAAGGCCAGGAGTGATGGCTCACGCCTCTAATCCCAGCACTTTGGGAGGCCGAGGCGGGTGGATCACGAGGTCAAGAGATTGAGACCATCCTGGCCAATATGGTGAAACGCTGTCTCTACTAAAAATACAAAAATTAGCTGGCATTGTGGCACGTACCTGTAGTCCTAGCTACTTCGGAGGCTGAGGCAGGAGAATCACTTGAACCTGGGAAGCGGAGGTTGCAGTGAGCCGAGATCGCGCCACTGCACTCCAGCCTGACGACAGAGCCAGTCTCCGTCTCAAAAGAAAAAAGCCAAAAAAAGAGATAAGCACGGCTGGGCGCAGTGGCTCACGCCTATAATCCCAGAACTTTGGGAGGCTGAGGTCGGTGGATCACCTGAGATCTGGAGTTTGAGACCAGCCTGACCAACATGGAGAAACCCCATCTCTACTAAAAATACAAAACTAGCCGAGCGTGGTGGTGCATGCCTGTAATCCCAGCTACTCGGGAGGCTGAGGCAGGAGAACTGCTTGAACCCAGGAGGCAGAGGTTGCCCTGAGCCACGATCGCACCACTGCACTCCAGCCTGGGCAACAAGAGCAAAACTCCATCTCAAAAAAAAAGAGAAAAGCAAACTAACCCAGATGAGTGAGGCTCATCATCTGAAGGATGGTACAGGATGAAATCTTTGAAATAACTCTAGCTTACCAGGACACAGCAATGAAGATTTTGAGTGCTTACTAGTAATTATATCTATGAAACTTGGGAGCTAGAGAATTGAACTAGCTATTTTAGTATTTCTTGATTTAAGCAAATGCAGGGGAAAAATTCATTGTCATAAAAATGAGTGTTTTTGTTCTGTTAAAGGATTTGTTACAAGTATATGTGTAAATAATTTATACACTACTTCAAAAATGAATTGATTGCATAAGATCTAAAAGAAATATTTATATTACAATATGCTATAGTTTATTGTAATGTACCCATAATGAGACTCAAACTTGTCTTGAGTATATCACTCGTCTCTCTGTGCCTCCAGGTGTTAATTGTTGTTAAATTTTCTCAAGCATTACCTCCTTATTTCTCCTTACAAACTTATAAGAGATATGCATTTTAGAGGTGAGGAATCTGAGGCTTAGAGTAAATAATTTGCCCAAGTTTATGACTTAGTAAGTTGTAGAGCTTGATTTGAACCCAGATTTGTTTGAGTACAGACCAAACTGAGCCACTAAGTGTATATTGCCTCATTTGTACAATAAAGAGGTAGGGACAGATATGTTCTTTCAAATGAATGTTATTCTCAGGATAGTTCTTACCTGGGGATGCTGTTATCACTGAAAATACTTTGTGAGCTGGGCGCGGTGGCTCATGCCTGTAATCTCAGCACTTTGGGAGGCCAAGGCGGGCGGATCACGAGGTCAGAAGTTCGAGACCAGCCTGACCAACATGTTGAAACCCCGTCTCTACTAAAAATGCAAAAATTAGCTGGGCATGGAGGCGCGCGCCTGTAATCCCAGCTACTCGAGAGGCTGGGGCAGGAGAATCACTTGAACCCAGGAGGCGGAGGTTGCAGTAAGCGAGATCGCGCCACTGCACTCCAGCCTGGGCGACAGGGCAAGACTCCATCTCAAAAAAAAAAAAAACAAAAACTTTGTGAATTTTGGTAATTTCATCTATTTCCAGTCCTTTTTGAATACCTTTAGTTAACGGCAGTTATTAGTTTTGGAAGAGTCATTTTTTTCATTTTTTATTTTCATTGGAAAGAGTTTTAGAAACCCTTTGGCTGGAATTAATAAATGATTATAGTAAGGTTGCAGGATATAAGGTTACAATACAAAAATCAGTCGCTCTCCTGTATACGAGTAATGAACAAGTAGAATTTGAAATTAAAAGCAATTCCATTTACATTAGCACCAAAAGGAAGTGGAATACTTAGGGATAAATCCAAATATATGTAAGATCTATATGAAGAAAACTACAAAACTCTAATAAAAAAAAAACTAAATAAATGCAATGGTATGTCACATTCATGGTAGGAAGACAGTATTGTAAAGATGTCAGTTCTGGTTGGATGTGGTGGCTCATGCCTGTAATCTCAGCACCTTGGGAGACCGAGGCTGGAAGATCATTGAGACCAGCCTGGACAACATAGGGAGATCCCATCTCTGCAACTTTTTTTATTTTTATTTTTTTTTTGAGACAAGGTCTCGCTTTGTTGCCCAGGTTGGAGTGGTGTGGCATGTTCTCAGCTCACTGCTGCCTTGACGTCCCAGGCTCAAGCAATCCTCCCACCTCTCAGCCTCCCGAGTAGCTGAGTCTACAGGCACATGCCACCACACCTGGCTAGTTTTTAAATTTTTTTGTAGAGACGAGGTATCACTTTGTTGCCCAGGCTGGTCTCCAACTCCAGAGCTCAAGTCATCTTCTTGCCTTGGCTTCCCAAAGTGCTGGGATTACAGCGATGAGTCACTGCACCCGGTCTACAAAAAATTTAAAAATAAAATTAGCCAGGCATGGTGGCATGTGCATGTGGTTCCAGCTACCTGGGCTGGGAGGATCACTTGGGCCTGGGAAGTACCATTGCACTCCAGCCTGGGTGACAGAGTGAGACCCTGTCTCAAGGAAAAAAAAAAAATCCAATAGAGTTGAAGGACTGACATTACCCAACTTTGAGAATTACTGTAAAGCTACAGTAATGAAGGTGGTGTTGTTGTTGTTGTTGTTGTTGTTGTTTTGAGACGGAGTCTCGCTCTATTGCCCAGGCTGGAGTGCAGTGGTGCAATCTCGGCTCACTGTAACCTCCATCTCCCGGGCTCAAGCAGTTCTCCTACCTCAGCCTCCCGAGTAGCTGGGATTACAGGCACCTGCCACCATGCCCAGCTAAGTTTTGCATATTTTTAGTAGAGATGGGGTTTCACCACACTGGCCAGGCTGGTCTTGAACTCCTGACCTGAGGTGATCCACCCGCCTCGGCCTCCCAAAGTACTGGGATTACAGGTGTCAGCCACCGTGGCTGGCTTTTTTTTTTTCTGAGACGGAGTTTCACTCTTGTTGCCCAGGCTCGAGTGCAATGGTGCAATCTTAGCTCACTGCAAACTCCACCTCCCGGGTTCAAGTGATTCTCCTGCCTCAGCCTCCCAAGTAGCTGAGATTACAGGCATGTGCCACCATGCCCAGCTAATTTTGTATTTTTAGTAGAGATGAGGTTTCACCATGTTGGTCATGCTGGTCTTGAACTCCCGACCTCAGGTGATCCACCAGCCTCGGCCTCCAAAGTGCTGGGATTACAGGAGTGAGCCACCATGCCCAGCTGGTAGTATAGTATTGGTGAAAGAATAGATCAGTGGAACAGAGTAGAGATCACAGAGATAGACTCACATAGTCAACTGCTCTTTGATAAAGGAGCAAAAGCAATATAAAGGAGAGATAATCTTTTTTAAAAATTGGTGTTGGAACAACTGGATGTTCACATGCAAAAAAGTGAATCTAGACACAAATTAACTCAAAATAGGTAACAGACCTAAATGTAAAATGCAAACCTGTAAAGTACCTAGTAGATAACAGAAAATGTAGCTGACTTGGGGTTGGCCTTGACTTTTTTTTTTTTTTTTTTTTTTTGAGATGGAGTCTCACTCTGTCACCCCCGCTGGAGTGCAATGGTGTGGTCTCTGCTCACTGCAACCTCTGCCTCCCAGGTTCAAGCGATTCTCTGGCCTCAGCCTCTCGAGTAGCTGGGACTACAGGTGTGTGTCACCACACCCAGCTAATTGTATATTTAGTAGGAATGGGGTTTCACTTAGTTGTCCTGGCTGGTCTCGAACTCCTGACCTCCTGATCCGCCTGCCTTGGCCTCCCAAAGTGCTGGGATTACAGGTGTGAGCCACCGTGCCCAGCCAGCCTTGACTTTTTAGAAACAACACCAAAGGCATGATCTATGAAAGAAAAAATTATAAACTGGACTTAATTAAAATGAAAAATTCTGCTGTGCAAAAGACACTGTCAAGAAAATGAAAAGAAGGGCTGGGTGTGGTGGCTCATGCCTGTATTCCCACACTTTGGGATGGTGAGGCAGGCGGATCACTTGAAGTCAGGAGTTCAAGACCAGCCTGGCCCATATGGTGAAACCCCGTCTCTACCAAAAATACAAAAAATTAGCCGGGCATCATAGTGGGCGCTTGTAATCCCAGCTACTCAGGAGACTGAGGCATGAGAATTGCTCGAACCCAGGAGGCGGAGGTTGCAGTGAGCCGAGATCACACTACTGCACTTCAGCCTGGGCAACAGGGCAAGACTCCATCACCAAAAAAAAAGAAGGCCTCATACTGGAAGAAAATATTTGCAAAAGATGTATCTGATAAAGGACTTATCCAAAATATACAAAGAACTCCTAAAACTCAACACTAAGAAAATGAACAACTCAATTAAAAAGTGGGGCTGGCGCGGTGGCTCACACCTGTAATCCCAGCACTTTGGGCGGTCAAGGTGGGCGGATCATGTGAGGTCAGGAGTTCCAGACCAGCCTGGCCAACATGGCGAAACCCTGTCCCTACTAAAAATACAAAAATTAGCCGGGCATGGTGGCACATGTCTGTAATCCCAGCTACCTGACATGCTGAGGCAGGAGAATTGTTTGAACCCAGGAGGCTGAGGTTGCAGTGACCTGAGATCCTGCCACTGCACTCCAGCCTGGTCAACAGACAGACTCCGTTTAAAAAAAAAAAAGGGCCCGGCACGGTGGCTGACGCCTGTAATCCCAGCACTTTGGGAGGCCAAGGCAGGCAGATCACTAAGTCAGATCGAGACCATCCTGGCTAATGGTGAAACCCCGTCTCTACTAAAAATACAAAAAATTAGCTGGGTGTGGTGGCAGGCGCCTGTAATCCCAGCTACTCGGGAGGCTGAGGCAGGGGAATGGCGTGAACCCAGGAGGCGGAGCTTGCAATGAGCCGAGATGGCGCCACTGCACTCCAGCCTGGGCGACAGAGTGAGACTCCGTTTCAAAAAAAAAAAAAAAGTGGGCCGAAGACCTTAACGGACACATCATCAAAAAAAGATACAGAGATGGCAAATAAACATATGAAAAGATGCTCCACATCAGGCTGGGCACAGTGGCTCACACCTGCAATCCCAGCACTTTGGGAAGCCAAGGTGAGCACATTACCTGAGGTCGGGTGTTCAAGACCAGCCTGACCAACATGGAGAAACCCTGTGGCTACTAAAAATACAAAATTAGCCAGGCATGGTGGCGCATGCCTGTGATCCCAGCTACTTGGGAGGCTGAGGCAGGAAAATCGCTTGAACCTGGGAGGCGGAGGTTGCAGTGAGCCAAGATCGTGCCATTGCACTCCAGCCTGGGCAACAAGAGCAAAACTCCTTCTCAAAAATTAAAAAAGTCCATGCACAGTGGCTCATGCCTGTAATCCCCACACTTTGGGAGGCCGAGGCGGGTGGATCACCTGAGATTGGAAGTTCAAAACCAGCCTGACCAACACGGAGAAACCCCATCTCTGCTAAAAATACAAAATTAGCTGGGCGTGGTGGCACATGCCTGTAATCCCAGCTACTCAGGAGGTTGAGGCAGGAGAATTGCTTGAACCCAGGAGGCAGAGGTTGTGGTCAGCCAAGATCACTCCAGCCTGGGCAACAAGAGCAAAACTCCGTCTCAAAAAAATAAAAAAATGCTCCACATCATATGTCATTAAGGAAATGCAAGTTAAAACAACAATTAGATACTGCTACACACCTATTAGAGTGGCCAAAATCCAAAAGATTAACAACATTAAATGCTGGTGAGGATGTAGAACTGATGGAAATGCAAAATAGTAAATCCACTTTGGTAGGTTGATGATTTTTTCTTTTTTTAAGTAGCTGGGATTACAGGCATTCGCCAACATGCCCAGCTAATTTAGCATTTTTAGTAGAGACGGGGTTTCTCCATGTTGGTTAGGTTGGCCTCGAACTCACGACCTTAGGTGATCTGCCCATCTCGGCTTCCCAAAGTGCTGGGATTACAGGCATGAGCCACTGCGCCTGGCCGATTTCTTTCTTTCTTTTTTTTTTTTTTTTTGAGAGGGAGTTTCAGTCTTGTTGCCCAGGCAGTAGTGCAATGGCGTGATCTTGGCTCACTGCAACATCTGCCTCCCAGGTTTAAGCAATTCTTCCGCCTCAGCCTCCCAAGTAGCTGGGATTACAGGTGCCTGCCACCATGTCCAGCTAATTTTGCTTTGTTTTATTTTATTTTATGTATGTATGTATGTACTTATTTTGAGACAAAGTCTCACTCTGTCACCCAGGGTGGAGTGCAGTGGCGCGACCTTGGCTCACTGCAACCTCCGCTGCCCAGGTTCAAGCAATTCTCCTGCCTCAGCCTCCTGAGTAGCTGGGATTACAGGCATGTGCCACTGCGCCCGGCTAATTTTTTGTAATTTTAGTAGAGAGGGGGTTTCGCCACATTGGTCAGGCTGGTCTTTAATTCTTGACCTTGTGATCCACCCCACTTGGCCTCCCAAAGTGCTGGGATTACAGGTGTGAGCCACCGCACCTGGCCCTGTATTTTTAGTAGAGATGGGGTTTCACCATGTTGGTCAGGCTGGCCAGTTTCTAACTCTTGACCTCGGGCGATCCACCGGCCTCGGCCTCCCAAAGTGCTGGGATTACAGGCATGAGCCACCGCGCCCGGCCTTAGGTTGATGATTTCTTACAAAAGTAAACATATTCTTACCATATGATGTAACAATTGTGCTCCTTCGTGTTTACCCAAGGAGTTGAAAATATATTCACCCCAAAAGCTGTACAGAGATGTTTGTAACAGCTTTATTCATACTTGCAAAAATGTGGAAGCAACCAAGATGTCCTTCAGGTGAATGGATAAATAAAACTGGCACATCTGGACAGTGAAATATTATTCAGCACTAAAATGAAATGAGCTATCAAGCCATGAAAAGACATGGAAGAAACTGAAATGCATTTTTTTTTTTTTTGAGGTGGAATCTCATTCTGTTGCCCAGGCTGGAGTGCAGTGGCCTGATCTTGGCTCACTGCAACCTCCGCCTCCCAGGTTCAAGTGATTCTCCTGCCTCACCCTCCGGAGTAGCTGGGACTACAGGCGTGCGCCACCATGCACGGCTAATTTTTGTATTTTTAGTAGAGACGGGGGTTTCACTATGTTGGCCAGGCTGGTCTCGAACTCCTGACCTCGTGATCCACCCACCTCGGCCTCCCAAAGTGCTGGGATTACAGGCATGAGCCACCGTGCCCCGCCTGAAATGCATATTATTAAGTGAAAAAAGCCAGTCTGAAAAGGCTACATACTGAATGATTTCACCTATATGACATTCGGGAAAAGGCAAAACTATGAAGACAGTAAAAAGATTAGTAGTCGCTAGGGGAATAAGGGGGAGGGAAGGATGAATAGGTGGAACACAGAGGTTTTTAGAGCAGTGATACTGCTCTGTATGATACTGTAATGGTGGATACATGCACATTTGTCCAAACTCAAGGTATAACACCAAGAGCGAACCCTAATGTAAACTATGGGCTTTGGGTGATAATGTGTCAGTGTAGGTTTGTCAGTTGTAACAGATGTATCGTTCTGGTGCGTGACATTGATAATGGGGGAGGGTATTCATGTGTGGGGGCAGGTGGTATATGGAATTCCTTGTGCTTTCCACACAATTGCCGTGAATCTAAAACTGCTCTAAAAATAGTCTATAAAAAAGTGGGTCTTTGGCTAGAGTTACAGAAAAAAAAAAAATGTGGGGTCAGGACCAGGCATGGCGGCTCAAGCTTATAATCCCAGCACTTCGGGAGGCTGAAAGCAGGAGGACTGCTTGAGGCTAGGAGTTTGAGACCAGCCTGGGCAACATAGGGAGACTCCCCCTCTCAAAAAAATGTTGTTGTTGTTGTTTTGTTTTTTTAGCTAGGTGTGGTGGTGCAGGCCTGTAGTCCCAGCTACTTGTGCTGCTGAGGCAGGAGGACCACTTGAGTCTGGGGGATTGAGGCTGCTGTGCGATATGATAGTGCCACTGCACTCTAGCCTTGGCAGGGACAGAGCGAGACTGTATTTTAGAGCCTTTGCACTTGCTGTTCCTAATGCCAGCATGTTCCGCTCCCCGTCTCGCATATCTGCTTGGTTGCTTTTTTCTCAATGTTCAGATCGAGTTATTTCTTTCGAGAAGACTTCCTGGTTCACCATACCACCATTCTTATACTGGCGCGTGCGTGCCGTGCACACGTACACACACGCGCGCACACACACACACCCCTTTCTCCCTTACCCTGCTTCACCTTTTTACAGAATTTAATACTGTCTGAAATGTACTTGTTGGTGGTGTCCTGCCACTAAATCCCGGAGGGAACGGATTTTTGTCTGTTTTGCTCCCCATGATCTAAAACAGTACTTGGCACAAGAGGTTCAACAACTCGTTGAATTAATGAATAGTGGACATGAACTTGACAAAACAGGTTCCCTGCCTCAAGAGGCATGGCCGCAGTGAGGAGACGTTAAAAGAATTAAAACTGTATATGTTTAGTGGGAACACAGGAGCCTTTAAATTAGCTCAGAGGATTTACATAGATACCTGCGATAAAATGGTTCGTATAAGGTTCATATAATAGTTACGTAAGACTCTTGAAAACTGTAATGTATTATGCAATTTTAAGATTGTATCATAGCTGGCGAAAATGAGGTCACATCTTGCCATTCTTTTTTCGCCTCGAAAAATTTTATGAGGAAAATTTCCTTTCACTTCCTCATTTATTTCCTTTTCCTGTAACCTAAATGGTCAAGCGGCTGTGAATGTTATCTTCTATGGGCAGCAATAAATACGGTTTGGTGTCGGAGTCTGCGTAGTGAATGGCTCACTGGATCTGGCGCATGCGCATCTTTTGTGGTGCCGCAAGATGGCTGCCAGCCATTTTGTCGCGCGTTGCTCCTCCGAGGAGTTGGGGGCGATGGCTGCAGCCCCCTGAAGACTAACAGTGGTCTCAGTGGTGGGAATTTTCTGTCTCTGTTGTGTGAGCTGAACACACCCAAGAGAGCGGCCAAAAGCAGCAAAGGGCGGGGCAGGGGAACCCCCCCACCCGGCTAACCTTAGTTATACCAGCTCCCTCACCCATCCCTCCCAGTTTTTCCTTCCATCCCGTTACACGCTTATCTTCTGCGCAGGCGCAAAAATAATCGTAGCGCCTCCTGGGCCCTGGGGGCTTCAGAGCTCCTGCGCGCGCTTGTGGTTCTCCACTCCTGATTGGTCAGGTTGCCCCGCCATCACGCCTCCCTCTGCTTTCAAGGTTGAGAAGGAAGCAGGGGTAGGGGGGTGGGGCCAAGTGGCGCGTGCGCGATACTGTTGCTGCCCCTTTGCTGCTATTGCGTTGCAAAAAAAATCCTGACTAGGTAGCCTTGGACCTTTTCTGTGCTAGCGAGTCTAAAGGAAAGAAAGATTTCTGCAACTGAAGGGGCAGTCGGGTAGTATTACATTTAAGATATTAACGCCCGACCTGGCTCACAGGAGTGTGGGAACAGGGGCGGGGAAGGGCCTTAGCACTGAGAGCCGAAAAGTATAAAACGATTAGTTTCGGCGTCAGGCGTTTTGAAAGGCTTTGCAGGTCCTGTTTTCTGCGTAATTTTTCCGTGATTACTGACTGGTTTAAACACGACCCCTTGAACAATATTGATAAAACCTCCGAGACCCGCAGCCCCTCCTTGCAGCGTGTAGGAGCTGCCAGCGTGCCCAGCAGCTGGTGTTCCCGTCCGTACCTCCAGAAGAGCCCAGCGCGTGCACCATCCCCACCCCCTAGCTTCCCTCCCCACCTACGGCTTTCACGCACTCGCAGTGATTGTTTTGCCCGCTCCCGCCGCCGCCGCCGCCGCCGCCGCCAGAGGAGCAGCAGCGCTTGTGCAAACCGGGAAGATGGCGGCCGGCGGCGGCGGAGGCAGCAGTAAGGCCTCCTCCTCGTCGGCCTCTTCGGCAGGGGCTCTGGAGTCCTCGTTGGATCGAAAATTCCAGTCGGTAACCAACACCATGGAGTCCATTCAAGGCTTGTCGTCTTGGTGTATAGAGAACAAAAAACACCACAGTACTATCGTCTATCATTGGATGAAGTGGCTCCGGAGATGTGAGTGTTGGGGGTGACTAGGGAAGGGAAGACTGGGGAAATGGAAGGAAGTGTGGCCTGAAACGCTTGGGGTTTTCCCACGGAGCCGCAGCATTTGGTTGGGGTTGTTCACATTAAAGGTTTGACCCCAGTGGTCCCAAACCCAGACTCCATTCCTAGCCAGGATTGTCCTGAATTGCAGGAGACTCATTTCTTGGGTTTTTTAGCCATTGAATTGTTGTGACCTTGGGCCGTTGGGCCCAGATCCATGGAGATTTACGTATATTGTTTTTAATATTTCAGAGCCTTGTAAGGTGTATTGATTTTTCCGAACCTTCGCGGAAATTGTAGCGTCTGTTTATTTCTTACAGGCCTTGACGTGTTAATGATTTCTGGCTTTCCTGATGGTAGGCGAGCTGTGGTTTTAAGCAGTAGTAAATCCAGTGATGTTTAATGAGGAGTGCCTTGTCTGGATGAATGTATCTAAAACTTGTGATGTGTAGTAAGGAGAGCCTTACCTGGATGAATGTTAAGAAGCAGCATGAGCTCTACATAGATCTGAGGCACCACCGGGTTTTCCCTGTACCTGTGTTTGCTGCAATAAAATACAGGTTTCTTGGATACTGACCAGAAACAACTGCGATACAGTAGTCAGTATCATCGTTAATACCTTCAAATATAAAGCGTGTCCAGTTCCTCTTTTTTTTTGAGACGGAGTTTTGCTCTTGTCGCCCAGGCTGGAGTGCAGTGGCGCGATCTCGGCTCACTGCAACCTCCACCTCCCGGGTTCAAGCGATTCTCCTGTCTCAGCCTCGCGAGTAGTCGGGATTACAGGCGCCCGCCACCATGTCCGGCTAATTATTTGTATTTTTAGTAGAGACGGGGTTTCATCATTGTGGCCTGGCTGGTCTCGAACTCCCGACCTCAGGTGATCCACCTGCCTCGGCCTCCCAAAGTGCAGGGATTACAGACGTGAGCCCCCCGTGCCCGGCCCCGTTACTTTTTAATTACCTGAAATACCTTTTTACACAATTGAGTTGATCTCATGGGTAATGTGCACAGGAAATGTGCTTTTTGAATATGTAGTACCTTTTTCTCCAGTTATGTTTTTTTTGTCTTTATCCTGGAGATTTTTCCATTTTGCTGCTTTACTGCAGAAACGAGCTCTGTTAAAGCATGGATTGTTTGCAGAACGTTTCAAATCTTATAGGAGGAAGTGTGGAGAAGTTACTGTTTCCTGCTGAGAAGAGAGGGTTAACTCATACTCCATATACATCTATTAGAATTTTTCTTTGCTTCCTGCCTGCGGCATTTCACCAGTGAGACCCATCATCCAGTTATTCTGCCTTATTCCACTTCTGCCATTGCTCCTGTAGTGTTTTGATTTGTTTACCTTTTAGAGAACAGATAGATAAAACTTGCAAAATTATAGGCCCCATGCTTCGAACTATTTGTGTTTAAAGTTTTGGGAGGGATGTTTTGTGGTTCTTTGAATAATAATGCAGAGAAATTAGTAGATACCGGACAGAATTACCTGTGTTTACCAATAACCGATCAAAGAGTTATTTTCTTGCCCAGAGGTAAAATTATAACGTGCAAAAACATCAAATATGATAACAGTCATCATTGAAGACTCACATGTTAAGTATCTGCTATGTGCCCAGTCATCTCATTGTACCTTAAAATCGTCTGAGAAGTAGATTTTTTAATCACTGATTTACAAACGAGGAAACTAAGACTCGGAAATTAAGTTGCTTAAGGTTACTCAGTAAAATGGTGGGGTTAGGGTTTGACTTCATCATTAACTTTGTAAAATAATGTTTAACGTTCTTGGTATACCAGTGATATATTGCAAACAGTTCTAATGTGAGTGAGAGAACCTCTTCTCCACCCTATTTTAAAACATTTTTACTGACCTATGCAAGCATTTTACATTTCCTCACCTTGGGCTCTGGGGCTTTAACTGTATGGTTACATCATTTGCAAGAATAAGTTGGTCCCTGTCCCGTCTCTGCTGTGTGGGATCACAAGCGACAATTACAGTTTTTTTTCTAGTCAGCAATAATGAGATAAAATGAAGCCAGAATTTTTTACCTCAGCTGTTGTTGCTATTGTGCCTGAGCTTATTTCCTTTATTGATATCTTAAGAGTGAAAAAATGAATGCTCCAGGAGGGCAGTGTGTCAGTTGAAGTGCATTGTGTATAGTTTATATAGTTAAGTGCTTTTGGCTAAATATGATGTTGTTTTTCTAGTGGAATGGAATTTAACTTTCTAAAATGATTAAGGGTAATTTTAGTCGTTTTGTATTTACATTTAATGAACTTCACTGGTCTCATTGTAAATAAAGCGTTTTGAGAGAAATATTCAGCAGAATGGTGTGGGGCGCAATGAAAACAGTTTATGCATGGGCCTTGTTTTCATTTAAGTTCTTATTTCTTTACAGTTATACTTAGTTTACTCTGAGTTTGGTTTCTAAGTCAGCTTTAGGAAAAATTGTGAAGCAGGTATCTTTGGACTCTGAGTTTGGTTTCTAAGTCAGCTTTAGGAAAAATTGTGAAGCAGGTATCTTTGGCATTCCCAGCCTTTCTGTCCATTTTCCTGATGCCACTTTGCTTCTCTTTTTTCTTCTGACATCCGTTATTTAGTAATTTATATTTATATTTAGACCTCAGTATAAATTTAAGTAACTATTAGATTCCAGAGATATTTTAATTTTATCCTTTATTTCAGTGTGTAATGAGACTTTTGTTCATATAAAAGGAAATAATTTAGAGAAATAGGCTATCTAAGGATATGTTCCAGAGATATTTTTATTTTATCCTTCTTTACTTTTTTTTTTTTGAGATGGAGTCTCGCTCTGTCGTCCAGACTGGAGTGCAGTGGCGCGATCTCAGCTCACTGCAACCTCCACCTCCAGGGTTCAAGCAATTCTCCTGCCTCAGCCTCCCAAGTAGCTGGGATTACAGGCACGCACCACCACGTCCAGCTAATTTTTGTATTTTTAGTAGAGACAGGGTTTTACCATGTTGGCCAGGGTGGTCTCGAACTCCTGACCTCAGACCATCATTTTCTAAGGTGATCTTTCTGTAGCATAAACAAATGTCATTCCTCTGCTTTAAAACCCTGCAGTGATATCCCATTGCAACAAGTTGAAGGTCTGAATTTCTTTTACATTGATCTGTAAGTCCTGTACCATCTGCTCTGCCTACCTCGGGCTTCTTCACATCCTGCCTCCTTCTCATTGTTTAGATCAAATCTCAACTATTACCTCCTCAGAAAGACCTACTTTGATCACCTTATTTCTTGTTTTTTTTTTTTTTTTTTTAATACGGAGTCTTAATAGATTTTTTTAAATTACATGTATCTGTTTTTTATTTATTTTAAATTAATTTAATTTAATTTAATTTTTTTGAGATGGAATTTCGCTTTGTCGTCCAGTCTGGAGTGCGGTGGCGTGATCTCAGCTCACTGCAACCTCTTCCTCCCAGGTCAAAGTGATTCTCTTGCCTCAGCCTCCTGAGTAGCTGGGATTACAGGCGTGCACCACTAAGCCCAGCTAATTTTTTTTTTTTTTTTTTTTTGAGACAGAGTTTCACTCTTTTCACCCATGCTGGAGTATAATGGCACGATCTCAGCTCACTGCAACCTCCGCCTCCCAGGTTCAAGTGATTCTCCTGCCTCAGCCTCCCAAGTAGCTGGAATTACAGGCATGCGCCACCATGCCTGGCTAATTTTTGTATTTTTAGTAGACGCAGGGTTTCACCATGTTGGCCAGGCTGGTCTTGAACTCTGGACCTCAGGTGATCCACCTGCCTCTCAGCCTCCCAAAGTGCTGGGATTACAGGTGTGAGCCGCCGCACCCGGTACCTGGCTAATTTTTGTATTTTTTGTAGAGACAGGGTTTCACCATGTTGGCCAGGCTGGTTTTGAACTCCTGATCTCAGGCGATCTACCCACCTCAGCCTCCCAAAGTGTTGGAATTACAGGCGTGAGCCACTGCACCCGGCTTCGCTTTATTTCAAGTAGTGCCTTCAATTGCTGTCACATCATCTTATTTTCAGTATATGATATTACCTTGTTTGTTACACGTTTATTGTCTGGCTTCCCTCCACCAGATGACAAGTTTGTCTTATTTGTTGCCCTGTCCCCAAACAACTAGGATAGTGCTGGCGTACAGTTAGCAATCAGTAAATGTTTGCCAACATAATGTGAAATAGCTAATCAAGAACTTAAGGAACAGAATTGCTTTAATTTCTGTTTATCAGAAGGAAGCATTTATAATTTAGTGAAAGAAATTACAGGTGCAGCAGTTGGAGGCATATGGACTTGATGTGCAATTTGCCCAGATTATCATTTCTGTACTTCGTTCTTCTTTCTCTCTTTTCTGTGGGGAGGTGGGGGAGGGACAGAGTCTGGCTCTGTTGCCCAGGCTGGAGTGCAGGGCATGATCTCCGCTCACTGCAACCTCCGCCTCCTGGGCTCAAGCAATCCTGCCACCTCAGCCTCCTGAGTAGCTGGAACCATGCCACCACACCTGGCTAATTTTTTTTTTTTTTTTTTTTTTTTTTTTTTTTTGAGACGGAGTCTTGCTCTGTCGCCCAGGCTGGAGTGCAGTGGCGCGATCTCGGCTCACTGCAAGCTCCGCCTCCCGGGTTCACGCCATTCTCCTGCCTCAGCCTCCCGAGCAGCTGGGACTACAGGCGCCCGTCACCGCGCCCAGCTAATTTTTTTTTTTTTTTTTTTGTATTTTTAGTAGAGACGGGGTTTCACCGTGGTCTGGATCTCCTGACCTCATGATCCGCCCGCCTCAGCCTCCCAAAGTGCTGGGATTACAGGCGTGAGCCACTGTGCCCGGCCTACACCTGGCTAATTTTTATGTTTTTGTTTTTGTTTTTTTTTGATGCAGAGTCTCACTCTGTCGCCTAGGCTGGAGTACAGTGGCGGAATCTCGGCTCACTGCAACCTCCATCTCCCGGGCTCAAGTGATTTTCATGCCTCCGCTTCCTGAGTAGCTGGGATTACAGGCACATGCCACCACGCCCAACTAATTTTTGTATTTTTTAGTAGAGATGGGGTTTCACCATGTTGGCCAGACTGGTCTCAAACTCCTGACTTCAAGTGATTCGCCCACCTCAGCCTCCCAAAGTGCTGGGATTACAGGCGTGAGCCACCACGCCCGGCCAAATTTTTATGTTTTTTGTAGAGACGAGGTATTGCCATGTTGCCCAGGCTGAACTCTTGGGCTCAAGCTATCTGCCTGCCTTGGTCTCCCAAAGTGGTAGGATTACAGGCGTGAACCACCAGGCCCAGACCTTCTTTCCCATTTTTAATGGTAAAATGGGAATCAATATGGAAAAATATAAAAGAGGCCTGTGTTAACATGTTAACTCCGGTCACTTAATACTGGATGACACTTTGCAAAGTACTTAAACTGTGAACCTCAGTTTTTCATCTATAAGTAGTTCTGTACCTGTAGATGAAAGTTCTACAATCTACAAGTAGAGATAATTCTGTCTGGAATTTACATTCCAGACACTGTCTACAGTGCTGGAAATTACATTCCCAGTTTGTGAGAGACGAATTGGACTAGCCTCTCTGTAGTAAATTAGCATATGCTTTGAAGAACTAGGAGGACAAAATGGAAAATATTGTGTTAATGACATCCATTTTGTCTTTTTTTTTTTTTTTTTTTTGAGACATATTCTTGTTCTGTCACCCAGGCTGGAGTGCAGTGGCATGATCTTGACTCACTGCAACCTCTGCCCCCTGGGTTCAAGTGATTCTCCTGCCTCAGCCTGCCAAGCAGTTGGGATTACAGGTACACACACCACACCCAGCTAATTTTTTGTATTTTTTTGTAGAGATGGGGTTTTGCCATGTTTGCCAGTCTGGTCTCAACCTCCTAAGCTCAAGCAGCCCACCCTCCTTGGCTTCCCAAAGTGCTGAGATTACAGGCATGAGCCACCGCACTCTTCTTAGCTATTTTTCATAGAAACTTTATGTATAAAAATAGAAGGGTAATGACACACCACCTTTCTACTGATCTCCCCACTTCAGTAGTTATCACATAACAGTCTTTTTTCACCTATCTCCTTCACTTTACCTCCTCTCCCTTAGTACTTTGAAGTAAATCTCAATGCAAGCTGGTATGTTTTTCAAAATGAAACATATAAACATGGACTAGAAAAAAATCTCTTCATACAGGATTTGGTTTTGCAGAGAATTTACAAAGTACGGTTAATGTATGCCAATGGTTTCTCAGTTTGGATATCGAGATCCTTAGATGGACCATGAAGCTGGTAATAATTTTATAGCTAACTTTTGTTAAGTGCTTACTATATGCCAGGCACTGTTCTAAGCATTTTACGTGTATTCATTCATTCAGTTCTCACAACTCTTTTAATTAGGTATTATTATGATCTCCATTTTACAGATTAGAAAACAGAGGCACAAAGAGGTTTTTTGTTTTTGTTTTTGTTTTTGAGACGGAGTCTCTCTCTGTCACCCAGGCTAGAGTGCAGTGGCACGATCGTGGCTCACTGCAAGCTCCGCCTCCCGTGTTCACTCCATTCTCCTGCCTCAGCCTCCTGAGTAGCTGGTAGCTGGGACTACAGGCACCCACCACCAGGCTGGCTAATTTTTTGCATTTTTGGTAGAGATGGGGTTTCACTGTGTTAGCCAGGATGGTCTCGATATCCTGACCTTGTGATCCGCCCGTCTTGGCCTCCCAAAGTGCTGGGATTACAGGCATGAGCCACCGTGCCCGGCTGTGCCAAGAGGTTAAGTAACTTGCCCGTGGTTACACAGCTAATAGGTGGTGGAGATGGAGACAGAATTCAAACCCAGGCATTCTTGATCTACAGTATACACTCTTACCCACCATCCTACACAGCCTTTCTTATTCATAAAATATTTTCTACAGTGCAAGAAAATTTTGATAGCTTGCTTATTTATTCAAGATTTAGACTATATAGATTAACTAGACTATCAAGATTTTAAATTCTTGTGTTTTTTGTTTTTTTCCCCCTCTGTGGCATAACTATCTCTTAGTGATTTGAAGTTCTGATAGGCATTTATTTATGTTTTTGATTAATTAAAAAAAGGGAAAAAAATGGAACATAATTATTGAAGCTATCGTCTAGGTAAAAACCTTTCTAAATGTAAGGTTCATTTAGATTGATGACCTGTAGAGTGTAACAGTATTGCCATAGGCATACAGCTTTTTAATCACATATCATACATAAACAAATTAGTAATACAGGTGGGTAGATACAGACCCTAACTTTGAGCTCTAAGATGAAATTTGTTTATAAATCCCTAGTTTCCATTCAGTTTTTTCAATATTTATCAAACACCTACTGTGCCAGGCATTGTTTAGGCACAGGGGATACAGCAGGAGAACAAAATGAACAAAATTTTTTGCCTTCACAGAGCTTAAAATTTAGCCGGGCTTGGTGGTGCACACCTGTGGTCCCAGCTACTTGGGAGGCTGAGGCAGGAGAATTGCTTGAACCCGGGAGGCAGAGGTTGCAGTGAGCCATGATCATGCCAGCCTGGGCAACAGAGTGAGACTCCGTCTGAAAAAAGAAACACACACACACACACAGACACACACACACACAAAGACAGCATATACTCTAGTAAGGGGAGACAGACAGCAAACAGATAAGTAAAATATTAAACATAATAGAAGGCGATAAATGCTCTAGAGAAATAGAAAGCAGGGAAGGGGGAAACAGAGGGGTTTGCAGTTTTACATTAAATGGTAAGGGAAGGCCTCACTGAGAAGGTGACATCTGAGTAAGGAGGTATGATATTAAGCAATATAGACATGAGGGTATGAGGTGGGCATGTTCAAGACTAAGTGAACAGAAAAAACAAAAGTCCTGAGGTTAGAGTGTGCCTGGTGAGTTTAGGGAGCAGCAAGAAAGCTTCTGTGACTGGAAAGGAGTTGTTAAAATGAAGATTAGTGGATGAGTTCAAAGAGATTATGGTGGGTGGTGTTGGGGAGGGGTGAAATGGGATTCACCAAGGGTTTTATAGGCATTGTAAGGACTTTGGTTTTTATTCAGAGTGAGATGGTGAGCCATTTAAGCAAAAGGAGATGAACTCTTTTTTTTTCTTTTTTTTTTGAGACGGAATTTTGCTCTGTTGCTCAGGCTGGAGTGCAATGGCACCATCTCGGCTCACTGCAACCTCTGCCTCCCGGGTTCAAGCGATTCTCCTGTCTCAGCCTCCTGAGTAGCTGGGATTACAGGTGCATGCCACCATGCCCAGCTAATTTTTGTATTTTTAGTAGAGACAGGGTTTCATCATATTGGTCACGCTGGTCTCGAACTCCTGACCTCAAGTGATCCGCCCGCCTCAGCCTCCCAAAGTGCTGGGATTACAGGCGTGAGCCACCACGCCTGGCACTCGTTTGTTTTTAAAAGGTTATTCTTGTTTCTGCTGGAACAGGGATACCAATTAGATGGCTATTGTAATCCAGTGTAAAATATTGATGGCTTGGACCAGGTTATGGCCAGCGGAAGTGATAAGTAATTTAATTCTAGATCTATTTTGAAAGTAGGTCCAGCCAGATTTCTAGGTGGATTAAATGTGGGGTGAGAGAGGAGGAGAATAATCAAGAATGACTTTTTTTTTTTTTTTTTTTTTAGCTTGAGCAACTAGAAAGATAAGAGTTGACATTTATTGATATGGGGAAGGCTGTGAGTGGAGCAGATTTTGGGAAGAAGATGAGAAATTTAGTTTTGGATGTGTTAGGTTTGGGATGTCTATTTTAAGAAATCTTTTTTAAAGATATAATTCACAAAAAATATACTCATTTAAAGTGTACAATTCAATTGTTTTAGTATATTCATAGAGTTGTTCAGCAATCACCATAGCGTGTCTAGTATATGGATTGTTTTTAGAGCCAGGAAGCTGGAAGAGATCAACTAGAGAGAGAGTGTAGATAGGGAAGTAAGTCTAGTAAGATAGAGCAGCAAGTACAGATATAGAAGAGGTCCAGAGAGAAGGCTATGGTATTATGAAATCTCTATTTGGTCTCTGTCCCATTTCCTGGCATACTACTTCAAAAATCCTTGGGTCTTCAAGGTGATAAGTGTCATTTTGTATGCTAATGAGTTGACTGATGGTTGGCATCCCCTGGGTAGCCTAAGGATGGGGGCTGGTCACTGGAAAGAATAAGGCAGGACTAGAGGTTGTGACTTTCCGCCCTACCATCTAACCTCTGGGGAAGGGAGAAGAGCTGAAGGGGTAAACTGAACACCAGTGGCCAGTGGTTTAATTAATTATGCCTTCATAACGAAACTTCCATAAAAATCCAAAAGGACTGGTTTTGGGAAGCTTCTAGACAGCAAAACATATGGAGGTTCCTGGAGGTTGGCATGCCCAGAAAGAACCTAGAAGCTCTGCACTCTTAGCCCTACCTTGCCCCCTCCATCTCTTCATCTGGTGTTCATTGGTGTCCTTTGTTATGTCCTTTATAATTAACCAGTAAACGTGTTTCCCTGAGTTCTGTGAGCTGCTCAAGCAAATTAATGGAACCCAAGAAGGGGGTTGTGTGAGCCCCGATTTATGGTGGTTGGGTCAGAGCAAATGTTAACCTGAGATTTGTGATTGGCATGGGAAGTGGGGGGCAGTCTTGTGAGACTGAGCACTCAGTCTGTGGGATCTGATGCTCTCTTCCAGTGTCAGAATTGAATTGGAGGGCACCTAGCTGGTGTTCATTGCAGAATTGCTTGCTTGGTGTGTGTGGGGAGAACTCTCATACATTTGGTCAAAGAAGTCTTTGTTGATTGTTGAATGAGAATGTAGGAAAAGCACTTTTAAGTTTGTTTATTCTCTATTCTCAGAAGGCTGTTGGGGCATTCTAGTATTTTAGATGACTCTTTCTACTTAGTCTAGTGTGTTATTGGCTTAGGTTCTTTTTGAGGTTCAAGGTAAACTTTGTCTCAGCCCCCCAAAGAAGTAATAAATCTATTTTGGTCTCTTGCGTATTTTTACTCTTGGTTTACGCTTAATGGCATTTCTGTATTCATTGAGCAGGAGCTCTGTTATAATTGGTTATTATCCACCCTCTCCCTCCCCTTTAGATGCCTAAGTCACCTTTTTTTTTTTTCATTCCATTGCTCTAGGTTCATAGAGTTATAGGTGGTATTTTTCCAGGTTTCTGGCAATGTTTCGAAACATGGAACTGTCTTAATTATAAACTATAATTATTGTAATGGTATATATTAAGCCTTTTTGTCTGTATTGTGAGACTTTCCAAGCAGTTGTTATCTTCTTCCTTTTAGCTGCTTAGTCTCTTACAGCAGAAGGGTGATTTCATCCATGGCCTTAGGTGGGTTTGAAGCAATATGTAAAACATAATTTTACTATACCAAATTCCATAGTAAGCTAAAGAGTAAATTTTGTAGCAAATAAACATTCCCATAACTAAAAGTGTGAAACACTACTGACAAACTTCACATGGTTCTGTGACATGGAGGTATCTTGAAAGGAAAATTACAATAGCAGTGGAAAAACACTAATATTAAAATTTGCTCACAGAGGCCACCCAGAATTACTTTAATGTTAGTTTTGTCTGTAGAGGAGGGACGAGTGTATGTATGTGCGTAATTTTTTAGGGAGTAGAAGCTTACTGATTTTATTCTTTTTTGTTGTTATCAGCTTCCTTGGGTTGAATGATTTTACTCTTAATGATTTGGCTTCCTGCCTTTCTTAAACTAATAAATAATAGTTGCATCAAAATTCTTTCTTCCTCCTAGGCTTTTGTCAGTTATGTTCTCTTTTTTCCTCCCACTTTTTCCAGGTGTTTATTGTTTTACAGCAGTACTTTTAAAAGTCAAAAGGGGAGATTTTGGTCAGTTGTTTTAAAATTTCAATTGAGAATTAAGGATACATGAGGTTTAATTTGTTGAAGGAACTCAGAGACCCTAATAAAAATTACCCAAGAACAGAACAATTTACAAACCAGCTTGACTGACTTTCTCATCTATTTGTCAAGGAAACAAAAAGTAGTTGTGTTTCGTAGTGATTTCAAATTCCACTGCCCCCACAGATATTAATTATAGAACACTGGAGGAATGTACATCTTAGGGAGAAAGTAGTAGAACCTAGTTATTCCTTTTGAGAAAAGGCAACAATTCCATCTGTGCTTTGAAATATTAAAGCTTTTCTGGCTAAGATAAAGATAGTTTTTAAAAATGCTTCATTCTTATTCTCTTGTTTTTAGAGAAATATTGAAATAGAGGCTCTTTGATGAAGGAAATGAAAATGTTTGGTTTGCTGGGTTTAAATTTTACTAGTGTTTGATTGAGGCCTTGATCTCTCCCTCATCTCTCTTTCTTCACTTCTTTCTCTTATAATTAATTTCACTTACTTGCACTTTCTAGTTCTCTGGAATCCATTAGCAGAGAGAGAGAGTGATTCTTTATTACCCTTTAGTAAAAGTTGCACTGTGAAAGGAAAAAAGGATCTTTTAATGTTTGGGATTATAACTTAACATTTTTTGTTTTAAAAAACCTAGAATGGATCCTGAGCTGTTTTTGTGTTCCTTTACTGTCATCATAGTTTTAGAGTGTAGCATGATACAGTCTTTTTTTTTTTTTGAGACGGAATCTTGCTCTGTTTGTTGCCCAGGCTGGAGTGCAGTGGCGCCATCTCGGCTCACTGCAAGCTCCGCCTCCCGGGTTCACGCCATTCTCTCGCCTCAGCCTCCTGAGTAGCTGGGACTACAGGCGCCCGCCACCACGCCCGGCTGATTTTTTGTATTTTTAGTAGAGAAGGGGTTTCACCGTGTTAGCCAGGATGGTCTCGATCTCCTGACCTCGTGATCCGCCCGCCTTGGCCTCCCAAAGTGCTGGGATTACAGGCGTGAGCCACCGCGCCCGGCCGATACAGTCTTTTAAAATGATGATCTTTGTGTCTAGGAGGCAGTATTACTTGAAAGATTAAAATTCTCTTATAATATGTTATGCCTAAAGATACAGAATGAGAAAATGAACTTAGAAATACTGAGTGCTGGCCGGGCGCTGTGGCTCACGCCTGTAATCCCAGCACTTTGGGAGGCCAAGGTGGGGAGATCACCTGAGGTCAGGAGTTTGAGACCAGCCTGGCCAACATGGTGAAACCTTGTCTCTACTAAAAATACAAAAATTAGCTGAGCGTGGTGGCATGTGCCTGTAGTCTCAGCTACTCGGGAGGCTGAGGCAGGAGAATTGCTTGAACCCAGGAGGCAGCAGTTGCAGTGAGCTGAGATTACGCCACTACACTCCAGCCTGGTGACAGAGCGAGACTATCTCCAGAAAAAAAAAGAAAAAAAGAAAGGAAATATTGAGTACTTCCTCTATGTAAACCCCTGTATTGGGTGCTGAAAGAGATGGAATTATAAGGAACTTAACATTTAGTAAATGGGCCGGGCGCGGTGGCTCACGCCTGTAATCCCAGTACTTTGGGAGGCCGAGGCGGGCGGATCACGAGGTCAGGAGATTGAGACCATCCTGGCTGACGGTGAAACCCCGTCTCTACTAAAAATACAAAAAATTAGCCAGGCGTGGTGGCGGGCGCCTGTAGTCCCAGCTACTCGGGAGGCTGAGGCAGGAGGATGGTGTGAACCTGGGAGACAGAGCTGGCAGTGAGCCGAGATCGTACCACTGCACTCTAGCCTGGGCGACAGAGCAAGACTGCGTCTCAAAAAAAAAAAAAAAACATTTAGTAAGTAAGATAGGAATTGAACACATATAACTGGTTCTGGGAAGTATAATAATATGAGTTTTATATGCTCTAACAGTTTAGAATAGGTATCACTTTGGTTGGATTGCTGGATCCTTATTGTTTACTGAGGATCCTTACTAGCTATCATACATGTATTACCTATAATCTTGATGTCAGCTCTGCAAAATATGAATTTGTAAATTTATAAAAAATATGAATTTATAAAATATAGATGTGTAACAGTTGAATTTATAAATTTATTAAAAATTTATAAATTGAGTCTCAGAGAAGTAAATTGATTATTTTGGGGAAATTGTCAGAACATTTATAGTGTAGGAAAAGGAAACGTGCCTGGTTTCAGAGTGGCTAAGCATAAGCTTAATTTTGTTTTATATAAGCAGAAGTCACGTGAAGGTAAGTGGGAGAAAGAAAAGAAATACGGTGGATTCAAAGCCCAAGTTGCTTACAAGTATGTTGTTATTACTTAATAATCTTATATTTCCAGTCATTAATGTAGTTAATTTTACAAACATAACACTAATAGTTTAGTAAGAAAATAACATTTACTGAGTTCTTATGTGATTTCATTTAATATAACAATTCATTAGTTAATGTATTATTACTGAGTAAATCTATTAGTGATGTATATGTAAATTACACTGGTGACAGGTAAAATAATAAACCCTATAAATGACAATAAATTAAGTACTTGAGGGCTCAGTGAGGTTAAAATAACTTGTTCAAGGTACACAACTAATGAACAATAGAGCCAGGTTGCAAACTTAAGCAGTCTTGACTCCAAGGCCTACACTTTACCATTATGGTAGACGGCTTCCTGCTTCTTTCAGAGTATATTGGTATTTTATAGTGTTCCATGGACAGTGTGGTATATACAGGATAAAAGTTCCCAAACAGCCTTGCACCTGCCCATTCTCATATAGAAGCAAGTAGAAGAACACACTTCTCTCCTTTTAAGCCAGACCATTAAACAGATTTGCAAAAATGAAAAACAATTTGCTCCCACTAAATTTTTGTTTTACAAAATATAGTTATTTTTAATTAAGAAATAATTTATTGGCTAGACAGGGTGGCTCACTGAGTGCCTGTAATCCCAGCAACTTGAGAGGCCAAGGCGGGTGGATCACATGAGGTCAGGAGTTCGAGACCAGCCTGGCCAAAATGAAGAAACCCCATCTTTACTAAAAATACAAAACTTAGCCAGGCATGGTGGTGCGCGCCTGTAATCCCAACCACTTGGGAGGCTGAGGCAGGATAATCCCTTGGACCCGGAGGTGGAAGTTGCAGTGAGCCGAGATGGTGCCACTGCACATCAGCCTGGGCAACAGAGTGAGACTTCATTAAAAAAAAAAAAAAAAAAAAGGCCCAGCTGAATTGGCTCATGCCTGTAATCCCAGTACTTTGGGAGGCCCGAGCAGACAGATCACAAGGTGAGGAGTTCAAGACCAGCCTGGCCAACATGGCGAAACCCTGTGTCTACTAAAAAAAAACAAAAATTAGACCGTCATGGTGGCGTGCGCCTGTAATCCCAGCTACTCAGGAGGCTGAGGCAGGAGAATTGCTTGAACCTGGGAGGCGGAGGTTGCAGTGAGCCCAGATCACGCCGTTGCACTCCAGCCTGGGCGACAGAGCGAGACTCCATCTCAAAAAAAAAACAAAAAGAAAGAAAAGAAATAATTTATTGATTGTAATGGATTTATTGTTTTTAATGGGTTAATGGATGTTTTTAAATTCTTAGGTTTAATTTCTGTTTATTTTATTTTTATTTACGTATTTTTTTTTGAGACCGAGTTTTGCTTTTGTTACCTAGGCTAGAGTGCAATGGCGCCATCTCGGCTCACTGCAGCCTCCGCCTCCCAGGTTCAAGCGATTCACCTGCCTCAGCCTCCTGAGTAGCTGGGATTACAGGCATGTGCCACCATGCCCGGCTAATTTTGTATTTTTAGTAGAGACGGGGTTTCTCCATGTTGGTCAGGCTGGTCTCGAACTCCCAACCTCAGGTGATCTGCCCGCCTCGGCCTCCCTAAGCACTGGGATTACAGGTGTGAGCCACTACGCCTGGCAAATTTTTGTATTTTTAGTAGAGATGGGATTTCACCATGTGTGGCCAGGATGGCCTCGATCTCTTGACCTTGTGATCTGCCCGCCTTGGCCTCCCTAAGTACTGGGATTACAGGCGTGAGCCAACGCACCCGGCCAGGTTTAATTTCATATAGTAAATAGCCATAGCTATAACCCACAAAAACATAACTCTTTGAGGTCCTCAGTAATTTTTACCAATATAAAGGGTTTCTGAAACCAAAATATAGAATGACCTTTGTCAATTTTCTGCAATGTAGATATCCATTGTCTCTCATCTTAACATCGCATATTGCCCGATCGTCTCTAGGCTTTATTTTATCAACCAGTTAATTTTTATTTTTAATTTGTGAGATCATAAGTTTGTTAGCTTTTTATTTTGCCAAAAATGGACATAAAAATATACTACATTTATAGCATCACTACCCACCATTTTATAAACTATCACTTTATTAAAAAGGTTATACTTTAATTCCAAAAGTGTTAGAAGGACATTTTCTCAGAATAAAGGATAAACCTTCAAACTACATAAATTTAGCTATTTGAAAAATTTGCTTTGATGTCCTTGTCTTTCAGATCTCAGCTCAGGTGTCATCTCCTTGGAGGTTGACCTTATGGTGGTTGTCTGAGAGCCCACCTCTTTCCCTCGCCCATCATTCTCTTATCATATTACCCTATTTTTTTTTGTTTTTTTTCCTCCTGGGTTCAAGCGATTCTCCTGTCTCATGGCAAGCAGTTCTCCTGTCTCAGCCTCTGAAGTAGCTGGGATTATAGGCATACACCACCATGCCCAGCTAATTTTTGTATTTTTCTAGTAGAGATGAGGTTTTGCTATTAGCCAGGCTGGCCTTGAACTTCTGACCTCAGGTGATCCACCTGCCTCAGCCTCCCAAAGTGCTGGGATTAAGGCGTGAGCCACCACACCCGGCTCCTATTTTATTTTATTTTTATTTTTTTGGGACGGAGTCTCTCTCTGTCGCCAGGCTGGAGTGCAATGGCGTGCTGTCGGCTCACTGCAACCTCTGCCTCCTGGGTTCAAGCGATTCTCCTGCCTCAGCCTCCCGAGTAGCTGGGATTACAGGTGCTCGCTACCACGTCCAGCTAACTTTTTTGTATTTTTAGTAGAGACGGGGTTTCACCATGTTGGCCAGGATGGTCTCTATCTCTTGACCTTGTGATCTGCCCGGCTTGGCCTCCCAAAGTGCTGGGATTACAGGCGTGAAGCACGCCTGGCCTTTATTTTCTTTATGGCTTTTCTCATTATAAGATACTGCCTTGTTTATTTATTTGCTTATTTATTGAGACACATGGCCCCCCTCACCCCCAAAAAGAATGTAAACTGCTAACAACAGATTATTTGTTTTGTTCACCACTGCATCCTCAGCACCTAGAAGAAGGCATGGAACATAGAAAGTGCTGTAATTGTCAGGGTGTGCTGGCTTATGCCTGTAATCCCAGCGCTATGGTAGGCCAAGGTGGAAAGATTGCTTGAGTCCAGGAGTTGGAGACCAGCCTGGGCAACATAGTGAGACCCCCATCTCTACAAAAAAAAAAAAATAGGTAGACATGGTGGCGCGTACCTGCAGTCCTAGCTACTCAGGAGCCTGAGGTGGGAGGATTGCTTGAGCCTCAGTGGTTGAGGCTACACTGAATTGTGATTGTGCCACTGCACTCCAGCCTGGAAAACAGCAAGACCCTGGCTCCAAAAACACAAAAGTGCTTAATCAATGAATCTTCCTTAAGTGTGACCCCAGACCACACGTTGAGAACTGCTGCAATAGGACACAATTTTTTTTTTTTTTTTTTGAGACAGGGTCTTGCTCTATCGCCCAGGCTGGAGTGCAGTGGCGTGATCTCAGCTCATTGCAAGCTCTGCCTCCTGGGTTCATGCCATTCTCCTGCCTCAGTCTCCCGAGTAGCTGAGACTACAGGCGCCCACCACTGCGCCTGGCTAATTTTTTGTATTTTTAGTAGAGACGGGGTTTCACCGTGTCAGCCAGGATGGTCTCGATCTCCTAACCTCGTGATCCGCCCGCCTTAGCCTCCCAAAGTGCTGGGATTACAGACGTGAGCCACCGCGCCCGGCCACAGGACACAATGTTTTTGTTAGATTTATGTATGTAGGGAGACATACTGTATTGTACTGTTGTATGTTGGTTAGTTGGTAAAGAACATGGGCTTCGATCTCAAATAGACATTATGGTTGCTACTAACCTCTGAAAGCTTTTAAATAGGGATAATAATTGTATAGCTCACCTTATATGATTGTTGGAATTAAATAAGATGCTTCATATGAAGTGTTTGGCAAACTACCTGACATTTAGAAAATTCAGCAAATGATAACTTGTCATTTAAAATGCAGTTATGATATACAGTTATTATAACGTTTTATGCAGGCCTGTCTGCATAAGCTTTTTAAATTCTTCCGATTAATCCTGCGTACTCTATGTGAAATGTTTATTAAGGTTAATAATGTAAAGGAGTGGACATGGCTTTTTTTGAGCCCTTTCTTATTAATATTAGCAAATAGCAAAAGAACATATAATTTGGAAGCTGTTTTCCTATTTTGATTATTTCAAGGACCTATTCATATAGCAACATCTTGTAGTTCTAGAAATTCATTGAGAACTTAAGAATTTTTTATGTTTTTATAGCTTTTTTGTTTGTTAATTTGTTTGTTTGTTTTGAGACAGAGTTTGGCTCTGTTGCCCAGGCTGGAGTGCAATGGCGATCTCGGCTCTGCCTCCCGGATTCAAGTGATCCTCTTGAGTAGCTGGGATTACAGGCACCCATCACCATGCCCGGCTAATTTTTGTATTTTTAGTAGAGACGGGGTTTCATCATGTTGGCCATGTTGGTCTTGAACTCCTGACCTCAGGCAATCTGCCTGCCTCAGTCACCCAAAGTGCTGGGATTACAGGCGTGAGCCACTGCACCTGGCCTATAGCTATTGTGCTAATATAAATGCATCTTGTTGGGTGCGGTGGTACTTGCCTATAGTCCCAGCTACTTGGGAGGCTGAAATGGGAGGATCACTTAAGGCCAGGTGTTTGAGGCCACAGTGCACCCTGATCATGCCTGTTAATAGCCACTGAACTCCAGCCTGGTCAACATAGGAAGACACCTTTCTAGTTTTTAAAAATAAATGAATAAGAGATAAGGTTTCACCACGTTGCCCAGGCTGGTCTAGAACTGCTGGGCTCAAGCAATCTGCCCACCTCAGCCTCCCAAAGATGCCAGAATTACAGGAGTGAGCCACTGTGCCCGGCTGGGATTTTTTATTTTTATTTTTTTGAAACAGAGTCTCACTGTGTCACCCAGTCTGGGGTGCAGTGGTGCGATCATGGCTCACTGCAGCCTTGACATCCCGGACTCAGTTGATCTTTCCCATCTCAGCCTCCTGAGGTGCTAGGACTATGGGTGCAGGCCACCATGGTCAGCTAACTATTAAAATTTTTTGTAGAGATGATGTCTTGCTATGTTGCCCAGGCTGGTCTCGAACTCCTGGACTCAAGCTATCCTCTTGCCTTGACCTCCCAAAGTGCTAGGATTACAGGTGTGAGCCACGAGACCTGGCCTCAAATAAGAGGTTTTTTTTTTTTTTTTTTTTGGTGACGGAGTCTTGCTCTGTTGCCTAGGCTGGAGTGCAGTGCAGTGGCGCAATCTTGGCTCACTGCAACCTCCACCTCTCAGGTTCAAGCGATTCTCCTGCCTCAGCCTCCTGAGTAGCTGGGATTACAGATGCGCGTGCCACCACGCCCAGCTAATTTTTGTATTTTTAGTACAGACGGGGTTTTGCCGTGTTGGTCAGGCTGGTCTTGAACTCCTGACCTCAGGTGATCCACCTGCCTCGGCCTCCCAACTTGCTGGGATTACAGGTGTGAGCCACCGTGCCCAGCCAAAGAAGAGATTTTAAAAGGACATCAGTATTCTTGGTGTCACTGGATTTTTAAAAATAAATAATAGAAACAAGGAGTATAAAACAATTTCACTTTAAGAAGACTTAAAAAACCTGATAATAGAAAAGTGAAGAGCTTTTGAAATTCATTCATAGGACATCCCCACACATGCATGCTATTTTTAGTATCAACTAGGATAAGAATTCACTTCTGTCCTCTTAGGCTTCTCAGATTGCCATATGTAGCACATATGCATCAACTGACAAATGTGATAAGATATGGAGAAAATATACCATACTATAGTAGTGAACAAAAATAACAGTACAAATTTGTACTTTGTGCAACAGAATTTCCCAAAAAGTGGTGATAGTTTAGGGTTTCACTGTCAAAGTTTAGGAACTACCAAATTAAAGTTAAACCTGCTTTCATGCTGCTGGACTTTAGTACCCTTAATACAAAGACCTATGAGTTTCTGGAAGGGGTGGGTAGGATATTCAGCATTTTCCAAACTTATTTGACCATGGAATCCCTTTCGTTTTTAGCCATCTCATGTGACTATTGTTTCCTGGAACGTGCTTGGGGAAAACTTTGGTAATGTAAGAGTTTCTGGGAAAATCCTAGTTGCAGAGCAGGGAGTACCAATTTATATTTGTATACAGTAAGAAAGGCTTCATGGAGGAAACGGTTTTTCAAAAACTATGTGAAACAGGTGAAAGAAGACATCCGATATATAAGCAAAAGTGTGAAAGAATCAGAGAGGAGTCATAACCAGAAGGCACGCATGCATAGCTAAGTGAGAATGGAAAAGACAGAAGGAATAAAAGGCATCATCATCATTATTATTATTATTATTATTATTATTATTATTATTATTATTAGGGATGGAGCTCTTGTTGCCCAGGCTGGAGTGCAGTGGCACGATCTCTGCTCACTGCCACCTCCGCCTCCTGGGTTCAAGCAGTTCTCCTGCCTCGGCCTCCAAGTAGTTGGGATTACAGGCGCCTGCCACCACGCCTGGCTAATTTGTGTGTGTGTGTGTGTGTGTGTGTGTGTGTGTGTGTGTGTGTTTTTAGTAGAGACCAGGTTTCACCCTGTTGGCCAAGCTGGTCTTGAACTCCTGACCCCAGGTGACCCACCTGCCTCGGCCTCCCAAAGTGGTGGGATTACAGGCGTGAGCCACTGCACCCAGCCAAAAGGCATGATTTTTAAGACATTAAGAGTTGTGGTAGGGGAATATATTTAAAAGAAGGTAACTAGCTGAGTGTGGTGGTGGCGTGTGAAGTCCCAGCTAGTTGGGAGACTAAAGCAGAAAAATCACTCAGCCCAGGAGTTAAAGGCTATAAGGCATGATGATTCTGGCTGTGAATAGCCACTGCACTCCAGCCTGGGCAACATAGCAAGACTCCATCTCTTAAAAAAGGTAATTACATGTACACATAAAAGCTACAATAAATGGTGATTGTAACACTGAGCCAAGATTACTTTTTGTAATACTAGTATTAATATAACATTTGGGTTTTATTCAAAGCTTTTGAAATTCATAAAATTGAAATTAGTGAAGTGGCTGGATGTGCGGTGGCTCATGCCTGTAATCCCAGCACTTTGGGAGGCTGAGGTGGGAGGATTGCATGAGCCTGGGAGTTTGAGATCAGCTGGGGCAACATATTTAAGAGTCCATATCTAACCCCGCACCACCCCCACCAAAAAAAAAATTAGTCGGGCGTGGTGGCATGTGCCTGTAGCCCCAAGTACTCGGGAGGCTGAGACAGAATTACTTGAACCCAGGAGGTCAAGGCTGCAGTGAGCCATGATTGTGCCACTGCACTCTAGCCTCGGCGGCAAAGCAAGATCCTGCCTTTAAATAAATAAATAAGTAGTTAATATATTTAATATTTTAAGTATTATCATTCTAGAATATCAAATCAAAATATAAATTTACAAAACTGTAAATATGTAAATATTAAGTATGGGTTATCATAATACAAATCATTAGCTCCTACTGGCTTTGCCATGTCCTTTGACTTTGGTCTTTTTGCTAGAGGTACCCTTAGTGTTGTCATATGTGATGTAGCTGGTTAGGTTGGACTTCAGTATCATCTTGCCATGTTTAACTCCCCTGAGTAGTGCTTTCAGAGCTGTCTCTGTTGAGTGGTTCAAAATTGCTGAACTTTTAATTTTTCTCTTGGCCAACTTGACTAAGATGCCCTAATAGAAATCTGAATATTTTCTTTCCCCAAGGAGAAATCCTTTGTTATAGAGGGCTTTTTTCCCCCTTGGGTGCATATTCTCAATCTTTTAAGTAGGTGGTGACAAGGGTAGAGGGGAATGAGTTAGGGGAGTTTCCTGAGTTGAGTAATAAATCGTAGGTAAGTAGGGTAGAGTTTGTATTGAAAGTGAGAGGGGTGTGGTGTATGATTAGATAGAGAGAAGACATTAAGGTAAGAAAGATAAATAAAGCTGATTTTGTATTATGCCAAGAAAAATACCATATTTTGGTTCTTACCTATTTTTATTTATTTATTTATTTTACTTTTTTTGAGATGGTGGGGGATCTCACTATGTTGCCCAGGCTGGTCTCGAACTCCTGGGTTCTAGTGATCCTCCCACCTTGGCCTCCCATCGTGTTGGGATTACAGGCATGAGCCACCGCACCCGGCCTGTATTTTGGTATTTGAAATAGCACAGTTGGCCAGGCGTGGTAGCTCATGCCTGTAATGCCGGCATTTTGGGAGGCCGAGGCAGGTGGATTGCTTGAGCCCAGGAGTTCGAAACTAGTCTGGGCAACGTGACAAAGCCCCATCTCTACCAAGAATACAAAAAAAATTAGCTGGGCTTGGTGGTGCTGCATTTATCAATACCATAAGTTTATGTCACTTTTTACAAAATGAACCATCTGAAATGGTGGGCACCTGCGGCTGGACACCTCAATCTGTGGTACATATTGAGCAGTCCAACTTTTTTTGATAATGTCATGACTTTTCTTTGCTTCTTTGGAGCACTTTTAACATCACTAGTGGCACTTTGTGTGGGTCTCATGGTGTTTACTTAAGGTTTACAATATTGCACTAAACCTGAAAAATATGAGAACCACAAGAGATCACTTTTTACTGACATATGCAATTTTCTGGAGAGATGAACTGCTTACATAGAGATAATTAGCATCACAGGGTGTTTTGAGTGGATACTCACAATGCTTGAGCTCCCTGAAGTAGCAACAGGAGATGGCTACAAAATTATTACAGTATAGTATGTACAGTAGTGAATTTTATTCAGTTATGATATAATACTGAATTTTTATGATTGTTTACATTACTCTCAACTGGATGGCTGCACGTATGTCTTTTAAGTGTGTGCATAAGTTTTGATAGATGTTAACTTTTTAAAATAGATTTGTGTATATTTAATGGTAGTAAATGAGAAAATAGACTAGTGTCTACATAGTTTTTATGCATTCATGACATACCTAATTTTCTCAATTTCTAAAATACTTTTAGACTACATGGTTCATCTGTGAGTTTTTTCAAATTGTTGTAAATCTCCTAAAATTTTGAAAATGTATTTATTGAAAAATCCACGTATAAGTGAGACCTGTGCAGTTCAAACTTGTGTTGTTCAAGGGTCATCTGTCTAAGCATATGTTTACTAGTTAATGGATAAGCACTTCAGACCACAGTGTGTTAAGTGAGAAGAGAATAGGGCCAATGAAAGAACCTTGGGAGCACCAGAGTTTCAAGGTTAGTGCAAAAACAGGTGTGTTAGGGAAAGGAGAGAGGATCAGAACAAAATGGTTTCTCAGAAACTAAGAGAAGAGAAAGTTTGCCAGAGGGAAGGAGCATGATTGTACTGGGTTGCAGGTGAAACTGTACTGTTTCTAGTCATGTGACAGGCTAGATATTTTGCAGGATCCTTCCACCAGAAATACAACTAAATCTTACAGAAGTTGCAACAGACCTTTTTTTTTTTTTTTTTTTTTTTTTTTTTTTTTTTTTTTTTGAGACGGAGTTTCACTCTTGTCACCCAGGCTGGAGTGCAGTGGCGTGATCTTGGCTCACTGCAACCTCTGCCTCCTGGGTTCAAGTGGTTCTCCTGCATCAGCCTCCCCAGTAGCTGGGATTGCAGGCAGGCACCATGACACCCGGCTAATTTTTGCATTTTTAGTAGACAGAGATTCACCATGTTGGCCAGGATGGTCTTGAACTCCTGACCTCAGGTGATTTGCCTGCCTCGGCCTCCCAAAGTGCTAGGATTACAGGCGTGAGCCACTGCTCCTGGCCATTTTTTTCTTTTTTTCTTTTCTCTTTTTTTTTTTTTTTTTTTGAGACAGTGTCTCTCACTCTGTCACCCAGGCTGGAGTGCAGTGGTGTGATCTCAGCTCAATGTAACCTCTGCCTCCTAGACTTCAGCCATCCTACCACCTCAGCCTCCTAAGTAGCTGGGACTACAGGGGTGCACTAGCACGCCCAGCTAATTTTTGTATTTTTTTGTAGAGACGGGGTCTCACTATGTTGCCTAGGCTGGTCTTAAACTCCTGAGCTCAAGCAAACCACCCACCTTGGCCTCATATAGTGCTGGGATTATAGGCATGAGCCACTGCACCTGGCCCAGACATAATTTTTAAATAAAATTTTAGCTTTGCAGTAGTTTTGGATTTATAGAAAAGTTGTGAAGATAGTACAGAGAGTGCTTGTATGTGTGTGTATATATGTATGTGTATATACATGTGTATATACACACACATATACATATATACATGTATACACATATACACGTATACACATGTATATACGTGTATATACACATGTATATATATACATATATACATGTATACACACATATATATGTATATGCATATATACACATACACTATATATATATACCCGCGCACACACACACACACACACACACACATATATACACCCTGCATCCTGTTGCCCTTGTTGTTAACATCTTACATTAGTATGTTACGTTTATTAAAACCAATGAATCAATATTGATATGTAATTTTTTTTTTTTTTTTGAGATGGAGTCTCACTCTGTCGCCCAGGCTGGAGTGCAGTGGCGCGATCTTGCAACCTCCGCCTCCTGGGTTCAAGCGATTCTTGTGCCTCAGCCTCCTGAGTAGCTGGGACTACAGGCACACACCACCACACCCAGCTAATTTTTGTATTTTTAGTAGAGGCGGGGTTTCACCATATTGGCCAGGCTGGTCTTGAACCCCTGACCTCGTGATCTGCCTGCCTCAGCCCCTCAAAGTGCTAGGATACAGGCGTGAGCCACTGCACTTGGCCTAATATGTAATTATTAAGAGTCCATATTTTATGAATTGCCTTAGTTTTTACCTACTGTTGTTTTCTCCATAACTCCACATTTAATTATTATATCTCTTTAGGCTCCTCTAGATTTTGACAGTTTTGTTTTGTTTTGTTTTGTTTTTCCCTGCAGACAGAGTCTTGCTCTGTTGCCCAGGCTGGTGTGCAGTGGTACAATCACAGCTCACTGCAGCCTCGACCTCTCGGGTCTAAGCAATCCTCCCACCTCAGACTCCCGAGTAGCTGGGGCTATAGGTGTGCACCACAGGTATGCACCACTACACCTGGCTAATTTTTGTAATTTCTGTAGCAACAGGGTTTCACCATGTTGCCCAGGCTTGTCTCAAACTCCTGAGCTCAAGCGATCTGCCTGCCTCGGCCTCGCAAAGTGCTGGGATTACAGGTGTGAGCCACTGTGTCCACAGTTTTCTTTTAAGCTTCCCTAGATTTGGTCAGATATTTTGTAGAATGTCCCTCAATGTGGGTTTGTCTGTTTTTTTGTGGTTGTTTTTTGTTTTAATGATTAGCTGGGGTTATTGTTTCTTTGGAGGAAGACCACAGAGGTAAAGTTCCATTTTCATCACATGATATCAAGAGTGTCCATCCTATCAACATGTTTTACCGCTAATGATACTAACCTTGATCACCTGGCTGAGATAGTTTTTTTCAGATTTCTTCTTTTTTGAAGCCTCTTACACATTGTACTCTTTGGGAAGAAGTCACTGCACAGCCCACAATTTAGGGGAGTTATGCCGTCTACCTCCTTGAGGAGGCAGCATCTATGTAAATTTTTCAGAATTCTGTGTAGACATTAACAAGCACACATTTTAATGCATTACTGGGTGTACTAAAAAAGTAAGGGAGGTTTCCAAGGGTCTGTTCATTCACAGAAGTAAAGAGTCAGCTGAAACAGGAGCAGTGAGTAAGCTTGTGAGCAAACAAGACTGGCAACGTTTTCCTGAAGGCAAACGCTCACATCAGCACTAATGGGAGACTAAGCCTTGGGCCCCCAGAAACGTTGAAAAGCCCCTTGAGAAAGATGCTGAATTGAACCTGGGTCACTACTGCCCTTGACTCTCTGCCAGAGTAAATGCAAATACATTTTTAGAAAAAGCTTTCTCTGATTAGGCTTTCAGAATTCCCATAGATAAAATTCAACAAAATATAAGCTTACAATAAAAGAATTGCCAAACACAAAGAAATAAACAACTGTGGGTGAGATTTAATAGAAACAAACCCCAAAGACTTAAACTATTGAAATAATAAGATATGAAATATAAAACAACTGACCAGGCACAGTGGCTCACGCCTGTAATCCCAGCACTTTGGGAGGCCGAGGCAGGCAGATCACCTGAGGTCAGGAGTTCCAAGACCAGCCTGGCCAACATGGTGAAACTCCATCTCTACTAAAAATATTAAAAAATTAGCCAGGCGTGGTGGCACATGCCTGTAGTCTCCCTGCTGCTCGGGAGGCAGAGGCAGGAGAATCGCTTGAATCTGGGAGGCAGAAGTTGCAGTGAGCCGAGATCACGCCGTTACACTCCAGCCTGGGCGACAAGTGAGACTCCGTCTCAAAAAATAAATAAATAAATAAATAAAAAGAACCATGTATAAAATATTTAAATTAATAAAGGAATCTAAAATATATCAAGGAACAACTCTTAGACAGTTATGCAAATTTGAAAAAGAACCAAAGAGAAATGTTAGAAATAAAAGTATAACTGTTGAAATTGAAAACTTAGTGGATGATTTGAACAACAGATAAGACCATTGGCAAAGGGAGAATTCATGAACTGAAAGATCTGAAGTAATTTCCCAGAATGTAATGTTAAGAAATAAGTTAAAAGGAAGAGCATAATGAGTCTAACATGTGTGATTGAAGTCTTATAAGGAGAGAATTAAGAACAGGCAATATTTTAAAGGAATAATGGAGAAAATGGAATAATTGATGAAATATGTGAATATATATAGGGACCATATGCATATGAAGGAAGGGGGTTAAATAAAAAGAAATCTACTTGTACATACTTTATAGATAACTGAAGAATATCAAAGTCAAAGAGAAGCTCTTAAAAACAGTAGGAGAGGATGGGTATTCTATCCTCAGTATACAGTATTCTTACAGTATGAAACTATCACTGCACAGATCATGAAATGCAAATTGATAATTATAGATTATTAATTACTTACAAAGGAATGACAGATTGATAACTATGGAAGCAAGAGGACATTGGAATAAAATATTCAAAGTGCAGAGAGAAAACAGCCATCAAATTAGAATTGTCTACCTAGCAAAACTAAGTTTTAAGAACAAGGGCAAAATAAAGACATTTCCATAAAGACAAAAGCTAGAAACCAACAGATCTTCACCTAATGACCTTTATTTTATTTAATTCATTTATTTATTTTTGTAGAGATAAGGGTCTCATGTGTTGCCCAGGCTTATCTCAAACTCCTGGGCTCAAGTGATCCTCCTGCTTTGGCCTCACAAAGTGCTGGGATTATAGGTGTGAGCCACCACACTGGCCCATTAATGACCTTTAAAAGGACATATACTTCAGGGAAAGGAAAATAATCCCAGAAAAAAATCTAAGAGATAAAATGCAGTGCTAAGCAAGTAAATTGGTAACCATAAGAGTAAATCTGAATGAACATTTCCTGTATGAGATATTTAATTAGTATAGTTTAAAAAGCCAGGACAGGCCGGGATCAGTGGCTGACGCCTGTAATCCCAACACTCTGGGAGGCTGAGGCGGGCGGATCACCTAAGGTCAGGAGTTTGAGACCAGCCTGGCCAACATGGCGAAACACTGTCTTTACTAAAAGTACAAAAATTAGCCGGGCCTGGTGGTGGGCACCTGTAATCCCAGCTACTTGGGAGGCCGAGGCAGGAGAATCACTTGAACCTGGGAGGCAGAGGTTGCAGTGAGCCGAGATCGCACCACTGCACTCCAGCCTGGGCAACAGAATGAGACTCCATCTCAAAAAATAAAAATAAAAAAAAGGACAAAACTATCTCTGTTCGGTATTGTAGTTCAAGAAGAGAGTGGACTGGGCATGGTGGTGTGCTGTTAAGAAATGTTTGTGTGTTGCTCAAGGCCCATCTCTACTAAAAATTGAAAAAAATTAGCCAGGCATGGTGGCAGGCACCTGTAGTCCCAGCTACTCGGGAGAATCGCTTGAACCGGGAGGCGGAGGTTGCAGTGAGCCAGGATCGCACCACTACACTCCAGCCTGGGCGACAGAGCAAGATTCCATCTCAAAAAAAAAAAGAAAAGAGAGAAGAATAGAGTGATTTAGGGGTGGGTGCAGTGGCTCACGCCTGTAATCCTAGCACTTGGGAGGCCAAGATGGGTGGATCACCTGAGGTCAGGAGTTCCAGCCAGTCTGGCCAACATGGTGAAACCCCATCTCTACGAAAAATACAAAAATTAGCTGGGCGTGGTGGCACATGCCTGTAATCCCAGTTATCGGGTAGGCTGAGGCAGAAGAATTGCTGGAACCCAGGAGGCGAAGGCTGCAGTGAGCTGAGATCGCGCCACTGCACTACAGCCTAGGTGACACAGTGAGACTCCAAAAAAAATTGGGTAAAAATAGAATGTATAACTTTCAGCCACTAGAAGGGGGAGAACAATTTAAAAAATAAATTTCTTGGCCATGGCTCATCCCTGTAGTCTCAGCGCTTTGGCAGGACTATCGCGTGAAGCCAGGAGTTCAAGACTAGCCTGGGCAACATACATAGCAAGACTTCGTCTCTACTAAATAAAAAATAGCTGGGCCTGGTAACAAGTACCCGTAGTCCCAGTTACTGGAAAGGCTGAGGAGGGAGGATTGCTTGATCCCAGGAGTTGCAGATTTCTGTGAGCTATGATTTCGCCATGCACTCCAGCCTGGGCAGTAGAGCAAGACCCTGTCTAGAAAAAAAACAAAGAAAAGAAAACTTCCCCAAAAGGTACAGAGGTATGAAGGGAATAAAGAAGTATGAAGCATAGAAAAAGGCAGGGCAAATAAAAGCACAACATAAAATGATAGAAACAAATTCAAATATATCAATCACAGTTAAACATAAAAGAATAATTTTAGCAGTTAAAAGATAGGGATGATCAGTTCAGATTTTTTTTAAAAATGTGGCTATATAGAGAGACATATCTAAAATAGAAAAGTTAAAAGGCAGTTACTAACCAAAAACAATAAAAAACATACCGCTATAGTAGCTGCATGAATAAAGACGTTAAGACCCAAACCAAAACATTATTAAAGAGGGCTGGGTGCGGTGGCTCACACATGTAAATCACAGCATTTCAGGAGGGTAAGGCAGGCAGATCGCTTGAGCCCAGAAGTTCAAGACCAGCCTGGGCAACATGGCAAAATCGCATCTACAGAAACATTAGCTGGGCATGGTACATGCCTACAGTCCCAGCTATTTAGGAGGCTGAGGTGGATGGATCGATTGAGTCCAGGAGGTTGAGGCTGCAGTGAAGTGTGATCTGCCACTGCACTCTAGCCTGGGCAACAGAGAGACCCTGTCTCAAAAAAAAAAAAAAAAAAAAAAACCAATAAAAAAAACATTGGGTGAAAGACTGTTGAGGAGCAGTATATAGTATTCCTACAGTGTGAATGTATCACCCCATAGATTATGAGTTACAAATTGATAATTATAGATTATTACTTTATTGTAGAGGGAAAAACATGCATTTATAATGCAGAGAGAATTTGGCATCAATAGTAGTGGGATGGCATGAAAATTATATGTCTCTTACGGAAGGTAGTGGGTGGTATACAATGCCAACAAAGTTGTATTCTTGCCAAAAATGTTTAACCTGAACCTACTCTTGAGAAAATGAATGAATCCTGAAATGTGGGATGTTCTGCAGGACATCTGGCTTGGATCATCAAAGTCATGAAGAATAGGGAGAGGTAAAGGGACTCTCCTACATTGAGAGATAATGAAAATCAAACATAAGAACTTTGGTTCTTGGAGTGAAAAAAACAAAGGTAAAAATAACAGTATATAAAAAAAAACCCCAACTATAAACAGTCTGGTGATTGTTGGGAAAATTTGATGATGCGCTTTATATCGGCTGGTGTTGCTGAATTAATGTTTTTTGTTGTTGTTGTTGTTTTCTTCTCTTTTCTTTTGAGACGGAATTTCACTCTTAAAAGTTGCCCAGGCTGGAGTGCAATGGCGCGATCTCGGCTCACTGCAACCTCCGCCTCCTGGGTTCAAGCGATTCTCCTGACTCAGCCTCCTTAGTAGCTGGCATTACAGGCATGCACCACCACGCCTGGCTAATTTTGTATTTTTGGTAGAGACAGGGTTTCTTCATGTTAGTCAGGCTGTTCTTGAACTCCCTACCTCGGGTGATCCGCCCGCCTCAGCCTCCCAAAGTGCTGGGTTTACAGGCGTGAACCACTGCACCAGGCCTGAATTAAGTTTTTTTAAGATATAATGCTGCTATGATTGTATGAGAGAATGTTCCTTCTGAAATATTTAGGGATAAATTATATTGCTCTCTACAATCTACTTTAAGATGGTTTGGCAAAAGAGAACTAAATGTTGTATATATAGAGAGATAGAGCTGATGCGGCAAGATATTAACGATTGCTAAATGTAGGTAAAATATAGGAATGTTTACTGAACTTTCAACCTTTTTGTGGAGTTTTTTTTTGTTTTGTTTTTGTTTTGAGACGAAGTCTTGCTCTGTCGCCCAGGCTGGAGTGCAGTGGCATGATCTCGGCTCACTGCAACCTCAGCCTCCCGGGTTCAAGCAATTCTCCACCTCAGCCTCCAGAGTAGGTGGTGCACACCACCATGCCTGGCTAATTTTTGTATTTTTTGTAGAGACCAGGTATCACCATGTTGCCCAGGCTGGTCTCAAACTCCAGAGCTCAAGCAATCTGTTTCCTCGGCCTCCCAAAGTGTTGGGATTACAGGCGTGAGCCACAGCGCCTGGCCACAAAAATTGCTTCTGCATAGGATAAAGGCAAATACAAAAGGCTAACAAAACAAAGGTTTTATCAGAAAATAAAGAACATCTTTATGACCATAGTATAGGGAAATAATTCTTTTTTTTAAATTAAATTTTTTTATTTCCATAGGTTATTGGGAAACAGGTGGTATTTGGTTATATGAGTAAGTTCTTTAATGGTGATTTGTGAGATTTTGGTGCACTCATCCCCTGAGCAGTATACACTGAACCCAATTTGTGGTCTTTTATCCCTCACCCCCTTCCCACTCTTTCCTCCTGAGTCCCCAAAGTCCACTGTGTCTTCCTTATGCCTTTGCATCCTCATAGCTTAGCTCCCACATATGAGTGAGAACATATGATGTTTGGTTTTCCATTCCTGAATTACTTCACTTAGAATAGTAGCCTCCAATCTCATCCAGGTCGCTGCTAATGCAATTAATTCATTCCTTTTCATGGCTGAGTAGTATTCCATTGTGTGTGTGTGTGTGTGTGTGTGTGTGTGTGTGTATACACATCACAGCACCACAGTTTCTTTACCCATTGACTGATGGGCATTTGGGTTGATTTCACGTTTTTGCAATTGCAAATTGTGCTGCTACAGACATGTGTATGCAAATATCTTTTTTTTTTTTTTTTTGAGATGGAGTCTTGCTCTGTCACCTAAGCTGGAGTGCAGTGGCACCATCTTGGCTCATTGCAACCACTGCCTCCGTGTTCAAGCAGTTCTGCTGCTCAGCCTCCCAAGTAGCTGGGATTACAGGCACATGCCACCACGCCTGGCTAGTTTTTGTATTTTTAGTAGAGACGGGGTTTCACCATGTTGGCCAGGCTGGTCTCGAACTCCTGACCTCGTGATCTGCCTGCCTCCGCCTCCCAAAGTGCTGGGATTACAGGCGTGAGCCACCGCGTCCGGCCGCAAGTATCTTTTTCATATAATGACTTCTTTTCCTCTGGGTAGATACTCAGTATTGGGATTGCTGGATCACATGGTAGTTCTACTTTTAGTTCCTTAAGGAATCTCCACACTGTTTTCCATAGTGGTTGTACTAGTTTACATTCCCACCAGCAGTGTAGAAGTGTTCCCTTTTCACTGCATCCATGCCAACTTCTATTAATTTTTGATTTTTTGATCATGGCCACTCTTGGAGGAGTCAGGTGGTATCACATTGTGGTTTTGATTTGCATTTCCCTGATCATTAGGGATGGTGAGCATTTTTTCATATGTTTGTTTGACATTTGTATGCCTTCTTTTGAAAATCGTGTATTCATGTCCTTAACTCACTTTTTGATGGGATCGTCTGTGTGTTTTTTTTTTTTTTTGGTAATTTGTTTGAGTTTATTATAGATTCTGGAAATTAATCATTTGTTAGACGTATAGATTGTGAAGATTTTCTCCCACTCTGTGGATTGTCTGTTTACTCTTGCTGACTGTTCCTTTTGCTCTTCAAAAGCTCTTTAGTTTAATTAAGTTTCAGCTTTATATCTTTGTTTTTATTACATTTGCCTTTGGGTTCTTGGTCATGAAATAGTTGCCTAAGCCAATGTCTAGAAGGGTTTTTCCATTGTTATCTTCTAGAATTTTATAGTTTGAGGTTCTAGATTTATGTCCTTGATCCATGTTGAGTTAATTTATTTTGTTTAAGGTAAGAGATGAGGATCCAGTTTCATTCTTCTACATGTGGCTTGCCAATTATCCCAGCATCATTTGTTGAATAGGGTGTCCTTTCCCCACTTTATCTTGTTTGCTTTGTCAAAGATCAGTTGGTACCACCATCATCCTTTACAGAATTAGAAAAGACAACCCTAAAATTCATATGGAACCAAAAAAGACCCCACATAGCCAATGCAACACTAAGCAAAACAAATCTGGAGGCATCACATTACCTGATTTCAAACTATACTCTAAGGTCATAGTCACCAAAACAGCATGGTACTGGCATAAAAATAGGCACATAGACCAATGGAACGGAATAATGTAGGGAAAGAATTCTCAAACGAGACACACTATGCTAGCCATAATAAAAATAATGATTACCATAATAAATATATAAATTCAGCATTATTAAAATTAAAATTTTCTTTCTTTATTTTTATTTTTGAGACAGAGTCTTGCTCTGTCGCCCAGGCTGGAGTGCAGTGGCATGATCTCAGTTCACTGCAGCCTCTGCCTCCCAGATTCAAGCAATTCTCCTACCTCAGTCTCCTGAGTAGCTGGGATCACAGGCACCTGCCACCACCTTCAGTTAATTTTTGTATTTATAGTAGAGAGGGGGTTTCACCATGTTGGTTAGGCTGATCTCAAACTCCTGACCTCACATGATCCACCTGCCTCGGCCTCTGGAAGTGCTGGGATTACAGGCGTCAGCCACTGCACCCGGCCACAACAGCAAGTCTTATTGATTCTGTTGGTGTTTTGCTTTTTTTGGGTGGTGGGGAGTCAGGTTTATTGTGTTATGATTTACATACACCAAAGTTTACCCTTTAAATGTACAGTTCTATAAATTTTGATGAATTTATAATTGTGTAGCCACCACAATTAACATATAGAACTTATATAAGTTCTGTTACTCCCCAAATTCTTCCCCATTTTTATTGAACCCCTTTCGTCTGTGACCCACTATTTGACCTTATAGTTTTGACTCTTCCAGAATGTCATGTAAATGGAGTGATGTAACCTTTTGAGTCTGACTTCTTTCATTTAGCATGATGCAATTGTAGTAAAACATACATAGCAAAATTTTGTTTCTTTTTGTTGTTAAATAGTATTCCATTTTAAGGATGTTTCACAGTTGTTGAAGGACATTTGGGTTGTTTTGTTCTTGGTAATTATGAATAAAGCCACCATAAACATTTCTTATTTATTTATTTATTGAGACAGAGTCTTGCTCTGTTGCCCAGGCTGGAGTGTAGTGGCGCCATCTCCGCTCACTGCAGCTTCTGCTTCCCGGATTCAAGCGATTCTCCTGCCTCAGTCAGCCTCCGGAGTAGCTGGAATTACAGGCATCCACCACCATGCCCAGCTAATTTGTTTCTGTTTTTAGTAGAGATGGGCCTTGAGCAACACACAAACATTTCTTAACAGCATCTTTAATTGTATTTATTTATTTATTTTGAGGCAGGGTCTCACTGTGTTGCCCAGGCTGGAGTGCAGTGGCATGATCTTGTCTCACAGCAACCTCTGTCTCCCAGGTTCAAGCCATTCTCCTGCCTCAGCACCCCACCCCACCCCCACCCCGCAGTAGCTGGAATTACAGGCACCTGCCACTATGCCTGGCTAATTTTTGTGTTTTTATATTTATTTTATTTTATTTTATTTTTTTTGAGACGGAGTCTCGCTCTATTGCCCAGGCTGGAGTGCAGTGGCGCGATCTCGGCTCACTGCAAGCTCTGCCTCCCAGGTTCACGCCATTCTCCTGCCTCAGCCTCCCAAGTAGCTGGGACTACAGGTGCCTGCCACCACGCCTGGCTAATTTTTTGTATTTTTAGTAGAGACGGGGTTTCACTGTGTTAGCCAGGATGGTCTCGATCTCCTGACCTCGTGATCTGCCCACCTTGGCCTCCCAAAGTGCTGGGATTACAGGCGTGAGCCACCGTGCCTGGCCTATTTTATTTTATTTTATTTCCTTCCTTCTTTCCTTCCTTCCTTTCCCTTTCCCTTTCCCTTTTTTCTGACAGAGTCTCACTCTGTCACCCAGACTGCAGTGCAGTGGTGTGAACTCGGCTCACTACAATCTCCGCCTCCTGGGTTTAAGCCATTCTCCTCCTTCAGCCTCCGGAGTAGCTGGGATTACAGGTGCGCACCACCATGCCTAGCTAATTTTTGTATTTTTGTAGCAACCGGGTTTCACCATGTCGGCCAGGCTGGTCTCGAACTCCTGACCTCAAGTGATCCACCCTCCTCAGCCTCCCAAAGTGCTGTGGTTACAGGCATGAGACACCACACCCGGCCTTAACAGCATTTTTAAAAAAGCAATAATTTCTTAATTTTGATGAAGTCCAGTTTATTTTAAAAATGTTAACAGATGATATTTTCGTTACATATAAGAAATCCTTTAATTCAAAGTCATAAAGAATTTCTTCTATATTTTCTTACAGAAGTTTTATTTATTTTAATTAGTTTATTTTTTGAGAAAGGGTCCCACTTGGTTACCCAGGCTGGAGTGCAGTGGTGCCATATAGCTCACTGCAGCCTCAACCACCTAGGCTCTAGGGATCCTCCCACCCCATCCTTTGGAGTAGCTGGGATCACAGACGCAAGCCTCCTCACCTCGGTTATCTTTTAATTTTTCTTTATAGAGAAAGGTCTTCCTATGTTGCCTAGGCTGGTCTCAAACTCCTGGGCTCAAGCAATCCTCCCACCTTGGCCTCCCAAAGTGCTGGGATTACAGGCATAGAAGTTTTATAGTTAGGTTTTACCTTAGGTCTATAATGCATTTTGAATTAATTTTTGCAAATAGCATGAGATATGGCTCAATTTTTTAAAATGGGTATCCAATTGTTCGAGCACCATTTATTGAGAAGCCAGTCCTTTCATCATTAAATTGTCTATGCATCTTGCACCTTTGTAAAAAATCGATTGCCGGCTGGGCGCGGTGGCTCATGCCTGTAATCCCAGCATTTTGGGAGGCTGAGGCGGGTGGATCACCTGAGGTCAGGAGTTCGAGACCAGCCTGGCCAACATGGTGAGACCTCATCTCTACTAAAAATAGAAAAATTAGCCAGGTGTGATGGTGGGCGCCTGTAATCCCAGCTACTTGGGAGGCTGAGGCAGGAGAATTGCTTAAACCTAGGAGGCAGAGGTTGCGGTGAGCAGAGATCACGCCACTGCACTCCAGCCTGGGTGACAGAGTGAGACCCCATCTCAAAAAAAAAAAAAAATTGATTGCCCACGTATATATATGCTGCCTTGATTATTGTAGCTTGTATGGAAATCAGGTAGTATGCATCTTCTAACAAAATTTTCAAAACTATGTTGTCTATTGTGGGTCTTTTGTTTTTCCTTATAAATTTTAGGATCAGCTTGTTGATTTCTACAAATAATCCTGCTGGGATTTTGATTAGGACTAAATTGAATGTGGACATTAATTTGGGGGCAGAATTGTTAAATATGTTTAGTCTTTCATAAATATGGTATATCTCGCCATTTATTTAGGTCATCTTTGATTTCTTTTATCAGTGTTTGCTTTTCAGCATAGCGATCTTGCATGTATTTTACTAGGTGATAATCTAAGTCTTTCATGCTCTTATAAATGGTACTACTTTCTTTAAAGAAAAATTTAATTTCCCCGTTTGTTGCTGTGTAAGAATATAGTTGACTTTGGTATCCTGCAACCTTACTAAACTTACTTATTAGTTCAAGTACCTATTTTGTAGGGTCTCTGATTTTTCTATATGGATAAATCATGTCTATACATAGAGATGGTTTAGTTTCTTCCTTTCTAATCTATATACCTTTTCTTTCTTTCCCTTGCCTTATTGCATTGGCTGAAACTTCTAGGATGATGGTGGCAGCAGTTCCCAACTGGAAGAGACTGGGATGGGGTTGGTTTTGGGATGAAACTGTTCCACCTCAGATCATCAGGCGTTGTTCTTATAGGGAGTGCACAGCCTACATCCCTGGCATGCGCAGTTAACAATAGAGTTTATGCTCCTATGAGAATCTAATGATGCCACTGATCTGACAGGATTTGGGGCTCAGGGGTTAATGTTCGCTCACCCACCACTCACCTCCTACTGTGTGGCCCAGTTCCTAACAGGCCATTGGGGTTGGGAAACCCTGTGTAGAGGAAGGGTGAGGGTGAACATTCTTCCTTTTCCGCTGTTCTTAGGGGGATAGCTTTTGGTTTTCCACCATTATATATGATGTTAGCTGTAAGTTTTTAATAAATGTCCTTTGTTTGAGGAAGTTCCCTTATATTTCTAGTTTTCTGAGACTTTTTATCATAAATGAATGTGGAATTTTATTGAGCCTTTCATAGTACTTTTTTTTTTTAAAAAAAAGAGGGCTGGGCGCGGTGGCTCACGCTGGCTCCCAGCACTTTGGGAGGCCAAGGTGGGTGGATCACGAGGTCAGGAGATCGAGACCATCCTGGCTAACGCGGTGAAACTCCGTCTCTACTAAAACTACAGAAAATTAGCCGGGTGTGGTGGCGGGCACCTGTAGTCACAGCTACTCAGGAGGCTGAGGCAGGAGAATGGTGTGAACCCGGGAAGGTGGAGCTTGCAGTGAGCCGAGATCACGCCACTGCACTCCAACCTGGGCGACAGAGCGAGACATCATCTCATAAAAATAAAAAAAAGAGATAGCATCTTAGCTGGGCATGGTGACTCATGCCTGTAATCCCAGCACTTTGGGAGGCTCAGGTAGGTGGATCACCTGAGGTCAGGAGTTTGAGGCCAGCCTGGCCAACATGGTGAAACCCTGTCTCTCCTAAACATACAAAAATTAGCTGGGTATGGTGGTGCAAGCCTGTAGTTACAGCTACTCGGGACGCCAAGGCAGAAGAATTGCTTGAACCTGTGAGACGGAGGTTGCAGTGAGCTGAGATTGCGCCACTGCACTCCAGCCTGGGCAACAGAGCGAGACTCCGTCTCAAAAAAGAAAGGCAGAGTCTTACTTTGTTGCCCAGGTTGGAGTGTAGTGGCATGATCGTAGCTCACTGCAGCCTTGACCTCCTGGACTCAAGCAATCCACCTGCCTGGGCCTCCCAACATGCTAGGATTACCCCTTTCATAGTACTTTTGATGGTTTTGTTTTGTTTTTTTTTTGAGACGGAGTGTCACTCTGTCACCCAGGCTGGAGTGCAGTGGCGCAATCTCGGCTCACTGCAAACGCCGCCTCCTGGTTTCACGCCCTTCTCCTGCCTCAGCCTCCTGAGTAGCTGGGACTACAGGCACCCGCCACCACGCCCGGCTAATTTTTTGTATTTTTAGTAGAGATGGGGTTTCACTGTATTAGCCAGGAAGGTCTTGATCTCCTGACCTCGTGATCCGCCTGCCTTGGCCTCCCAAAGTGCTGGGATTACAGGCGTGAGCCACCGTGCCCAGTGGGGTTTTTTTTTTTAATTTTTTTTTTTTTAATTTTTTGAGACAGAGTCTCACTGTCACCCAGGCTGGAGTGCAGTGGCACAATCTCGGCTCACTGCAACCTCTGCTTCCCGGGTTCAAGCAGTTCTCTGCCTCAGCCTCCCGAGTGGCTGGGATTACAGACTCCCACCACCACACCCAGCTAATTTTTTGTATTTTTAGTAGAGACGGGGTTTCACCATCTTGGCCAGGCTGGTCTTGAACTCCTGACCTTGTGATCCACTGGCCTCGGCCTCTGAAAGTGCTGGGATTACAGGCCTTGATGGGGTTTTAAATGGAAACATTGGCAATTGTAAAGTCAAACATTTGCATACCTATCTTCAGTTCAGCAGTTCTACTCTTGCACATGTGCCCCAGAATACAGATATAAAAATATTCATGTCAGCTTTATTTATCATATAAAAATGTAGAGAACAAGCCAAGTATGGTGGCTCACGCCTGTAATCCCAGCATTTTGGGACGTCAAGATGGGAGGATCGCTTGACCCCTGGAGTTTGAGATCAGCCTGGGCAACATAGTGAGACCTTCTCTCTACACAAAAATAAAAACAGCCACATGTGGTGGCACATGCCTGTGGTCCCAGCTACTCAGGTGACTGAGATGGAAGGATCACTTAAGCCCAAGAGGTTGAGGCTGCAGTGAAGTGTGATTGCACCACTACACTCCAGCCTAGGCAACAATGTGGCAAATCAAGATCCCCGTTTCAGCCGGGCGCGGTGGCTCACGCCTGTAATCCCAGCACTTTGGGAGGCCGAGGTGGGCAGATCACCTGAGGTCGGGAGTTCGATACCAGCCTGACCAACATGGAGAAACCCCGTCTCTACTAAAAATACGAAAATTAGCCGGGCATGATGGCACATGGCCTGTAATCCCAATTACTCGGGAGGCTGAGGCAGGAGAATTGCTTGAACCCAGGAGGCGGAGGTTGCGGTGAGCCGAGATCGCGCCACTGCACTCCAGCCTGGGTAACAAGAGCGAAACTCTGCCTCAAAAAAACAAAAACAAAAAAGATCCCCGTTTCAGAAAAGCAAAGAAAATGTGGAAACAACCTGAAAGTCCATCAGCAGCTCAATGGATAAGACTGTGGTGTATTCATAGTGAAATCTTTTACTGCAGTGAAATAAATGTACCAACCTAAGTATATGTTATAAAATGAAAAGTAAGCTACCCTTCACCTTCTTTCTCTACATACCCAGTTCCATTTTGAATAATGTCTGCTATATTATTATAGCGTGATTTAATACTTGCATACATATATATTATCAGTTTTTTTAAACTGTGGTAAAGTACACATAACATAAAATTGACCATTTTAACCAATTTGAAGTGTAGGTACAGTGGCATGAAGAACATTAACATTGTTACGCAGCCATCACCACCATCCATCCTCAGAACTTCGTCTCACTTTCCAGACTGAACGCATATACCCATTAAACAATAACTCTCCATTCCCCAGCCCCTGGCAACCACCATTCTACTTTTTGTCTCTGAATTTTTCTACTCCTAGATACGTCATGGTAATGGAATCATATAGTATCTGTTCATTTGTGACTGGGTTATTTCCATAACATAATGACTTTGCAAGGTTCATCCATATTATGGCGTACGTCAGAATTTTCTCCTTCTTATGGGTGGATAATATTCCATTGTATGCGTCCACATTCTTTTACCCAATATTTTTTTTTGTGTGTGACAGAGTCTTGCTCTGGCCCAGGCTGCAGTGCAGTGTCACAATCCCAGCTCACTGCAACCTCTGCCTCCCAGGTTCAAGCAATTCTCATGCCTCAGCCTTCCGAGTAGCTGGCACTACTGGTGTGCTAATTTTTGTTTTTTTAGTAGAGATGGGATTTCGCCCGGTTGCCCAAACTGGCCTGAAACTCTTGAACTCAGGTATTCCACCCACCTCGGCCTCCCAAAGTGCTGGGATTACAGGCATGAGCCACTGCTGCACCTGGCCTCTTTTACCCAATGTTTTCTTAAAGCTTACTGTAGGTCTAGAGATTTTTAAAATTATAGACAAATAAATGTTCAACTTTACGTTAATAATTTGAAAGCCTAGAGGAAATGGAGAAAGTGTCCATAAAAATATTAACCCTATTGACTCCAGGAGAAGTAGAAAACCTGAAAAAGACCTAAGACCCAGCTGATTTAGCAGCCACACTTGTGTGATTATGTGTTTGTGTTTGCTTTTATTAACGCGTGTTTTGTGGTTAAATATTAGTTTGAAATAATTTTTTAGGCTCAAAATTTTAAACAAGGCTGTTTTCTTTTTGTTTTTGTTTTTTGAGATGGGGTCTCACTCTGTTATTCAGGTTGGAGTACAGTGGTACAGTCTTCACTCACTGCAACCTCTGCCTCCCAGGCTCAAGTGATCCTCCCACCTCAGCCTCCCGAGTAGCTGGGACCACAGGTGCTTGCCACCGCATCCAGCTGATTTTTTGTATTTTTGGTAGACAGGGTTTCACCAAGTTGCCCAGGCTGGTCTCGAACTTCTAAGCTCAGGCATTCCTCCTGCCTCGCTCGGCCTCCCAAAGTGCTAGGATTACAGGTGTGAGCCACCACACCTGGCCTAAGAAGTCTGTTTCTTATAGCTAAAGTGGATGTCTTTGCTAGGCTGTATCAGATCTCATCCAAATAAAAAAAAATTTTTTTTGAAATGGGGTCTCCCTATGTTGCCCAGGCTAGTCTCAAACTTCAAACTTTGAACTCTGAACTCGTAGGCCTAAGCAGTACTCTTTCCCCAGCCTCTTGAGTAGCTGGGATTACAGGTGTGTGCCACTGTGCCCGGCCTCGTCACATATTTTTTAAAAATCTGTATAACTTACATTCAAGAGTTCCTATCCAGAATTCAGTCTGGTTTTAGACCTCATTTTAATATTTATTGCACCTTTAGTGCATGTCTCTCCATTATTACATATTGTTATTTCAGTGCTTATTAGTCCCTTGAATTCAGACTACCATATCTTACTTATTCTTACCTATTATAGCATGTGCTTTGCATGAAGCGGGTAGTTCATGAAAATTTATTGAATCTACCAATATTTCACGGATTTTGTCAAGTATTGCTGAGGGTTGTTTGCAGGATAGAGAAAAATTGATGCTTGGAGTTTTTCCTTTGGAGGATTTGGTATGGTTTGTTACAGATTTTTGTGATTCGCAGATCCTGGGTGAAAATGTATACTATTTGATTTAGTAGATTTCTAGATAATCATATGTAACAATGTTTAACAGAAATGAGTAGTAAATTAAGTAACTGGTGGATTGATACCTTATGAATGTTAACATACTACTCAGATTTTTAATTTAGATATGGCTCTTTCAGTGTATATTGAAGTTATTTTACTCAGGACTTGGCTTCTAAAGTCAGTACATAAAATGAAATTAGGCTTGAAAATACTGGAAATTTTTAGTAATGACAAAATTTTTTATTTTTTTTTGGTAAATAGCCTAGTACAGAAATATATATATGCATGATTTGTGCTATATTTGGTAGCATATAATTCCGTAGGCTGAATCATATTAAGAGAGTAAATCAGCTGAATGTTTTGATGCTTGGAACATGAAGCCGATTTAGGGAGAGTCAAACTTCCTGGTTTCTCTCTCTCTCATCATCTTTATGAAGATAATATTTCTTCTGGTTCTTCATCAGTGAGTATTTCTCTATGGCCTCAAATGTCTTTCTGATAATTACAGTTTCACTTTCCTGGTTAACCATGCCTAAAATATTAAATGGAAAATTGTAGAAATAAACAGTTCATAAGTTTTAAATTGTGCACCATTCTGAGTAGTATAATGAAATCTCATGCCATCTTGCCTGGGACAGGAATCCTCTCTTTGTCCTTTGTATCCATGCTGTTGACGCTTCCCACCCATTAGTGCCCCTGTTATATTGACCGCCAGGGTATTGCAGTGTTTGTGTTCAAGTAATCCTTAGTTTACTTAATAACGGTCCCAAAGCGCAAGAATAGTGATGCTTTTAATTTGGATATGCCAAAGAAAAGCCGTTAAGTGCTTCCTTTAAGTGAAAAGGTTAAAGTTCTTAATAAGACAATGAATCATATGCTGAAGTTGCTAAGATCTGTGATAAGAATGAATCTCCTATCTGTGAAATGATGAAGAAGGAAAAAGAAATTCGTGCTAGTTTTGCTGTTGCACCTCATACTGCAAAAGTTATGGCCACGGTGCTTGATTAACTGCTTGGTTAAGATGAAAAGGGCATTAAATTTTTGGTGGAATATATGAACAGATATGTGTTTCCGTTGACAGCAGTCAGGTTCTGTACTGTCTGGTTTCAGGAATCCACTAGGGGTCTTAGAACATATACCCCCATGTTAAGGAGGGACTACTGTAATTGCCTTTACCCCTGAATATTTGTTTAGGGTTCTTGTTAATTGTTTTCTCTCTCACACTCTGGCTTAGTACTTACAGGTAAAAAAATTTTTTTGAGACAAGAGTCTCTCTCTGTTGCCCAGGCTAGAGTGCAGTGGCACAATCTCAGCTCACTGGAGCCTCTGTCTCCCAGGTTCAGGTGATTCTCCTGCCTCAGCCTCTTGAGTAGCTGAGATTACAGGCATTTGCCACCATGCCTGGCTAATTTTTACTATAGATGGGGTTTCACCATGTTAGTGAAGCTAGTCTTGAACTCCTGACCTCAAATGATCCTCCTGCCTAGGCCTCCAAAAGTGCTGGTATTACAGGAATGCGCCACCACGCCCTGCCAAGTACTTACAAGTAAATTCTTTTTTTCTTTTTGAGATGGAGTTTTGCTTTTGTTGCCCAGACTGGAGTGCAATGGCGTGATCTCGGCTCATTGCAACCTCCGTCTGCTGGGTTCAAGTGATTCTCCTGGCTCAACTTCCCGAGTAGCTGGGATTACAAGCATGTGCTACCACGCCCGGCTAATTTTGTATTTTTAGTAAGAGACAGGGTTTCTCCATGTTGATCAGGCTGGTCTCGAACTCCTGACCTCAGGTGATCCGCCCGCCTCGGCCTCTCAAAGTGTTGGGATTACAGGCGTGAGCCACCATGCCTAGCCAGTAAATTCTTGTAAGTTCGAATATGGTATGACCTCTAGTAATGTACATCTCTTGATGTCTCTAATTTCTGTATTAGTATATTCTTTGTACTTCATTCTGTAGAGCATATGGTATTCACATAATACTTTTGGTTATTGGGTATGGCACATACAGTGCTAGGGTTCTCATTGTTTCTCAGTCCCAACAAGAACATCTCATCAGAGGAGTTTAAGGTACATTTTAAGTTCATTCATTAGTATCTCCCCAGATAAACTTAATTGTAAGTCTGAATCCCTAAGCAAGAAATTAAGGTACTCCTTTAAAAAATACATTATTTAGTAAACAAAGCATCTCTGACTTCTATACATACAGCACCATTTGTTCAGTGTTTTCAGTTCTTAAAAAAGAAATAAAATTATAACATTTAGATCCAAAAGGGGCCTTAGAAACTTTTTTGAGTACATTCATTTTACATAGACTTAGGCTAGTTGCGTCTTAGCTCAGCCTAACGTATGTGACCACCTGACCTGATGTGATGCCCTTTCACTCTCAAAATGTAACAGTTTGAATGATAATGTACTCATCCTCACATAGTGGTGGAGGAGTATGGCACTCAGATTTTCTACGTAGTTCAGTGTTCTTTCTGCTACCTTGATACTTTTTCAGATAATTTTTTCTTGTTAACCCTCAACAAAGCAACTAAGTGATTTTAAGGAAGTTGGGAGATTTATCTTTTTAAAGAGAAGATGTAGATTCTTTGAAAAAAGATGTTGTTTTCTTCTATTTAAATATTCAAGTGACACTGCCATTATTTGTACTGAGTGTCCTTACAGTTAAATATTTATTTAATCATAGGATATTGAAGCCAGAGGGTATGTTATGGACGATCTAATCTAAACTAGTTATTTTATATGGGTTTTTTTGTGTGTGTGGAGACAGGACCTTGCCCTGTCATTCACCCTGGAGTATAGTAGCACAACTATGGCTCACTGCAGCCTTGACCCCCCGGGCTCAACCGATCCTTACATCTTGACCTCCCAAAATGTTGGGATTATGGGTGTGAGCCACCACACCTGGCCTATGCTTTTATTTTTTATATAAAGGTATTATAATTGTAACATAGAAAGTTTAGAAAATAACATTTATTTTAAAATATTCATATGATTTTTTTTTTTTTTTTTTTTTTTGGAGACAGAGTCTCACTCTGTCGTCCAGGCTGGAGTGCAATGGCGCAATCTTGGTTCACTGCAACCCCTGCCTCCCAGGTTCAAGCGATTCTCCTGCCTCAGCCTCCCGAGTATCTGGGATTGCAGGTACCCGCCACCACGGCCAGCTAATTTTTGTATTTTTAGTTTCACCATGTTGGTCATGCTGGGCTCAAACTCCTGACCTCAGGTGATCTATCCGCCTCGGCCTCCCAAAGTGCTGGGATTATAGGCATGAGCCACCGCGCCTGGCCCGCCTATACATTTAAATAGTGTATTTACATAATTTACATAATGGTATATGTACATTTTTCTTTCCTGTGTTTTCACGAACTCTCATGCAAGCATCTTCATGTTATTTACAGACATGTACTTATCATCCATATAATATGGATGTACCTTTACATATACATTTAAATAGTGTTTTACATAATGGTATATGTACATTTTTCTTTCCTGTGTTTTCACTAACTCTCATGCAAGCATCTTCATGTTATTTATAGACATGTACTTATTATCCACGTAATATGGATGCACCTTTACCTAACTATTCCCCTGTTACTATTCTTTAGGTTGCTTCTAGTTTTTCTACAACTATAAATAACATTTTTGTCCATGTGGCTTTTTCTTCTTTTTGTTTTTCCTTTCTACAGCCTGTTTTGCAAATGAAGACAGACCTAAGCTAATGAAAATGAATCTTTTTCAGGGGTTACATCTCAGATCTTTGGACTCTCGTGCTGATGCCCTTTCCATTATACCATAATGCTTGTTTTCTGTAAAGACTACATGGATTGAAAACACTGTATCAGCTGTCTTAGCCCATTGTTGGAACAAGGCAAGGTAGACATAAAATGTAAATAATTCAAGTTAAAAATTATCTAACCCGTCTCCTACCAAGTTAACAGTTTTATTTTGTAGGTACTTAGACTTAAATCAGTAACCTTCCAGTTTCCTATTGTTAATTCCTTTCCCCTTCTGCATAATAATTAAAGCTGAATGCTTAGCTTGTAGATTGTTGAGGAATTGATGTTGTGAGAACACTGACTATATCTAGATTAACTTCTGCAACAGCCCCTAGAATACCTCATTGTACCTAGCCCCTACCTAATGCTGTGCATTTACAGAGAAGTCTTAGGGGATTGTTAGCCAAACTGAATAGAGGACTACTCTATTTTTCCCCTTTTCTTGTCTTCCTTCTCTTTTTTTTTCCTAATTTATTTATTCAAGAAGTAGTTACTGAACGCCAACTAAGTGTTAAGCACTATTCTAGGTGCTGAGAATTCAGCAGTAAATAAAACTGACAAAAATCCTTTCCCTTATGAGCCTATATTCTCGTGGGGGAGATAGGCAAAAAATAAATTGTATAGTATATTGGAAAATTATGTGTTATTTGGGAGAATAAAGCAAAGAAGGGTGGTAAGAGTGTTGTTGGCTTGATGTTGCAATTCTTTTTTTTTTTTTTTTTTTGAGTCGGAGTCTTGCTCTTTCACCCAGGCTGAAGTGCAGTGGCGCAATCTTGGCTCACTGTAACCTCCGCCTCTGGGTTCAAGCGATTCAGCCTCAGCCTCCTCAGCAGCTGGGATTACAGACGCATGCCACCACACCCGGCTAATTTTTGTATTTTTAGTAGAGAGGGGGTTTCACCATGTTGGTCAAGCTGGTCTTGAACTCCTGACCTCAGGTGATCCACCCATCTTGGCCTCCCAAAGTGCTGGGATTATAGGCGTGAGCTACCGCACCTGGCCTGATGTTGCAGTTTTAAGTAAGGTAGTCAGGAACATATTCACTGAGAAAGGAACATTTGAGCAAGATTTAAAGGTGGTGATTGAACGAGCCATGAGAAAAACGGGGGAAGAAAGTTCCAGAACAGTGAGCTTAACAGACCGTGAAGCAAGGACTCACCCAGGTGTGTTGGAGGCCTTGTAAAGACAGCAAGGTGGCCTCTGTGGCTACAATGGAATCAGTGGTGATGAAGAAATTAGGTCAGGAAGATAACACAGTGCCAGATTGTTTAGGATTTCTAGGCCATTGTAAGGACTTTGAACTTTACTCTTGTTAAAGAGGGGACCATTATGGGAGGGATTTAAGAAGTAGAATAATATGATCAATTTATATTTTTAAAGGATCACCCTCTCTTCTGAGTTGAGATTAGACTGAAGCCAGGCAAAGGTAGAAGCAGGGAGACTAGGTAGGAGGCTACTGCAATAATTCAAGCAAAAGATGATAGTGACTTAGACCACAGGCAGTGATGGAGGTAGTAAGTAGTGGTTGGAGTCTGTATATGTTTTTTAAACTTGTTATTTTTGAATAATTTCAGATGTTAAAAAAGTTTCAAGAGTATTACAGAAACCTTCTGTGTACTTTCCACTCAGATTCCCATTATTAACATTTTAACATATTTGCTTTATCTCTCTTACTGCTCTCTCTACAGGCACACACACACTTTTTTTTTCTGAACTGTTTGAGCATATGTTGCAGACATGCTGCCCTATTTAGTACTTTGGTGTTCATTTCTTAAAAACAAGGATATTCCTTAAACAGTTGCATTAGTCAGCTTGGCTGCCATAACAAAATACCACAGACTGGGTGGCTTAAACAAAGAAATCGATTTTCTCACAGTTCTAGAGGTTGCAGAGTTCAAGATCAAGGTCCAGTTTGGTCTCTGGTGAGGGCTCAGGGCTCCTTCCTGGCTTTAGTCTGTCACACAGACTAGAGTACAGTGGGGCGATTGTGGCTCATTGCACCCTCAGCCTCGCAGGCTCAAGTGATCCTCCCACGTCAGCCTCTGAGTAACAGGACTACAGTTATGCAATTACGCCTGGCTAACTTAAAATTTTTTTTTGGAGAGATAGCGTCTTATTGTGTTGCTCAGGCTGGTACCAACCTCATAGAATTGTGGTGAGGATGTAAGTTAATATCTGTATCCTCTTTAAACAGTCCCTGGCATATAGAAAGTATTAAATAAGTTAAAAATTATAGGCGGGGCGCAGTGGCTCATGCCTGTAATCCCAGCACTTTGGGAGGTCCAAGGCGGGTGGATCACCTGAGGTCAGGAGTTTTAGACCAGCCTGACCAACATGATGAAACCCCGTTTCTACTAAAAATACAAAAATTAGCCAGGCGTGCTGATGCGCACCCGTAGTCCCAGTTACTCAGGAAGCTGAAGCAAGAGAATTGCTTGAACCTGGGAGGCGGAGGTTGCAGTGAGCCGAGATCGCGCCACTGCACTCTAGCCTGGACAACAGAGCTAGACTGTCTCAAAAAAAAAAACAAAAAAAAAACGAAACAAACAAAAGAAGAAGGCAGTACACTAGGCGCGGTGGCTCACGCCTGTAATCCCAGCACTTTGGGAGGCCCAAGGCAGGTGGATCACCTGAGGTCAGGAGTTTTAGACCAGCCTGACCAACATGATGAAACCCCGTCTCTACTGAAAATACAAAAATTAGCCAGGCGTGGTGATGCGCACCCATAGTCCCAGTTACTCAGGAAGCTGAAGCAAGAGAATTGCTTGAACCTGGGAGGCGGAGGTTGCAGTGAGCCAAGATCGCGCCACTGCACTCTAGCCTGGACGACAGAGCTAGACTGTCTCAAAAAAAAAAAAAAAAAAAAAAAAAAAACGAAACAAACAAAAGAAGAAGGCAGTAGGCTAGGCGCGGTGGCTCACGCCTGTAATCCCAGCACTTTGGGAGGCTAAGGTGGGTGGATTGCTTGAGGTCAGGAGTTCGAGACCAGCGTGGCCAACGTGGTAAACCCTGTCTACTAAAAATACAAAAATTAGCCGGGCATGGTGGCAAGCGCCTGTAATCCCAGCTGCTGGAGAGGCTGAGGCACAAGAATCACTTGAACCTGTGAGGCGAAGGTTGCAGTGAGCCGAAATCACACCACCGCACTCTGGCCTGGGCGATAGAGTGAGACTAAGTCTCCAAAAAAAAGAATAAGGCAGTAAACAAGAGAAATTCCAGTCTTCTGGATGCTTATAATCCAGTGAGGATACAGACAAGTACACTACAATGTGATAAATGCTATAGTAGGTAAAAGTATAGGGTGCTTAAAGACCACTGCCTTTAAGCATTTTCCCAGATTACCTCAACCACTTTTTTTCATTCCTCCAGAATTTCCAAAGTGCTCTGACTAGAGTGGAGAGTTTGCATTGAGGAGAAATAGTAATAAAATAGTTTGGGGTGGTTTGCGGGAAGAAGTAGAGATTTAACATGGGGGTGGTCAGAAACTGACATGAGTTAAATTTAAAATTTTGGACGTTTTCCTATGGATGAGTAGAAAACCACTGAAAACGGTTTAGGATGAGTTATCCTAGAAAAGGAAAATTCTGACTAAAAGAGAAAACACAAGGTAGCAGGGTTTTTGGCAATTGTGAGTAATTCATTAAAGATGGAACTTTGAATTTGAGGGTGAAGAAATGAGACTGGAAGAGAAGGCAGGATGCAGATTATAAAGGAAGCTAAAGTGTTTCAGCTTTTTCCATTGAGCAGTGCGAAATCATTGACAGATTTGATATGATAAATAATTGGACAATTTTGCATATTTGAAAATGAATTTGGCTCCCACTTCCCTACCTTGCTCCCCTGTTAAAATAGAAACGGGGATTGATTTATGTCCCATTCCTGAATGCATGTAAAATTTATACAAAAATACTTTCTATGAAAATGATTTGTAATCTGTAGACTTAATACCTGGGAGATGTCTTGAGATATAAAATCGCATCCTTTGGGCTGTGGGTTTTTTGTTTTCTCCAAATAAATCTGATCTTTTCTTAAAAAAAAAGGAAGGAAGGAAGATAAAAAAAAGAAAAGAAAAATAAATTTGGCAACAATATAGGGAGGAAATTTAAGGGGAGCAAGTCTAGGGGCAGATGACTAGGAACCTGTTGCAGGGGTGGTTCAGGTCAACGGTGATGAAACCCAGAAAACAGCAATAGTAGGAAGGGAAAGACAAGAGGGGATAAAGTTGAGAAATATTATTGGGGACAAAATTGGCTAGAGTTTGGAGATTTATTAATAGGTGTAGGGGGATAAGGAGGAGAAGGAGTCAGAATTGCTAAAATTCTGACTAAAGAGTAGTAACAGATAGAAAAAGAGGAAGATGATTAATAAAATAATAAGGCCAGGCGCTGTGGCTCACGCCTGTAATTCCAGCACTTTGGGAGGCCGAGGCAGGCGGATCACCTGAGGTCGGGAGTTTGAGACCAGGCTGGCCAACATGAAGAAACCCCATCTCTACTAAAAATACAAAAAAATTAGCTGGGTGCGGTGGCGCATGCCTGTAATCCCAGCTACTCAGGAGGCTGAGGCAGGAGAATCGCTTGAACCTGGGAGGCAGAGGTTGCGGTAAGCTGAGATCGTGCCATTGCACTCCAGCCTGGGCAACAAGAGTGAAACTCTGTCTCAATAAATAAATAAATTACAATAAAATAAAATATTAAAATCAGCCAGGTGCAGTGGCTCATGTTCGTAATCTCAGCACTTTGGGAGGCCAAGGCTGGTGGATTCCTTGAGGACAGGAGCTCAAGACCAGCCTGACCAACATAGAGAAACCCCGTCTCTACTTAAACTACAAAATTAGCCAGGCATGGTGACGCATGCCTGTAATCCCAGCTACTCGGGAGGCTGAGGCAGGAGAATCGCTTGAACCCAGGAGGCAGAGGTTGCGGTGAGCTGAGATCATGCCATTGCGCTCCAGCCTGGGCAACAAGAGCGAAACTCCATCTCAAAAAGAAAAAAAAAAAATTAGCCAGACATGGTGGCATGTGACTGTAGTCCCAGCTATTTGGGAGGCTGAGGTGGGAGGATCACTTGAACCCAGGAGGCAGAGGTTTCAGTGAGCCAAGATTGTGACTGCATTCCAGCCTGGGTGACAGAAGAAAAAAAAAATTAAAATCAAGCTCAGGGTGCCTCGGAGACTTTGAAGTGGATGTGTACATTGACTGGTAAAGGGAAATCCAGGCTTGATATCTACAGATATGGGAGTCATTGATACATAGGTTGAAGTAGTTAAAGCAACTAGAAGGAGGTGATTATGCTGATAGCATTCCATTTGCTGTGTATTAAGCCCTATCTTAATTGTTTTACATACATTGTTTTATTTAGTTCTTCTAACAATCCTGTAAGGTTGTCATTTTACAAAGGAAAGCAACATAGAGAAGAGTTAAGTAATGTAAAAGACTCCAAAGCTAACAAGTGACAGAGCCAGAAATGGAAAAGATTGACTTACAGCCTGAAATCTTAAAACACTATGCTATGAGTAGAGAAGAGTGCTCAGGAGAGAATCCTGGAGAACATCAACATTTAAATGAGGATGATCACGGCCAGACTGGCTACCTATACATGATTCTAGAGGAGGACCCGGAGAGGTAGGATGAAAACCAGGAGAGTGGTTAAGAGAGAAGCCAAAGGAGAAAGTACTGTGACAGATTATTCTGCGCGCCAAAGCTATAAAGAAATAACATTAAAAAAAAATCTCCATTGAGTTTAGTAAATTGGAATTTGTTAGTAACCTTGAAAATTGGTGTTTGAGTGAACTGTTCGCAACATAAATGAGATAACAATTTATAAAAAGCTCTTAGCATGGTAGATTGCATAAGTGCAATAAAAGAGTGGCTCCTATAATTATGGAGTTAATGGGAGTTAAAAGTGTAGACAGTGAGTATACAAAACTCTTTCAGACTCTTCACCCTAAAAGGTCTTAACTAACATTAGGCAAGGAAGGAAAGGCTAGGGGTAACCTAAGGTGGTCACAAGAAAACTTTAAGATAGGAGAGACGTGCATATACATATGTTGAGAGACAGCCTGAAGGAATACAATATAAATATATAAATATAAATAAGAGGTCGGGTGCGGTGGCTTATGCCTGTAATTCCAGCACTTTGGGAGGCCAAGGCAGGTGGATCACCTGAGGTCAGGATTTCAAGACCAGCCTGCCAGCATAACATAGTGAAACTCCATCTCTACTAAAAATACAAAAAAATTAGCTGGGCTTGGTGGCAGGTGCCTGTAATCCCAGCTACTTCGGGAGGCTAAGGCAGGAGAATAGCTTGAACCCGTGAGGCGGAGGTTGCAGTGAGCCGAGATTGTGCCATTGCACTCTAGCCTGGGCGACGAGTGAAACTGTCTCAAAAATAATAATAATAATAATTAATAAGTAAATACAAATAAGAATCAAATTAAAATACAAGAAGCGAGGATAAGCCAGGTGCAGTAGTTCATGCCTGTAATCCCAGCAATTTGGGAGGCTGAGGCGGGCAGATTGCTTGAGCCCAGGAGTACAGGACCAGCCTGGGCAACATGGCAAACCCTTGTCTCTACTAAAAATACAAAAAAAAATTAGCCAGGCATGGTGGCATGCCTGAAGTCCCAGCTACTCGAGAGGCTTGAGGTGGGAGGATCACCTGAGCCCAAGGAGGCTGCAGTGAACTGTGATCGCACCACTGCACCCCAGCCTAGGTGACAGGAGTGAGACCCTGTCTCCAAATAAACAAAAAACACAAAAAAAGAAGCAAGCATAGTTAATGGAGCATAAGGTTCTCAAGGTGTGAATAGAGTCTAGGAAACAGTACGTAGTGGAAGGATTACTCTTTAATAGGAGTGATGCTTTTTACTAGGTAAATTGATCTAGGTGAGTTTAAATATGGATACATTTTTTGTGACAAGATAATTTCCATTTAATGATTTTTGCCTTCTCTGTGAAACAGCATATAAGCTTATCTCCTGAGAGTGAGAAGAAGAGATGTGGTAAAGATTCGGGCCTGACAAGTGGTTAAAATTTGAAATAGTTCTTTGAGAGAGGATGCTGACTAAGCACATGTGGAGGGACTGTATGTAGCATTGCGGGCCCAGGTGAAGAAGGAGACTTTTAATTCGTATGATTTAATTTTTTGTATGTGATTTTAGAACCCAGCAGCAGAAATAAAGGTGCAGTAAATGCAGTTAGTTAGATTGATCCAAATTTGGGATTTCATTGAGCACATGAGATAGAAGGCTGAATTAGGGAGAAGGACAAGAGTATGAGGGTTTTAATAAAATATTGGTTTAAATAATGGACAGAGACTCTGGAATTGATGAAGAATTGAGTACTGAGAAGAGAATGTAGAGTTAGAGAAAATAAAAAGCTGAGATCTTGATGAAATTGAAGAACAAGTATAATAGGAGTGGGAGGTTGTGATCAGAGAAGGAGATTTTAAAATGTACAAAGGAGTGGTTCTTGGAGGTCACCGAATGTGAGGTCAAGGAACTGAGAGACAAGAAAACATGGTAGATCATCCATATAGACATTGAAATTACCCAGCATAATAATGAAATTTAAGGTGACTTTGCTCAGGGTTCCAGATAGTACATTGATGGGGCTTTGTCATGAACCATTGAAAAACTTAACCGACTGGGTGTGGTGGCTCACACCTGTAATCCCAGCACTTTGGGGAGGCCAAAGCAGGCAGATCACCTGAAGTCAGGAGTTTGAGATCAGCCTGGCCAACATAATAAAACCCTATCTCTACCAAAAATACAAAAAAATTAGCTGGGCGTGGTAGTGCACACCTGTAGTCCCATCTACTTGGGAGGCTGAGACAGGAGAATTGCTTGAGCCCAGGAGGCGGAGGTTGCAGTGAGCTGAGATTGCGCCACTTCACTGTAGCCTGGGCGACAGAGTGAGACTCCATCTCCAAAAAAAAAAAAAAAAAAACAAAAAGAAGAAGAAGAAAAGCTTAACCTAGATGCATACATAGGATCATATTATTTTGCAGGACATTCGTCTAGTGATGAAAGCAGCAGCAGAGCCTCCCTCCAGTAGATGGGAAGACTAAGACGTATCTGAGTAGTATCTGGATTGGTTGATGGGGAGAGGGTCTATCTGTAATAAATGTTAAGCAATTTGCTTGAGGTCACATTCTGATTTGATTACAAAGCCCATGCTCTTTCTACTAACCTTGGTATTTCTGCAACAAGTTGAGCATGTTCAACTCATTTTTTTTTTGTCTTCTCAGATGTTTGAGACTATAATTTTGTTTTATTTTAGCTTCTCCAGAGTTACTGGGTCTTTTTTTTTAGTGCCAAACATCTACAAAGTGAGGGAGAAATGTCCTTGAGGAGTACCTTGAACAGAAACTTAACGTGAAGTAGTCAAGGTTTTTAGTATGTTTGGTAAACTGATCCATTAGTTCATTTGTCAGTTTATCCATCCAGCCTCCCTTCCATCCATTAGTTCATTTGTCGGTTTATCCATCCATCCTTCCTCCCTTCCATCCATGTAATTACATTCATCTTTTTATATCCATGTAAGAAAAAAAAAATAACCAGTTACAGTTTGAGAACACTGTATTTGGAATAAGTTGAACTAAGTGCAAATTGACTCATTTGGTTTTATTTATTGTCTTTTGTCATCTCTAGCTGCATATCCCCACCGTTTGAATCTCTTTTACCTTGCCAATGATGTCATACAGAACTGTAAAAGGAAAAATGCAATCATATTCCGTGAATCATTTGCTGATGTACTTCCTGAAGCAGCTGCTCTAGTGAAGTAAGTAAATCTTTATTGCTCTATGGGATCTAAACTTAGACAACTTAGAATTTTAGTTTCTTAACCCATTAAGAACTGTAATAATTGAACATGCTTGAAGATTAAGGATAATTTGCCTAAATGGTTGATTATTACTTTCTTGTTAACACACGTTTTTCTTTCTTTCTTTTCTTTTCTTTTCTTTTTCTCTCTCTCTCTTTCTTTCTTTCTTCCTTTCCTTTCCTTTCCTTCCTTTCTTTTCTTTCTTTCTTTCTTTCTTTGAGACAGAGTCTCGCTCTGTTGCCCAGGCTGGAGTGCAGTGGCGCGATCTCGGCTCGCTGCAGCCTCCGCCTCCCGGGTTCAAGCAATTCTCTTGCCTCAGCCTCCCAAATAGCTGGGACTACAGGTGCGTGCTACCATGTCCGGCTAATTTTTTGTATTTTTAGTAGAGATGGGGTTTCACCATGTTAGCCAAGATGGTCTTAATCTCCTGACCTCATGATCCACCTGCTTCAGCCTCCCAAAGTGCTGGGATTACAGGCGTGAGCCACTGTGCCTGGCCATGTTTTTCTTTTAAAAGCTCTCTCTTCTGTTTTCAAAAGCTGGTCTCCTGTTTATCCTTACTTGACCATGTATGTCTCCTGGTGATAATCTCTGAATGTGCTTCCTTCTAACTGCTGTGTCTGTTTTGTTTGTTTGTTTTAACACATTTCATTTCTTCTTTCTGAGTCTTACTGAAATTTTTTTCCCTCCATGAAATCTGTAAAGAGAAACGGAAATTATTTCCCACCATCATACTCCCAACTCCATGTTGATTTAATTTCATTTTTAGCGGTAGTTGGATCCAGCACTTCCCACAGTGTATTCCTATGAAATGATCAGAGGAAGAAGGGTTCTGTGCTCAAAAAAGTTTAGAAAATGATCCATACTACTTTTCCTTTCCTGAAGATTCAAAGTTCACATTACCATATCAATAATTTTATTTCTTTTTGGAGCTTTACAAAACTAATTTCAAAACATTTCCTGGCTGAGCACGGTGGCTCACGCCTGTAATCCCAGCACTTCGGGAGGCCAAGGCGGGTGGTGGATCATGAGGTCAGGAGATCAAGACCATCAAGAGATGGTAAAACCCTGTCTCTACTAAAAAATACAAAAAAATTAGCCAGGCGTGGTGGCAGGCACCTGTAGTCCCAGCTACTCAGGAGGCTGAGGCAGGAGAATGGCTTGAACCCAGGAGGCAGAGCTTGCAGTAAGCCGAGATCACGCCACTGCACTCCAGCCTGGGCGACAGAGTGAAACTCCGTCTCAAAACAAAACAAAACAAAACCACAGCATTTCCTAAACTCTGACCATGGGCCCTTCTTTTTGAATGCCTATTGAACATCCCCACATTCGGGGAGAATTCTGGTGTATATACAGTACAAACTTATATCTGATCTTATTTTTGCCCTGTATTAATACTGTGTTCTTTGTGTTGCATCCATATTTGTAAATTGTTTTCTATAAGAGGCACACACAGTTACAGGATAAACAATATATAGAGCAATATATAAACACTTATATGGAACAACCATAATAGCTAAATGCTTCCTCAGATTATATATTTATTATCATTGACCCATTTGTTAGTATTAACCCAGTCAGAACTGAATGATCCTGTCAAATTATGGAATATATTGAAAATAAGAAATAAAAGAACTGACTGATCCCTCTTCCTTAGGATTGTTAACTTAAAATGTCTACCTTGCTATTAGAAAAGATTAAAATATGGTACTACTTGAATGTACTAAGTAAATAAGTGCATAAAATAATAACACCTACCATTTGTTGGATATTTATAATTGACTAAATATTATACAAAGTGCTTTATCATTTAATTTTGAGAACAACTTTATACCGTGGGCACTATTGTTACCTTAATTTTTTCTTTTTTTGAGATGGAGTTTCGCTCTTGTTGCCCAGGCTGGAGTGCAGTGGCACAATCTCGGCTTACCGCAACCTCCGCCTCCTGGGTTCAAGCAATTAGGCAATTCTCCTGCCTCAGCCTCCCGAGTAGCCAGGATTACAGGCATGCGCCACCACGCCCAGCTAATTTTGTATTTTTAGTAGAGACGGGTTTCTCCATGTTGGTCAGGCTGGTCTCGAACTCCTGACCTCAGGTGATCCGCCTGCCTCCGCCTCCCAAAGTGCTGGGATTACAGGAGTGAGCCAACGCACCTGGCCTTGTTACCCTAATTTTAAGGAAGAAGAAACTGTGGCTTGGAGAGATTAGGTAAATTGCCTAAACTCTCAGAGCTGCCTGGAGGCAGAGAGCCAGATTCCCACTTCAGGCTATCTAAATCCAAAGCCCATGTTGTTTGCCACTTAACCACTAATCCATGCTGCCTCTTTATGTATAAAACCCAGTATAATTGTGAATAAGAACAACAATACACCAGAGTTTCTGCTATAAATATCACTGTAGTATCTATAACTTAGCCTAGTGTTTCCTTGACTTGAATTTCATGACCTATTTCATGGATTAATATACAGTTGCCAACCTTTTTTTTTTAAACCATGTAAAGATATGTTTAAAAACAACTACTTTGTGTGTTACTACCATTGTTTCATGGAAAAAAGTGAGAAGGACATAATCTCGGAATAAAGTACAGTTCTTAAGTTAAAACCTTAAGCCCCCAAGAATGTTTTAACTCAGTGAAACATGTCTTCAGAAACCTGTAGTAAACATGATACGTAATGATGAAACAAAGCATTCCAAGACAGAAGTCCTTCATTATCATTACTATTGATCATTATGCTGGAGGTTCCATTTATTTAGAAATGAATGAATGAATAGATAGGTCAGGTGCAGTGGCTCATGCCTATAATCCCAGCACTTTGGGAGGCCGAGGCAGGCAGATCACTTGAGGTGAGCAGTTCAAGACCAGCCTGGCCAACATGGTGAAACCCCATCTGTAGTAAAAGTACAAAAAGTAGCTGGATGTGGTGGTGCACACCTGTAATCCCAGCTACTCGGGAGGCTGAGGCACAAGAATCGCTTGAACCTGGGAGGTGGAGGTTGCAGTGAGTTGAGATCATGCCTCTGCCCTCTAGCCTGGGCAACACAGCAAGACCCCGTCTCAAGAAAAAGAAAAAAGGAATGAATTAATAAATAAAATGCATTTAGAAGAGACAGAATTGTCATTACTTGCAGGTAATATAATTATCTACATCAGGGGGGCAACCCTTTTCTGTAAAGGGTCGATAGTTAAGTAGTTTAGGCTTTTTGAGCCATAGTGTCTCTGTCACAGCTCCTTAACAATGCCATTCTAGCATGAAAGCACCAAACAGTACAGAAACAAATGGGTATGGCTATCTTCCAATAAGAATAGGCAGCAGGCCAGATTTGGTCTGAGGTTCATAATTTGCCAGCCCTTAGCCTACATAGAAAGTCATGATGATCAACTAATAAGATAACTCAGCTAAATAGCCAGATTCAAGTTGAACATACAAAATCAGTAGCTTTCCTATGTATGCCAGCAGCAACTTATTTTAAACTGTAATTAGGAAGAAAGATTTATCTTGCAAGACAAAAAATAAAAGAAAAACCCCACCCAAGAATAAATATTAGAAGTATGTGAGGCTTTTATAAAATTTCAAAAATTTAAAGGATATTAAAGAAGATCTGGATAAATGAAGATATATAGGGTTTTTTGAAGGAAAAGATTTGGTATTGTTAAAAATACATTTATTTCCTAATATGTTATTTATACTCTGTAATCCCAGTCAAAATCTCAGTAGGATTTCCTGTGGAAGGATAAATATCCAAGGTAATTTTTTTTAAGAAAAGTAAGGTTAAAATTCCCTACCGGTTATCAAATATATCTTAAAACAATAATGGAAGCAGGAATAGAAGATTGTATTAGTGAAACAGAATATACTCTTGCTTATAAATAAATAAATTATAAAGTATATGGTAAATCAGAGGATATTAAAATAAGAGCTTAATGCCAGGTGTGATGGTTCTCACACCTGTAATCCTTGCACTTTTAGGAGGCTGAAGTGGGAGGATCACTTGAGGCCAGGAGTTTGAGACCAGCCTGGGCAATATAGCGAGACCCTGTCTCTACAAAAAAAATTAAAAATTAGCCAGGTGTGGTGGCATGTGCCTGTAGTCCTAGCTACCAGGAGGCCAAGGCAGGAGGATCTCTTGAGTCCAGGAATTCAAGACTGAAGTGAATTATAATCATACCATGGCACTCCACACTCCAGCCTGGGTGACAGAGCAAGACGCTATCTCTTAAATAAACAAATACAGAACTTAAGTATTCCTTAAACAGCCCCATCCTAACCACCACTTCCCCTTTTAAAACTCACACCTGTAATCCCAGCACTTTGGGAGGCCAAGGAGGGTGGATCACAGGGTCAGGAGATCGAGACCATCCTTCCTGACTAACACAGTGAAACCCCGTCTCTACTAAAAACACACATACACACACACACACACAAAATTAGCCAGGTGTGGTGGCGGGCGCCTGTAGTTCCAGCTAGTCAGGAGGCTGAGGCAGGAGAATGGCATGAACCCGGGAAGCAGAGCTTGCAGTGAGCCGAGATCATGCCACTACAGCCTGGGTGACAGAGCAAGACTCTGTCTCAAAATAATAATAATAATAATAATAATAATAAATAAAATTAAAATAAAAAAATAAAACTCTTATTCACAATACTACTATACACTGATTCCTTTTCTGAATTTTTTTCTCTTAAGGCTATTTTGATTCCTTTAATTCAAGGGGGGCAAATGTCTAGAAGTTCCTGGCAGGTAATATAGATGAGTGAAGTAGGTTGAGTGTGAGAAAAAATTCACTTAATAGGGACAGCAGTTACTCAGTCCTAGGCTGATGGCCATGAAGAAATATGAGCCCAACATTAACATATGCTGCCAAACTTTTCTCGCTTTTAAACCAGGACAGAAATGTGGATTTTTATATGAAGTCACACCATTTTTATATGTGTGACATTGTCAGATTTAAAAAATAATATTGCTGACAAAACACATTTGATGATCATATTGAACCATGGGCAACTTATTAGGGACATTAATTTTATTCCTTGAATGCCTTTAAGGTGTTTATTGATTTCACTTGATTAAAAATTGGTATGGGGTGGACTCACGGCCACATGTTAAAAGAGGTGCCCAAATAAGGGAAAGTAGGACTTTCAGATAAGTTGGGAAACTATTTTCTCCAGTACTTATCCAGTTATTTCAGTTCTTTTTATTAAATTTCAGTTTATCTTTTCCATCACAGGTTGGAAATTCCATGGGCTGGAAACCTGGAGATTGTATTTTAGATATACTAGTTATTATTGTAAGAAAATATGTATGTGAGAGGGAGGGGTAAAAATGAAAGTTAAACCAACCTGGTATTTGCCATTTGTGTCCTAGAGGTCCTAGCTAAGGGACAGAAATGCCAGTTTATCTGAATATACATCACCATGAGACCGGAATAGTTGAAACACTAATTTGAAGCACAGGAAAAGTGTCTATGAATGTCAGAGTTGAGTTACACTTGGGAAACTGTGGACTACTCTGCAACCAGCAACGACTTCAATAAGTTATATATAGATTATAGAAGAATCCCTTTAAGAACTGAGGGTTTGCTTGTATTGTGTCAGGATGGTGTAAGAGTAGGTATATCTTTAATGTGGGTAGTGCTTTCCAAAATCCTGTCCCTATCCCAGGTTTTCGTAAAAGGCAATTATTTGTGCTTATACATTTTCATCTTTAATTGAACTGAAAAATGAATTTATGCTAGTTGTTATATAAGAGCTTAATGTGATTTTATTGACTCTTAAGGGTGTATAGAGAATTATATGCATGATCTTTTTTGGGAAAAGGTGTCATGACAGATTTTGAGGAAATAATGAGCTTGGTACCAGTTAAATACCCATAATCTGAAAATTTGAAATGCAAAATGCTCCAAAATCTGGAGCTTTTTGAGCACCAACATGATGCACACAGAAAATGCTCATTGGAGCATCTTGGATTTCAAATTAGAGATACTCAGCCAGTAAGGATAATGCAAATATTCCGAAATCTGAAAACAAATTTTTTTTTTTTTTTTTGAGACAGAGTTTCGCTCTTATTGCCCAGGCTGGAGTGCAGTAGCGCGATCTCAGCTCACTGCAACCTCCGCCTCCTGGGTTCAAGCAGTTCTCCTGCCTCAGCCTCCTGAGAGGCTGGGATTACAGGCATGCGCCACCACGCCTGGCTAATTTTGTACTTTCAGTAGAGACGGGGTTTCTCCATGTTGGTCAGTCTGATCTCAAACTCCTGACCTCAGGTGATCCACCCGCCTCGGCCTCCCAGAGTGCTGGGATTACAGGTGTGAGCCACAGCACCCGGCCAGTTGAGAATTTCTACTTAAATGTTATATGTCCATATTCAGTTCAGAATGCCTGAAACACTAACATGCCTTACTTTGTGTGAAGTCCTACTCCTACAGTTTCAATTTATGTGAAAATATGTTCAATATAAATTGAAAATTGCTATATAAATGGTAACTAACTTTGCAGATAAGCAGATTGGATTTTATTATTTCTATTTTTTTTTTCTTTTTATTTGAGATGGAGTCTCACTCCGTCGCCCAGGCTGGAGTGCAGCGGCACGATCTCGGCTCACTGCAACCTCCGCTTCCTGGGTTCAAGCGATTCTCCTGCCTCAGCCTTGAGAAGCTGGGATTACAGGCGAGCGCCACCATGCCCAGCTAATTTTTGTATTTTTAGTAGAGACAGGGTTTCACCATGTTGGTCAGGCTGGTCTTGAACTCCTGACCTCATGATCCGCCTGCCTTGACCTCCTGAAGTGCTGGGATTACAGGCATGAGCTACCGCACGCGGCCCAGATTTTATTATTTCTTTCTACAAAATGAGAAAAACTGAAGTCCAGAGCAGTTAAGATACCACCCAAAGGAAAATGACAATTTAGTAAAAGTCCTGGGACTAGAACCCAGATTTTTCTGACTCTCAGTCCTCTATTATTTCTGTTCTGCCAAATAGCCCTCCTAATCTAACTTACAATTTTTTATTTTATAACAGCACCTTAGTAATCTTTAATTTTTCTTTCTTATTTCTTAGTCATTTACCAGGGACTGATTCTTCTGTTAAAGTTTCTTCCTCCTTTTCTCTCTGCCTTTCAATTTTCTGTTATTGTTGCTCTGTTTGATATATTTATATTAATATTATAGCCTGCTAACTAGTTTCCCGGTTTGTGTTACCTTTTTCATTCACTTCAGACTACATACACACAGATGTCTAGAGATACAATGGTTTAAGACCATAGTCTCTGGAACCAGTGTGCATAGATTTGAATTCTGGCTCTGTCACCTCATAACTCTATAACTTTAGATAAATAAAATTAGTTTCTCGTCTGTATAATGAATCCAGTAATAGTACATACTTCATAAAGTGTGGAAACTAAAGAGTTAATAATATATATAAAGGGCTTAGAACAGTAACTGACATTTAATAAACAATAAATATTAGCTGCTGCTATGATGAGGAAGATGACTGTGCCTACTACTGCCATTATTATTATTAACAAATTAATATTAGCAAGGCATACTCTGAAAACCTTTAAAATATATTTTTATATTGCTTTATGATTTAAGAAATTTCTGGCCGGGTGAGGTGGCTCACGCCTGTAATCCCAGGACTTTGGGAGGCCGAGGCAGGTGGATCACCTGAGGTCAGGAGTTTGAGACCAGCCTGACCAACATGGAGAAACCCTGTCTCTACTAAAAATACAAAATTAGCCAGGCGTGGTGGCGCATACCTATAATCCCAGCTACTCGGGAGGCTGAGGCAGGAGAATTGCTTGAACCTGGGAAGCAGAGGTTGCAATGTGCCGAGATTGCATCATTGCACTCCAGCCTGGGCAACAAGAACAAAACTCCGTCTCAAAAAAAAAAAAGAAAAATAAATTTCCTTCCATCTTTATTATCTTCTTTGATTCTCAAATCAAATATATGATATAATTAGGGGCAAAGATTATTATCCTCATTTTACAGATGAGGATACTGATGATAAAATAAATCATATAAATCTACTTGGAGATAGGAAACTGAACATTAAAAAGTAAGAGAGGGCTGGGTGTGGTGGCTCATGCCTATAATCCCAGCACTTTGGGAGGCCAAGGCAGCAGTATCACCTAAGCCCAGGAGTGTGAGACCACCCTGGGCAACATAGGGAGACCTCATCTCTACTAAATTAACTGGGTGTGGTGGCATATGCCTGTGGTCCAAGCTACTTGGAAGGCTGAAGCAGGAGGATCGCTTGAGCCTGAGTGGTGAAGGCTACAGTGAGCTGTGGTGGTGTCACTGCACTCTGCCTTGAGCGACAGAGTGAGACCCTGTCTCAAACAAACAAACAAACAAAAAAAGGGATGCCACTTAAAGCCTTCTACAGTCAAATCTCAGTCTTCCCATCCTTACCACCAGCTCTCCTGAATCCCAGTAATGAGACATTGCTCTAGCCAAACGCTCATACTGTGTATCTTAATATAAGTGCTTATGAATTTTTCTTCATGGAGTAGCTCTTCCTCCTTGGGAAGCAGCAGAGCTTAGAGGTTAAAAATGCAAGGTTTGGAGTCAAACTTGCAAGGTTGCCTGGGTTTAAATCCTGGATCTCTTACTTGGTAGAGTAGTTTATTTAACTTTCTCGTGCTTCAGTTTTCCCATCTGTAAAATGTGAATAATAGTACAGTTTGTCTCTTAGGGATGCTGTGAGGATTAAATAGGCTAATATATGTAAAGCATTATAAAGGAACATGAAAATGCTCTAAAAATCGGTGAGCTAAGTATCCATCTCAAGAAGTTTTAAAAGAAGAGCAAAATAAGCCCAAGAAAGGAAGGATATAATAAAATAAGAGCAGAAACTAATTAAATTTAAAACAAATACACAGTGAGGTACTTTCAATGTCAAATTCATTGTAAGAGAGAATAGAATAGTGTTTGCCAGGGACTGGGGTAGGGGGCAGGGAATGGGGAGTTATTGTTCAATGGGTATAGAGTTTCAGTTTTGCAGGATGGGAAGAGTTCTGGAGATATGGATGGTGGTGATGGTTGCACAATACGAATGTACTTAATGCCATTTAATTGTACACTTGAAAATGGTTAAGATAGGCCGGGTGCTATGGCTCGCGCCTGTAATCCCAGCACTTTGGGAGGCCAAGGCGAGTGGATCATGAGGTCAGGAGTTCAAGATCAGCCTGGCCAACATAGTGAAACCCTGTCTCTACTAAAAATACAAAAATTAGCCGGGCATGGTGGCATGCGCCTGTAGTTCCAGCTTCTTGGGAGGCTGAGGCAGGAGAATCACTTGAACCCGGGAAGTGGAGGTTACAGTGACCTGAGATCACGCCACTGCACTCCAGCTTGGGTGATACAGTGAGACTGAGTCTCAATAAATAAATAAATAAAAAGTTTTAAAAAAGAAAAACAAAGAAAAGGCCGGGTGCTGTGGCTCACGCCTGTAATCCCAGCACCTTGGGAGACCGAGGCGGGTGGATCACTTGAGGTCCGGAGATCGAGACCATCCTGGCCAACATGGTCAAACCCCATCTCTACTAAAAATACAAAAAGTAGCTGAGCGTGGTAGCGCGTGCCTGTAGTCCTAGCTACTTGGGAAGCTAAGGCAGGAGAATTGCTTGAACCCAGGAGGCAGAGATTGCAGTGAGCCGAGATTGCCCCACTGCACTCCAGCCTGGGCAACAGAGCGAGACTCTATCTCAAAAAAAAAAAAAAAGAAAAGAAAAGAAAATGTTAAGGTAACTGGGTGTGGCGTGGTGGCTCACACTTGTAATCCCAATACATTGGGAGGCCAAGGTGGGTGGATTGCTTGAACCCAGGAGTTTGAGACCAACCTAAGCAACATGGCAAGACCCCATCCCTACAATAAATACAAAAATTAGCTGGATATGGTGGCGCGTGCCTGTGTTTCCAGCTACTCAGGAGGCTGAGGCGGGAGGATCTCTTGAGCCCAGGAGGTCAAGGCTGCAGTGAGCCATAATCATGCTATTGCACTCTAGCCTGGGTGACATAGCGAGTCTCTGTCCCAAATATGAACTCTTTAGTAAAGGATTCTGGGGTATAACACTTTCTGTATAGAAAAAATAAAGTTAAATGATTTCCTACACTGTACACAGAAATATATTCCAAGTGAATTACTTTGGTGTGTAAAACAAAACTTTAAAATATTTGAAGAAAATATAAATATTTTTATGATTATAGGGAATAAAGGCTCTTAAGACACAAAAAACTAATAAAAATTTTTGAGTTTGATTACATAAAAATTAAACTTCTGCATTACAAAAGATAACATAAAACTAAAGTGGTACATTACGGAAGATATTTGTCGTAGACTAAGTTATATGAATGGGAATTATGTTAGGAGATACAGAGTGGCAAATTTTTGAATTTTTAGAATGAAAATCTATCCTCGCCGGGCGTGGTGGCTCCCAGCACTTTGGGAGGCCGAGGTGGGTGGATCACCTGAAGTCAGGAGTTCGAGACCAGCCTGACCAACATGGTGAAACCCTGTCTCTACTAAAAATACAAAAAATTAGCTGGGTGTGGTGGCGGGCGCCTGTAATCCCAGCTACTCGGGAGGCTGAGGCAGGAGAATCGCTTGAACCTGGGAGGCGGAGGTTGCAGTGAGCCGAGATTGCACGCCACTGCACTCCAGCCTGGGTGATAGAGTGAGACTCTGTCTCAAAAAAAAAAAAAAAAAAAAAAAAATCTATCCTCATTCACTGTTTTTCAGCTTCAAGGGTTTTTGACTAAGTATTGACTGCCTCTCTCTTGAGGTGATCCTTCCTCCCTCCCTTTCCCTGTCTCGAGCTATTCTCATGCGTCAGCCTCCCAAGTAGCTGGCACTAGGGGTGTGTGCTACCTGGCCTGAGTCAACCCATTACTTAGTCTTTTATTCAGACAATTAGCAAATGTTACTAAGGACCTGTAAGACAGCACATTATTCTGATGACTTCCCAGTAATGAGGTATTGATAAAGGAAAGAGACCCCTCTGAGTGAGGTACAAGATTGTGGTGTTTAGTTTTATGTAACTGTGACATCTGGACACCTCCTCTTGTACTTTATCAACTTTCCCCTTTAAAATAATTTGCTAGTACCTTCCTGTTATAAGAGTAAGGGGGGGTGTCATTAGCAAAGAAAGCATCTGTTGAACATCCTAGCAATTCTATAAGGTCGCTGTTGAACATCCTAGCAGTTCTACAAGGTCAGCCAATTTTTTTTTTAACTTAAAAATCAAAGAAGAAAAGGTTATGTAACTAAGCATGTTACATGGTTTGTGGTGATTGTAAATTCTGTGAAAATTGACATTGTGGTCAGTAGTGGCTTTTTTTTTTTTTTTAATGGAGTTTTGCTCTTGTTGCCCAGGTTGGAGTGCAGTGGTGCGATCTCAGCTCACCACAACCTTTGCTTCCCGGGTTCAAGCGATTCTCCTGCCTCAATCTCCCAAGTAGCTGGGATTACAGGCATGCGCCACCACGCCTGACTAATTTTGTATTTTTAGTAGAGACGGGGTTTCTCCATGTTGGTCAGGCTGGTCTCGAACTCCCAACCTCAGTTGATCCCAAAGTGTTAGGATTACAGGTGTGAGCCACCACACCCAGCCAGTAGTGGCTTTTTAACCTCTCAGGCTGGAGTACAGTGGCACGATCACGGCTCACTGCAGCCTTGACCTCTGGGTTTCAAGCAGTCCTCCTACCTCAGCTCCCCAGATAGCTGAGACTACAGGCACGCACAACCATACCTGGCTAATTTCTGTATTTTTTGTAAAGGCAAGGTTTCACCATGTTGCCCAGGCTGGTCTCGAACTCCTAGCCTCAAGCGATCCTCCCACCTCGACCTACCAAACTACGAGGCCTTTCTCAAAAAAAGAAAATGATAATATCCTGTTGTCATTCATTCAGCTACTATTTAGTAACAGCAAAGAAACAACAACAAATAAGTTATAATCACTGTTTTGAAGAAGTTCTGTAGTCTAGTTGAAGAAACAGTTGTTTGTATATAATTATGATTTGACTTCTGGCAGAATAGTCAACCATCTATTCCAAGGAGTCATTTTGTTATAAAATAACTACATCCTTGACAAAACTTAAGCAGAACCAAAAACAGTGGATGTATTAGAATGGCAAAGCTAACATTAACCAGCATGCCGATAACATTAATACTATGTGATTTTGGCATTTAAACTAGGCTCTGGAGAAGGGCAAATGTGCTCTTGTGTAATTAGCTCCCCCTGGCTTCTGAGATATAGTTGTTCTATATGAACACATTTTCTGTTTAGGCCACAAGGAATCCCATAGGTTAAAAACAAACGTGCTCACAGTGAAAGATCTCTGAACACACAGAAAAACAGACCACCACAATTGACAATCCATCGATTTAGTTCCTTCCCAAATGAGTTTCAGAGATTGGAATTATCAGACAGAATGTGTAGAGTAATGTATATGAAATGTTAGAGGAAGATTAAATGGAATAACAAAATGAACAACAGGTAAGATATTTGGACAGATGGAAAAAAATAATCTATAGGAACTCTTGAAAGAGAATACGCAAGAATGTAGTTCTGAAGACATCAGAATGCAACAGGAGAAATAAGGAGTGGGGAAAATGAAAAATGAAGGCCAGCCGTGGTGGCTCACACCTATAATCCCATCATGTGAGGCCAAAGTGGGAGAATCACTTGAGCCCAGGAGTTCAAGACCAGCCTGGGCAACAGTGGGACCTCATTTCTATAAAAAAAATACAAATTAGGCAGGTGTGGTGGTGTGTACTTACAGTCCCAGCTACTCAGGAGGCTGAGGCGGGAGGATCATTTGAGCCTGGGAGATTCTGTACAAAAGGAGAGAACTTTTGAGTTCTTTAGAAGATAACACTGTCTGGCTGGGCGTGGTGGCTCACGCCTGTCATCCCAGCACTTTGGGAGGCTGGGGCAGGCGGATCACCTGAGGTTGGGAGTTCGAGACCAGCCTGACCAACATGGAGAAACCCCGTCTCTACTAAAAATACAAAATTAGCCGGACCTGGTGGCGCATGCCTGTAATCCAGCTACTCGGGAGACTGAGGCGGGAAAATCGCTTGAACCGAGAGGTGGAGGTTGCGGTGAGCTGAGATCGCGCCGTTGCACTCCAGCTTGGCCAACAAGAGCGAAACTCCATCTCAAAAAAAAAAAGATAACACGGGCTGAGAACACCCTAAAAGTGATGAAAAATATGAATCTAAGATAAAGGAAGCAATAACATATACTAAATAGCATAAATAAAAATTTTATACCTAGTTATTGTAATGAAATTATAAAACAAGCAGTTTTAAAAGCATCCAGAGTTTACATCTACTAGGGTAACTATAATTCAAAACAAACAAACAACTAGAAAATGACAAGGCTTAGAGAGGATGTGGAAAAATTGGAACCCATTTACATTTCTTGTAGTAATGTAAAATGGTGCAGTTGCTGTGGAAAACAGTTTGGTGGTTCCTCAAAAATTAAACATAGAATTACCACATGATCCAGCAGTTCTACCTCTAGATATATACCCCAAAAGAAATGGAAACAGAGACTTAAACAGATATTTGTATAGGCATGTTCATAGCAGCATTATTCACAGTAGTCAAAAGGAAGAACAGTCTACATGTTTGTCAGTGGATGAATGGATAAACAGTGTGATGTATACAAACATGGAATATTATTCAGTCTTAAAAAGGAAGGATTTTTTTTTTTTTTTTTTTTTTTTGAGACGGGGTTTTGTCCTTGTTGCCCTGGCTGGAGTTCAACAGCACAATCTCGGCTCGCTGCAACTTCCGCTTCCCGGGTTCAAGCAATTCTCCTGCCTCAGCCTTCTGAGTAGCTGGGATTACAGGCGCGCGCCACCATACCCAGCTAATTTTTGTATTTTTAGTAGAGACAGGGGTTCACCATGTTGGTCAGGCTGGTCTTGAACTCCTGACCTTAGGTGACCCACCCATGTCAGCCTCCCAAAGTGCTGGGATTACAGGCGTGAGCCACTGCGCCCGGCCAAAAAGGAAGGAAATTCTAATACATGCCGCAGCATGGGTGAACTTTGATGACATTATGCTAAGTGAAACACGCCTGTCACAAAAAGACAAGTATTATATGATGCCACTTACATCAGTCACCTTCAGTAGTCAAATTCAGAGACAGGAAGTAGAATCATGGTTGCTGGAGAAAGGGGAGAATTGGGAGTTATTGTTTAGTGGATATAGTATACCAATTTGGGAAAATAAAGTTTTGGAGTTTGGTTGCACAACAGTGTGAATGTACTTAACTTTTGAACTGTACACTAAAAAAATGGTTAAGGTGGTAAATTTTACGTGTATTTTACCACAATTTTCCTTAAAAAAGGAATGACATTACACTTTCTTCTGGGTGATGGAACAAGACCCTAAATCTTAAAAAAAAAAAAAAAAAGAAAGAAAAGTCTGATAAATGCTACAAAATGGTTGAACCATGAAAACATGCTGAAATAAGCCAGACACAAAAGGACAAATATTGTATGATTACATTTATCAAAATACCTAGAATTGTTAGGTCCATAGAGAGAGATTAAAGGTTATCAGGAGCTGGGAAAAAGAGATAAGGGGGAGTTATTGGTACAGAGTACTGTAGTCTGAATATTTATGTCCCCCCGAAATTCATATGTTGAAACCTAGTCCTTAATGTGGTAGTATTAAGAGGTGGAGCCTTTGGGAGGTGATGAGGTCTAAGGGAGGTAGTGAAAAATTTTGGAAATAGTAGTGAGAATTGCACAACATTGTGAATGTAGTTACTGCCACTGAATTGTACATTTAATGGCTGAAATGGCACACTTTATGTTACATATATTTAATCACAATAAGAAAATGATAAAAAAAAAAAAGCCAAAAAAAAAAAAGATCAGTATAAAAGGACTACAATTAAAGAGTAATAATTGGAGCTGCGCATGGTGGCTCACACGTGTAATCCTGACAAGTTGGGAGGCTGAGGTGGGAGGATTGCCTGAGCCAAGGAGTCTGCAACCAGCCTGGGCAACATGGTGAGATTCCGTCTCTAAAAAAACATGAAATTTAGCCAGGTGTGGTGGCATGTGTTTATAGTCCCAGCTACTCAGGAGGCTGAGGTGGGAGGATCACCTAAGCCTGGGAGATTAAGGCTGCAGTGAGCCGAGATTGCACCACTGTACGCCAGCCTGGGGGACCAGAGTGAGACCCTGTCTCAAGGTGAGGGGGTTGGGGGAAAAGTATAATTGGAATGATTGTAACACAAAGAAATGATATATGTTTGAGGTGATGGCTACCCTATTATATACTCTGATGTCATTATTACACACTATATCAACATATCTCATGTACCCCCAAAAGATACATACCTACTATGTACCCATAAAAATTTTTTTAAATTTTTAAAAAGGACTACAATTAAACTGATGACAGACTTCTCAGCAGCGGCAGTGGAAGCCAGAGGCAGTTGTGAAAAATATTTTTATAGCATTGATAGAAAGTAGCTGTCAGTGTAGATTTGCATACAAAGCAAAACTACTTTCAAGAACCAGGAAAACATAAAGACAGAAACAAAAACAGAAATTTACCATCAACAGACAGACCCTCTCTCTCTCTGTCTGTATATATAATATATAATATATATATACTATATATACACACACACACACACAGACATAATTTTTTTTTTTTTTTTTTTTTTTGAGACGGAGTCTCGCTCTGTCACCCAGGCTGGAGTGCAGTGGCGCAATCTCAGCTCACTGCAAGCTCCTCCTTCCAGGTTCATGCCATTCTCCTGCCTCAGCCTCCCGAGTAGCTGGGACTACAGGCGCCCGCCACAACGCCCAGCTAATTTTTTGTATTTTTAGTAGAGATGGGGTTTCACAGTGTTAGCCAGGATGGTCTCAATCTGCAGACCTCGTGATCCGCCCGCCTCGGCCTCCCAAAGTGCTGGGATTACCATAGTTTTTTTTTTAACCAAGAAGCACTGAACCATCACCAAACTTCTAAATAAGTTTTACACTGGGAAGTTAGCAATATATATAATATGTATAATATATGTAATATAATATACATAATATGTTATATATATGTTATATATACATAATGTTATATATAGTTATATTATGTGTATATGTACATATGTATGTATATATAGTGTGTATACACACACACACACACAGAGGCATATAATTTGTTTTTTAACCAAGAAGAAGCACTGAACCATCAATAGACTTAATAAGTGAGTTTTACTCTGAGAAGTTAGCAATAAGGATGGTGAGTCATGCTAGCAGTAAAATACATGAAATATCTGGCCAGGCATGGTGGCTCATGCCTGTAATCCCAGCACTTTGGGAGGCTGAGGCGAGCAGATCACTTGAGGCCAGGAGTTCAAGACCAGCCTGGCCAACGTGGCAAAACCTGTCTCTACCAAAAAATACAAAAATTAGCTGGGCATGGTGGTGTATGCCTTGTAATCCCAGCTGCTGGGGAGGCTGAGGCAAGAAAATTGCTTGAGCCTGGGAGGCGGAGGTTGCAATGAGTTGAGATCGTGCAACTGCCCTCCAGCCTGGGCGGCAGAGCAAGACTGTCTATGTATATATATATGTAAACAGTTTTTAAGAATTTTAAGAACAGTTAAAGCTGTTCTTAGATATTTAAGAACAGCCTTAACAGAAAATATGAGAAACTCTTATGAATAAAGTTTAGGAACGTTAAGTATAAATTTATAAATACTAATGGAGTATTGTGTAGTCATTAAAAGTAATGTTTAGGGCTGGGCCCTGTGGCTTACACCTGTAATCCCAACACTTTGGGAGGCCGAGGCGGGTGGATCATTTGAGGTCAGGAGTTCAAGACCAGCCTGGACAACGTGGTGAAACCCTGTCTCTACCAAAAATACAAAAATTAGCCAGGTGGTAGTGGTGTGCATCTGTAATCCTAGCTACTCGGGAGGCTGAGGCAGAAGAATCACTTGAGCCTGGGAGGTGGAGGTTGCAGTGAGCCAGGATCACGCCACTGCACTCCAGTCTGGGTGACAGAGTGAGACCCTATCTCCAAAAATAGAAATAAAAAAGAAAGAAAGGAATAGTTATAAAGAGTTGATTGGAACATGGGGAAATGTTTGTTAAGTGAAAATAACAGAATAGAATTTTTTTTGTGTGAAGAGAGGGCATACTTTGTTTCATTGTGCATTGCAGGTAATGTGGTTGTTTTTAGAAACTGAAGGTTTGTAGCAACCCTGTGCCTATTGGTGCTATTTTTCCAACATATGCTCATTCATGTCTCTGTGTCACATTTTGGTAATATTTGCAACATTTCAAATTTTTATTGTATCTGTTATGGTGATCTGTGATCAGCGATGTTACTATTATAATTGTTTTTACATATTCCTAACTTCGTCCATGTAAGACCGTGAACTTAATTGATAAATGTCGTGTGTTTTCTGATTGCACTAACCCACCATTCCCCATCTCTTTCTATCTCCTGGGACCTCCTTATTCCCTGAGACACCACAATATCGAAATTAGAACAATTAATAGCCCTACAGTGGCCTCTCAGTGTTCAAGTGAAAGGAAGAGTCACACATCTTTTGCTTTAAATAAAAAACTAGAAAAGATTAAGCTTAGTGAGTAAGGCATGTTGAAAGCCAAGATAGGCTGAAAGCTAGGCCTCTTGCACCAGTTAGCCAGGTTGTGAATGCAAAGTTCTTGTAGGAAATTAAAAATGCTACTGTAGTGAACACATGAATGATAAGAAAGCAAAATAGCTTTATTGCTAATATGGAGAAAGTTAGTGGCCTGGATAGAAGATCAAGCCAGATACAACATAAAGCCAAAGCCTAATCCAGAGCAAGGCCCTAACTCTCCTCAATTCTATGAAGGTTGAGAGAGGTGAGGAAGCTGTGGAAATAGGTTCATGAGATTTAAGGAAAGAAGTCATCTCTATAACACAAAAGTGTAAGATGAAGCAGCAAGTGCTGATGTAGAAGCAGCAGCAAGTTGTCCAGAGCTTCAGCTAGGATCACTCATGAAGGTGGCTCCAGTAATCAGCAGATTTTCAAGGTAGATGAAACAGCCTTCTGTTGGAAGATGCCATGTAGGACTCTCATAGCTAGAAGGAAGTCAGTCCTTGCTTCAAAGCACAGGCTGACTCTCTTGTTAGGAGCTAATACAGCTGTCTGGCAACTTTGAGTTGAAGCCACTGTTCATATACAATTCTGAAAATCCTAGGGCTGTTAAAAATTATGCTAAATCTATTCTGTCTGTGCTCTGTAGATGGAACAGCAAAGCCCAGGTGACAGCACATCTGTTTACAGTGTGGTTTGCTGAATATTTCAAGCCCAATGTTGAGACCTGCTCTTGTTCAGGGAAAAAAAAAAAAAAACACAGATTCTTTACAAAATATTACTGTTCATTGACAATGCACCCAGTCACCCAAGAGCTCTGATGTATAAGGAGATTGATGTTATTTTCTTGCTTGCTAACACAACATTTATTCTGCCCATGGTTAAAGGAGTAATTTGACCTTTCAATTCTTGTTGTTTAAGAAATACAAACCGGCCGGGCATGGTGGCTCATGCCTGTAATCCCAGCACTTTGGGAGGCCGAGGCAGGCAGATCACGAGGTCGGGAGATCGAGACCATCCTGGCTAACACCGTGAAACCCCGTCTCTACTAAAAATACAAAAAATTAGCTGGGCGTGGTGGCAGGCGTCTGTAGTCCCAGCTACTCCGGAGGCTGAGGCAGGAGAATGGGGTGAACCCTGGAGGTGGAGCTTGCAGTGAGCCAAGATCGCCACTGCACTCCAGCCTGGGCAACAGAGCAAGACTCCGTCTCAATTAAAAAAAAAGAAATACAGGGCTGGGCATGGTGGCTCACACCTGTAATCCCAGCACTTTGGGAGGCCAAGGCTAGTGGATGGATCACTTGAGGTCAGGAGTTCAAGACCAGCCTGGCCAACATGGTGAAACCCCGTCTCTACTAAAAATAAAAATTAGCCAGGCATGGTGGCACACGCCTGTAATACCAGCCACTCAGGAAGCCGAGGCAGGACAATTGCTTGAACCCAGGAGGCAGAGGTCGCAGTGAGCTGAGATCGCGCCATTGCACTCCAGCCTGGGCAACGAGCAAAACTCCGTCTCAAATAAAAAGAAAAAATACAGGCTGGGCACGGTGGCACACGCCTGTTATCCCAGCACTTTGGAAGTCCGAGATGGGAAGATCTCTAGAGCTCAGGAGTTTGAGATCAGCCTGGGCAACATTGCGAGACGTAGTCTCTATTATTAAAAAAAGAAAGAAAGACATTTTGTAAGGCTATAGTTGCCGCTAATAATGATTCCTTTTATGGATCTGGGCAAAGGAAATTGAAAACCTTCTGGAAAGGATTCACCATTCTAGATGGCATGAAGAACATTTGTGATTCATAGGGAGAGGTCAAAATATCAACATTAAGGCCAGGCATGGTGGCTTTTAACACCTGTAATCCCAACACTTTGGAGGCCAAGGCAGGCAGATCACGAGGTCAAGAGATCGAGACCATCCTGGCCAACATGGTGAAACCTTGTCTCTACTAAAAATACAAATATTAGCTGGGTGTGGTGGTGCATGCCTGCAGTCCCAGCTACCATGATCAGTCATCATCAAGGCAAGACCCTCCACCAGCAAAAAGAATATGATTTGCTGGAGACTCAGATGATTGTTAAGAGTTTTTTAGCTATAAAGTATTTTTTTAACTAACATATGGATATTGTTTTTAATACATAATGCTATTGCACACTTAATTGACTATAGTATAGTGTAAATGTAACTTTTTAAAAATTTATTGGTTTGTTTTTAGAGACAGAGTCTTACTCTGTCACTCAAGCTGGAGTGCAGTGGTGTTGTCAGGGCTCACTGCAGACTCGAACCCCTGGTCTCAACCGATTCCCCCACCTCAGCCCTCCAAGTGGCTGGGACTACAGGTGTGCCCCACCACATCTGGCAAGTTTTTGTATTTTTTGCAGAGATGGGGTTTCGCCACGTTGCCCAGGCTGGTCTCAAACTCCTGGGCTCAGGTGATCCGCCAGCTTCAGCCTTCCAAAGTGCTAGAACTGCAGGCGTGAGCCACCGTGCCCAGCCTAAACTTTACAATTTTCTAGAGGTTTATTAACCAGAAAGAACAGACTCTGTTGTCACTTCTTATATTTTTTATGCTGAGATTCTTTCTGTCATTATTTAAAAAAAAAAAAAAAAAAAAGTTGAGCCAGGAACCGTGGCTCACGCCTGTAACCCCAGCACTTTGGGAGGCCGAGGCAGGCAGATCATGAGGTCAGGAGTTTGAGACCAGCCTGGCCAATACGGTGAAACCCCATCTCAACTAAAAAAATATATATACAAAAATTAGCCGGGCATGGTGTCACTGGCCTGTAGTCCCAGCCACTTGGGAAGCTGAGGCAGAAGAATCGCTTGAACTTGGGAGGCGGAGGTTGCAGTGAGCGGAGGTGGTGCCACTGCACTCCGGCCTGGGCGACAGAGCAAGACTCATCTCAAGAAAAGAAAAGAAAAAAAGTCATGCGTTGCTTAACATCAAGAATATGTTCTGAGGCCAGGTGCGGTGGCTCACACCTGTAATCCCAGCACTTTGGGAGGCCAAGGCGGGCAGATCACTTGAGGTCGGGAGTTCAAGACCAGCCTAACCAACATGGTGAAACCCCGTCCCTACTAAAAAAAAATACAAAATTAGCTGGGCGTGGTGGCAGGCGCCTATAATCCCAGCTACCCCGGAGGCGGAGGCAGGAAAATCGTTTGAACCCAGGAGGCGGAAGTTGCAGTGAGCCGAGATCGCACCATTGCACTCCAGCCTGGGTGACAGAGCAAGACTCTGTCTTCAAAAAAAAAAGAGTATGTTCTGAAAAATGTGTCATTAGGGAATTTTATCCTTTGAACATCCTAGAGTGTACTTAAATAAACGTAGATGGCATAGCCTACTAAAAACCGAAGCTATGTTGTGTAGCCTATTGCTCTTTGGCTGTAAACCTGCACTGCATGTCACTGTATTGAATACTATAGGCAGCTGTAACAATGGTAAGTACATATCTAAACTTTTTTTTTTTTAAACGGAGTCTCACTCTGTCTCCAGGCTGGAGTGCAATGGCGCAATCTCAGCTCACTGCAACCTTCGACTCCTTGGTTCAAGCAATTCTCCTGCCTCAGCGTCCCGAGTAGCTGGGATTACAGGCATGTGCCACCGCACCCAGCTAATTTTTGTATTTTTAGTAGAGACGGGGTTTCACCATGTTGGCCAGGATGGTCTCGATCTCTTGACCTTGTGATCCGCCTCCCTCGGCCTCCCAAAGTGCTGCGATTACAGGCATGAGCCACCACACCCGGCCGTATCTAAACATTATAGAACACAGAAAATTGTGAAAAGTATAAAGAAAAATCCACTCACTTTCACCAAATGGAGATTTACAAGATAACAATTTCAGCATTACTATCTTACAGTCTTTTTCTTCTATAAATGTTAGTATTGTATTTGAAACCAGTCACACACATAGTCAGGCATACCTTAGAGATATTGAGATTTCAGTTCCAAACCACCACAATAAAGCAAATATTGCAATAAAGCATGTCACACGCAGGTGGATCGCTTGAGCCCAGGAGGCTGAGGCTGCGGCTGCAGTGAGCCAAGATCATGCCACCATAGTTCAGCCTCGACAACTGAGTGAGACCCTGTCTCAAAAAAAAAGAAAATTGTAAGGTTTAATACAATTTTCTCTGTTTCTTACATAAGCCATTCTTAGGCAAGAAAAAAATTCTTTGTGAACACATGATGTTATGGATTCATAGGCTCTCATCCTTGAAAGAGGCCTTAAGTTTGACATAGCTTTTTTTTTTTTTTGTCTTCAATCTCCATATGGTTTGGTGGATTCACTTAAGGAGAGGTTACATTCCTGTTTTGTCTTTTGATAGATCTATGAAATTATTAGAATGGTTTCTGTTCTTTGGCAGATCTGCTAGAATAAAATTTCTTTTCTCTACGGCTTCATACTTTTGTCCTTGTTTTGCTTCCTGAGATCACACCAGTTTGATTCCTCTCCCTGACAATGGTTACGCCCTTCCTGCATTGTTTTTTATTTCTTCTGCATTTCACGTAAGACATAATTAAAATCTTTACTTAAATTATTAACTTTATTGGTAATTATTTCTCATTCACTTCTACTTTAACACTTTTTTTTTTTGAGACAAGGTCTTGCTCTGTGGCCCAGGCTGGGTTGCAGTGTTGTGATCACCAGTCAGTACAGTACAGATCCTCTTGCCTCAGACTCCCATGTAGCGGGTACTACAAATGTGTGCCACCACATGTGGCTAATTTTTTCATTTTTAGTAGAGATAAGGTCTCTCTCTGTTTCTCAGGCTGGTCTTAAACTTCCAAGCTCAAGTGATTTTCCCACCTCGGCCTCCCAGAATTGGCCAGACTGGTCTCAAACTCCTGACCTCAGGCAATCCATCCACTACGGCCTCCCACAATTGGCCAGACTGGTCTCGAACTCCTGACCTCAGGCAATCCATCCACCTCGGCCTCCCAAAGCGCTGGGATTACAGGCGTGAGCCACTGTGCCCAGCCAACATTGTTTAAAGTTAGGTAGCCAACTTGAACCTGAAGCTCATCTGTGAACCAAACAGAATAAACCAATACCCTTTACTTCCCTCATTGTTACTATGTATTCTCATAGTATTATGTAATAGTTTTTTAGAAAACATGTTACAGTATGTGATTGGTTCATGATTTTTTCTAAACCTTTAAAAAATGAAAAAATACAGCATTGCTAAACCTTGTCTTCTCATTCAGTACTAGTGTAATTGTGTTTTAGAATGCCAGTTGTGTCTGCACATTCCCAGCCCTCTCAAGTTCATATCCATCAAAGCTGTCAGTATGTCATCTGTAGCTTCATCTATGTCATTTACAAAAGTGTTGAATTGGTAATTATTTTAAGTTTAAGTTAAAATAATCTTAAAGTTTAAGATTTCTTTAGTCCTGGATATTATAGAAAAAAGGTTTTGAAATAAACATCAGAAGAAATTTGGAAAATAATTTTATTGATAACTTTATTTTCAGATTTCTAGTTTGGAGTAGAAGTCAAGGTTTTTATAGTCTGTATTACTTTTTCTTTGTTTTCAGGGATCCATCTGTCTCTAAGTCTGTAGAACGAATCTTTAAAATCTGGGAAGATAGAAATGTATACCCAGAAGAAATGATTGTGGCATTGAGAGAAGCTTTGAGTAAGTGTCTTTTTCTCTCCTAAAAGAAAATTTTTGAGTCAGTCTTTACAATTACATAATTTTATAGATCTGGTCATGTTGTATAATAGTGAAAAATTAAGTTTTGAATCTAGCCCTATTTGTTTAAAGTTAAATATTTATGAAAAATCTAGATCTGTTTGAATTAAAATGTAAGTAGAATTGGTTTTAGGGATGGGGTCGGATTTTGTTTTTTAGTGACTACAAAAGTCAAGCATGTTAAGTGGTAATAGCCATCTGGTTATTTTCCTGCATTTGCGTTGAGTGTTTCAAATGGTTCATTGTTTGTGTTAATAAATACTGCCCTGTGCCCTTACTGTTGGAGAATTTTTGCACAGGGTGTCAGTTCTTACTAAGCTGTTTGGTAGTAAGCATATATCAGCAGTCTTTAGACTGTCTTTTGATTTAGATTTACAGTAAGTGGTGTACTGTTTTGTTAAAAGGAATTATGTATTATATGCATGTAATTAAGTTATTGAACAGAAGTTTGTGATAATCTGCTACCATGACCGTCATTTTACTAGAAATTTGCTTTAAAAATGGCATCTTCTAAGAAGCTGTTAAATTCTTCATTTTAATTTGTTAATTGGTATTTTTAAGCCTCCTCCCCTATTCTTTTCAGAATTGGTAATTTCGCTGATGATAAAAATCGTGTTTATTTGACAGCTTCTTAGATCGGGTAGGAATTTCTATTTTTTCATAAAAATGAAAGAAAAGGAAAGAAAGAAACAACACACAGTCTCGGATTGCCTTTTTTCATGCTGCAACTTTGGCACTGAAGTGGACAGACAGAACAGCTTCCCATAATGCCAGATTGCAAAAACTGAAATGTTTTCCAGGTACCACTTTCAAAACTCAGAAGCAGCTGAAAGAAAATCTGAACAAACAACCGAATAAGCAGTGGAAGAAATCACAAAGTAAGGAACAAAATCTCAACTAATATAAAATTACCTCCTCTTTTTGGAGCAGAAGAAAATGTAGACCATTTGACATCGTACCTGGCATAAACCATGGGCAAGCCTGTTTTCCAGGTCTGGGAGGCTCCCAGTGACCTATGCTAAACAAGCCATCATGGAGATACTTCTAAAAAAAAAAAAAAAAGCAAACAAAAACTACACTTTAAAACAAAGGAAATGCAGAAAAGGGTTTAATTGAGTGAAGATTCAAGAGTAGTTGGGGGATTGCAAGAAGAAAAAAATACTTGATAGTGTCCAGGATAATTTTCAGGTTCAAGGATATATGATGTTAGAGGCAGCTGGCATTAAACAACAGATCTGAAGAGGAGACTAGGCATTAAGAAGCATTTCTGTGGGAACCATGAAATCTCCAGATTTGGGGGATATACTCTACCAAATTAGACATGGACCTCAGATCCTGGCCAGAAGCTCATTCTGTAATGGGAGCTCCTGTTATATTTATCGTATTTACCCAGCATGAGATCAAGGGAATGGAATACTGCATGTGATAGGCTGCTGTGGGCAAACTGAGGAATATTGAGAGAGACTTGAAGGTGTGGAGGGAACAAAGTAAAAGACAGTGAGAATTGGGAGGTGAAACGAGATACTTGGGATGGTTTTGCTCCAGCGAGCATATGATATCCATCATGATTAAGGGAGTCCTCAGACATCTTCTTGGTCATAAGTTGCATGCTTAGGAACAACAGGAGTCGTCATTTCAGCCAAAGTTCCACCACAGTATTAATATACCTAGAAGTTTCCTTGCCTATTTTTGCTATGAATTGAGTCAGCAGAAAAAGAAATTCAAAGGATAAATTTATAGGAATAGAGTTATTTGTCACCAATTTTCTTCAGCCAGTGCTCAGGATTAATTGGATGTCCTGTTCCTGAACACTCTTAATTTGAGGTATTTAGATCCTGTTACACCCAGACTAGGAAAAAAAGGTACTTGATGTATCTCGGTGTCTCCAAATCAATAATTCTAGGACTTTATGACCTGAAGGGTCTGTTGGAGGTAAGTAGGTTAGGTCTGTCTAAATAGCGTATTTTTACATTGACCACATTTAGGAATGTTTAAATTTCCTAGTCCATTATTTATTTTAGGAATTATGACTTAAATGTGCATGTTTGCCATATGTTCAGAGTATATCTTTAACTATAGAGCTAAAATTTTTCCTGTTAGTCAACTTTTTGTGTCTGTATTCTTAATGACCTTTTGTTTAATTCCAACAGCATCTACAAATCCAAAAGCTGCTCTCAAGTCTAAGATAGTTGCTGAATTTCGAGTAAGTTACAGAATTTGTTTAATATAGCAAAGTATTATTCACCCCTTTTGTATTATAGTTTCCTGTATAGTCCAATAAGATTTATCTGTATTCAATTACACATGTCATGTTTTAAACATGCATGAACTGTTCTAAAGGAACCCAGATTGGGATTAGATTGCTTGGCGTTTTATCTGTTCCCCTAATGGTAGAAATAACCTTCTTCCAGTATATCTATTATCAGCTGAGTTGCATATTCAATTTATGCCAGCAAGAGAGTTTATTTTCCTGTGAAACTCTTTCTAAATTAGAATTTGCTTAGAATAACAGAAGGCTATGTTTATGTAATTAAAATTTAGAGAGGCTATATAAATGGACCTTTGTCTGTTTTAGTCTTAATTCTGTATCCATAAATTAGCTTTGTGTAATGAAGGAAAAGGATCTTTTAAAGTCTGTAACTAGGCTGGGCGCGGTGGCTCACGCCTGTAATCCCAGCACTTTGGGAGGCCGAGGTGGGCGGATCACGAGGTCAGGAGATCGAGACCATCCTGGCTAATACGGTGAAACCCCGTCTCTACTAAAAATTAAAAAAAAAAAAAACAAAAATTAGCTGGGCGTGGTGGCGGGCGCCTGTAGTCCCAGCTACTCAGGAGGCTGAGGCAGGAGAATGGCATGAACCCGGGAGGCGGAGCTTGCAGTGAGCCGAGATCGTGCCACTGCACTCCAACCTGGGCGACAGAGCGAGACTCCATTTCAAAAAATAAATAAATAAATGAAGTCTATAACTAAACATGGTTTTGACATGATAATTGATCATTAATATCTGTCACCATGAGAAAAAGTGAAAAGTTTTTTTCCTCCCAGGGTTTTGTTAAGCTTTAGGGTGTTTGTTTTGTTTTGTTTTGTTTTGTTTTACAAAATGAGGAGAGAGAGAATGAGAATAATTGAATGATCTTGTAAATGAAATATGACTCTGGTCTGTGTTTAGTCTCAGGCCCTAATTGAAGAGCTGTTGCTATACAAGCGCTCAGAAGATCAGATAGAACTGAAGGAAAAGCAGTTGTCAACTATGAGGGTGGATGTGTGCAGCACAGAAACTCTCAAATGCTTAAAAGGTAATGCTTACATCCTTTTAGAGTAAGTCAGATTTTCTTTCCATATGTGTCATTTTTCCAGTAATCATACTGGTTTACCTCATAAGGAGATCCTTGGGTAGAAAGCAGTTGTGGCACCTCTGGTTTCCCAGGTAGTTATTTCATGCATATAAATTTCATAAGTAAATTCTGTTGTTCTCATTTCTAGTACTTTCTTGGTGTACTAGGTTATATATAGACAGTTGTATTTCACATGTATGGTTAATTGGTATGGGTATGCTCTTTAATGAAGTCACTCTAATGCCTCATAAAATCTAGTTAGACCATCTAGTTTCCTTGCATTGTAAATTGTAAATCATACTAATAATTTATTATAATGTAAGCCTCATGAAGGCAGAAATTATATTGATTTGTTCATTGCTATACCCTGGCACCTAGAACAATGCTTGGCACATAATAGATATTTGATGAATATTTTTGAAATAATAAGTAAATGACTACTAGCTATTAATTTTGGCACCAATTTTATTCCTGTGCCGTACTTTAAATTTAACAGACCAGACACAGTGCCTGTAATCTCAGCACTTTGGGAAGCCAGGGCAGGAGGACTGCTTGAGACCAAGAGTTTGAGACTAGCCTGGGCAACATAGTGAGACCCTGTCTCTACAAAAAAATTAAAACATTAATGAGCTTGGTGGCACACACCTGTAGTCCTAGCTGCTTGGGAGGCTGAGGCAAGCAGATTGTTTGACCCCAGGAGGCTGTAGTGAACTCTCATCATGTCACTGCACTCCAGCCTGGGTGACAGAAGAGACCGTCTCTAAAGAAAAATTTTTTAAAAACAAACAATTTAACATATATTACCTAATTCAATCCTCATAACAGAAAACATACTAAAAATCTCTATTTTATCACATGAGAGATCTGAGGTCTTGTAAGGAGATTAGTAGCTTACCCAAGTTACACAACTGATAAGAGGCAAAGCCAAACTTTATACTCATATCCAAAGCCATATTCTGCCAGTCACTGGGAAAGAAGTAGATATACTGAATTATCACGAATCTTTTTCAGATAGGAAAGAAGAACTTTTATTGTGATGCATACAGAGGTCACTTTATTTTTACTTTTCTGAACGTTACTTTTCTCGTTTAAGAGATAACATCTTACTACCTTCTGTAATGCAAAAGTTATGGTATAAGCGAATACAGTTGAGCTTCATTCTGTTATTCCTAAGTAAGTAGCAGTGTGGAATCCAATTTGTGAAGAAAATAATTAATCAACAAACTCTTTTAGTTGAACTTTCTTTTCTTTACCTTAATTACAAGTGCCTTCACTCTGGCAGGTTCACATGAGTCTGTTCTGTAAAGAATTTTAATAATCTGTTTTGTGATTTTGTGATTTGGAGAAACTTGTTTAAGATAAAATTGTGAGGCCGGGCACGGTGGCTCACAACTGTAATCCCAGCACTTTGGGAGGCCCAGGCAGGCGGATCACGAGGTCAGGAGCTCGAGACCATCCTGGCTAACACAGTGAAACCCCATCTCCGCTAAAAATACAAAAAATTAGCTGGGCGTGGTGGCAGGCGCCTGTAGTCCCAGCCACTCGGGAGGCTGAGGCAGGAGAGTGGCGTGAACCCGGGAAGCGGAGCTTGCAGTCAGCTGAGATCGCGCCACTGCACTCTAGCCTGGGCGACAGAGTGAGACTCCGTCTCAAAAAAAAAAAAAAAGAAAGAAACTAAGAGTATTAGAGTACTGCACAGTAAGGCAGCAAGAGTATGTTCACAAAGAGAGGTTTTCTTCAAAAGTCAAAAGACTAAATTTTTTTATTTTTTATTTTATCCTGAAATGAATATTTCCCATGTCATTTTAGATAAAACAGGTGGGAAGAAGTTCTCCAAAGAATTTGAAGAGGCAAGCTCCAAGCTGGAAGAATTTGTGAATGGATTAGATAAGCAGGTGAAAAACGGACCCTCATTAACAGAAGCACTGGAAAATGCTGGAATTTTCTATGAAGCACAATACAAAGAAGTAAAAGTGGTGGCTAATGTAAGTAATAATTAAAGCTGTCTTATACTGAATGCTTGTTACTATATTTCAGAGATTGTTAACATGCATTATCTAACTCTGTTAGGATATGCATTTTTATCTCCTTATCGCAGATGAAATTACTTTTGGGATAGGTGCTGTGGTACACACCTGTAATCCCAGCACTTTGGGAGGCTGAGGCAGGAGGATTGCTTGAGCCCAGGACTTTGAGACCAGCCTGGGCACCATGGTGAAACCATGTGTCTAGCAAAAAAGTACAGAAATTATCTGAGTGTGATCTCAGGCTTCAATGAGCTGTGATCACGCCACTGCACCCCAGCCTGGCCAACAAGAGTGAGACCCGTCTCAAAAAAAATAGAAGAAGAAATTATGAGGATTAGTAAACTTGTACAAGGTAATACAGCTAGTAAGTGGTAGAATAAGACCTGGGTCTTTTTTTTTTTTTTTTTGGAACGGAGTTTGTCGCTCTTGTTGCCCAGGCTAGAGTGCAGTGGTGCAATCTCAGCACACAGCAACCTCCGCCTCCCGGGTTCAAGCGATTCTCCTGCCTTAGCCCCGCTGAGTAGCTGGGATTACAGGCATGCACCACCATGCCCAGCTAATTTTGTATTTTTAGTAGAGACGAGGTTTCTCCATGTTGGTCAGGCTGGTCTCAAACTCCAACCTCGGGTGATCCGCCTGCCTTGGTCCCGCAAAGTGCTGGGATTACAGGCAGGAGCCACCGTGCCCGGCCCAATTTTTGTATTTTTAGTAGAGATGGGGTTTCTCCATATTGGTCAGGCTGGTCTTGAACTCCTGCCCACCTTGGCCTCCCAAAGTGCTGGGATTGCAGGTGTGAGCCACCGTCCCTGGCCTTACTTTTTTTCTTAACCAGAAAACTGGATGGAAACATCCTGTTACCAAATTTCATGTAAATTGACTGAATTAAGGAACTTTTTTTTTTTTTTTTTGAGACGGAGTTTCCCTCTTATTGCCTAGGCTGGAGTGTAATGGCGTGATCTCGGCTCACTTCAACCTCCGCCTCCTGGGTTCAAGTGATTCTCCTGCCTCAGCCTCCTGAGTAGCTGGGATTACAGGCATGTGCCACCACACCTAGCTAATTTCATATTTTTAGTAGAGATGGGGTTTCTCCATGTTGGTCAGGCTGGTCTCAAACTCCCTACCTCAGGTGATCCGCCCACCTCGGCCTCCCAAAGTGCTGGGATTACAGGCATGAGCCACCACACCCAGCCAGGGAACTTCTTTTTATTCCCCCAAGAAAGGGAGAGAGGTGATAAATGGGCATGTGTCTAATGACCTCTGAAAGAAACTAACTGTTCCATAATGAATTTTTTTTAAGTTTTAATCACTGTGTATCGCCGTAAAAGCATATGGTACTGTAGGTCCCACCAGTCCTACTTCGTAGAAGCAATCCCTTTTAATGAATTTTGCTATTTTTTTCTGGCATTTGCTCCCATATTTGTAAATGATTTGCCCATATTATTCTTTCTTGATTTATCCTATTTTAGAAATAGCTGTTAACTTCCTGATATGACAGATGTGGATTTAGCTTATACTCACCCGCCTTTCTCCTTCTCCCAGTTTTGTTGTGTAACTGTTTTAAATCTGTTATCTATAAATTAAAGGACTGTATTTACTATTTTTTGACCATTAACACTAGACTCCCTACTTCGTAAAATTTGGTTAGTAGCATCCCTATTTGCTCCCATTAGTTTTCATCTATCCCTTCAATTTTCCAGCTTCAATCAACTATATTTACTTTTTGTTGTTGTTGTCTTTTTTTTGAGATGGAGTCTCGCTTTGTCACCCAGGCTGGAGTGCAGTGGCGCACTCTTGGCCTCACTGCAACCTCCACCTCCTAGGTTCAAGTGATTCTCCTGCCTCAGCCTCCCGAGTAGCTGGGATTACAGGTGCATGCCATCATGCCTGGCTAATTTTTGGTTTTTTAGTAGAGACAGGGTTTCACCATGTTGGACAGGCTCGTCTTGAACTCCTGGCCTCAAGTGATCCACCCACCTCAGCCTCTCAAAGTGATGGGACCATAGGCATCAGCCACCACACCCAGCCAACTATATTTACTTCTGTATTGTCAAAGTTGGTAATATTTACATTCTGTTCTATAATCATACTTAATTACTCTTTGCTACTCTAAAGGTTGAAAAACAATTTTTCAAAAAGCTTACATTATAACTCTGTAAACATTGTTCATTGCAAGGTTTTGTGGTAACTATAGTTGTACTAGAAGTTTTGTTTTTTCCTAGAGTTTTGTTTTCTCTTTTATTGTTTGCCCTTGCATAGCCTTTCTAAATTCTCCATCACACCAGCTATTCTGAATTCCCTTTTCCCCCTGGGTCCTCCCTACCTGAATTTTCATTTTCCGTCCCCAGTTTAGGTTATTCCCTAAGTCTTAGGCTAAAATAGCTCTTAACTGTTGTCCTGAGTTGAGTCCTCTATTTTCCAGATTCCATGTCTTTTTTTCTTGGTTTCTATCATTGTACTGGAGCAGTCTCAAGTAATTTCCCAAAAAAAAAGTGTTTGTGAGAGGGAAATTTTGTCTGACCTTATATTTAGAAATGTCTTAGGCTGGGCACAGTGGCTCATGCCTGTAATTCCAACACTTTGGGAGGCTGAGGTAGGAGGATCACTTGAGGCCAGGAGTTCAAGATTAGCCTGGGCAACATTGTGAGACCCTTCTATACATTAAAAGAAGAAAGAAAAGGAAAAATACATTAAAATGTCTTAGATCATTGATTTTCTCCCCCTGCCCAACCCCGAATTGGCTAATGGATAAGCAGGTTGATTTTCAGCTTTTAGGAAATGTATACATTTAATACAGTAAATTTCCTTCTAAGTTGCATCCCATGAGTTTTTATATTTAAGTATATCTTTTGCAAAGAGCATATAGTTGGATCTTGTTTTAGTTTTATTGTTATGTTTTGATCTAGTCTGAAAATCTTTGACTTTGCAGTGTTTAGTCTACTTATTGATATGCTTGGGTTTAAGTCTACCATCTTTCTATTTGTCCTATGTGTCCTTTTCTTTGTTACTCCTTTTTTGCTTTTTTTAATTAATCAAATAATTTTTAGATTTCTATTTTGTCTCCTGTTTTTGCTTGCATGTACTCTCTCTTCCTCTCTTCCTTTCTCCATCCCTCTTCCTCCCTCCTTTCCTCTCCCTCCTTCCTTCTTTCTCCCTCCTTCCATCTCCCAGATTTCACCTTTTTATAAGGATACCAGTCATATTAGATTAGGGCCCATCCTGATGACCTCACTTAACTTGATTACCTCTGTAGAAATCCTGTCTTCAAATAATTCTGGGGTACTAGGAGTGAGGACTTCAACATATGAGTCAGGGGGTGCAGAGATAGATAATTCACCCATAACAAATGGCTTCGTGTTTTTTATAAATTTTCAAAAATTCTCAGCTATTGATCTCAATTATTGTTACTGTTTCATCTCCCTCCTCTCCTCTTGGAACTCACATTAGTATGTATATTGGATCTCATTGTTGTGTTCCAAATGCCTTTTTTTATAGTCCTTTCTGAATTTTCCATCTTTTATTTCTCTTCTCTGCTTCCTTCTAGATATTCTACTAACTAGTCTTGTAATTCATTAATACTTTATTCTGTTGAATCTTATCTATGATTAAACCAAACCCATCTGTTCTTAGTTGGTTTACTTTTCAGTTCTAGAATTGCCACTGAATTTTTTTAAAGAAAGAGTTCAATTTTCTGGTAAAATTTATTCATCTTTTTAAATCTCACCATTATGAAAGATCTTAAGTCCAGTATGAAGACCTTTTTTTCCTGAATTATTTGAAAATAAGTTGCTTGTACCCCATTATCCAAAATGTTTTAGTGTGTATTTCCTACTGGACATACTCTTCTACATAACCATCAGGTGTATGTATGTATTTATTTATTTAGCCGGGTGCGGTGGCTCACGCCTGTAATCCCAGCACTTTAGGAGGCCGAGGTGGGTGGATCACGAGGTCAGGAGATCAAGACCATCCTGGCTAACACGGTGAAACCCCGTCTCTACTAAAAATTAAAAAAAATTAGGTGGGCGTGGTGGCGGGAGCCTGTAGTCCCACTACTCCGCAGGCTGAGGCAGGAGAATGACGTGAACCCAGGAGGCGGAGCTTGCAGTGAGCCGAGATCGCGCCACTGCACTCCAGCCTGGGCGACAGAGCAAGACTCCGTCTCAAAAAAAAAAAAAAAAAAAAAAGTTATTTATTTAGAGACGAGTCTCACTGTGTCACCCAGGCTAGAGTGCAGTGGCGCAATCTCGGCTCACTGCAACCCCCGCCTCCTGGGTTCAAGCGATTCTTCTGCCTCAGCCTCCCGAATAGGTGGAACTACAGGCGCCCACCACCACTTTTTGTATTTTTAGTAGAGATGGGGTTTCGCCATATTGGCCAGACTGGTCTCAAACTCCTGACCTCAGGTGATCCACCTGCCTCGGCCTCTTAAGGTGCTGGGATTACAGGCGTGAGCCACCGTGCCCCTCCAGGTGTAGTTATATAATCAGGAAATTAATTGATACTTTGACACACTTATAATCTAATCCTCAGAACCGATTCATATTGGCCAGTTTTTATAGGAAAAGATCCTATCCAGAATCACAAGTTGCATTCGGTTGTCATCTCTCTTTATTCTCCTTTGATCTGGAACAGTTTCTTAGCTTTCTCCTTGATTTTCGTGACCTAAATATGTTTGAAGATTACAAGTCAAATATTTTGTATAATGTTTCCCAGTTTGAGTTTATTTGATATTTCTTTGTGATCAGGTTGAGGTTATGCATCTTTAGAAGGAATATCACAGAAGTGATTCTGTGTTCTTCATGTTTCGTCTTGTCAGATGGCACACAAGTTTGGTTTATCTCACTACCTGTAATGTTCCCCTTGATATTCTGATTAATGTGGCATCTTCCAGGCTTGTCCATTATAAAGTTTTCCCTTGGTGATTGTTATGGGTTAAATTATGCACCCCAGGCCGGGCGCAGTGGCTCAAGCCTGTAATCCCAGCACTTTGGGAGGCCGAGGCAGGTGGATCACGAGGGCAGGAGATCGAGACCATCCTGGCTAACATCGTGAAACCCCGTCTCCACTAAAAAATACAAAAAATTAGCCGGGCGCAGTGGCAGGCACCTGTAGTCCCAGCTACTTGGGAGGCTGAGGCAGGAGAATGGCGTGAACCTGGGAGGCGGAGCTTGCAGGGAGCCGAGATCGCGCCACTGCACTCCAGCCTGGGAGACAGAGCAAGACTCCGTCTCAAAAAAAAAAAAAAAAAAATCGTCCACCCCAAAAAGATGTGTTGAAGCCCTAACCTTCAGTACATGTGAATGTGACCTTATTTGGAAATAGGGTCTTTGCTGATATAATCAAGTTAAAATGAGTTCACTGGGGTGGGCCTTAATCATCCGATATAACTGGTGTCCATATAAGAAGAGGGAAACTGGCTGGGTGCAATGGCTCACACCTGTAATCCCAGCACTTTGGGAGGCTGAGGCAGGCAGATCCCTTGAGGTCAGGAGTTCAAGACCAGCCTGGCCAATATGGTGAAACCCCGTCTATACTAAAAATAGGAAAAATTAGCCAGGCATGGTGGCGGGTGCCTGTAATCCCAGCTACTTGGGAGGCTGAGGCAGGAGAATCGCCTGAACCCAGGAGGCAGAGGTTGCAGTGAGCCGAGATCACACCATTGCACTCCAGCCTGGGCAAGAGAGCAAGACTCTGTCTCAAAAAAAAAAAAAAAAAAGAGAGAGAGAGAAACTGAGAAACTGGACAAAAGCACAGGGAGAACATCATGTGACAGCATAGGCAGATATTGAAGCCATGCAGCTACAAGCCAAAAACATCAAGGATTGATGGGCACCACCAGAAACCAGGAAATGGCAAGGAAGAATTCTGCCCAGTGTCAGAGAGAGCACAGCCTGCTGACATCTTAATTTTGGACCACTAGCCTTCAGAGACAATAAATTTCTGTTGTTTTAAGCCACTCATTTTGTAGTACTTAATTAACCACTGCCCTAAGAAACTAATATACCAATTAATGAATGTTTTGTGAGGAAGTATTTTGAAACTATGTAAATATCTTGTTCCTTACCAGACTTTCGATGTATTCATTTATTTATATGAATGGACTTGAATCCTATTTACTCACTGTTTTAATTCATTACTACTAATATTTACTTTGATGCTCAGTTTGACAAAGTTTTGGTCAATGTGAGCTCCTTTCTGTGTTCTTTTGACATATCCCCTTTTTTTTTTTTTTTTTTTTTTTTTGAGACGAACTTTCCACTCTTGTTGCTCAGGCTGGAGTGCAGTGGCACGATCTCGGCTCACTGCAACCTCCGCCTCCCAGGTTTAAGCAATTCTCCTACCTCAGCCTCCCAAGTAGCTGGGATTACAGGCATTCGCCACCACGCCTGCCTAATTTTATATTTTTAACAGTGATGGGGTTTCACCATGTTGGCCAGGCTGGTCTCAAACTCCTGACCTCAGGTGATCCGCCTGCCTCTGCCTCCCAAAGTGCTGAGATTACAGGCGTGAGCCACTGGCACCACTTTTTTACACTACTAATTACTTTTCTAACAGTGTAAAACCTTGCTCCCTTGTCTTCAATATATTTACTTTTTTTTTTTTTTTGGAGACGGAGCCTCGTGCTGTTGCCCAGGCTGGAGCGCGGTGGCACAATCTTGGTTCACTGCAACCTCTGTCTCCCGGGTTCAAGCGATTCTCCTGCCTCAGCCTCCTGAGTAGCTGGTACTACAGGCGCACACCACCACGCCCAGCTAATTTTTGTATTTTTAGTAGAGACGAGGTTTCACCATATTGGTCAAGCTGGTCTTGAACTCCTGACCTCATGATCTGTGCTCCTTGGCCTCCCAAAGTGCTGGGATTACAGGCGTGAGCCACCGCGCCTGGCCTCAGTGTTTTTACTTAATCAGTTGTGGCCAGTCTCCCAGCACTTCCATCTCTCTCCAACCACCTTTATGGGTTTTCTTTTTATCCTGCTTAGACTCCAACATCCTTTGCAATGCCTCCCTCCCATGCAGACATTTTTCTCATTTTTGGGTCCATTCTCTCTAAGCCACTGAGTTTTTTCCCTCAGCTCCAGCTAATGGGTTGTGGACTAAATTGCTCACAGAGGAAGGGAAAGAAATTTTTCACTATTTTCATGAACATATTAATCATAGCTGTTTGGTTTTTGTCATATAGTTCCAATATTGGCTTCACCTGTTACGGGTATGTTAGTGGTGTTTGGTGTTTTTGTTTTGTTTTGTTTAGTGCCCAGAGGTAGCTGCTAATGTAGTGTCTGCATTTTCTTTTTAGCCATTTGGACCTATCTCTTAGCATGCCTGCTAATTTTTTATCGAATGCTGAACATTAAAAGATTATGGAGTCTCTGGATGATTTTTCTTCCTTTAGAGACAGTTCACCCTTGTTTTGCTAGGCAGATATTGAGGCTGGTCATATTAATTAAATCTGAAACCTAACTGACTCGAGGCTGAATTGCAGTTTAAGCAAGCCTTGTTCCACCTCTGGTTCACTCCAGCTTCTGGAATGTAGATTTTTCCCACAGAGAGCCTGGAATGATCACTAAGCCCCCTTCTCCATGGCATGATTTGAACTCTCTAGTCCTTGTTTCCTCATCACTATGAGACCACTGCTTTTTCCAAGGTTTTCTGCTTGGCTTCTTCCCTCTCAAGCAGCTTCAGAATTCAGCAAATATCTTGAAGGAAAAATTGTTGAGCCAGTTCTCTCTTTCATCAGAATCTTGGCCTTTCAGTCCTCTAATTTTTGCCTGTTAAGACCAGCAAGACTGTTAAAAGCTCTGCTTTTTTTCTTTTTATTTAATAGTGGCCCTCTCTTGTCCTTTTTGCCTTAATTCTCAGCTTCTTGCCTAGCTCCCCAGAATCAGCAGAATCCTAAGAGAAAATAATGTCAGCTTAGCTCTCCATGCTTTCCCTCTGATAGTATTTGCCACTTAGTTTTTGGTGGCCTTAGCACTCTCCAGTATATTCAAACAAGTGTGTCTGTGTATCTGGCTTTTCTACTTGTTCTTGATGGGAGCATTAGTCTACTATAAGCTACTGAGTTATATCAAAAGCAAAAAGCTAGATTCTAATGTATTCATATCTTTTTAAAAATAATGCTTCTTGGCTGGGCACAGTGGCTCACACGTGTAATCCCAGCACTTTGGGAGGCTGGGGCAGGCGGATCACCTGAGGTCAGGAGTTCGAGATCAACCTAGCCAACATGGCGAAATTTTGTCTCAACAAAAAATACAAAAATTAGCCAGGAGTGGTGGTATGTGCCTGTAGTCCCAGCTACTTGGAGGGCTGAGGTGGGAGGATCGCTTGAACCTGGGAGGTGGAGGTTGCAGTGAGCTCTGATCGTGCCACTACACTCAAGCCTGGGTGATAGAACGAGACCCTGTCTGAAATAAAATAAAATAAAGGTTCTTGAATTTACAAAACAAAATAATAACACAATCTAATGGTCATCAACTCTCAAAAAAATGAAAAATTCAAAAGATATCTTTAAGACATTAGCAATTAAGACTATCAGGACATCAATAGGATTTAAGCCAAGTGGTCAATATTAACATCAACAGTGGTAAGTCGTATTGATTGTATGTGCCCTTGATATGGTGTGATCGCAGTAGCAGTTTACCTCTGTGGCCTTCCACCCAAAAACTCATTACCCCAGTCTAGCCATTAGAAAAATATCAGTCAAATCTCAATTGACAGTCTACAAAATACCTGACCAGTACTCTTGAAAACTGTCAAGATCGTCAAAACCAGTGAAAGTCCAGGCCGGGCGCGATGGCTTACGCCTGTAATCCCAGCACTTTGGGAAGCCGAGACAGGCTGATCATGAGGTCAGCAGTTCAAGACCAGCCTGGACAACATGGTGAAACCCCGTCTCTACTAAAAATACAAAAATTAGCCAGGTGTGGGGGCGCACGCCTGTAATCCCAGCTACTCAGGAGGCTGAGGCAGGAGAATCACTTGAACCCAGGAGGCAGAGGTTGCAGTGAGCCAAGACCATACCACTGCACTCCAGCCTGGGCGACACAGCGAGACTCCATCTCAAAAAAAAAAAGAAAGAAAGTCCAGCAAAGTGTCACAAACAAGAGGAGTCTAAGGAGAAAGAAGACATGACTACTAAATGTTCTGTGGTATCTTGGATGGGATCCTAGGTTAGAAAAGGACATTAGGTAAAAAAAAAAAAAAACCTGAGGAAATCTAAAGTATGGACTTTTGTTAATAATTATGAATATTGATTCATTAATGTGACAAATGTATCATACTGATATAAGATGTTAGTAATAGGAAAAATTGGATATAGGGTATATGGGAACTATCTTTGCAATGATTTTCTAACACCTAAAACTTCTTTTACAACAAACTATTTTTGTTTTGAGATAGGGTCTCGCTTTGTCACCCAAGCTGGAGTGCAGTGGTGTGATCACTGCTCACTGCAGCCCTGACCTGGGCTCAAGCAGTCCTCCCACCTCAGCCCCCTAAGTAGCTGGCACTACAGGCAGCTGGGACTACAGGCGCATGCTACTATGCCCAGCTAATTTTTTTTTATTTTTTTGTAGAGACAGTATCTCCCTATGTTGCCCAGGCTGGTCTTGAACTCCTGGCTTCAAGTGATCCTCCTTGCCTCAGCCTCCCAAAGTGCTGAGATTACAGACATGAACCACCAGGCCCAGCCCCTGTTTTTTAAAACAATAGCATCTGACCTCCCAGGCTTTGCTTTATTTTTGGATTTGATTTTTTTTTTCTTGTCTGTCTCATTTCTTGCTGTATCTCCAGTACCTAGAAGATACATTTAGGCTCTCAATAAATATTGGTTGGTTGGATAGATAAACAGGAGCAAGGGAATATAAATTACAGATAACTGCTAGGTTTCTAACTCAGGCAACTGTGTGGATGGTAATATTCACTTAGGGAGTATAAAAAGCAGAAACTAGAAACTACTGCATGCTTGACAGATGATATATTATCTTGTTTTGTGCCAGCAATGTACGTGATTAATAATAGAAAATCTAATCAGAGTCAAAATGGGTCGCCAGGGATGATGGTGTATGCCTGCAATCCTAGCATTTTGGGAGGCTGAGGTGGGAGGATCACTTGAGCCGAGGAGTTCAAGACTAGCCTGGATAACATAGCAGGACCTCATCTCTCATTTAAGAGAATAAAATTTTATTTAAAAAAAAAAAAAGCAGCCGAGCACGGTGACTCAAGCCTGTAATCCCAGCACTTTGGGAGGCCGAGGTGCATGGATTACCTGACATCAGGAGTTCAAGACCAGCCTGGCCAACATGGTGAAACCCCGTCTCTACTAAAAATTCAAAAATTAGCCGGGTGTGGTGGTGCACGCCTATAATTCCAGCTACTTGGGAGGCCGAGGCAGGAGAATCACTTGAACCCAGGAGGCAGAGGTTGCAGTGAGCTATGATCATGCCACTGCACTGCAGCCTGGGCAACAAGAGCGAAATTCCTTCTCAAAAAAAAAAAGAAGAGGCTGGGTTTGGTGGCTCATGCCTATAATCCCAGCACTTTGGGAGGCTGAGGCGTGTGGATCACTTGAGGCCAGGAGTTCGAGACCAGCGTGGCCAACATGGTGAAACCCCATCTCTATTAAAAATACAAAAATTAGCCAGGCATGGTGATGTGTTCCTGTGGATCCAGCTACTTGGAAGGCTGAGGTAGAAGGATCACTTCAACCCAGGAGGCAGAGGTTGCAGTGAACCAAGATTGTGCCACTACACTCTAGCCTGGGTGACAAAGTGAGACTCTGCCTCAAAAAGAAAAAATGTTAACTTTCTGGTCTTTTTCCAAGGAGTAAACTCCTTTTTTCTCTTTTAGGCATATAAAACCTTTGCTAACCGAGTAAACAATTTAAAGAAGAAGTTGGATCAATTGAAGTCAACCCTTCCAGATCCTGAAGAATCACCAGTTCCTTCCCCAAGCATGGACGCTCCCTCCCCGACTGGTTCTGAGTCTCCTTTTCAGGGAATGGGAGGTGAGGAATCCCAGTCACCAACCATGGAGAGTGAGAAATCTGCCACACCTGAACCTGTGACAGATAATCGTGATGTGGAAGACATGGAACTCTCAGATGTGGAAGATGATGGGTCAAAAATCATTGGTATGTCTTTATGTGATTAATAGACAACTTATTCCTTATCTGTTTTGCCTTCTCAGCAATGAATACATCACAGGCAGGTATTGAAAGATAGTTCATTTCTTAAAAGATAGAACACCAAGGTAGCATTATAATCTCTAGAGCAGTTGTTGAGGATTTGATATGCCAAATGTGTTAAGAATCATTGCTCAGTATCTGCACTGTTAAAATGCTAGCTACTAGGCCATGGGCGGTGGCTCATGCCTGTAATCCCAGCACTTTGGGAGGCCAAGGCAGGTGGATCACCTGAGGTCAGGAGTTCGAGACCACCCTAGCCAACATGGTGTAACCCTGTCTCTACTAAAAATACAAAACTTATCCGGGTATGGTGGCAGGTACCTGTAATTCCAGCTACCCGGGAGGCTGAGGCAAGAGAATCGCTTGAACCTGAGAGAGGGGTTGCAGTGAGCTGAGATTATGCCACTGCACTCCAGTCTGGGAGACAGAGCGAGACTCCGTCTTGGGGGGACGGTCGGGGGAAAGTAGCTACTAGCTACCTGTGGCTAAGCATTTGAAATGAAGCTTGTCCAACTTGAGATGTGCTATAAGTATAAAATACACATTGAGGCCAGGTGCAGTGGCTCATGCCTGTAATCTCAGCACTTTGTGAGGCTGAGGCGGGCAGATTGCTTGAGCCCAGGACTTTGAGACCAGCCTGGGCAACATAGTGAAACCCTGTCTCTACAAAAAATATAAAAATTAGTCAGCGTGGTGGCATGCGTCTGTAGCCCCAGCTGCTGGAAAGGCTGAGGCAGGAGAATCACTTGAGCCTGGGAGGCGGAGGTTGCAGTGAGCCAAGACCATGTCACTGCACTCCAGCCTAGATGACAGAGGGAGACCCTCTCTCCAAAAAAAAAAAACCAGACACATTGGAGTCCAGAAACTAGGCCGAGCATGGTGGCAGAAACTCTCCCAAAGAGTTAAAATATCTCATTAATAATTTTTTATTTATAACACTGAAATGAAAATATTTGGGATATATTAGGATGAATAAAATAGAATTTTTAAATTACATGTGTCTGTTTCTTTTTATTTGTTTGTTTTTGAGAGAAAAAGAGAGTTTCCCTCTGTCGCCCAGGCTGGAGTGCAGTTGCGCAATCTTGGCTCACTGCATCCTCCATCTCCTGCGTTCAAACAATTCTCCTGCCTCAGCCTCCCGAGTAGCTAGGATTGATTGTAGGTGCATACCACCACACCCGGCTATTTTTTGTATGTTTATTAGAGACGGAGTTTCACCATGTTGGGCAGGCTGGTCTCGAACTCCTGACCTCAAGTGATCCGCCTGCCTCGGCCTCTCAAAGTGCTGGGAGGTGGGCTTGAGCCACCATGCCCGGCCCTGATTCTTTTTTTGTTAATTTGGCTGCTAGAAAATTTAAACTTACATATGTGGCATATGTGGCTTAAATTGTATTCATGTTAAATAGCACTGTTTTGGGATGAGGGGTCACTTATACTGGAATTCCTTATTCTCTGTCACTTTTGACCATCAAGAATTCCAAAGTCAGTTTGTTAATCACACTTTCAGAAATAACCTGATTTGGTGAATTGTTTCTCTTATATCCCCAGCCTTCATAAATCTTATTAGATAGTTTGACTCCTGTTGAATTCAATGCACTATTGATACAGCCCTTAAAGCATTAAAAATAATTATTCAAGGTGATTGAGAGTTAAAACATTGTAGTTTCAAATTAGCTAGTGCCTGATTGCACCCCCCAATAGGGCAATTTCAGGAAGCCAGAGGAAAATACAATGAACACTATAGAGGTTCTGTTTCTAAGAACAGAAGTTCTTAGAAAGTTCTCAGGTTAATGGAAAAGAAAAACACAGGACAATTTATGAAAAATATCATTTCCAAAAGACAGAACACAAATGTGTACCAAATAATAACATGCTTCTTGAATTGTACAGATTTAATACACAAATACTAAGAAAATGCAAAGGAATCATTGAAAAGTAAGATACAAGATAAATTCTGGAAATTGCTTGCTTTTTTTTTTTTTTTTGAGACGGGAGTCTCGCTTTGTTGCCCAGGCTGGAATGCAGTGGCACAATCTCGGCTCATTGCAACCTCTGCCTCCTGGGTTCAAGCGATTCTCGTGTCTCAGCCTCTGTAGTAGCTGGGATTATAGACGCCTGCCACCACACCTAGCTAATTTTTTGTATTTTTTGTGGAGGCAGGATTTCACCATGTTGACCAGGCTGGTCTCGAAATCCTGACCTCACATGAGCCATTGTCCCCAGCTGGAAATTGCTTTTAAGCAGATATTAAAGGTGGGAATTATCATAAATTATGAAGAGTATGACTTTTTCAAAAAAGCATGAAGTGAGTCGTTGTTTTCTCTAAAGTAGTGCCTTTTCCCCCAAGTCCGGAAATATTAGGACATGTTATTTCATATAGGAAGCAAAGTCTGGAAAGTAGTAGGATGTAATATCTCTTTTCTTTGTTGAAACAGTCGAGGACAGGAAGGAAAAACCTGCAGAGAAGTCAGCTGTATCCACTTCTGTACCTACAAAGCCAACAGAAAATATCTCAAAGGCCTCTTCATGTACCCCAGTGCCTGTGACCATGACAGCAACTCCACCTCTTCCAAAGCCTGTGAATACTTCTCTTTCCCCTTCCCCAGCATTGGCTTTGCCAAACCTGGCTAATGTGGATCTGGCAAAGATCAGTTCCATCCTTAGCAGTTTAACATCAGTCATGAAAAATACTGGTAAGTAAGCCCAGTAAGGAGGATAAAAAGTTAATTTCCATCTTTTTAAATTGAATCATTAATCTGTTTTTGGGGGGGTTGTTGTTGTTGTTGTTGTTGTTGTTTAGACAGAGTTTCGCTCTGTCTCCCAGGCAGGAGTGCAGTGGTGCAATCTTGGCTCACTGCAACCTCTGCCTCCCGGGTTCAAGTGTTCTGCTGCTTCAGCCTCCCAAGTAGCTGGGATTACAGGCACCTGCTACCACGCCCGGCTAATTTTTGTATTTTTAGTAGAGATGGGGTTTCACCATGTTGGCCAGGCTGGTCTTGAACTTCTGACCTCAGGTGATACACCCACCTCGGCCTCCCAAAGTGCTGGGATTATAGGCGTGAGTCACCGTGCCCAGTCTGTTGTTGATTTTTTTTAATTAATGATTTTTTTTTTTTTTTCTGAGACGGAGTTTCAGTCATGTTACCTAGGCTGGAGTGCAATGGTGCAAACTTCACTCACTGCAGCCTCCATCTCCCAGGTTCAAGCAATTCTGCCTTAGCCTCCCAAATAGCTGGGACTACAGGCATGTGCCACCATGCCCAGCTAATTTTGTATTTTTGGTAGAGACGGGGTTTCACCATGTTGGTCAGGCTGGTCTCAAACTCCTGACCTCAGGTGATCCACCCATCTTGGCCTCCCAAAGTGCTGGGATTACAGGCGTGAGCCAGCGCACCCAGCTAAATTAATTGTTAAATTAAAAAATAATCCAATAATCGGTCATTATAGAAAAATTAGAAAATAAGCAAAGAGAATGAAATAAATATCTAGGCCAGGCGTGGTGGCTCATGCCTGTAATCCCAGCACTTTGGGAGGCTGAGATGGTAGATTGCCTGAGGCCAGGAGTTCGAGACCAGCCTTGGCAATATAGTGAGACCCTATCTCTAAATAAAAAATTTTAAATGAAAAAAATTTTTTAATAAATATCTATAATCCTGTTACCCCAAAGGAAACCACTTGTGTTTACCCTTAAAAGTATATGTGTATATGAATGTTTTGGAGAATTAAATATGTATAACAATTTTTAAAAAAGTAAGTGTATTGCATATACTGTTTCAAAACTAGCTATTTAAAAGTTAATTACATATCTTGAATGTTTTTATGAATCATTAAATATTTCTCTACATCATTTTTAATAGCTGCATAGCATGTGGTAACTTATCTAATCCTTTATTATTAGGCACTTAGTATGTTTCCAGTTTTTTACTGTTATGAAGAATACTATAGGGCCAGGTGTGGTGGCTCACGCCACCACTTTGGGAGGTGGAGGCAGGTTGATCACTTGAGGCCAGGAGTTGGAGACAAACCTGGACAACATGGCGAAACCCCATCTCTACTTAAAAAAACAAAAATTATGGCCGAGCGTGGTGGCTCACACCTGTAATCCCAGCACTTTGGGAGGCCGAGGCGGGTGGATCACGAGGTCAAGAGATCGAGACCATCCTGGCCAACATGGTAAAACCCCGTCTCTACTAAAAATACAAAAAAATAGCCAGGCATGGTGGCGGGCGCCTGTAGTCCCAGCTGCTCGGGAGGCTAAGGCAGGAGAATGGCCTGAACCCAGGAGGCGGAGCTTGCAGTGAGCCAGGATCGCGCCACTGCACAGCCTGGGCGACAGAGCAATACTCCGTCTCAAAAAAAAACAAAAAACAAAAATTAGGCCAGGTTTGGTGGCTCACGCCTGTATTTCCAGCACTTTGGGAGGCCAAGGCAGGCGGATCACCTGAAGTCAGGAGTTCAAGACCAGCCTGGCCAACTTGGTGAAACCCTGTCTACTAAAAATACAAAAATTAGCTGGGCATGGTGGCATGCATCTGTAGTCCCAGCTACTTGGGAGGCTGAGGCAGGACAATCACTTGAACCTGGGAGGCGGGGGTTGCAGTGAGCCAAGATCACGCCACTGCACTTCAGCCTGGGCAACAGAGCAAGACTCCGTCTCAAAAAAAGAAAAAATTCGCCAGCTGTGGTGGCACGTACCTGTAATCCCAGCTACTCATAAGGCTGAGGCATAAGTATCATTTGAACCCAGAAGGCAGAGGTTGCAGTGATCCAGGATCAAGCCACTGCACTCCAGCCTGGTTGACAGAGCGAGACTCTTGTCTCAAAAAAAAACAAAAAACAAAAAAAAAACCTGTAAATTATAAAAATTTTATGAATAACCCTTTGCAAGGGTTAAGTATATAAAACCTTTTTAATGGAATTTTATTTTTATTTATTTATTTATTTATTTTGAGACAGTCTCACTCTGTCCCCCAGGCTGCTGGAGTGCAGTGGCGCGATCTCAGCTCACTGCAAGCTCCGCCTCCCAGGTCACGCCATTCTCCTGCCTCAGCCTCCTGAGTAGCTGGGACTACAGGTGCCTGCCACCACGCCCAGCTAATTTTTTGTATTTTTGGTAGAGACGGGCTTTTACCATGTTAGCCAGGATGGTCTCGATCTCCTGACCTCGTGATCTGCTCGCGTTGGCCTCCCAAAGTGCTGGGATTACAGGCGTGAGCCACCGCATCCGGCCATTTATTTATTTATTTTGAGACAAGGTCCCACTCCATCACCCAGGCTGGAGTGCAGGGGTGCAGTCATGGCTCACTGTAACCTCAAACTTCTGGGTTCAAGTGATCCTCCCACCTGAGCCTTTGAGTGGCTGAGATCACACGTGTGCACCACCACATCTGGCTAAGTTTTGTGGGTTTTTTGGTAGAGACAGTGTCTTACTATGTTGCCCAGGCTGATCTTGAACTCCTGGGCTCAAGTGTTCCTCCCATCTTGGCCTCCTAAAATGTTGGGATTACAATCATGAGCCACTGCACCCAGCCCGAAATTTTTTAAATAAATTTTGCCAGGCAAGGTGGGATACCGTGTAGTCCCAGCTACTCGGGAGGCAAATGCAGGAGGATCACTTGAAGCCAGGAATTCCAGGACGTGTAGTTCACTGTGATCACGCCTGTGAATGTCCACTGCACTCCAGCCTGAGCAACCCAGTGAGACCATATCTCAAAAACTAAATAAAAATAAAGTATTTTAATATATAACTAAATTGATATCCAAAAAAGTGCTATTTTATATGACTAATATATGAAAGCTTCTGTTGTTCCTTACCTTCTCCAGTTACTTGCCTTGTGCAGTCTACAAATCCAGCCTTAAAAAGTTGTTTAATTTCCATTTCTTCTATGAAAGATGTTAAAAATTTTTTTCCTTTGCTTCTCACTTAAGTTTCTTTGTGAAATATCTGTTCATATTTATCTTTTTTAAAATAACAAATGTTTTTCTCTTTATATATTTTATTTCCTGTGTTAAAGATCAACCCAGTGTTTTTAAATGTAAAAATATAAAGGAAATTTCTTAAATAATCTCATTTTAAAAGCTATTTCAAAAGCATATAACTTACCAGTCACATGAAATTATGCAGTGGCTGAGTTATACAACTGCAGTGGCTCTCAGCATCCAGTCAGCCAGCAGTATTTATTGAGCGCCTACAGGGCTCTGAACTGTAGGTGCCATTTGGTGGAGAAAAAAGATTGTCCAGGTGTGGTGGTACATGCCTGTAATTCCCAGCACTTTGAAAAGCCAAGGTGGGAGGATCACTGGAGGTCAAGAGTTGAAGACCACCCTGGGCAATGTAGCAAGACCCTGTCTCTATTTTTTAAAAATAAATAAGAAATATTGGGGCTCTCAAAACTATGAAAATCACTTAATACTTGTTTTTTTCAAGACAGAGTCTCACTGTGTCTCAACTCTTGTCTCACTGCAACCTCCACCTCCTGGGTTCAAATGATTCTCCTGCCTCAGCCTCCCGAGTAGCTGGGATTACAGGCGCCTGCCACCATACCCGGCTAATTTTTTATTTTTGGTAGGGACAGGGTTTCCCCATGTTGGTCAGGCTGGTCTCGAACTCCTGACCTCAGGTGATCCGCCTGCCTCGGCCTCCCAAAGTGCTGGGATTACAGGTGTGAGCCACCTCGCCCGGCCAATACTTGTTTGTTTTAATGGTGTTCCAAGTAAAAGGAGATAATCTTTTCAGGGTTTTTTTTTTTTTTTTTGTACATGTCATGTTATGATGGACCATTTGTGGATCAACCACAGAAGAATTCCTGTTAAATATATCAAACTCATTGAAGTGAGGGGAAGTATCGGAAATTGAAGTCATTTTGAATTGCATTTTCTTGAGTTCATCTTTCTGCCACCAGGGGTCAGTCCTGCATCAAGACCTTCTCCAGGAACGCCCACCAGCCCCAGCAACCTCACCAGTGGCCTGAAAACACCTGCACCTGCCACGACAACATCTCACAACCCTCTGGCAAATATCCTCTCCAAGGTGGAGATCACCCCAGAGAGCATTCTGTCTGCACTTTCCAAAACCCAGACACAGTCAGCCCCTGCACTGCAAGGTAACTGACATATGCCAGAGGGACTCGAATTGTGAATGTTTGTCTCTGGCTTAAATTAATCCTGGATTCCATTTCTGATGAATCCAGAGCCATAAAATGTATAACACAGTTAATTCATTATTCTTTTTATTTATTTATTTATTTATTTATTTAAAATTTTTGAGATGGAGTCTCACTCTGTTGCCTAGTTGGTGTGCAGTGGAGTGCTCTCGGCTCACTACAACCTCTGCCTCCTGGTTCAAGTGATTCTTCTGCCTCAGCCTCCCTAGCAGCTGGGATTACAGGCCCACACCACCATGTCTGGCTAATTTTTGTATTTTTAGTAGAGATGGGGTTTCTCCATGTTGGCCAGGCTGGTCTCAAACTCCTGGCCTCCCAAAGTGCTGGGATTATAGGCATGAGCCACCATGCCTGGTGGTCATTATCCTTTTTTTTATTTTAGACAGAATTTCACTCTTGTCGCCCAGGCTGGAGTGCAGTGGCCCAATCTCAGCTCACTGCAACCTCAGCCTCCCAAGTAGCTAGGATTACAGGTGCCCACCACCACATCCAGCTAATTTTTGTATTTTTAGTAGAGACGGAGTTTTGCTATGTTGGCCAGGCTGGTCTCGAACTCCTGACCTCAGGCAGTCCACCCACCTCAGCCTCCCAAAGTGCTAGGATTACAGGCGTGAGCCACTGCGCCCCTCCTATTTTTTTTATATTTATCATCTATGAGCTGACATCTGAAGAATTATAAAATGTGAAAGCTGAAAGAGACTAAGTATTATCTAGTCTAATCCCTTACTTTTCAGGTAAGGAAACTAAGGCTCAGTAAGGTGAAAAGATCTGCTTATGGTCACATACCTATCTGTCTATTCAGTATGAGCCAAGACTGAAGGCCAGATTTCTTGACTGGAGTTCAGTATTCTTTCACCTACACCATGACACCCTAGGGGCTGCATTAGTCCCAGCTTTTAATACAGGTTTATATATGTTGAGTTTTATTAATTTCAGTGTTAACCAAAGCTGAAGACAGTAGGAAGGGTCCATTTATTATCAAAAAATATGGCCAGGTGCAGTTGCTCACGCCTGTAATCCCGGCACTTTGGGAGGCTGAGGCGGGCAGATCACCTAAGGTCAGCAGTTCAAGACCAGCCTGGCCAACCAGGTGAAATAACATCTCTACTAAAAATATGAAAATTAGCCAGGTGTGGTGACACACACCTGTAGTGTGCTGAGATCGCAGTAAGCCGGAATCACGCTACTGCACTCCAGCCTGGACGACAGAGCAAGACTCAGTCCAAAAAAAAAAAAAAAAAAAAAAATTTTTTTATGACGCTTCAAGAACATAGTGAAACCCTGTCTCTACAACGGAATTAAAAATTAGCGCCGGGCGCGGTGGCTCACGCCTGTAATCCCAGCACTTTGGGAGGCTGAGGCAGGCGGATCATGAGTTCAGGAGATCGATACCATCCTGGCTAACACAGTGAAACCCCGACTCTACTAAAAATACAAAAAATTAGCCGGGCGTGGTGGCGGGCACCTGTAGTCTTGGCTACTTGGAAGGCTGAGGCAGGAGAATGGTGTGAACCCAGGAGGTGGAGGTTGCAGTGAGCCAAGATTGCCCCACTACACTCCAGCCTGGGCAAAAGAGCAAGACTCTGTCTCAAAAAAAAAAAAAAAAAAAAAATTAGCTGGGCATAGTGGTGCATGCCTGTAGTTCCAGCTACTCAGGGGGCTAAGGCAGGAGGATCACTTGAGCCCAGGAGTTCAAGGCTGCAGTACGCTGTGGTCACCCCACTGTACTCCAACCTAAGTGATGAGACCCTGCCTCAAAAAAAAAAAAAAAAAAATTTCTGAGACATGAATATATCTTTTTTTGTCCTAATGTTTTATAGAGGCTTCATTATTTATTATTTTATTTATTATTTTATTAGAGTCTTAGATGTAGTATTTTTGTTTTCACCTACCTATAATCTCTCTCATTTGACCCTTTCTGTTCAGCTTTACTAATTATGTTTTGTGCATGACACTGCCTGTTTCTAACCTTTTTTCATAAATCTTTCCTACTCTCTACTCTCTTATGCTCCAGATACCAATGAAATCCTTTTTAAGTACCGTAGTATAATTATGAAATGAATTACAAATACCAGGGCAATATATTCAGTGTAGTGATTTACTCTATATCAGTAGTCTCAACCAAAGGCCTCCAGGGAGGACACTTGGCAATATTTGGAGACCTTTTTAGTTGTCTCAACTGGGGTAATGGTAGGGGTGCTACTGCCTCTAGTGAGTAGAGGCCAGGAGGATGCTCCTAAATATCCTACAATGTGTGAGACAGCCCCAACAATAAAGAATTATCTAGCCCAAAGTGTCAGTAGTGCTGAGGTTGAGAAACCCTGCTCTCTATCAAAGGAGTGGTGTAAAACAGTTTCCTAAACTGTTATGTAAGTGGATCATTCAAGCATATTATAGTGAACTTTGTCTGGAGGTGCAGAAGAATTTTGTTACACAGAACTAAATAGTATTAAGTAATAATCCACAGCCCCTATCTATTGGCATCAGCAATAAAGAATTGATGATGACTGCAGCACATGTTGTACTACTAATATCAGGGACAATTTGAGAGTTTGACATGTTTATGCTTTCTCCCTTTTTATTTTTATTTGTTTGTTTGTTTTTGAGACGGGGACTTGCTCTGTTGCCCAGGCTGGAGTGCAGTGGTGTGATCTCGGCTCACTGCAACCTCTGCCTCTCGGGTTCAAGTGATTCTCTTGCCTCAGCCTCTCGAGTAGCTGGTATTACAGGCTCACACCACCATGCCCGGCTAATTTTTGTATTTTTAGTAGACACGGGGTTTCGCCATGTTGGCCAGGCTGGTCTCGAACTCCTGACCTCACGTGATCCACCTGCCTCGACCTCCCAAAGTGCTGGGATTACAGGTGTGAACCACCGTGCCTGGCCGATGTGAAATTTCTGATGAGGCAAAATTTGAACAGAACTAGGTTCCTTATGGAATGTGGAATTCTCTTTGACTTTTAAAAGGATTGTATCTAGCAAGTTAAATAGATGTATTTCCTCGAAGACTGTTAATGAAATCCCAGAACTTTGTTCTGATTGTGTCATCCACAGCCCTAGGTATTGACAGATTTATAACACAAAAGAGAGACTTCAGGCCCGGTGTGGTGGGTCACACCTGTAATTCCAGCACTTTGGGGACGGGTGGATCACCTGAGGTCAGGAGTTCAAGACCAGCCTGGCCAACAGGGTAAACCTGTCTTTCCAAAAAAAAATACAAAAAAATTAGCTGGGCGTGGTGGCTCACAGCTGTAACCCCAACTACTTGGGAGGCTGAGGTAGGAGAATCGCTTGAACCCGGAAGGCAGAGGTTGCAGTGAGCCAGCCTGGGCGACGAGCAAAACTCTGTCTCAAAAAAAGAGAAACTTCAGTGGGCAAAGGAGCAGAGTATGACTTGTTATGATTAAAGAGCAAACTTTTGGCTGGGCGCAGTGGCTCATGCCTGTAATCCTAACACTTTGGGAGGCCACGATGGGAGGATCACTTGAGGCCAGGAGTTTGAGACCAGCCTGGTCAATATAGCAAAACCCCTATCTCTATTGTTTTTAAGAATTTTTAAAAATAATTAAAAAAAAAAAAGATTGGAGAACAGTAATATTTAGTGGTGAGAGACAATTTTACCTATTACCAGAAATCTGAGTAGTATATCTATCTTAAAAAGATGTTCTTTTGAAGAAGTTATCCCAAAATATCTGAAAAATATGCTGAAATATCTTCTAAAAATCATATTACATTATTATATATCACATTCTAGTGTTTGAGGACTTCTGGGTTTTGTGAGAACAGTGATTACTAAGAATTAAATCAGGCTGGGCATGGTGGCTCACGCCTGTAATCTCAGCACTTTGGGAGGCTGAAGTGGGACAATCACTTGAGCCCAAGATTTTGAGATCAGCCTGCGCAACATGGTGAGACCTTGTCTCTACTAAAAATAAAAAAGTTAGCTGGGCATAGTGATGTACACCTGTGGTCCCAGCTACTCAGGAAGCTAAGGCAGATAAATCTTTTGAGCCCAAGAGGTTGAGGTTACAGTGAGCTATGATCGCACCACTGCACTCCAGCCTGGGTGACAGAGCAAGAGCCTGTCTCTTGAAAAAAAAAAAGGAAACTATTAGTAGGGATGAATTATGTGGCTAGGGAACTTTTTTTGGAATGAAACATGCCGATTTTTTTTTTTCTTCAGAAGGATCATAACTAAAGTAAACATTATTTCAGTTGTTTGGATATTACTGAATATTGGATAACAATAAAGACCATCCAACATTATTTAGAAATAAATGGCTTTAAAATGTTACAAGGATGGAGGGGACTTGAAATTCTTTAGGCCAAATCTGTTAGAATATGGGTTAAAATTGAAATTTTGAAGAAATGTTAATTGAAATATCACATGAAGTATTTTCTTTAATCATATAATTACTAAGGAACAATGTTAGTGTATTCAGTGACTAAAAGCTATAAATTTGGGTGAAATGTATATTAAAAATTTTTTTAATTAATTTATTTTTAAATACAGAGACTCACTTTGCCACCCAGGCTGGTGTGCAGTGGCAGAGTCATAGTTAGTTTACTGTAACCTTGAACTGGGCACAAGTGATTCTCCAGCCTCAGCCTCCTGAGTAGCTAGGACTACAGGCATGCACCATCATGCCCAGCTGATTTTTAAATTTTTTTTAGAGACAGAGTCTCTCTGTGTTTCCCAGGCTGGTCTCAAACTCCTGGCCTCAAGCCATCCTCCTGCCTCTGCTGCCCAAAATGCTAGGATTACAGGCATGAGCCACCGTGCCCAGCCAAAAGTCTTCATTTGTGACCAGAAATTGGGTAAATTTTTAAAAATATGATTGAATTTATAGAACCTTCTGTTATCTTTTTGTCAAATATTTTTCTAAAAAATTTTCTACAGGAGCAGTTTGCTTTGTTGAACTTCAGCCTTTGCCCCAAAGAATTCTTTCTCAGTGCTTCTGAGAAAGTTTTGACTGTCAGTGAACACAGTTAAATTCCATCATTGTCAATCTGGACTAAATAATCCTTGGATTTTCCACACTATAAAATGGGGATTGTGTGTTTTCTTGTGAAAGGACCAGTGTCCCTGGTGGTCTGTCTTTGTAAGTCTTTGTGGTGTATGTTTGTTATAGCTACATTTTACAACCAAAACGGATGGTTGAAAGCATTGTTTTTCAAAAAGTAACAACAGTCTACCAAGAGGTGCTTCTTGAAAAAGGTGTTTGCTGTTCAGATAAGTTTCTGAAATTTGCATTTGCCTGTCTCCCGCTTGAAAATAACAATGTATATTAACTTATTAGAGATAATAAGTTTGAAGGTTGAAGGTTGGTTTGAAGGTTGGACAGGAAAGGTAGAACAGATCTGTTTGCATTTAGAGAAACACTTCCACAGATCAAACATTAAGAAATACTGGCTTAAAGTGTTGTTTTAAGAATAACTTTGCCTCCTTTCTTTTCCTGCTTTGCCTAACTTAAACTATGAATGATTCTGACATTAAAATCTCCCCCTTCCTGTTGCCTTTTATTGTGCCATGTTGGGCTGATTTCTGGACTGTACTGGAAACATTTCAGTGATTTGCTCTTTATTGATAAAATAGGCCCTGTATTTTCTGTGACATTTAGCCATTGCTTGTTTGGTCTGGATTCCTTTTGGCCTTACACTTTGTCTATCTGGTTCCCACCAAAATGAATGAGAGTATCTGATTAGCCTACATTGTTTGCATTGTATGATAGGGAGTTGTTCTTTTTAACCCCTCTAATCTTTGTTTCTACAGGCCTGTCATCTTTACTTCAGAGTGTTACTGGGAACCCAGTTCCAGCCAGTGAAGCTGCCTCACAGAGCACTTCAGCCTCCCCTGCCAACACCACAGTCTCTACCATAAAGGGAAGAAATCTGCCCTCCAGTGCCCAACCTTTTATTCCCAAAAGCTTCAACTATTCTCCTAACTCATCAACTTCTGAAGTCTCTTCAACTTCAGCCAGCAAGGCCTCAATTGGGCAAAGCCCAGGGCTCCCAAGCACTACTTTTAAACTACCTTCCAACTCTTTGGGGTTTACAGCTACCCACAATACTAGCCCTGCTGCCCCACCTACTGAAGTTACCATCTGCCAATCTTCAGAGGTCTCCAAGCCAAAGCTGGAGTCAGAGTCCACCTCCCCAAGCCTGGAAATGAAGATTCACAACTTCTTAAAAGGTAATCCTGGTTTCAGTGGCTTAAACTTAAACATCCCAATCCTGAGCAGTTTGGGGTCCAGCGCCCCATCAGAGAGCCATCCCTCAGACTTCCAGCGTGGCCCTACTAGCACCTCAATCGACAACATTGATGGAACCCCTGTACGGGATGAACGGAGTGGGACACCCACCCAGGATGAGATGATGGACAAGCCCACATCCAGCAGTGTAGATACTATGTCCCTGCTTTCTAAGATCATTAGCCCTGGTTCCTCAACACCCAGCAGTACAAGATCACCACCCCCTGGGAGAGATGAAAGCTACCCCCGAGAGCTCTCCAATTCTGTATCTACATATCGACCCTTTGGTCTGGGCAGTGAATCTCCCTATAAGCAGCCTTCTGATGGAATGGAGAGACCATCTTCCCTGATGGACTCTTCACAGGAAAAGTTCTACCCAGATACTTCTTTCCAAGAAGATGAGGATTACCGAGATTTTGAGTATTCAGGGCCTCCACCCTCTGCCATGATGAACCTAGAGAAGAAACCAGCCAAATCTATCCTGAAATCAAGCAAGCTGTCTGATACCACCGAGTACCAGCCAATTCTGTCCAGTTATAGCCACAGAGCCCAAGAATTTGGGGTAAAGTCTGCCTTCCCTCCATCTGTAAGGGCCCTCCTGGACTCTAGTGAGAACTGTGACCGTCTCTCATCTTCCCCTGGGCTATTTGGTGCCTTCAGCGTAAGAGGGAATGAACCTGGGTCTGACCGGTCACCATCACCGAGTAAGAATGATTCATTTTTCACCCCTGACTCCAACCACAATAGCTTGTCTCAATCTACCACTGGGCATCTCAGTTTGCCACAGAAGCAGTACCCAGACTCTCCTCACCCAGTCCCACATCGTTCCCTTTTCTCTCCGCAGAACACCCTTGCCGCTCCCACGGGTCACCCACCCACGTCAGGCGTGGAGAAAGTCCTGGCCTCCACCATTTCCACCACGTCGACGATTGAATTTAAGAATATGCTTAAAAACGCCTCACGTAAGCCCTCAGATGATAAGCATTTTGGCCAGGCTCCCAGCAAGGGCACTCCAAGTGATGGTGTCAGTCTCTCAAACCTCACCCAACCCAGCTTGACCGCCACTGATCAGCAGCAACAAGAAGAGCACTACCGCATAGAAACCCGCGTCTCCTCCTCCTGCTTAGACTTGCCTGATAGCACAGAAGAAAAGGGGGCCCCTATAGAAACCTTGGGTTATCACAGTGCATCCAATAGGAGGATGTCAGGGGAGCCGATCCAGACCGTAGAGTCCATCCGAGTTCCTGGGAAGGGAAATAGAGGACATGGGCGTGAGGCTTCAAGGGTGGGTTGGTTTGATCTGAGCACATCAGGTAGCTCTTTTGACAATGGCCCTTCAAGTGCCTCTGAGTTGGCATCCCTTGGGGGTGGGGGCAGCGGAGGCCTCACTGGCTTTAAAACAGCACCATACAAGGAACGGGCACCTCAATTTCAGGAGAGTGTCGGCAGCTTTCGTTCCAACAGTTTCAACTCAACATTTGAGCATCATCTTCCCCCATCCCCCTTGGAACATGGGACACCCTTCCAGAGAGAGCCAGTGGGGCCATCATCTGCCCCACCTGTCCCTCCTAAGGATCATGGTGGTATCTTCTCTCGAGATGCACCCACTCATCTACCCTCTGTGGATCTTTCGAACCCCTTCACAAAGGAGGCAGCCCTGGCCCATGCTGCCCCACCCCCTCCTCCTGGAGAGCACAGTGGAATTCCTTTCCCTACCCCACCTCCTCCTCCCCCTCCTGGGGAACATAGCAGCAGTGGTGGGAGTGGTGTCCCCTTTTCTACTCCACCCCCTCCTCCACCCCCTGTTGACCACTCTGGAGTTGTACCCTTCCCAGCCCCACCACTGGCAGAGCACGGAGTGGCAGGGGCTGTGGCAGTATTTCCCAAGGACCATAGTTCCCTCCTTCAAGGGACCCTGGCTGAGCATTTTGGGGTACTCCCAGGACCCAGGGACCACGGGGGCCCCACCCAACGGGACCTCAACGGCCCTGGCCTTAGCCGTGTACGAGAGAGCCTCACCCTACCCTCCCATTCTCTGGAACACCTGGGCCCACCCCATGGAGGAGGAGGTGGGGGAGGCAGCAACAGCAGCAGTGGCCCCCCCTTGGGTCCCTCACACAGAGACACCATCAGCCGGAGTGGTATAATCTTACGGAGTCCCCGGCCAGACTTTCGGCCTAGGGAACCTTTTCTCAGCAGAGACCCATTTCACAGTTTAAAGAGACCCAGGCCACCTTTTGCTAGGGGCCCTCCGTTCTTTGCACCAAAACGCCCATTCTTCCCTCCCAGGTACTGATGGAAACCAAGGGAAAGGCATTTTGAACAGTCTAGAGAACATTGGAAGTAGGAGTTTGGTTTATTGTTGTTGTTTTTATTTGTTTTCTCTTTCTCGATTTTTTTTTTATTATAACAAAGGGCCTCTCTTCCAAAGTAAGAAATCACATACGCTTACGTTTTACTATTCAATTCAATCCTCCCTCCCATTGCACTTATCTACCTTCCCCAAGTTGTTTGTATTAAAAAAAAAAAAAAAAAAAAAAAGTAAAGAAACACAACCAAAGCCATTTCATTTGGCTGGGGGGTTGGGGAGTGGGGAGGAAAACAATCTTTATTTTACCCCATCTATTGAAGAGTATTATTACATTTGAAATAAAACTTCCATCAGTACAGATAACCACATGTGCAATGTTGGGATGTTATTTTGGGCTTGGCTTATCGAGTAGTCAATGGAAGGATTCCCGTCCCCTCTCTCGGCAGCTTAGTAACTGCTGTAGCCAGCTCGGCTCCCTTCCCTGTGTATCTGTGTCCTGCTAACAGCCAAGAGATGTTGCAAGGGAGGAAATGTGAGAGACCTTGAACCTGTCAGGTTTATTTGTTTTGTTTTTAAAGGCATGTTGAAGTTTAGTTCTTTACCCTTCTCCTAAAATCTTTTTTTAATCAGCCTCAAGGTTAAAATAAGGAGTGACTACAGTATGTAAAATAAGGAAAGGAAGCATTAATGGTGTGATGTGACCTGCCTGTTTTTTTGTAAACAAGAGAATAGGAAATGTTTTCAAGGTAGTTTCACATGTCTTGCACCAAGCTCATGCCTCTTGCTTTTCCTTTTTGACTTTATCTCCCTCAGTTTTTCTTCTGCTGTGGCCAGAAAGACAGTCACTACAGTTGACTATTGATACAAAGGTGCAACAGAAATATTATCCCTGCATTTTTAAATATAAGAAGTAGACATTAATTTTACCATGGTGCCTCCCTAATGTAAGTGATATTTATTGGTGGTTTTCAACAAAGGTTAACTATTAAAGAAAGAAATATTTGTCTTTATCTTCCTTTTCCCCTTGCCTCAGTCGTGTTATTCACCCCTATTCTTGATATTTTAAAGGAGGAGATTCAGTAGCATTTTCCTTTATATTATACACATGTGTCTATCCCATTTCAAGGCTCAAGTCTTACCCCCACCTCTCGCTCCCAATAGGAAATAAAGACCATTTCTGCCCTTAGTTGTTTTACATGCAAGATAAGTGCTTTCCTTCTCCCTGGACTGAAAGACTTGTTTGTATTTCTACATCTAGTACTTGGGAAATAGACAATCACTGTACTTTGAGTGTTTATATCTTTATATCTAGGGACACTGAAAAGTAAATGTTGCTTTACTACAATTTTTTTTTAATTTAGTGTCTTACCCCAAGGCATACTCAACTGATAATCTCCAGCTAGATGAGTAAAACAGTATGTGTTTAGTTTTCCAGAGAATTCTGGCAAGTTTCATATTTTCTTCCAAGTTAGTATAGAACTAACTATAGGAAGTATGGGGTTGCTTTTTCCTCCAGTAGAATATTAAAGATGGGGGAGGGTGGGCAATGTAGTGACAGAAAATGATTCTCTCAGAATGAACTTTTCAGAGAAAGAGCAGCATAAACCAGGTGCACATCATGATTTGGGAGTTTTTGCGTAATTTATTCTGTTATTTATTTGGGCTCGCCATGTGTTCTGGGGTTAGGATGCTGCAGGTCATTCATCTTCTTAATGCCTGTCTGGTCTTAAGCCAACTGTTCTTTCTTTCCTCGACCCTCTCTGCCCTGTAGCTCTCCCCACAAAAATGCATGATACCATGACCTTACGTGTGGGATGGGGTATGTAGTGTAGCAAAGAAAAGAAAGTATAGTTATATTGAGTCCTAAGACATTTGTTAGGGAAAAGCATAAGAGAAAATGGGGTGGGAGGTGGGGAAATGATATTTGACTTTCAAAATTGAAATAGGTTTTTTTTTTGCAGAAATTAAATGGGATGTTTTTCATTCTAGAATAAAAGAATGTGAATTCTCTTTGCTGCTCTTGTTTAAGCTAAAAGTAGTGTTTACTTGATAAGGCTCTCTGACCATTTAATTTTTATCAGAAAATGTGGGGATGTCAGGAAAGTGGCTTCCTGAACGTTGGGGCGGGATAATTGTCCTCAAAAGTATGATGGTTAATACATGAAAGGAAGACTTTGTTGGACAGTTTCGAAGGTGGGCTTTTAAGGAGTTGGGTTTTTGTGGGGTACTTTTTTGTTTTTTAAGCCACAAAATCCTCAATATGTTTGTTTTAGGATGGAAGTGAGGATTTGTATGAGACTGTCAGCTATTAATTTTAAGGAAATCTTAAAATTTACATTTACATCAGTAAATGAAGATGACAGTGTGTATATATGTGATAAATAGTGAAACAGAAAAGACAGTTCTGGTATTCATAACGTGAAAGAAAGGGGTTTTATTCTTTCTGTGTCTGTGATTTAAAACTCCGTGACCATGCTCTGACTTTTGTATTTCAACCTGAGTTTAAACAAATAAACAAGATATTTTTTAAAGAAAGCATAACATAGTGTGTCTTAGCAAGGACATGATTCATATGGAAGCAGAATGTGAGAAGTTGTAAGGTCCTTGGTACTCACTGTAAAATCACAGACAGAGAATTGGTAGGGGTTGTGAATACACTAGTACCACTTAAAGTTCAGTGATACAGTTCAGAAATAGGGTCCTTAAGTATTTTGAAAGAGTTTACTCTTCAGTCAGCTTAGATGAGAGCTCTCTCCCTGCTCCCCTCTACCCTCTCAAAAGTTGAGAGTAAATAGAATTTGGTTTGATTCCAGGGAGGGGAAAATAAGCAGAGAATAGGACTTTTATACTTTCCAATACCAGGAATAAAATGTTTGTGATATATATGGGTCCAGCAAACCTATCGAGATAATGTGAATACGATAAACTTCCTAATGGCAGGATATTCACTCTCAATCCTGAAGTTACCGGTTCCTGCAGAATTGAGCTTCAGCTGTTACTGTTTTGAAGCCGCTGTAAATTACTGCTTTCCCCAGTTCCCCCACTATTTTTTTTAAGTGGGCGGGGGCGCCTGTTAAGATCTAAAATAGATATGTTGGATTGATATTCTCACGTGTTCGGTGTGGAAAACAAAACAAGTACATGCTTTAGAAGCAACAACAATGAAATCCTTTTGAAATGTGTGTTAATATCGTTTAATAAAATAACTAGTTTGAAAGGTTTGACATTTTTCTTTGAGACGGGCTTGGACCAGGGGCCCCTGGCTTCCTAGTGAGTGCAAATAGGAGGGAACTTCTCAGGAGCTGAAACCGCTGCTTTGTGGAGCAGGCCTGTGGTTGGAAAACCTAAGTTTTCTCTAGCAAAGACCCAGCCTGACTGTCCAGGGCCGAAGGTGAAACCAACTAGAGAATGCAGAAGGAAAAGCCTGGATATATCTCAGAAGATATGGTTGTATTGGCTTTTGGTCCAAGGGTATGGGGGTGGGAGTAGTGGTGTGTGCGCCCACACATTTCTCAGGCACACACAGAGATACCACAGACCACCCACTTCGTAACCACTTGCACTTTACTCTCTTCCAGACGTTCCTTTTTTTTTTAATCCCTTTGTCCCCATTATTTTGTTTTCCAGTTTAATAAAGTATGGTTTCCTTTGTTGTGTGGTTGACTTTTCCCCTCCTGTTGATCTTTTCCAGATGTCCCCTTTGACTTCTGCACTTAATGTCACTGAAGGCAATCTGAGCCTCTTAAGATCTTTATGGCCTTGTGGGTTTTCTGTTTGATCCTTTGTGTAATTGAATTTTGGAAAGGGATAATGGGTCGGGTGAGTTCTAGATGTTCAGGGAGTGGTTGGTGAAGTGGGATATACTGTATTAATAATTTTTTGTGCATGTCTTCAAAAGGTTGTGCAACTGTGAGCCAAGAAGCATTTTTAAAGCAAGCATAGAATTGGGGGTTTGGGGTGGTAGCAGGGATCCTTCTGGCCAATTATTTGCCCACATCTGCCCTTACTGCATATTGGCAATCTGTTGTGCAGAAGCCACACTTAACCCTTCTGTCTTACCCCATCCCTTGTTCATAACCCAGTGAGGCTGGGTTGGAATGCTGGCTGTAAGGGGTAAAGAGGGATAGTCACTGCATCTGGGCCAGGCCTGGGTCACTGGCAGGGTAGAAGGCTCTAAATAGCAGCCTTGCTTATGTGAAGGTACGTACATGTGTCACCAGACACTTAAATAGCAGTGGCCTGGGAACACACCCAGCAGGTAGGGTGTACCACTGTACTGGAATCTGGCTCACCCTTTTTTTCCTTGTCTCTTGGGACCTTGACTTGCCCACCTGATTTCTATATCTACCCCTAAAGAAGCAACAGCTTTGAGACTTCCTCATAAGGTTTTCTGGGCATGTTATTCATAATTTCCTCTGCCTAATTTTTTTTTTTAATGTAAGCCAATCTTGTGTAGCAGGGATGAGTTATTCCTTCATGTATGTAGACGTAGCAATGCAAACACAATCAGAATGGGTTTTGGGGTATTGGGGCGTTTCTCATACTTGTTTATGAGTAACTGTATGGACAAGTCCGGTCAGCTGCTGTTCACAATTGCTAAGTAATAACTCACTGAGGCTGCATAGGCAAGGCTACGAGAGGGTCATCAGTAAGAGAGATATTGGCCCTTAAGTAAACATCCTGTTCTGTCTTCCCCATGTAGAAGGAAATAGAAGCACTCTAAAGCAAAGAAGCAAGTGCAGTGTAAAACTATCAGTTACTTTTAATTAATTGCTGGGGAAAGAAAGGAGAAGCCTTTGCTTAGTTACAAGTTTGAGGGGAAGAGGATAAGAAGGCCAACATCTATGTAAAAGTTGATCATTGCAGTTACAGTCAACCCTCCTCGGTATCCATGAAGGATACCAGGTTCCAGGACCCCCATGGATACCAAAATCCACAGATGCTCAAGTCCCCTACATACAATGGCATAGTATTTGCATATAACCTACACACATCATCCAGTAAATTTTAAATCATCTCTAGATTACTAATACCTAATACAATGTGAGTGCTATGTACATAGTTGTATACAGTATGTTTTGAAATTTGTGTTACTTTTAATTTTTTTATTACCTTTTCCTGAATACTTTTGTGGTTGGTCGAATCCATAGATGCAGAACCCCCAGACAGAGCCAACTGTACATTTCCTTTTTTAAATGTTACGTTTTTCTATCCTTTGTTCACACCTAGGGAAGAATCAAAAATTGAGAATACAGATATGGGTGGAGGGGCTAGTGAATTCTTCAGTGCCAACTGAGGAAACACAAATACAGACTAGGCGTGGTGGCTCACGCTTGTAATCCCAGCACTTAGGGAGGCTAAGGCGGGCAGATCGCTTGAGATCAGGAGTTCAAGACCAACCTGGACAATATGACAAAGCCCTGTCTACTAAAAATACAAAAATTAGGGCCAGGCGTGGTGGCTCACGCCTGTAATCCCAGCACTTTGAGAGGCCAAGGCAGGCGGATCACGAGGTCAGGAGTTTGAGACCAGCCTGGCCAATATGGTGAAACCCCATCTCTACTAAAAATACAAAAATTAGCTGGGCGTGGTGGCACGCGCCTGTAATCCCAGCTACTCAGGAGGCTGAGGCAGGAGAATCGCCTAAACCTGGGAGGCGGAGGTTGCAGTGAGGCAAGATCGCACCACTGCATTCCAGCCTGGGTGACAGAGCAAGACTCTGTCTCGGAGTGGGGGGAGGGGGGGACATTAGCTGGGCATGGTGGCACGCACCTGTAATCCCAGCTACTTGGGAGGCTGAGGCAGGAGAATCGCTTGAACCCGGGAAGCAGAGGTTGCAGTGAGCCAAGATTGTGCCATTGCACTCCAGCCTGGGTGACAGAGTGAGACGCCGTCTCAAAAGGAAAACACAAATGCAGGTTGCAGGTTTTTGTGTTTGACTTGAGAGTTGGCTAAACCAGTCTACCCTGGACATGTTCAGGGTCATGGTAAATTGGATATTCCAGCGATCTTCCTTCCTCATCCCCATTGTGTCCCCTTATTTTCGAGAATTACTCATATCCTTTGCCACATAATTTGTGGGAGAGGAGAGAAAAGGACTTGAAACTTGCTACATTTTTCTTGGGGTGTTTCAGTTGGAATGGGTAGAAAGGAGACCGACAGCATCCCTTTCCTCTGTTTCTCCCTCCTCCCTGGCTAACAGTCCTTTGCACCTACATGAGACAACACTGAAGATAGTCAATCATTGCCAGGGGCAATAGTGATTAGGAAATGATTTGAAATCTTTATTATTTAGAAGTGAGCCTCAGTTGTATGCAGGTTGAGCATCCCAAATCCAAAGTCCAAAATCTGAGCACGAAAATGACACTCAAAGGAAATGCTCATTGGAGGATTTCGGATTTTCAGATTAGGGATGCTCAAGCAGTAAGTATAATGCAAATATTCCAAAATCTGAAAAGATTCAAAATCAGACACTTTTGGTCCCAAATATTTCAAATAAGGATACTCAACCTGTATTTCCTTCTACAGATGTTATCTAGGACCTTCTTTTAGAGTACTTTGTCCTTCCCTTTGTTTTTTACTTTAGCGTGGAACCTAAATGGACACATCCCTACCCTAGACTAGCTCCTGTGTTTGGCGGATCTCCTCTTTTTGCCCTGACCTGACATATCAGTTGTGTAAGAGCTGGGGTGGGAGTGTCTGCTTGTTTTTCTTCTACAGCCCCAAGAGATGTTCTGGGAAGGGAAATCTTAGTAGAGATTTTAGGTGAGCCCAAGGGTTTGTTTTCAAAGTCAAAGTTCAATTTATCCATGCCCCTGACAGAAAGCTTTTACCTCTTTACTCATTCAGCAAATGTGGCTGAACATTCTCTCCCATTGTGGCTTTTCTTTTTTTTTTTTAATAGAGACAGGGTCATGCTTTGTTGCCCAGGTTGGTCATAAACTCCTGGGCTCAAGCAGTCCTCCTGCCTTGGCCTCCCAAAATGCTGGGATTACAGACATGAGGCACTGTTCCCGGACACATTGTGGCATTTTATTTTATTGATTTTATTTTTATTTTATTTATTTTATTTTTTGAGACGGAGTATCATTCTTTTTTGCCCAGGCTGGAGTGCAATGGCGAAATCTAGGCTCACTGCAACCTCTGCCTCCCAGGTACAAATGATTCTCCTGCCTCAGTCTCCCAAGTAGCTGGGATTATAGGCATGTGCCACCATGCCTGGCTAATTTTTTTTTTTATTATTATTTAGTAGAGACAGGGTTTTACCATGTTGGTCACGCTGGTCTAGAACTCCTGACCTCAGGTGATCCACCCACCTCGGCCTCCCAAACTGCTGGGATTACAGGCGTGAGCCACTGTGCCCGGCCTGATTTTATTTTATTTTATTTTATTTTATTAATTTTGAGATGGAGTTTCACTCTTGTCACCCAGACTGGAGTGCAATGGCGCGATCTCGGCTCACTGCAACCTCCACCTCCTGGTTCAAGCAATTCTGCCTCAGCCTCCCAAGTAGCTGGGATTACAGGTGCCCACCACCACGCCCAGCGAATTTTTGTATTTTTAGTAGAGACGGTGTTTCGCCATGTTGGCCAGGCTAGCCTCAAACTCCTGGCCTCAAGTGATCCACCCGCCTTGGCCTCCCAAAGTGCTGGGATTACAGGCATGAGCCACCATGCCCAGCCCTTTTATTTTATTTTTAGAGACGGGGGCCTCACTCTGTTGTACATGCTGGAGTGCAGTGTCATAATCATAGCTCACTGTAACCCAACTCCTGGGCTGAAGCAACTCTCACCTCAGCCTCCTGAGTAGCTGGGACTACAGGCATGCACCACCATGCCCAGCTAATTTTTTTTATTTTTGTAGAGATGGGATCTCACTATGTTATCCAGGCTGGTCTTGAATTCCTGGGTTCAAACGGTCCTCTGCCTTGGCTTCCCAAAGTGCTGGGATTATAGGTGTGGGGCACCATGCCCAGCCTATGATGGCATTTTAAAGCAAAGTTAAAGATTGGCCCCATCCCAGATCTTCCACTTACATTACTAGGGAATTATTTTTTAAAAAATAAACCTAACTTCCCTACCACTTGTGCCTTTAGCCACTTGGCTACTTCTCTGGGCCCCAAAGGTTTTTGTTAGCAATGACATAATCCTTTCTTTTCTTTCTTTTTTTTTTTCTTTTTTTTTTTTTTTTTTTGAGACGGAGTCTTGTTCTGTCTCCCAGGTTGGAGTGCAGTGGCATGATCTTAATTCCTTGCAACCTCCACCTCCCAGGTTCAAGCGATTCTCCCGCCTCAGCCTCCCGAATAGCTGGGACTACAAGCGTGCACCACCATGCCCAACTAATTTTTTGTGTTTTTAGTAGAGATGGGTTTCACCATGTTGGCCAGGCTGGTCTTGAACTCCTGACCTCAAGTGATCTGCTCACCTCACCCTCCCAAAGTGCTGGGATTACGGGTATGAGCCACCACACCCGGCCTCATAATCCTTTCTTTATATATTTTACCTTATTCCTTTTTTTTTAACCTCTAATATCTTTTTTTTTTCCTTTGAGACGGATTCTTGTTTGGTTGCCCAGGCTGGAGTGCAGTGACACGATCTCGGCTCACTGCAATCTCTGCCTCTGGGGTTCAAGTGATTCTCCCACCTCAGCCTCCCAAGTAGCTAGGACTACAGGCATGCGCCACCACGCCAGGCTTTTTTTTTTTTTTTTTTTTTTTTTTTTTTGAGACAGAGTCTCTCTCTGTCACCCAGGCTGGAGTGCGGTGGCGCAATCTCGGCTCACTGCAAGCTCCGCCTCCCGGGTTCACGCCATTCTCCTGCCTCAGCCTCCCAAGTAGCTGGGATTACAGGCATGTGCCACCACACCTGGCTAATTGTGTATTTTTGGTAGAGACGGGGTGTCTCCATGTTGGTCAGGCTGGTCTCGAACTCCCGACCTCAGGTGATCTGCCCGCCTCAGCCTTCCAAAGTGCTGGGATTACAGGCGTGAGCCACCGCGCCTGGCTAATTTTTGTATTTTTAGTAAAGACGGGCTTTCACTATGTTGGCCACGCTGATCTCAAACTCCTGACCTCAGATCCACCTGCCTCAGCCTCCCAAATGCTGAGATTACAGGCGTGAGCCACTGCATCCAGCCTTCTCTTTTTTTTTTTTTTTTTTTTTTGAGACGGAGTCTTGCTGTGTTGCCCAGGCTGGAGTGCAGTGGTGCGATCTCGGCTCACTGCAAGCTCCGCCTCCCGGGTTCACGCCATTCTCCTGCCTCAGCTCCCGAGTAGGTGGGACTACAGGCGCACGCTGCCACGCCCGGCTAATTTTTTGTATTTTTAGTAGAGACGGGGTTTCACCATGTTAGCCAGGGTGGTCTCGATCTCCTGACCTCGTGATCCACCCGCCTCGGCCTCCCAAAGTGCTGGGATTACAGGCATGAGCCACTGTGCCCGGCCTCTGCCTTCTCTTTTTTTTTTTTTTTTTTTTTTTTTTTTGAGACAGGGTATCATTCTGTTGCCCAGGTTGCAGTACAGTGGTGCAATCACGCCTCACTGCACTGGATCTCCTGGGCTCAAGCAATCTTCCCACCTTAGCCTCCCAAGGCACATACCACCATGCCCAGCTAATTTTTTATTTTTTGTAGAGATGGGGGTCTCACTATGTTGTCCAGGCTGTTGTCGAACTCCTGGACTCAAGCAATCCGCCTGCCTCAGCCTCCAGTGTTGGGATTACAGGCGTGAGCCACCACACCCAGCCAAATATACTTTCTACATCTTTAGTGCTTCTAAGAAGTAAGATAGATTTGGAGGTATGTGCTGATCCTGAGGACAAGTGGAAAATATTTACATGTAGTTTAAAGTTACATGTAGTTTAAAGCTATAAAAACAATACCTTCTGAACTAGGACTCTAGTCACCTTGGAATTTCTATTCCAAAAGTGGAGTTAAGCTGAGAATTTCCTAAAATTTTACTAAGGGCCTAGGACACCCTTCACTGTGGATTCCCTTTTTCCTGCACTTCTGTGGAAATCTAGCTTTATTTTGTGCACACTTTTTTCCTTAACCTTAATCTGGTAGAGAAAAGTCGGAAGACGCCTCTTTTCTTGGCTTTCTATTGGACCCACCTCTTTTACCCTATATCAAAGGCCTATTTGGCCACAAGTATCAGAATCTTATAACCTGACACATTATGACCAATCTGGTCCCTGAGAGGCAGTATGGCATAGCATAAACAACAAGGGCTTTGCATTCAGATAGACTGGGGGCTTTACTTCTTTGAGAATCATTTTCCTGTTTTAAAGGGAGTATACTTGACATAGTTGTTTTAGGAATTAGGTGAAATAGTGAAGGCATAGCACCGGGTGTTCAGTAGTAGTCTAGGGTGGAGGGGCAACAGCCCAAGTTTTAAGAATAGATGTTTCAAGCCAGGCATGGTGGCTCACGCCTGTAAACGCAGCACTTTGGGAGGCCAAGGCAGGTGGATCACCTGAGGTCAGGAGTTCAAGACCAGCCTGGCCAACATTGTGAAACCCCATCTCTACTAAAAATACAAAAAAATAGCCAGGTGTGGTGGCGGGCACCTGTAATCCCAGCTACTCGGGAGGCTGAGGCAGGAGAATCGATTGAATCTGGGAGTCGGAGGTTGCAGTGAGCCAAGATCGTGCCATTGCACTCCAGCCTGAGCAACAAGAGTGAAACTCCATCTCAAAAAACAAAAAACAGGCCGGGCACAGTGGCTCACGCCTGTAATCTCAGCACTTTGGGAGGCCAAGGTGGTCGGATCACGAGGTCAGGAGTTCGAGACCAGCCTGACATGGTGAAACCCTGTCTCTACTAAAAATACAAAAATTAGCCGAGCGTGGTGGCGCGCACCTGTAATCCCAGCTACTCAGGAGGCTGAGGCAGAAGAATCACTTGAACCCGGGAGGCAGAGGTTGCAGTGAGCCAAGATAGCGCCACTGCACTCCAGCCTCGGCGACAGAGCAAGACTCTGACTCAAAAAAAATTAGCTGGGTGTGGTGGCGTACACCTGTAATCCCAGCTACTGGGGAAGCTGAGGCAGGAGGATCACTTGAACCCAGGAGGCGGAGGTTGCAGTGAGCCAAGATCATGCCACTGCACTCCAGCCGGGCAACAGAGCAAGACTTCACCTCAAAAAAAAAAAAAAAAAAAAAAAAAAGAATAGATGTTTCCTAGGCTGACTAATGGATTAAAATTCCCCAATACTGAGGCATATGCTAGTCACAAGTCCGAAGTTGTAGAAGAACCAGTAACTCATGAATTGGCCTTAGCTTGCTCTTGCACTTGCTTACTTGCTTGCTTGCTTCTTACAGAGGGCGGATGGAATAACTCAACATTCCTTCCTTCCTCCACTGCAACACAAGTTACATAGGTGATGATGTGGTAGTTGATTGATCGGCATCCCCTCAGCACCCAGCTCACTGCATTGCACACAGTAAGCAGTTAGTAAATGAGAGCATCAAATCAATACCGTGATTGGTACATACTTGATTCAATAATTATTGGGCACCTACCATTTTGTTGCCTGCAATACACCTTTCCCCTTTTGGTGCAGAGGCATGAGAAGAATTCTGCCTGTTGCCACCCTTTCTGAATGCCATTTAAAAATTCTTAACTACCTTCTCCAAACCACACACACACAAGTTATCTTCCTCTCCCACACTCTTGTCTCTTTCTCTTTGTATTTCAGGGTGTCTACCAGAAGATGGACCCAAGATCCATGGAGGCTCCTGTGACTCAGATCAACTGCCCTGCCCGGGAAACCTGGTCTCTCCGGAAACCTTGATTAAACTGCTTTTTCTGACACCTCTTCCTCTACAACCCTTGATTCTATCACCATTGAAACTTCAGAACCAACTCTAACCATCCCCACCTCCAGGTGAGGGGACTAATGAGAATTACTGACAGCCTGATGGCTACCCCCAAGTCAGTTTCCCTTCATACTTTACTACAAATCTGACCATGTTCCCATATTTACTGAGTAAATTTGATGAAATTTACCTAGTCCTGTGTCCTAGATGTATCAGGGAGAGGGAAGAGAAAGGATAAAGGAAGTTGAGAGCTGGGATAGGAATTAGAGGCAAAGGGCTTATGTAGGGAGCAGAGAGCTAAAATTCTAGTCAGGCACCTCTTTCTGAGGTGATGGGGGAGTATACTGGGAGCAAACTCTTCTAGAGAAAGCATGGTGTGGTAAAAGAAAACCAAGCTTGGATTCAGAAATCACCATCAGCACTTGCTGTTTGACCTTAAATTCCTCATCTGTCAGATTAAAAGGTCTCGGCCGGGCATGGTGGCTCACGCCTGTAATCCCAGCACTTTGGGAGGCTGAGGCAGGCGGATCACCTGATGCTGGGAGTTCGGGACCAGCCTGACCAACATGGAGAAACCCTGTCTCTACTAAAAATACAAAATTAGCTGGGCCTGGGGTGGCACATGCCTGTAATCCCAGCTACTCGGGAGGCTGAGGCAGGAGAAGCGCTTGAACCTGGGGAGGCGGAGGTTGCGGTAAGCCGAGATCACGCCACTGCACTCCAGCCTGGGCAACAAGAGTGAAACTCCATCTCAAAAAAAAAAAAAAAAGATTAAAAGGTCTATAAAGTCCCTATTAAGCACCATGAGTATAAAGGGACTCAAACTGACCTCTGCAGATTCTTGATTCCAGCTTTTTTGTTTTTGTTTTGTTTTGAGATGAAGTCTCGCTCTTGTCCCCCAGGCTGGAGTGCATGGCGTGATCTCGGCTCACTGCAACCTCCACCTCCCGGGTTCAAGCGATTCTCCTGTCTCAGCCTCCCAAGTAGCTGGGATTACAGGCGCCCACCACCATGCCCAGCTAATTTTTGTATTTTTAGTAGAGACGGGGTTTCACCATGTTGGCCAGGCTGGTCTAGAACTCCTGACCTCAGGTGATCCACCCGCCTCGGCCTCCCAAGTAGCTGGGATTACAGGCGCCCACCACCACGCCCAGCTAATTTTTGTATTTTTAGTAGAGACGGGGTTTCACCATGTTGGCCAGGCTGGTCTAGAACTCCTGACCTCAGGTGATCCACCTGCCTCGGCCTCCCAAAGTGCTGGGATTACAGCGTGAGCCACTGCGCGCGGCCATCTTTGCTCCAGCTTTAAAGTGGTTACTCCAGAGGCTGAGGTGGTCAGTTGAGCCCAGGAGGTCGAGACTGCAGTGAGCCATGATTGTACCCCTGCACTCCAGCCTGGGCAACGGTGAGACCTTGTCTCAAAATTAAAAAATAAAACTGTTACAGTCATTTATCATAATAGCTTCTTGTTGCTTTTGCCCATTACCAAAAAACCATGGGCCACACTAGACGATTTACATAAAATTTAACTCAACAATTGGGAGCAACACTATTCTCATTTTATAGTTGAGAAAATTGAGGCTTAGAGAAATTAAATAGGTCAGGCAAGGCGGCTCATGCCTGTAATTCCAGAACTCTGGGAGGCCGGAGCGCGGTGGCGGTTTGGTGGGGGGGAGGGGAGGGATTGCTTGAGGCCAGGAGTTCGAGACTACCCTGGCCAACATAGTGAGACCCGCCCCCCCCTCCCGCCCCCCCCGGTCTCTATTAAATAAATATGAGAAGTTTAATAATTTTCCCAAAATTACATAGTTAATGGCAGATCCAGAATTTACACTAGGTCTGTCTGGTTCCCCAGTCTATGCTCTTAAGTTTTGCTACTTGCTGTAAGGACCACGTAAAATAAAATGTATAGTTAAAGGGAAATTACTACCATTTCCTGTCTGGTTTTCTCCCACTCTCGCCCTCAAAAGTTCACCTGCCCTTGTCCTCAAAGCCACAGGACGCCTAATTGCTATTTTTGGGTTTCAGCTGAAACGCCACGGGTCTGGGGGAATAGCGAGGGTGTGTTACATTTTCGGTCTTCCGGTCAGCCGGAACCACTCACACCGCTGCTGGTGCTGTGTAGGGTGTACCTCTTCGGAGTTCCTGGAGGTGGTGCCAGACTAGAGTGGCAGCTGTAGTAACCAATAGACACGGACTTTGTTGGACCAGAAGCCAATGAAGAATTACGTGGAGGAGAAGCGGCGATAATCTGTTTGAGGATGTAGGCACTGGTGTGAAGGAACATGGCCCTGTATCAGAGGTGGCGGTGTCTCCGGCTCCAAGGTTTACAGGCTTGCAGGCTACACACGGTGCGTGAGGCACCCCCAAAGCTCCGATCCGCATCAGACTTAGCCCAGCCGAAGCCCCCAAATTTTTATGTTAACCCAGCCTCACGCCACTCCTCCTCTCCCTGGTCCTCCGAGTCCCCAGAAAAGGACTCGTATCTAAACTCGTTATCTAATTCTCGAGTTAGCGGTCTGGGGGACTCTGAGCTCGAAGGACCCCCAGCCTAGGGTCTTGTATCACCCAATCCCCTTAAAAAGTAGGAATTCGGACGAAGTCCACTTAACCATCCCAAAGTGCCATCATCTGCAATTCTAAGAAAGAATGATGGGACGTGTGTTACCTGCTAATATATCTTTCCCTCCAGGCAGTTGTGTCGACCCCTCCACGCTGGTTGGCAGAGCGGCTTGGCCTTTTTGAGGAGCTGTGGGCTGCTCAGGTAAAGAGATTAGCAAGCATGGCACAGAAGGAACCCCGGACTATTAAGATATCACTTCCTGGAGGCCAGAAAATTGATGCTGTGGCATGGAACACAACCCCCTACCAACTAGCCCGGCAGATCAGGTAACAGGCCCATCCTGTAACTACCAGGATTATCCTTCTGCCCCTTTACTTTCTCTTCACTTGAGCAGGGGAAGAAAACTTGGTCTGCTTGTTTCTGTTCCGTCCCCATTAAGATAGCCTTTCCTGAAGATTTTGTTTTTGTTTTTTGTTGTTGTTCTTTTATACAGACGGGGTCTCTCCATGTTGCCCAGGCTAGTCTTGAACTCCTGGGCTCAAGCGATCCTTCCATCTCAGCCTCCCGAAGTGCTGGGATTACAGGCATGAGCCACCAAACCCGGCCTGAGATTTGTTTTATCTGTATTAGTTTCTGCATCAGAGTCTCTGTCCTTTCATTGGGGAAAGAAATGAAAGCTTCTGTTGCTCTGGTAACTCATTTCACCTTTGCAAGTTTACAGTTGCTGAGAGATGAGCAACTTTCTCCCCACTGTGGATTGTAACCCTGTCTGTTTTAAATCATTAATTTACTTTTTAATAATTGATACATAATAATTGAACATATGAATGGGTATATGTGATATTTTGATATATGCATACAATATGTAATGATCAAATCAGGGTGTTCAGGATATCTGTTACCCCAAACATTTATCATTTCTTTGTGTTGGGACTATTTCAAATCTTCTAGCTATTTTGAAATATACAATAAATTATTATTAACTGTATTCACCCAACTCTGCTATGGAACATTAGAGCATATTCCTTCTGTCTAACTCTATTTTTGTACCCATTAGCCAACCTCTTCATCTCCCCTCCCCCATCCTTTCCAGCCTCTGGTAACTATCACTCTATTCTCTACCACTGTGAGATCAACTTTTTAAACTCTCATATAGGAATCAGAACATGTGATATTTTCCTTTTTGTGCCTTGTAACCCTGTCTTTTTCTTCATCCCCACCTTCCACTGCTGAAGTTCAACACTGGCAGATACTGCAGTGGCTGCTCAAGTGAATGGAGAACCTTATGATCTGGAGCGGCCCTTGGAGACAGATTCTGACCTCAGATTTCTGACATTCGATTCCCCAGAGGGGAAAGCAGTAAGTTTCTTTCTTATCAGGAATACAGTGACTACTAAACCAAGAGATATTGAAGCAGGAAATTCTAACATTTTATTCTTTTGCCGCAGTTTCTCCATTTGCAGTTGGGAGGGAGACCTACCACAGACTGTCTTGACTATTTCTGGTTAGGAAACTTATGGTGAAAGTTTTTAACTTAGCTTCGATCTATTAAGCAAACATTTGTGCTAGTGAGAGGGAGAGAGATGATATGTTGAAAAAACGAAAGGATAAATATGTAAATTCAGCCCCCTCAACTCTTGAGCACGTACATTATAAGTCATCTGTAGTGTATATTCAATTCTAACATGGCTTATACAGCTGAGCAAACAACCTGGTCACCTCCCCACCTTGTCTTCTTCATGTCAGCTCAGGTAGCACAGACCTTGCCTATTAGGATCCAGAAAAATAGAGTTCTCCTGCCATCTATGTGTAAATAGTGACCAAATCCAAGAGGAATATATCGCACTAGATTCGTGGGACAGAAAAAAATAGGACTAAAAGACCAAACAGAGACCTAAGTAACCACTGTGTTAAGAAGATAGCTTATTCTGGCCAGGCACAGTAGCTCACGCCTGTAATCCCAGCACTTTGGGAGGCCGAGGCAGGTGGATCATCTGAGGTCAAGAGTTCAAGACCAGCCTGGCCAACATAGTAGAAACCCCGTCTCTACTAAAAATACAAAAATTAGCTGGGCGTGGTGGTGAGCACTTGTCATCCCAGCTAATTGAGAGGCTGAGGCAGGAGAATTGCTTGAACCCTGGAGGCGGAGGTTGCAGTGAGCTGAGATCGCGTCATTGCACTCTAGCCTGGGCGACAGAGCGAGACTCCGTCTCAAAAAGAAAAATTATTCTGAAGCCCTAAAAGCTTACAGGAGCAGCAGAAGACTGACTGGCCTCCAGCTTCTATGCTTTGGAACTGGGAAGAACCAAGGATTGAGGGGTGGGGCTGGAGCTTCTATGCACTGAAAGAAGAAAAAATACTGGCCTTCTTTCTTTTCTATTCAGTCTTTTTTTTTTTTTTTTTTTTTTGAGATGGAGTCTCACTCTGTCACCCAGGCTGGAGTGCAGTGGCGCGATCTTGGTTCACTGCAACTTCCACCTCCCGGGTTCAAGTGATTCTCCTGCCTCAGCCTCCTGAGTAGCTGGGATTACAGACACACGCCACCATGCCTGGCTAGTTTTGTATGTTTTAGCAGAGACAGGGTTTCACCATGTTGGCCAGACTGGCCTCGAACTCCTGACCTCAGATGATCCGCCTGCCTTGACCTCCTGAAGTGTTGGGGTTACAGGCATGAGCTGCTGTGCCCAGCCTTTTTTTTTAAGCTTGTTACTTTTTAGTGGTCACCCCCAAAATCTAGGATCCCCATTTTGTGGTAGTTATTCCTAGAAGAACCATACCGGCTTTCCTACCAGCTTTTGTGAGGAAGAGCTCAGAGATCTAGGGGTTAAGGGAGAAGTTTATGAACTTGTGAACCCCTTTTTTGTGAACCCAGGTGTTCTGGCACTCCAGCACCCATGTCCTGGGGGCAGCAGCTGAACAATTCCTAGGTGCTGTTCTCTGCAGAGGTCCAAGTACAGAATATGGCTTTTACCATGATTTCTTCCTGGGAAAGGAGAGGTGAGTAATGAAAGGAAGGAGGAGAATGATTCTGGGATGGTTTCTGAGGCTCTTTTCAGGGGCCTTGGGCATGCTCCATTTGGATGAGGAAGCTGGAGGAGAAGGGTTTCTCTAGGTCTCAACTATGACATTAGTATCTCCTTCTGTGCTAGTCCATGTCCCTCTTCTAACTTTGCTTGAAATTTACCTTCTTGGCTGGTGCACATGTAGTCCCAGCTACTTGGGAGGCTGAGGTGGAAGGATCACTTGAGCCTGGGAGGTTGAGGCTGTGGTGAGCCATGATCTTAACCACTGCACCCAACTTGTGTGACACAGCAAGACACTTTCTCAAAAAAAAAACAAAAAGAAAAAGAAGAAACAACTTACTTTGTTACTTGTTAGCTTTCATAAATTCAAGTTTTACTTAATCGCCCTCATTACTATTGTTCTAACTTTGTCTATCCAGATTTCCTGCATTCAACTTTTAACTTCATGCATAGAGCTTTTTCTCCAGCTGTAATATCTGTTACCTGATATCCTATTTATATTTTCTCTGAGTTTGTCTGTCTTTGCCTATAACTCTAGATTTCTCTTGAAGGACAGGACCTTACCCGCTAGCCAACAGGTGTGTCACCCAGGTGATTGATGCACCTCATAGGATGCAACCCAACCAATTCTCCTCTTTCCAGGACAATCCGGGGCTCAGAGCTGCCTGTTTTGGAGCGGATTTGCCAGGAACTTACAGCTGCTGCTCGACCCTTCCGGAGGCTAGAGGCTTCACGGGATCAGCTTCGCCAGTTGTTCAAGGTGGGGTGGAGGGAAGAGGTGGCTCTTCCAGGACATCTTTGTGGGAATAAACACTTTTCTTCAATCTCCCTTCTACCTTTTTCCAGGATAACCCCTTTAAGCTTCACTTGATTGAGGAGAAAGTGACAGGTCCAACAGCAACAGTATATGGGTAAGAGTTGTCAAGATTAAGGCAAACAGAGAGGTGGGGAAGCATTGAAGAAGGCCAGAAATGCGATAAGGGAAGAAAGATAGAAGGTAATTTGTGTTGCTCCAGAAAAAGAAATGGGAATGGGAATTGATTTTTTTTTTTTCTTTTTTTGAGACGGAGTCTTGGTCTGTCTCCCAGGCTGGAGTGCGGTAGCACGATCTCGGCTCACTGCAACCTCCGCCTCCTGGGTTCAAGTGATTCTCCTGCCTTAGCCTCCAGAGTGGCTGGGATTACAGGCATGTGCCACCATGCCTGGCTAGTTTTTTTTTTTTTTTTTTTTTTTGAGATGAAGTCTTGTTCTGTCACCCAGGCTGGAATGCAGTGGCGCGATCTCGGCTCACTGCATCTCTGCCTCCCGGGTTCAAACAATTCTTCTGCCTCAGCCTCCCGAGTAGCTGGAACTACAGGCATGCACCACCATGCCTAGCTAATTTTTATATTTTTAGTAGAGACGGGGTTTCACCATATTGTCCAGGCTGGTCTCGAACTCCTGACCACGTGATCCACCCACCTTGGCCTCCCAAAGTTCTGGGATTATAGACATGAGCCACCGCGCCCTGCCAGGGAATTGATTTTTATCTGCCATTGCCCTCTCTCAGTAGGACAGTTCCTTTCTCTTCACCTCTTCTGTCAGCTAAAGACCATGAGAGGGAGAAAGCTAGAAGCTGAAGATTCTGAAAATCACTAACTGGCCTCTTCTTTCTCCTAGGTGTGGCACATTGGTTGACCTTTGCCAGGGCCCCCACCTTCGGCATACTGGACAGATTGGAGGACTGAAGCTGCTATCGGTCAGTTGTGGGACAGAGTTAGGTTAAGATTCCTATTTTGAGCCGGGCATGGTGGCTCACGCTTGTAATCCCAGCACTTTGGGAGGCTGAGGCAGATGGATCATAAAGTCAGGAGTTTGAGACCAGCCTGGCCAATATGGTGAAACCCCGTCTCTACTAAAAATACAAAAATTAGCTGGGTGTGGTGGCACACACCTGTAGTCCTAGCTGCTCGGGAGGCTGAGACAGGAGAGTTGCCTGAACCTGGGAGGCGGAGGTTGTAGTGAGCCGAGACTGCACTACTGCACTCCAGCCTGGGCAACAGAGCGAGAGTCCATCTCAAAAAAAAAAAAAAAAAAATTCCTGGTTTCACTGGGATGAGCAGGAGAATCGGAAGGTGATACTTTCTGTCGGCACCCCCCTTTTTTTTTTTTGAGACCAAGTCTCTCGGTCGCCCAGGCTGGAGTGCAGTGGCGCGATCTTGGCTCACTGCAAGCTTCGCCTCCTGGATTCAAGCAATTCTCCTGCTTCAGCCTCCCGAGTAGCTGGGATAATAGGTGTGCACCACCATGCCCAGCTACTTTTTGTATTTTTAGTAGAGACAGGGTTTCACCATGTTGGCCAGGGTGATCTCAAGTGATCTTCCCTTCTCAGCCTCCCAAAGTGCTGGGATTACAGGCATGAGCCACTGAGCCTGGCCCTGTACTCTCATAAGCTGAGCGGGGAATACAGGAGAAAGAAACTTTGTCCCCACATTCTAAAAACCCGTTTGATGGCACACACTGGACAGCCTGCTAGGGCCCAGAAGCCAATTCAGATGCCCTAATATGATGTCAGTATTAAGGGGGGTGGAGGGGTGGAGCAGGAGGGTGTGAGCAAGCTGGATGGGTCATACAGGGAAGGGTTGTAGAGAGAGGGGGCGTGGTCCAGGAGGAAGATGAACACCATTTGACAGGCACAGGGAAAATACCTTTAGTAAAGGGCATGCTTTTTATGAAAATACCGTTCTGCATGGTGGCTCACGCCTATAATCCCAGCACTTTGGGAAGCCGAGGTGGGTGGACCACCTGAGGTCGGGAGTTCAAGACCGGCCTGACCAACATGGAGAAACCCCGTCTCTACTAAAAATACAAAATTAACTGGGCGTGGTGGCACATGCCTGTAATCCCAGCTACTTGTGAGGCTGAGGCAGGAGAATCACTTGAACCTGGGAGGTGGAGGTTGTGGCGATCCAAGATCGTGCCATTGCACTCTAGCCTGGGCAACAAGAGCAAAACTCCGTCTCAAAAAAAAAAAAAAGAAAAGAAAATACTGTTCTGGACAAGAAGAGTTACTAGATGGAATGGGATGAGTTACAAGGGAGCAAGGGGAAATGCAGATGTGTAGAGCAAAAAGCTCTGAACTTAGACTGGGCATGGTGGCTCATGCCTATAATCCCAGCACTTTGGGAGGCCAAGGTGGGTGGATCACTTGAGATCAGCCTGGCCAACATGGCAAAACCCCATGGCGCGGTGGCCTTGGGTAAATCTTACTTATTTTCCCCATCTATAAAATGAGGCTATTAATTCCTTTTTGTCCTACCAGTAAATTCACCTCATAAAGATAATGAAAACCAGGCCAGGCATGGTGGCTCACACCTGTAATCCCAGCACTTTGGGGAGGGTGAGGCAGGCGGATCACTTGAGGTCAGGAGTTCGAGACCAGCCTGGCCAACATGGTGAAACCCTGTCTCTACTAAAAATACACAAATTAGCTGGGTGTGCTGGCCTACGCCTGTAATCCCAGCTACAAAAAAGGCTGAGGCAGGAGAGTCACTTGAACTCTGCCAGGAGGCAGAGGTTGCAGTGAGCTGAGATTGTGCCACTGCATTCCAGCCTGGGCCACGGAGCGAGACAACATCTCAAAAAAAAAAAAAAAAAAAAAGATAATGAAAACCAACTAATTCAGGAAAAAGGAAAAGTTAAAAAGTGCTGTAAAATACAGACTGTCGGCCAGGTGCGGTGGTTCACACGTGTAATCCCAACACTTTGGGAGGCCAAGTTGGGCGGATCACTTGAGCTCAGGAGTTCAAGACCAGCCTGGCCAACATGGTGAAACCTCGTCACTACTAAAAATAAAAAATTAGCTGGGCGTGGTGGCATGCACCTGTAGTCCCAGCTACTCGGGAGGCTGAGGCAGGAGAATTGCTTGAACTGGGAGGCAGAGGTTGCAGTGAGCCAAGATTGCACCACTGCACTCCAGCCTGGGCAACAGAGTGAGACTCTGTTTCAAAAAATATACATATAGGGGCTGGGCGTGGTGGCTCACGCCTGTAATCCTAACACTTTGGGAGGCTGAGGCGAGTGAATCACGAGGTCCAGAGATCGAGACCATCCTGGCTAACACCGTGAAACCCCGTCTCTACTAAAAATACAAAAAATTAGCCAGGTGTGGCCGGGCGCAGTGGCTCACGCCTGTAATCCCATCACTTTGGGAGGCTGAGGCAGGCGGATCATGAGGTCAGGAGATCGAGACCATCCTGGCTAACACGGTGAAACCCTGTCTACTAAAAATACAAAAAATTAGCTGGGCGAGGTGGCGGGCGCCTGTAGTCCCAGCTACTTGGGAGGCTGAGGCAGGAGAATGGCGTGAACCCTGGGGGGTGGAGCCTGCAGTGAGCCAAGATCACGCCACTGCACTCCAGCCTGGGCGACAGCGAGACTCCGTCTCAAAAAAAGAAAAAAAAAATTAGTCGAGTGTGGTGGTGGTGGCCTGTAGTCCCAGCTACTTGGGAGGCTGAGGCAGGAGAATGGCGTGAACCTGGGAGGCGGAGCTTGCAGTGAGCCGAGATCGCGCCACTGCACTCCAGCCTGGGTGACAGATGTATATACACACACACACACACGTATAGACTGTTTCTCATTAGTACTGTTTAACAGTTTTATTTTATTTCATTTTTATTTTTTTGAGACAGAGTCTTGCTCTGTTGCCCAGGCTGGAGTGCAGTGGCCTGATCTCGGCTCACTGCAACCTCTGCCTGCCAGGTTCAAGCAATTCTCCTGCCTCAGCCTCCTGAGTAGCTGGGTTACAGGCACGTGCCACCACACCTGGCTAATTTTTGTATTTTTAGTACAGACAAGGTTTCACCATGTTGGTCAGGCTGGTCTTGAACTCTTGACCTTGTGATCCACCCACCTCAGCCCCCCAAAGTGCTGGGATTACAGGTGTGAGCCACTGCGCCCGGCCTCTCATTAGTACTTTTTTGTTTGTTTGTTTGTTTGTTATTTTTTGAGATGGAGTCTTGCTCTGTCGCCCAGGCTGGAGTGCAGTGGTGCGATCGCGACTCACTGCTAGCTCCACCTTCCGGGTTCATGCCATTGTCCTGCCTCAGCCTCCCGAGTAGCTGCGACTACAGGCACCCACCACCACACCCAGTTAATTTTTTTGTATTTTTAGTAGAGACGGGGTTTCACCATGTTAGCCAGGATGGTCTCGATCTCCTGACCTCGTGATCCGCCCGCCTCGGCCTCCCAAAGTGCTGGGATTACAGGCGTGAGCCACCGCGCCCGGCTCATTAGTACTGTTAAAGGAGAGAGCAGGCAGAGGCTTTTGGATTTCATGTGGCCAGGAATGGGATATGGTATAGAAGACTGACTTTTCTAGCAGCTGTATAGGATATTGATAAATGGAGGAATAGACTGACATTTGACCAGAGCTTATGGTTATTCCTCTAAGCAGTCATTGATTAGAATGGGAAGGAACTAAGTAAAGGGGTAATGAGAATGGGGAGAAAAAGAGATGGCAAGGTAAGGTTAGGCCTGACCAGGTTGTATGTAGGAATTAAGAGTCAGGCAATTTCAACACTTTAATCTAGAAGAATGGTGTCTAGAGGATGGAGGTGTTCATCCTACTGGTGGGATTGTTGTCAAGAGGCATACCTGTGACACTTAACACTGAGAGTATCATTTGAGTCTTGAAAAAGGTGGGGGCCTTCAGTCCTCATCTTTCCTTTGATCCCCTATGTCCTCACACAGAACTCATCATCCTTATGGAGGTCTTCAGGGGCCCCAGAGACACTGCAGAGAGTGTCAGGGATTTCCTTCCCCACAACAGAATTGCTGAGGGTCTGGGAAGCATGGAGGGAGGAAGCAGAATTGCGGGACCACCGGCGCATTGGGAAGGTACAGGAATTGGGAAGATAGGGAGGGATGGTGATAAGGGTTGGAGAGAGATGACAGAACCTGATTATGAAATTGGGAGCAGATTCAGTCACACAGACTGAGCAGCTCCGTCAGTTGTTCTGAGTTCCAAAGCCACCTCCTTGCCCTTGAGGTGACCCAATATTGCTATTCCTGACCCCAGGAACAGGAGCTCTTCTTCTTCCATGAACTGAGCCCTGGGAGCTGCTTCTTCCTGCCACGAGGGACAAGGGTGTATAATGCACTAGTGGCGTTTATCAGGGTAAGGGGACCCAGGTCTAGAGGAAAGAAGACCAGGGAGGGGCTGAGGGACTAGAAGAAGCTAAGGTGTTTGTGTTAAAAGATGGGGGTTGGGGCCGGGCACAGTGGCTCACATCTATAATCCTAGCACTTTCGGAGGCTGAGCCGTGCAGATCACCTGAGGTCAGGAGTTCGAGACCAGCCTGGCCAACATGGCAAAACCCTGTCTCTACTAAAATAAATACAAAAAATTAGCCAGTGTGGTGGCAGCGCCTGTAGTCCCAGCTACTGGGGAGGCTGAGGCAGGAGAATCCCTTGAACCCAGGAAGGGGAGGTTGCAGTGAACTGAGATTGAGCCACTGCACTCCAGCCTGTGTGATACAGTGAGACTCCGTCTTGAAGAGAAAAAAAAAGGTGGGGGGGCTGGTTTGGAATCATAAACATAAATATTGAAAGTGCTGGTGACCTTTAATACTACAATTGTGTGGTCTGCAGTCGGGGAGCATAGAGATGGGACCTGGTATTTAATAGGTTGTGGTTGCAATCAGCATGGCCTGAGGGCCCAGGAAGATCACACAGCTGACACCCTACCTGCTTTCCTTCCAGTTACTCTGACCTTCCATGTCTGTACCCTCCTCTCCAGGCTGAGTATGCCCATCGTGGTTTCTCCGAGGTGAAAACTCCCACACTGTTTTCTACGAAGCTCTGGGAACAGTCAGGGCACTGGGAGCATTATCAGGAAGACATGTTTGCCGTGCAGCCCCCAGGCTCTGACAGGCCTCCCAGCTCCCAGAGTGACGATTCTACCAGGCATATCACAGATACACTCGCCCTCAAGCCTATGAACTGCCCTGCACACTGGTAAGCTGGGAGCTAGGGTTACAATCAGGTTGCTAAATATTAAATAATAGAAAGCACCTTGGGGCCGGGCACGGTGGCTCACGCCTGTAATCCCAACACTTTGGGAGGCCGAGGCGGGCGGATCACCTGAGGTCGGGAGTTTGAGACCAGCCTGACCAACATGGAGAAACCCTGTCTCTACTAAAAATACAAAAAATTAGCCGGGCACGGTGGCGGGCGCCTGTAGTCCCAGCTACTCAGGAGGCTGAGGCAGGCTAATGGCGTGAACCCAGGAGGTGGAGCTTGCAGTGAGCCGAGATCGCGCCACTGCACTCCAGCCTGGGTGACACAGCGAGACTCCATCTCAAAAAAAAAAAAAAAAAGAAAGCACCTTGGAAAGAGTATTGGGACACCGATTTGAGCCTACAGTCTTCCCCCTAGCTAACCATGTAAATTTGGGAAACTCATTTTACCTCTTTAGGTCTCAGTCTCCTTAAAGTTGCTATCTAAGGCTCCTCCTTCAGCTCAGTGACCATCACAGAACAGGGAAATGGTAAACGATGTCTGTTATTGTGTTACTGAGAAATCCACTTTTGAACCTCAGGGCTCAGACTGTGATGAGTGGGATTGACAGGACTCAGTGGGAGGATGTGCTGAGGCTGGAGAGGGTTATAGCAGATGGTGCAGAGAAAGTAGGCAAGCAGATTGGGTGGAGGAGCAGTCTTCGGGGGCTAGTCCTCCCTATGGCCCTGACCCCTCTGCACCCCAACCTCAGCCTGATGTTCGCCCACCGGCCCAGATCCTGGCGGGAACTGCCCCTGCGACTAGCTGACTTTGGGGCTCTACACCGGGCCGAAGCCTCTGGTGGTCTGGGGGGACTGACCCGACTGCGGTGCTTCCAGCAGGATGACGCTCACATCTTCTGTACAACAGATCAGGTGGCCTTTCCCTGGCTCCACCAAAGCTTTTCTAAACCACCTTTCTTTCTCCCTATGAACCTGCAAACCCCTGATCTTTATTTGCCCCCTGTATGTACTATAATTCAGCTACATTCTACCCCCAGCTTGCTTCCGCTTCCTCTCTGTTTTTGCCCTTTGTTTTCCTCAAACTGCCAGCATCCCTGATCTCTAGCGGGCTCACAGCTCACTGACCCTTATTTCCTGCCCCTAGCTGGAAGCAGAGATCCAAAGCTGTCTTGATTTCCTCCGTTCCGTCTATGCCGTTCTTGGCTTCTCCTTCCGCCTGGCACTGTCCACCCGGCCATCTGGCTTCCTGGGGGACCCTTGCCTTTGGGACCAGGCCGAACAGGTGAGTAGGAGGTAGAGAAATAGAGGCAGATAAACCACTCTCTGGTGGGAAGGAGTGGAGAATACAGTAATCAAGGTTCTCAGAGGCATCTGGTGAGTGGGTCATTTGTTGGGGACTGACCGGATGTGTTGCTTTTGAAGTCTAAGATGATGTATTCCACTCTTGTCTCATTCCTTCAAAGGTCCTTAAACAGGCCCTGAAGGAATTTGGAGAACCCTGGGACCTCAACTCTGGAGATGGTGCCTTCTATGGACCTAAGGTAAGCTTGGGACCCTGGTTAGTGTTGTATTTATTTATTTTTTGCTTTGTTTTAGTAAATATTTAATAGATACAAAGAATTTTTTTTTTTGAGACAGTCTCACTCTGTCACCCAGGCTAAAATGCAGTGGTGTGATCTCAGCTCACTGCAACCTCCAGCTCCCTGGTTCAAGCAATTCCCCTGCCTCAGCCTCCCGAGTAGCTGGGATTACAGGTGTACGCCACCACACCCGGCTAATTTTTTTGTATTTTTAATAGAGATGGGGTTTCGCCATGTTGGCCAGACTGGTCTCGAACTCCTGACCTCAGGCAATCCACCCCACTTGGCCTCCCAAAGTGCTGGGATTACAGGCGTGAGCCACCGCACCCGGCCACAAAGAAATATTTTTAAACTTACGTAGGATATAAAGAAAAACAATATACTTTCTGCCCTCTTGGCATCTGCAATCTAGTGAGGGCTGCTGAAGGTAAATAGGCCATATCAGTGCTGCGAGATCTGTGCTGTGTAGGTACCAAGAGAGCACGTTAGCTGGGGTTAGCATTACTCGGGGAGGTTACAAAAGGTGTCCTGCAGGAATCACTTTCCAATCTGAAAGGTGAGTGTTGGCCAAGTAAAGATGTGTTTCAGGAGGGAACAGTGTAGGCAGAGGCTGGGGATAAGGATGAAAACACATGGCAGACCAATCTGGGCAACACAGGGAGACCCTGTGTCTACCAAAAAAAAAAAAAAAAATTAGCCGGGTGCAGTAGCTTGTGCCTGTGGTCCCAGCTACCCAGCAGGCTGAGATGGGAGGATCACCTGGTCCCAGGAGGTAGAGGCTGCAGTGAGCCGAGATTGCGCCCCACTGCACTCCAGCCTGGGTGATAGAGTGAGACCCTGTCTCAAAAAAAAAGAAGCCAAGGGGAAAAAAGGACTGAAAAGTGTCCACTGGATTTAGTAAAAAGGCTGCTGGATTTCAAAGGACCATTTTCAGTAAAGTAGGGCCTGAGGGTGGAGTTAGAAGATGAATAAATGAGGCCTGTGTGGTGGCTCACGCCTGTAATCCCAGCACTTTGGGAGGCCGACGTGGGTGGATCACTTGAGGTCAGGAGTTCGAGACCAGCCTGGCCAACGTGGCGAAACCCCATCTCTACTAAAAATATAAAAATTGGCCGGGTGAGGTGTTAGGACACACCTGTAGTCCCAACTACTCAGTAGCCTGAGGCAGGAGAATCGCTGAACCTGGGAAGTTGCAGTGAGCCAAGATCACACCACTGCACCCTAGCCTGGGCAACAGAGCAAGACTCCGTCCCAAAAAGTAAAAATAAAACAGGCTGGGGGCGGTGGCTCACGCCTATAATCCCAGCACTTTGGGAGGCTGAGGCAGGTGGATCACCTGAGGTCAGGGGTTTGAGACCCTGTCTCTACTAAAAATACAAAAATTAGCCCAGCGTGGTGACAGGCACCTGTAAACCCAGGAGGCGGAGGTTGCAGTGAGCCGAGGTCGCACCACTGCACTCCAGCCTGGGCGACAGAGTGAGGCTCCATCTCAGAAAAATAATAATAAAATGAAAAATAAAATAAATGCTATGATGAGAGGAAGTCTATTTGGAGGGAGAAGTTGTTGTAAAGGGAAGTTCCTGGAGAGGTTTAAGGTAGGATTGAGAAGCCTTCATAGAAGGGATCACCATTGCCATTGTATCCAGGGTGGAAGGAAAGGCTGAAGGTAGATGCAAGGAAGTTTGTAGGCATGGTAACAGGAAGTTGAGGCTCTTCCCATCCCATGGTATCAATTATCTGAATTCTTCATGAGGCAGGATCATTTGCTGAAATGAGAGTGGAGAAGAGGAGAGTTGTCAGTGAGGGGGCTGAAGATATGAAGAAAAGGCTGTGTGCAGTGGCCCCCTCTTGTAATCCCAGCACTTAGGGAGGCTGAGCTGAGATGATCACTTGAATCCAGGAGTTTGATACCAGCCTGGGCAACATAGTAACAGGGCATCATAATAAGACCTCGTCTCTACAAAAAAAAATTTTTTTTTTTTTTTTTTTTTTTTTTTTTTATTGAGACTATGTCTCGCTCTGCTGCCCAGGCTGGAGTGCAGTGGCTCGATCTCGGCTCACTGCAAGCTCCGCCTCCTGGATTCACGCCATTCTCCTGTCTCAGCCTCCCGAGTAGCTGGGACTATAGGCAGGCACCCATCACCATCACCATGCCTGGCTAATTTTTTTCTTTTTTTTTTTTTTTAGTAGATATGGGGTTTCACCGTGTTAGCCAGGATGGTCTCGATCTGCTGACCTCATGATCTGCCCGCCTTGGCCTACCAAAGTGCTGGGATTACAGGCATGAGCCACTGCGCCCGACCGTCTCTACAAAAAATTTAAAACAAATTTTAAAATTAGCTGGATGTGATGGTGGGCACCTGTAGTCCCAGCTACTCAAGAGGCTGAGGTGGGAGGATCACTTGAGCCCAGGATTTTGAGGCTGCATGAGCTATGATCAAGGCACCACACTCCAGCTTGGGTAACAGAACAAAACCCTGTCTCAATAAAATAAATAAATAAAAAGATAGAGAAAGGAAATTACTCAAGAACTGTTATATAGCTAAAATCTTTTTTTTGTTTGTTTTGTTTTATTTATTTATTTTTATATATTTTTTTGAGATCAAATTTTGCTCTGTCGCCCAGGTTGGAGTGCAGTGGCGCAATCTCGGCTCACTGCAACCTCTGCCTGCCAGGTTCAAGCGATTCTCCTGCCCCAGCCTCCCGAGTAGCTGGGATTACAGGCATGTACCACCACGCCCGGCTAATTTTTGTATTTTTAGTAGAGATGGGATTTCACCATGTTGGCCAGGCTGGTCTTGAACTCCCAACCTCAGGTGATCTGCTCGCCTTGGCTTCCCAAAGTGGTGGGATTATTACAGGCATGAGCCATCTTGCCCAGCGTTTTTTTCGTTTTTGTTTTTTTCCCCGAGACAGACTCTTGCTCTGTTGCCAGACTGAAGTGCACTGGCGGATCTTGGCTCACTGCAACCTCCACCTCCCAGGTTCAAGCGATTCTCTTGCCTCAGCCTCCCGAGTATCTGGGACAGGTGTGCACCACCACGCCCAGCTAATTTTTTTTTTTTTTTTTTTGAGGCGGAGTTTTACTCTGTCGCCAGGCTGGAGTGGAGTGGCACAATCTCGGCTCACCACAACCTCCACCTCCTGGGTTCAAGCGATTCTCCTGCCTCAGCCTCCCCAGTAGCTGGGATTACAGGCACCCGCTACCACACCAGCTAATTTTTGTATTCCCTTTTTTAGTAGACGGCATTTCACCGTGTTGGCCAGGCTGGTCTCGAACTCCTGACCTCAGGTGGTCCACCTACCTCGGCCTCCCAAAGTGCTGGGATTACAGGAGTGGGCCATGTGCCTTGCCTGGCTAAAATCTTTTGAGTACTCAAAGTTGCTGTTGACTGTGTTGGGGTCTTTTATTCAGGTAACATGTGTATTCTCATTTTTATGTCCCAAGTGTTTATTCCAGCATATGGTATTTATTTACCTGCTTCACTAAGTAGTTAGTAAATTAAAATATTAACAGTAATGAAAGTGTGTCTTCTGATTTATTTCAGCAATAACAGTAGGCAAATAAAATATCTTTATTACTAAGAAAAAAATTGAGAGAGGTTAAACAATGTGCTTAAGGTTACAGATATAACAGTCATAAAGTGTGTATTATGTTGAATCAGTCTAATAAGTTGCTGGCTCAGATACTGCTATAAAAAGAGAGAGCAAAAAACTGGAACATCCCTGAGGAGAACAGAGCATAGAGCTTATTAGGGCAATCCAAAGGATTGCTGGCAGCAGACAGGGACCAGCTGAATCTCGAAATACTGACTTCCATGGTGGCATCAATCTCTGCATTTGCATCTGTGTGGTTTGTGACATATTGGGCAGCACTGAGCAGTTCTCTTGCAGGGCCAAAGATGTAGGAGGCTAAGGTGCAGAAGAACAATGAATGGTACAAAGGGAACTAGGGAAAATGGTACAGCTTCATGGGATAAGAAACAAAGGTGGGAGGGGCCTGAGGATGGGAGAGAAAAAGAGGAGTTAAAGAACCGGTGGGTTGAAGTGCCATTAATAGGAATAATTGTCATGGCCGGGTGTGGTGGCTCACACCCATAATCCCAGCACTTTGGGAGGCCGAAGTGGGCAGATCACTTGAGATCAGGAGTTTGAGACCAGCCTTGCCAACATGGTGAAACCCCATCCCTACTGAAAAAAAAAAATACACATATGTGTGTGTGTGTGTGTGTGTGTGTGTGTGTGTATATATATGTGTGTGTGTGTGTGTATGTGTGTATATATATGTGTGTGTATATATGTGTGTGTATATATGTGTGTATATATGTGTGTATATATGTGTGTATATATGTGTATATATATGTGTGTGTATATATACACACACACACACACACATATACACACACATACATATATATATGTTAGCTGGGCGTGGTGGCATGTACCTGTAGTCCCAGCTACTCAGGAGGCTGAGGCAGGAGAGTCGCTTGAACCCGGGAGGCGGAGGCTGCAGTGAGCTGAAATCGTGCCACTGCACTCCTGTCAGGGTGACAGAGTGAGACTCTGTCTCAAAAAAAAAAAAAAAAAAGGAATAATTCTCAGAGCTGGCTGACCAAGAGACAGTAATCAGAGTAGGGTGTCTGATGGACAGTTTCAGAGGTACAGCCATTGGGGGAGATGACAGGATAAAGGGTGTAGCCATAGATGGGTGGTGGTGAAGATCTCTGAGATGAGGAGCTCAAGGAATTGAGAGGCCAGGGTGTGGACATCAGGTAATATTATAACACCATTATTAGATGGAGAGAGCTGCTGAGAACTACTGCCAGAGTGAGTTGAGTAGAGTGAACTGGAGGGGTAGCGTATGATAGAGCTAGGTGACATGATGAAGGTAGTAGCCCGGGATGAGGGTAGGTTAAAGGGTGGGATGGCACAGGTAATGGAGGATAGTGGTTCTGGATAGTGCTTCTGGCTTATCTCGTGCCTTCCCATCTGTTTCCTGTAGATTGACGTGCACCTCCACGATGCCCTGGGCCGGCCACATCAGTGTGGGACAATTCAGCTTGACTTCCAACTGCCCCTGAGATTTGACCTCCAGTATAAGGGGTATAAAACCTTGCCCTATCCTCTTTTCCCTTGACAGTGCATGGAATAAGTCCTTCTGCCTTTGGCCCTAAAAACTAAACCCTCCACACCCTCTCCTGCCAGAGCTGAATATTTCTTAAAAACTGGAAGGTGATCTTGGGTACACAATTCGTGATACTTCCACCATTCCATCCACCCCCCCCTTTTTCCTTTCAAGGCAGGCGGGTGCCCTGGAGCGTCCAGTCCTCATTCACCGAGCAGTGCTCGGTTCTGTGGAAAGACTGTTGGGAGTGCTGGCAGAAAGCTGCGGGGGGAAATGGTGAGACCTCTGACCTGGATTTCTGTTCTGGCCCCAAACCGGATAGTTATGCTCCAGATCCTGTCCCCCTTCATATGCCAGCCTCTTTCCTTCTCAAGTCTGCTCCATACAAGCACACTTCTGGCCAGAGCCAGAGTGACTAATTTGCCATCACCTGTTCTTTCCCTACCAGGCCACTGTGGCTGTCCCCGTTCCAGGTGGTGGTCATCCCTGTGGGGAGTGAGCAAGAGGAATACGCCAAAGAGGTAAGGAGTTGAGGTAAGGGAGGGGGCAGAAGCAGGTCCAGTAGAGAGTCTGGTGCCCTGCAGTGGGCAGGAAGAGGCTGCAGGGGTGGTAGAGGAAGGAGCACAGCCCTCACAGCCACAAGACTGGGCTCGAGTGGCTGCTGTCCTAGATGCTGGAAATCCTGTATCTAAAAAATGTGACTAATGCCTACCTTGTAGAGATGTATGAAAATTAAACAAATTAACAAATGTTGAAAGCCACCAAAAGAGCACTTGGCACAAAACTGGGATTGAGTACACAGTTTTATTTTTCCTTTCTAGAGAGAATTGAGGATATGGATGGTACCAGAGTCAAACAGCTGGTTGGGTAGAGCAGTGGCTAGAAGGCAAAGTCCACGGAATAACTGGGGGGTCATCTCCAGTAGGAGGCAGAAAGATTGTGGGGTTGGGGATGAATGGGGAGGAGGCCTCAATGTGGAGATGAAATGAGGAGAGGTTGCTGGTAAGAAGTGGAGAGCCCCGAGGCAGGGAAAGGAGGAACAGATGGGGGCATTGAGGGAAAAGAGCATCAGACTGTTCTAGCTCCTTAACTTTCCAGTAAATTAACTTCCTGTCACCAAACCTCTGTTGCAGGCACAGCAGAGCCTGCGGGCTGCAGGACTGGTCAGTGACCTGGATGCAGACTCTGGACTGACCCTCAGCCGGAGAATCCGCCGGGCCCAGCTTGCCCACTACAATTTTCAGTTTGGTAAGCTGAACCTCAGAGCCAATGTTCTCCCACCTGCCGTCTGCATTCTTGCTGTTAAGTTTACCAAGTCTGGTAATGCATATTTGGGTTAATTGGGGCTCATTACCTGAGCAGGTAGGAGCCAGGATTCAGGACACCTGACTCATTTGGGCCCTGTGTTCCTTCACATTGCCCTGCCCTCCCCATAACCACTTCTGACACTCAAAATAGTTTTCCTCTTTTTAACTCCACTCTAGCTGTTGGTGTCTGTTAGGTTAATTAACCAAGGGAGCATCAGAGAGAAAGGGACGGGAGGGTTAATACAGCGTTAATTACCCTTGTTTATTTTAGACCTAGATGGAATCAGCCCTAAGGGATGAGGAGAAAGGCCTTAGGGAGAAAATTCTGGCACTGCCATGCTCCCTTTTTCATTTTCCAGGGTTCAGGGCTCTATCTCAAAGGTGAGGAGCAGAAACTCCTCAGCCAGATTACCTGATTCTTGAGTTTTGCACACCCCACTCTCCCTACAAGCACCCAGAGCAAGCTGTGCTGCAATCCCAGGGACTTGTACATGGCCCCTTTCCCTCCCTTACCGCCCAGTCAGCCCCTGCATACATCCTCCTCAGCAGAGGCCCCTCACTCTGTGAATCCAGCCCTAACAGACACCAAGAGCCAGAGTGGGACTGATGAGAGGAAACTGTTCTAAGGGTCAGAGTGGTTGGGGGGAGGCGGGGCAGTGTGAAGGCCACACCACTCCTGCCACCTTCCACTTGCTCTAATACCCCCTTCAGACACGCGCGCGCACACACACACACACACACACACACACACAGTTTCTCTCTGTGGGGTTCTCATTGTTTGTCTTTCTCTGCTTGACTCTAATGTCTCTGACACACACACACACACACACACACACACACACAGTTTCTCTCTGTGGGGTTCTCAGTGTTTGTCTTTCTCTGCTTGACTCTTATGTCTCTGACCCTGGGGCTCTTGACCAGAAGCGATAAGGCCTGCGGGGACTGAAGCACTTCCTTGTCTCCTCAGGATGAGCAGGACTGGTCATTTAGTATTAGCAGACACAGCTGAATACTTCCTTTCTGTGAACCATATCTGGGCTCTGCTCCCACCCTTCCTAAAGATTTAGGTCTCTCAAGTTTCTGCAGAGCAAAAGAAACTGTTCCATGTGGGTGAATTTGCCCTGAGGTTCCCAAACTTCCTCTACCTGCAGTGGTTGGCCAGAAAGAGCAAAGTAAGAGAACAGTGAACATTCGGACTCGAGATAATCGTCGCCTTGGGGAGTGGGACTTGCCTGAGGCTGTGCAGCGACTGGTGGAGCTACAGAACACGAGGGTCCCAAATGCCGAAGAAATTTTCTGAGCCTTTGTACATAGATGAGGCAAAAACCTGCGAGTGCCATCAGCCTCCCTCACATGGGAGACCCCAACCCAGCTGACAATGTGGAGCCCCCAGAACTTCAGAACTGTGTGGAGGCACATGTCTGCTCTCCTGAAAAGAGACTTGGTTTGGGGACCCCACAAAAGGAGGGAAGCTGTAGCTGTTTGGATGTGAGGAGAATGAAACTACAAAAAAAAATAAATTGGGCCAGGCGCAGTGGCTCATGCCTGTAATCCCAGCACTCTGGGAGGCTGAGGCGGACGGATCATGAGGTCAGGAGATCAAGACCACCCTGGCTAACACGGTGAAACCCTGTCTCTACTAAAAATACAAAAAATTAGCCGGGCATGGTGGCACACGCCTGTAATCCCAGCTACTCAGGAGGCTGAGGCAGGAGAATCGCTTGAACCCGGGAGGTAGAGGTTGCAGTGAGCTGAGATTGCGCCACTGCACCCCCCTAGGCGACAGAGCGAGACTCTGTCTCTAAATAAATAAATAAATAAATAAATACAAACTGGAAGCTGCTGGTCATATGTCTTCATCTCTGACTCTGGAGAGGTGGGATAAAAGGATGTTCCACTTTGTCTCCCTCTTTTTTGTCCCAGAGAGTTAGGGAAATTGAAAAGGGACAGTCCAGACCTCACACTGGTAGGGGAGATCCCTTGGATAGGTTTCCTGCTCCCCGCTGTAAACTCCTTTGTGCCCTGTTTCCCCAACCCCAGTTCATGAGTTGGCAGATCCCCTCTCCACAGAAGGCAGCCTGTAGATGGAGAAACTGAGGCACAAACTAGGGGCTCAAACACCTCTTGCTCCTGGATTCTCTGAATCAGTTTCTCTTGAAGGTCATAAGAATGTTCTCCTCTAATCAGTCCCATTCTTCTCAATCCTCTGAGGAGGCTTCAGGGTGACTTTGGGAGGAGTGGCTTCCAGAGGAGGAGCAGCTGGGACTGAGTCATGGCAGGAAGCTGAGGAGGGCGGGAGATCACACCAGACAATTATAAAAGAAGAGCTGGTCCTGAAGCTCACAACCGTAACAGCCACCAGACAAGCTTCAGTGGCCGGCCCTTCACATCCAGACTTGCCTGAGAGGACCCACCTCTGAGTGTCCAGTGGTCAGTTGCCCCAGGATGGGGACCACAGCCAGAGCAGCCTTGGTCTTGACCTATTTGGCTGTTGCTTCTGCTGCCTCTGAGGGAGGTGAGTTGGGGGATCAGCACTTAGGAGGGGGTCTGGGCTTGCATGGCAGGGGTCTGGGTCCAGGCATCCCAGACGGCTCATCACTAGCAGAGTGATTCTCCGTTTGGCTTTCCTTTTCTGAGCAGGCCCAAAGTGGGCCTAGGCCAGTGGAGCCTTTAACCAAGGAGGCAGAGAGCAGGGGCACAGAAGGAGAGGGGTTCCTAGAAACTGCTGCCAAGAAACACAGAATCCCAGTCAAATAGACAACTGAGTGGGGGGTGGGTTCACAGAGTGAGGGTCTCCTGCTGATGAGGATGTAGGGAGGTGGCTGGTGGGAGAGGCAAGGGAGGGAAAAGGGGCCCCCAGGCTGCTCAAAACCGGATTGCTGGCCCAGCAAGCCTCGACTGACTCCCTGTCTGATTAGAGGAGTTGAGGGGTGTCCATCCACAGACCCACCCTCCATCCAGCACAAACACATTCTTTATCTGCTTTGATGCCTGAACAAAACAGGAACCCCTCAATGCTATGGGTGGAAACTAAGAAAAAAAGGAAAAGAAAAGGAAAAAAACCACCCAGGGCACTCCTGCAGGAAGCTGCTGAGGATGTCAGCAAATCTGTCCACTTCTCTGTGAAGCCCCATGCCATCATTCTTCCCAGCTCCTGGTCTTTTGTGTCTGCAGATCACCTACAAGTGACCCTTCCCTGTGCCTGTCCCAGTCCCCCAGGCCCTAAATTGAGACCTAAACTAAGGCGGAGCTGAGACTGGCTGAAGGGGAAGCACTCAACCTTCAGGAAGCCTCCTTAACCAAAGGCCTAAAGATGTTTCAAGGGCCTGGAGTAGGAGGGTGGGTGGAGGAGGTGGATTGGGTAGGCTCCAACCAGCTCAAGGTCCAGACTTTTTCCTCTGAAAGCTAGAGACGCATCCCAGCAGAGACTGGGGAGGACAACCCACAGCCCTGAGGGAAAGACTGGCAGAGGAAATGAGGGCCTCCCTCCCCAATCCCGTATGCCATACTCCCTTTAGGCCCAACCTCTGAGCCAGTAGAGGTGGAGCTATCAGACCGCCACAGGCTTTCTCAGAACCCAGCTGGTCATGTCTAGGTGTGTTGGGGCTGGGAGAGGATTAGGGGACACGGGGCAGGTGAATACAGAGGGGCATCTCGTGTCTTGCTTGTCTGTCCTACACTCTTGATCTCCACAGCCTCCCCATCCCTTGCTGAAGTCCAGGGAAGGCCCTCCCAGTGGCCCCTGACTTGCCCTTCTTCCCTCCAGGCTTCACGGCTACAGGACAGAGGCAGCTGAGGCCAGAGCACTTTCAAGAAGGTAAGAGTTTGGGGGAGCAGCATGGGATTGGGACTCCAGGAGGCACTGTGGGCTCTGATGTCTCCCCTCTTGCTTCTAGTTGGCTACGCAGCTCCCCCCTCCCCACCCCTATCCCGAAGCCTCCCCATGGATCACCCTGACTCCTCTCAGCATGGCCCTCCCTTTGAGGGACAGAGTCAAGGTAAGGTCACCATCCCATGCCCTCCTCAGTGACCCTCCAGGTTTCTAATCTGGCCTATATCCCACTTTTCAGGTGGAAAGGAGGGAAGAGGCCCTCGCCCCCACTCCCAGCCCTGGCTAGGAGAAAGGGTGGGCTGCTCACACATTCCCCCTTCTATAGTGCAGCCCCCTCCCTCTCAGGAGGCCACCCCTCTCCAACAGGAAAAGCTGCTACCTGCCCAACTCCCTGCTGAAAAGGAAGGTGAGCGCTTGCCCACCCTCCCTCACCTCTATCCCACTATGGATCCTGTTGACACCAGGCTGATCCCTGCTCCTTGGTGCCCTCACCCCTATCTTGCAGTGGGTCCCCCTCTCCCTCAGGAAGCTGTCCCCCTCCAAAAAGAGCTGCCCTCTCTCCAGCACCCCAATGAACAGAAGGAAGGTAAGCAGCTCCCTCTCTTCTTTACCCACCTTTACCTCATGGCCTTCCCCCAGAGCATGGGCTTCGGGGCAGACAAGACGGTGGGCTCTGCCACTCACCAGTTGTATAACCTTGGGTAAGTTACATACTTCTCCAAGCCTTTGTTTCTTCATCTGTAAAATTGAGGATATACCTGTTTTAGAAAGTTATGTGATTAGATGTGCAAAAATAGCATCTATTTTCACTTGCTTCTCTGCTGAGTTCTTCTTTGTGCATGTAAACTAGCCAGGCTTTCTCTGCTAGAGATGGCCATCCCAACATGGCTTTTGCTTACTCCTTCTACCCAGTAGACCCACCTCTTCCATATCAGGAGGAGATAATCATCCATTCCATGCCGAGAGAGGGTGAGTGACAGCTTTGGTCTGTCCATCCTCCTGCCTTAGTGCTCAGGACCCTGGGGAGAGGAGCAGGAAGCCCGAGCCTTGAGAAGCAGGAGGAGGTGGGGGCAGGCTGTGAGCTGACACCTTTCACACCTCGCTTCTCTTTTCCTTTCAGTTATTTTAAAAGGAAGAGCCACAAATTGTTCTTTCTCATTTCCACTATATCCTCCCAACCCTTTCTCCTCCACCCCAGATTCTTTCAATCCTCCCAGCTCATCCAGCCTTTGTGGGTTCCTTCACATGTCCCCGCTTCCCACTGTTTTCCCCATTCCAGGAACGCCAGCTCCATTTGGGGACCAGAGCCATCCAGAACCTGAGTCCTGGAATGCAGCCCAGCACTGCCAACAGGACCGGTCCCAAGGGGGCTGGGGCCACCGGCTGGATGGCTTCCCCCCTGGGCGGCCTTCTCCAGACAATCTGAACCAAATCTGCCTTCCTAACCGTCAGCATGTGGTATATGGTCCCTGGAACCTACCACAGTCCAGCTACTCCCACCTCACTCGCCAGGGTGAGACCCTCAATTTCCTGGAGATTGGATATTCCCGCTGCTGCCACTGCCGCAGCCACACAAACCGCCTAGAGTGTGCCAAACTTGTGGTAAGGTTGGGTTCTTGATGCCGGGGGGTGTCCTTTAACCCCAGACAGTATGTGTGTTTTAAGGGTTAGAGCACTAGGCCTGGGTCTGGAGGAACCTCAGGTCCCGTTCACTGGCCCTACCCTGGGCCTCCCCAATGTGCCAGGGGAGCAGAGGACAACCACTGTCTCTTCTTTATCTGCCTGCCCAGTGTCCTTTCCTGGAGCCTGGGAGGAAGGCAGGAATGTGGAAAGTGGGCTGATCCTCCCCTCTTGCTCTAGTGGGAGGAAGCAATGAGCCGATTCTGTGAGGCCGAGTTCTCGGTCAAGACCCGACCCCACTGGTGCTGCACGCGGCAGGGGGAGGCTCGGTTCTCCTGCTTCCAGGAGGAAGCTCCCCAGCCACACTACCAGCTCCGGGCCTGCCCCAGCCATCAGCCTGATATTTCCTCGGGTCTTGAGCTGCCTTTCCCTCCTGGGGTGCCCACATTGGACAATATCAAGAACATCTGCCACCTGAGGCGCTTCCGCTCTGTGCCACGCAACCTGCCAGCTACTGACCCCCTACAAAGGGAGCTGCTGGCACTGATCCAGCTGGAGAGGGAGTTCCAGCGCTGCTGCCGCCAGGGGAACAATCACACCTGTACATGGAAGGCCGTAAGTGGGCGTCCCAGCCTCCCTGAGAGCCTGTTTGCCTGCCTGCCCATCTTCGACCTCTGATCCTGCCAGTCCATCCATCCATGTACCCCCCCTGCTGTGAGTGCGTCCACCCGTTCATCTGCTTGTGGCTGTCCGTCCATCCATTGTGTTTGTCACCTGAGTTTGTTCATCTTGAGCTTCGTACTACACTTCTGGCCTCCTCCACTCATGATCCACACACGCATCTGTCTACCATCCATCCATCCGTCCAGCTCTGGCCTCACCTGACCTTCTCCATCCACTGTTCCAGCTCATCTCCCGGCACCAGCTTGGAACCTCATCCAGGCTTCCACCCGTCCACCTTCCCAAGCCCACACATCAACAGTTGCCTCCTAACCCTCTACTTTTTTGCCATTCCCTTTGGGCCTCTCGGGCTGGGAGCCCCTCATCTAGTTGCCAGGGACGATAAGGGAAGTCGATGGTCAGGAGAGAAGGGGCCAAGTGTCCAGCTTCTGACTTCCCTCTCTCTGGTCCACAGTGGGAGGATACCCTTGACAAATACTGTGACCGGGAGTATGCTGTGAAGACCCACCACCACTTGTGTTGCCGCCACCCTCCCAGCCCTACTCGGGATGAGTGCTTTGCCCGTCGGGCTCCTTACCCCAACTATGACCGGGACATCTTGACCATTGACATCGGTCGAGTCACCCCCAACCTCATGGGCCACCTCTGTGGAAACCAAAGAGTTCTCACCAAGCAGTAAGTTGCCTAGTCCTTCCCCACTCTCTTCCTTTCCCGAAAACTTCCTTTTGGGACACCTTTGGGAAAAGCAAAATCATGATATCCCAACCCCATCTGATGCCAGAAGATGCCCAAAGACCCTAACCCCTGCCCCTTTCACACCAACATAGTAAACATATTCCTGGGCTGATCCACAACATGACTGCCCGCTGCTGTGACCTGCCATTTCCAGAACAGGCCTGCTGTGCAGAGGAGGAGGTGAGTGTGTGGAGTCTAGTCTCCAGAGGAATGCAGGGGAGGGGAGGGAAAGAGCTAGAACTGCAGGCCACCCCTTCTCTTTAGTACCTCAAACCAGCCTTTGGTTATAATGACTAGTGGGGGAGGTGTTTTTTTCTTGGTTCCAGAAAAGTCTTCACTCTGACCTGGCCTGCTCCCCATCTCTAAGTTCCTATTATGCCTTCTCCGGGCCACAAGCTTCTGGCATTTCCAGATGTACACATTTGTCAGTCACAAGGAATCCAGCTGTGCAAGGCAGTCTTGTACTCTCTCTGGGCCCCAGGAGGGGAACGAGGGAGAGAGCAGTAGAAGCTGATGAAAGGGGGACTTTGGCACCCAAGTATCTACATCTGTCCTTGGACCACCTCCCCACCCCATCATCTGTTTTACTTTTCTCATTCATCAGAAATTAACCTTCATCAATGATCTGTGTGGTCCCCGACGTAACATCTGGCGAGACCCTGCCCTCTGCTGTTACCTGAGTCCTGGGGATGAACAGGTCAACTGCTTCAACATCAATTATCTGAGGAACGTGGCTCTAGTGTCTGGAGACACTGAGAACGCCAAGGGCCAGGGGGAGCAGGGCTCAACTGGAGGAACAAATATCAGCTCCACCTCTGAGCCCAAGGAAGAATGAGTCACCCCAGAGCCCTAGAGGGTCAGATGGGGGGAACCCCACCCTGCCCCACCCATCTGAACACTCATTACACTAAACACCTCTTGGATTTGGTGTCCTCATTGTCTATCTAATGTCTCACCCGCAGTGTTTTAAGTGGATCTTGGTGCCCTGGCCCAGGAGGGCACTGGCGTTTTCAGACACACCACAGACAAACACACCCTCCTAAGCCTGCTTGTATTTCCTTCAGTGCCTGGCCCCTGAGGCCCACGGCCCTGCCCCCTTCACTGAGCAGATGTTCACAGGCTGTGGGATGCGACCATAACTAAACAGCTTGACGTCACTTTGCCATCTTGAATTTATTCACATATTTTGAAAGGAGTGCCACCTTGTTAGCTAGCTATCAGGACTCAAAGAAGATATGGTTCTTGGCCTTGGTGAGCCCCCAAAATGCCACAGCCCAGCCTAACATTTTTAAAGCTTCACTTTTGATCCTTAGAATTCATGCCTTCATTCATTCAATATCCTTTTTTTTTTTTTCTTGAGACACAGTCTCGCTCTATCGCCCAGGCTGAAGTGCAGTGGCACGATCTTGGCTCACTGCAACTTGCAACCCTCCTGGGTTCAAGCGATTCTCCTGCCTCAGCCTCCCGAGTAGCTGGGATTACAGGCGTGCACCAGCACACCCAGCTAATTTTTGTATTTTTAGTAGAGACGGGTTTTCACCATGTTGGCCAGGCTCCCAAAGTGCTGGGATTACAGGCGTGAGCCACTGTGCCTGGCCAATATCCATTTATTGAACCCCTATCTATGCACACTCTGCTAGACTTGGGGATACACATCCAGAACACACACAGCCCCTGCCCTGAGGTTGTTCACTGTCCCTGAGCCTAGCAGGTGTGACAAGTGTTGTGGTACAGGGCCCCCAGCGTGCTCTGAGCATGACAGGAACGTCCCGAGGTGGGAGTGGGGCTGGGGGCAGCACAGGTGCACAGGAGGGGCGTTGAGGTCAGAGTTTCTCCAGTAAAGAAGTAGAGGGTGTGAGCGGGCAGAGTGCGCACAAGGGTCAAGGCTGAAAGGACCTGACTCTTTGGTGGCCTTCCTCTCTGATATGGCTGGAATGATAAGCAGGAGCTCATCACTAATGCCTCACCCGCAGGGTTTTAAGTGGATCTTGGTGCCCTGGCCCAGGGGGCACTGGCGTTTTCAAGCGGAGGATGTGTTCCAATTTGCCTTTTAAGAATGTCTAGGCCGGACGCACTGGCTCACGCTGTAATCCCAGCATTTTGGAAGGCCGAGGCGGGCGGATCACTTGAGGTTAGGAGTTCGAGATCAGCCCGACCAACATGGTGAAACCCCATCTTTACTGAATTAGCCAGGCGTGGTGGTGCCCACCTATAATCCAAACTACTCGGGAGGCTGAGGCACGAGAATCACTTGAACCTGGGAGGTGGAGGTTGCAGTGAGCCAGTATCGCACCACTGCACTCAGCCTGGCCGACACAGCGAGACTGTGCCTCAAAAATAAAATAAAATAAAATAATGTCTAGTCGGAGAGCCGGGGAGGTGGCGCGCGCCTGTAATCCCAGCCACCCAAAGAGCTATGGTCTCGGCACTGCACTTCAACCTGCGAGACCCAGTCTCAAAAAGAAAAAAAAAAGTTTAGTCGGCAGCCAGCAAGGCGGGACGCTGGGAGGCCAGTTCAAAGAGTGTCGTCCCAAGTGCCGGAGGGACGGAGCTGTAGCCCCCAACCTGAGCTGGACCCGAGGGTGGCGGTGACTAGGACTCTCAAGCCCTACAAAGCTGCTCCCAGGAACCCGAGGCCTCAAGGCTGGATCTGAAAGAATCGGAATGAAGACTCGGAATGAAGAGTCCCAGGGGAACAAGTCCTGTGTGACTCCGCCGCCAGGACGACCTTCCAGAAAGCAGACTTCTCCGCTCCAGTTCTAGCGGAGACGGAGAGAGTGAACCAAGAACCATCATCCTGCGCCAGCCAGGGGCAAGCGGAGCCTCAGTTGCTCCCAAACCCACGCCCGCCTCTCCTTCCTCTCCTCCTCCACAGGCTTTCATTTATTTACTTAAGTATTTTTAGCCCAGTAGCAGTTTCCAGTCCAGCGGCTCCTCAGATCTTTCGCCGGCTGTCCGCCCCACCTGTCCGTCAGCACGCGAGCCAATGAGCGGGCGAGGGCAGCGCTGTGCCCCGCCCCTGAGCCGGCAGCCCAGTCTCGGGAGCCCGGGGCCGCCTGGGCCTCCTGCCCGCCGCGCTCGAGTCTGGAGCTCGAGAGTGACACTGCGCATGTGCGGGCGTCCTGCGCATCTCCTACGGCCTCCAGGACAGAGGAACCGGGGGAGGCAGGGGGAAAAGGCCGGCCCAGCAATTCCCCTACCCCCCGGTCCCACGTGTACCCTCCTGGCCTGGGTCGCCCCAGCCCACGGGGAGCGGGCGGAGTCCTGGCCCACGAAGCCTTGTCACCTGGCGGGCGAATCCGCAAGCGGAGACTTGTCTTTAAAGGGCTTTGGGCCGGGCGCGGTGGCTCATGCCTGGAATCCCAGCACTTTGGGAGGCCGAGGCGGTGGATCACGAGGTCAGGAGTTCAAGACCAGCCTGGCCAAGAAGGTGAAACCCCGTCTGTACTAAAAATACAAAAAAAAAAAAAAATTAGCAGGGCGTGGTGGCGGGCGCCTATAATCCCAGCTACTCGGGAGGCTGAGGCAGAGAATTGCTTGAACCCGGGAGGCGGAGGCTGCAGTAAGATCGCGCCACCGCACTCCAGCCTGGGCGAGAGAGGAGACTCTGTCTCAAAAAAAAAAAGGGAGCGGGGGGGCTTTGGTCTGTGCAGGAGCTTCCCGGAGATGCTTTAGAGCTGCGTTTGCAAAGTGCAGCGCCAAATGCTGCAGAGAGGTGGGAGTCAGAGGAGAGGAGGACTGCGGTCCCAAACCCTAGCAGTTTAGTCTGTCGGGGAGGAGAGGAAGGGAACCCGGAGAGCACTTGTAAGCTACAGTGCTGAATATGAGGAGGTACTGAATTGAGCATCAAATGCTGAGAGTTAAAGAATTCTCCCTAGGGACCAGCCAGCTATTATCTGGAAGCAGTGAGTTTGGATAGAGCCTGGAAGCACGGGTAGCATTGCTGTTAGCAATAAAAGGTGAACGTGTTAACATTCACTGCAATTCGTTGTATACACTATTAAAATATAACTTGCTCAATTCAGGGGCGGTGAGTAAAGTAAAGGAGTCAGAGCTCCTAATTATTGGAGAGGCCAGGGAAAGCTTCACAGAATTCAAGCTTGAGTAGGGTTTTGTTGAAAGGGAAGGATATACAAAGCATTGAATGTATGCAAAGTTCAGCTAAAGTAAACAGTCCTTTTTGTGTTAGGCAGAGTGCTAAAAGTACTCTGGCTATAACGAAGACTACAACACCACCTTCAGGGACTTTAGCGTCTGTGGAGACTTGAACATCTAATGTTAGAAATATTCTCAGAATTCTGAGACAGCCACCTAGCCTGGCCTTCAGGGAGATCTTCCAGGAAGAGGAAATAACACAGAAAGTGTGGTATATTTAAATATACCTAGCCAGGCGCGGTGGCTCACACCTGTAATCCCAGCACTTTGGGAGGTCGAGGCCAGTGGATCAACCGAGGTCAGGAGTTCGAGACCAGCCTGACCAACATGGTGAAAGCCGTCCCTACTAAAAATACAAAATTAGCCAGGCATGATGGCGCATGCCTCTAATCCCAGCTACTTGGGAGGCTGAGGCAGAAGAATTGCTTGAACCCAGGAGGCAGAGGTTGTAGTGAGCCAAGATTGTGCCATTGCACTCCAGCCTGGGTGACAGAGCCAGACTCCGTCTCAAAAAAAAAAAAAAAAAAAAGGTTGAGGGCATGGTGAGGGAGGGGACTTTTTTTAAAAGCTCTTCAGGAGATAGGGTTGAGAGAACCTGTTTGCTGGTGTCTAGGGTGACTACCAAGTTTGAGGCTGTGGTAACTAAGGTAAGTGTTACAGACTGAATGTTTGTGTACCCCCAAATGCATTTGTTGAAATCCTAGCCCCCAGTGTGATGGTATTAGGAGGTGGGGCCTTTGGGAGGTAATTAGGTCATGAGGGTGGAGCCCTCATAAATGGGATTAGTGCTCTTATAAAAGGGACCCCAGAGAGTTCTCTAGCTCTTCCTGCCCTGTGAGATACAAGAAGTTGGCAGGCTGCAACCTGGCAGAGGGCCCTCACCTGAGCCTGACCATGCTGGCACATGATCTAGGACTTCTAGCCTCCAGAACTGTGAGAAATACATTTCTGCTGTTTAACCCACCCTGTCTATGGTACTTCACAGCTCATACTGACTAAGGCAGCAGAACATACAGGAGGAAGAGGAGCAGGTTTCACAGAGGGAAGACATGAGTTCAATTTTGGACTTCTCAGTAGTCGGTGTCCTCAGTGGTAGCAACTTCAAACGGAAGGTGTCAAAAGTCAAATTCTGGAGAGTTGAGTATGAATGGGAGATGAAGAAAAGGAGGCAGCACTTGTAGCCTGCTCTTAATGTATTTCTGCACTCTACACTAGCAGCCTATTACACAGGACACTTGGATGTCTCCTAGATATCACAAATTCAGCTTCAAAAATGAATTCTTCTAGGTATATGGAAAGATGTGAAGAAGAAAATATAGCAATAAGTTAGGTGGTAGGTATATGGTTGTTTACTGTACAATCTGTCAGTTTTTCTGTATTTTTGAAATTTTTCATGATAAAATATTAAGAAAAAAGTAGTGGGCCCATCCTCTTTACCCTCCAACTATTCTTCTTCCCATGTGCCCTATTTCAATAAATAGAACAACTGTTTAGTCAGTTGTTTAGGCCAGAGAATATCAGAGTTGTTAGGCCTGGGAATATCATTCTTCAGTTTCTCTCCTTTTTCCTTGTAGTCTAATCAGTCGCCAAGTCTCTCTCTTTTTTTTTTTTTTTAAGATGGAGTTTCACTCTTGTTGCCCAGGCTGGAGTGCAATGGCGTGATCTCGGCTCACCGCAACCTGTGCCCCCTGGGTTCAAGTGATTCTCCTGCCTCAGTCTCCCAAGTAGCTGCAATTACAGTCATGCACTACCACGCCCGGTTCATTTTGCATTTTTTTAGTAGAGACATGGGGTTTCTCCATGTCGTTCAGGCTAGTCCCGAACTCCTGACCTCAGGTGATCCGCCTGCCTCAGCCTCCCAAAGTGCTGGGATTATAAGCGTGAGCCACCGTGCCCAGCAATAGAGTTACACCTTACACCAAAGTTAGGTTATAAGTCAGTACATAAGGCCAAAATTACATAGTTAACATAACCTTTGAAAATCCCTGGCCGGGCGCTGTGGCTCACGCCTGTAATCCGGGCACTTTGGGAGGCCGAGTTGGGCGGATCACCTGAGGTCAGGAGTTTGAGACCAGCCTGGCCAACATGGTGAAACCACGTCTCTACCAAAAATACAAAATTAGCTGGGTGTGGTGGCGTGCCTCTGTAGTCCCAGCTATTTGGGAGGCTGAGGCAGGAGAATCACTTGAACCCAGGAGGCAGAGGTTGCAGTGAGCTGAGATCATGCCATTGCACTCCAGCCTGGGCGACAAGAGTGAAACTCTGTCTCAACAAACAAACAAATTAATAATAAAAGTATGCAAAACATAAATGTATTATAGCTCAATGGATGGTTATAAAATGAACCTCCTGCAACAAATGCCTAAGTCAAGCCAAAGCATCCCAGAGGCCCCCACAGTGCTGCTTCCTGATGACGCCCTCCTCCCGTGCCCATGAAGGAATCCTGCTCCCTTGATATTTAGAGTTATCACTCAATCGCTTGTTAAAACTAGTTTACCCCTAAAAATGAACCCTAAAAGCAGTCATTTTGGATTTTGTAAACAGCTTTATTGGATATAATTCGCATACCATTAATTCACCCATGTAAAATGTACAATTCAATGGGTTTTGGTATATTACATTATTAATTTTTAAAAAGTATGGTAAAATAAATGTAAGGGCGGTGGCTCATGCCTGTAATCCCAACACTTTGGGAGACCGAGGTGGGCAGATCACCTGAGGTGGGGCGTTTGAGACCAGCCTGACCAACATGGAGAAACCCCATCTCTACTAAAAATACAAAATTAGGGCCAGGCACGGTGGCTCACGCCTGTAATCCCAGCACTTTGGGAGGCTGAGGTGGATGGATCATAAGGTCAGGAGTTCGAGACCAGCCTGGCCAAGATGGTGAAACCCCGTCTCTACTGAAAATACAAAAAAATTAGCCGGGCATGGTGGTGGGCGCCTGTAATCCCAGCTACTCGGGAGGCTGAGGCAGGAGAATCAGGAGAATCGCTTGAACCTGGGAGGCAGAAGTTGGAGTGAGCCGAGATTGTGCCTGGGCAACAAGAGCGAAACTCTGTCTCAAAAAATAATAATAAAATAGGCTGGCGCAGTGGCTCATGCCTGTAATCCCAGCACTTTGGGAGGCCGAGGCAGACGGATCACCTGAGGTCGGGAGTTCGAGACCAGCCTGACCATGGAGAAACCTCATCTCTACTAAAAATACAAAATTAGCCGGGTGTGGTGGTGCATGCCTGTATTCCCAGCTATTCAGGAGGCTGAGGCAGGAGAATCACTTGAATCCGGGAGGTGGAGGTTGTCATGAGCCAAGATCACACCATTGCATTCCAGCCTGGGCAACAAAAAGTGAAACTCCGTCTCAAAAATAAATAAATAAACAAATGTATGACAAAATTTGCCATTTTAACCATTTTTAAGTGTACAACTCAGTGGCATTAATTATATTCACAATATTGTACAACCGTCACCACTATCTATTCCAAAACTTTTCCATCACCCCAAACAGAAGCTCTGTAACCATTAAGCAATAACTGGCATCCCCCCTCCCTTTAGCCCCTGATAACTCCTAATATACTGTCTTTATGAATTTGCCTATTCTGGGTACCTCATATAATGTGCCTATAATATTTGTCCTTTTGCATCTGGCTTATTTCACTTAGCATAATGTTTTCAAGGCTCATCCATGTTACAGCATGTATCAGAACTTCATTCCCTTTTATGGCTGAATCATATTCCATTGTATGTGTATACATACAATGTGTGTATATGCCACATTTTGCTTATCCATTCATCTGTTGATGGACATTTGGGTCGTTTTCATCTTTCAACTATTGTGAATAATGCACAATTATTTCATTTTGCCAATTTTTGAACTTCATAAGAATGGAATCAGAATAATTACAACATATTTTTTGTGCATGTCTGACTTTTTAAATATGCATTCATGTTATTTTATATACCTGTAGTTCATTCATTTTCTTTTCTTTTCTTTTCTTTTTTTTTTTTTTTTTTTTTTTTTTTGAGACAGGGTTTTGCTCTTGTTGCCCAGGCTAGAGTGCAGTGGTGCAATCTTGGCTCAGCGCGATCTCAGCTCACTGCAACCTCCGCCTCCTGGGATTCTCCTGCTTCAGCCTCCCATGTAGTTGGGATTACAGGCGCCTGCCAATACGCCTGGCTAATTCTGTATTTTTAGCAGAGACAGGGTTTCTCCGTGTTGGTCAAGCTGGTCTCGAACTCCCGACCTCAGGTGATCTGCCTGTCTCAGCCTCTCAAAGTGCTGGGATTACAGGCGTGAGCCACCACGCCCGGCCTCATTTTCATATGGAATTCTATTTCAGAAATATGCCAATTTATCCATTCTACTGTTGATAGATACATGAATTGTTTCCAGTTTTAAGCTATTTCAAATATGCTATTATAAAAATGGTAGATATTGCATGAATTTCTGTCAGGTATACAGCTAGGAGTTAAATGGCTGGGTCAGAGTTTATTTGGCTTAACTAGAGAATGCCAAAGTGGTTGTACTAATTTTTCTTCCCACAGGCAGTGTATGAGAGTTCCACTTGTTCTACACCCTCTCCAATTCTTGAGGTTGTCAATGTGGTTAGCCATTCTGGTGAGTTTGTGGTGCAATGGTACCTCAGTATGGGTTTAACTTGCATTTCTGTGTTTATAAATGAGGTTAAACACCTTGTGATATGTCAATTGATCATTTGGATATCTTCTGTGAGATGCCTGCTCAAGTCCCTTGCCTATCTTCTGAAAGTGTTATTGTTTTATTTGCTCATTTAAGATTGGTAACCACCTGGAGTTGATTTTGACATTTACTGGGAGGTAGAGGGTCATGATTCATATTATTCCGTTTGGAGATTCAGTTATTCCAGCACCATGTGTTGAAAAGACTGTTATGACCCCTCTGCAGGCCATGTTTGTCATAAATCAAGTGTCCATATTTGCATGGGTCTATTTATGGACCTTCCATTCTACTATCTGTTCCTCCTTGCACAATACTGCACAGTTGGTAGCTTTATATTAAAGTTTGATATTTATAGGCCAAGCACTCCCTCCCAATTTGTTCTTCAGGAAAGTCTTGGCTATTGTTTAATGACTGGACACAAATTGTAGGAACAGTATATACAGATTCTTTAAGTAAGTCTTAAAAATGGAAAAGCCACCCAGGTGTGGTGGCCCACTCCCGTAATCCCAGCACTTTGGGAGTCCAAGGTGGGCAGATCACCTGAGGGCAGGAGTTCGAGATCAGCCTGGCCAACATGGTGAAACCCCGTCTCTACTAAAAATACAAAAAAATTAGCTGGGTGTGGTGGCCTGTGCCTGTAATCCCAGCTACTCTGGAGGTGGAAGCAGGAGAATCGCGTGCACCCAGGAGATGGAGGTTGCAGTGAGCCGAGATTACGCCACTGCACTCCAGCCTAGGTGACAGAGTGAGACTGTCTCAAAAAAAAAAAAAAAAGAAAGAAAGAAAAGCCATGTTGTAATCCTTTTCTGAACAGTCATTCCAGTGACTTTCCAGCTTAGAAGTTGGTAGTGGTTGGCCGGGAGTGGTGGCTCACGCCTGTAATCCCAGCACTTTGGGAGGCCAAGGCAGGAGGATCGCCCAAGGTCAGGAGTTCAAGACCAGCCTGGGCAACGTGGTGAAACCCTGTCTCTACTAAAAATACAAAAAGTAGCTGGGCATAGCGGTGCATGCCTGTAGTCCCAGCTACTCAGGAGGCTGAGGCAGGAGAATCGCTTGAACCCAGGAGGGGGTGGTTGCCATGAGCCAAGATGGCGCCACTGCACTCCAGCCTGGGCAGCAAAGTGAGACTCTGTCAAAAAAAAAAAAAAAACAAGAAGTTGGCAGCACTGTCCAACACAGTAGCCACCAGCCACTTGTGACTACTGAGCACTTGAAATGTGATTGGTCTGAATTGCAGTGTACTGTAAGTGTAAAATACACAATGGATTTCTACAATAAAGGATGCAAGATATCAATATTTTTCCTGTTGTTTACATGAAAACTTGGAGGTATACTGGATTAATGAACTCTCTCTCTCTCTCTCTCTATATATATATATACGTATATATACATATATATATACGTATATATATATATACATATATATACATATATATATACATATATATGTGTGTGTGTGTGTGTATATATATATATATATATATATATATATATATATTTTTTTTTTTTTTTTTTGAGACAGAGTCTTGCTCTGTCACCCAGGCTGGATGGAGTGCAGTGGCATGATTTTGGCTCACTGCAACCTCTGCCTCCCAGGTTCAAGCGATTCTCCTGCCTCAGCCTCCTGAGTAGCTGGGACTACAGGCATGCACCACCATGCCCGGCTAACTTAATTTTTATATTGTTAGTAGAGATGGGGTTTTGCATTGTTGACCAGGCTGGTCTCAAACTCCTGACCTCAAGTGATCCGCCCACCGCAGCCTCCCAAAGTGCTGGGATTACAGGTGTGAGCCACTGCGCCTGGCATATATTATTAAAATTAATTTCATCTGTCTCATTTTACTTTTTTAATGTTACTAAAATTTTTTTAAATTACATATGTGGCGACCAGGCGCGGTGGCTCATGCCTGTAATCCTAGCACTTTGGGAGGCCAAAGGCAGGAAGATCACCTGAGGTCAGGAGTTCGAGACCAGCCTGACCAACATGGTGAAACCCTGTCTCTACTAAAAATACAAAAATTAGCCATGCATGGTGTGCATGCCTGTAGTCCCAGCTACTCGGGAGGCTGAGGCAGGAGAATGGCGTGAACCCGGGAGGCAGAGGTTGTAGTGAGCCAAGATCATGCCACTGCACTCCAGCCTGGGTAACAGAGCGAGACTCCGTCAAAAAAAAAAAAAAAAAAATTACATGTGTGGCTTACATTGGTGACTGGAATTATATTTCTGCTGGACAGTGTAGTGGGCTGAATAATGGCCCCAAAGATTTCCAGGTCCTACTCCCTGGAAACCGTGAATTTTATTTTACAAGGCAGAAGGAACTTTGCAGATACAGCCAAGGGTATGGATCTTGAGATGGGAGCTTATCCAGAATTATCTGCGCAGACTCTAAATGGCATCACAAAGTAGGCAGAATGCGATTTGACAACAGAAGAGAAGGAATTTGACTGTGGAAGCAGAGATCAAGGTGATTGATGTGGGCAGCCACCATTAACAGGAAGAAACAAGCAAAAGAATCTTTCTCCCCCAGAGCCTCCGGAAGGAACCAGTCCTGATGACACTTTGACTTTAGCCCCATAAGACTCATTTTGGACATTTGGCCTCTGGAACTATAAGAGAATAAATGACTGTTGTTTTACGCTGCTAGATTTGTTTTTTAATTTTTTTATTTTTAATTTTTTTTAGAGGTGGTATCTCACTTTGCCACCTAGGCTGGAATGCAGTGGTGCGATTAGAGCTCACTGCAGCCTTGAACTCATGGCTTCAAGAGACACTCTCACCTTAGCCAACCAAAGCACTCGGATTACAGGTGTGGTGCACAGCTGTGCCTGGCCAAATTTCTTTAAATTTAAATATTATATACACCAGAGACTCAAAAAAATCTCAGGCTTCCACAGCATCATAAGTTATTAAGAATAACTAGACTACCTCTACAAAGATGTCAAAAAAAGTCACATCATCTTGACAGTGAAATCCAAAACCAGAGTATAGTTGAGTTTAAGACATAATTCTACTGAAAAACAACATGGGTGTATATGCAGAAAAGAATATCCAGAACTCATACCTCAATAATAAGACAAGTCAATCAAAAGATGGACAAAAGATTTGAATAGACATTTCATCTAAGAAGATATACAGACTGCTAATAAGCAATGAAAAAATGCTCAACATCTTTAGTGATTAGAGACATGCAAATTAGAACCACAAGAAGGTACCATTTTGCACCCACTAAAATGGCTATAATGAAAAAAAGCAACCAGGTACGCATGCCTGTAATCCCAGCTCTTTGGGAGGCCCAGGCAGGAGGATCACTTGAGGCCAGGAGTTTACAAGATTCTGTCTCTACAAAAAATAAAAATAAATTAGAGTGGTGTGGTGGTACTTGCCTGTAGTCCCAGCTACTCAGGAGACTGAACTGAGGGGATCTCTTGAGCCCAGGAGTTTGAGGGTACAGTGAGCCATGATCACACCACTGCACTCCAGCCTGAACAACAGAGTGAAACCCTGTCTTGAAAAAAAAAAAAAAAAAAAGGCCTGGTGCAGTGGCTCACGCCTGTAATTCCAGCACTGTGGGAGGCCGAGGCAGGCGGATCACGAGGTCAGGAGTTCGAGACCAGCCTGAACAACATGGTGAAACCCCATCTCTGCTAAAAATTAGCCAGGCATGGTGGCACGCATCTGTAATCCCAGCTACTCAGGAGGCTGAGGCAGGAGAATCGCTTGAACCCAGTAGGCGGAGCTTGCAGTGAGCTGAGATGGCACCATTGCACTCCAGTCTGGGCGACAGAGCAAGTGTCCGTCTCAAAAACAAAAAACAAAAAAACCCAAAACATTAGCCAGGTGTGGTGCCATGCACCTGTGGTCCCAGCTACTCTGGAGGCTGAGGTGGGAGGATCGCTTGAACCTGGTAGATCAAGGCTGCAGTCAGCCATGATTGCACCAGCCTGGGTCCCAGAGTGAGACCATGTCTTAAAAAACAAACAAACAAACAAACAAAAAGCATACAGTTCAACTGGAAAAAAAAAATCCAGTCTGCAACCACTGCCTTTTAAATGAAATATTTTGTCCATTTACACTTAAAACTTAAATCTGTTGGTTTTGGTTGGTCCCACCGTTCTATGTTTTATTTTTTTGTTTTCATAAAGATGGTGTTTTCCTCTGTCACCCAGACACGAATGCAGTGGTACAGTTACAGCTCATTTTGCCTAGCTTATTTAAGGCTAGTAACCACCTAGAGTTGATTTTACAACCTCAGATTGCTGGGCTCAAGTGATCCTCCTGCCTCAGGCTCCCGAGTAACTGGAACTACAGGCACACACCACCATACCTGGCTAATTTTGTAGAGACAGAGGTCTTGCTGTATTGCCCAGGCTGGTGTCAACTCCTGGCTTCAAGCAATTCTCCCATTTCGGCCTCCCAAAGTGCTGAGATTACAGGTGTCAGCAACCATGCCCAGCCATGTACGTTTTATGTAAATAGATTTATTCCATATGTGGTCTTTTTTGTTTGGTTTCTTTCACTCAGCATAATATTTTCAAGGTTCATTCATGTTCAGCATGCATCAGTACTTCATTCCTTTTTTAAAAAGTTTTTTTTTGGGCAGGTGCAGTGGCTCACGCCTGTAATCCCAGCACTTTGGGAGGCTGAGGCGGGCGGATCACGAGGTCAGGAGATCAAGACCACGGTGAAACCCCGTCTCTACTAAAAATATAAAAAATCAGCTGGGCGCGGTAGCGGGCACCTGTAGTCCCAGCTACTCAGGAGGCCAAGGCAGGAGAATGGTGTGAACTCGGGAGGCGGAGCTTGCAGTGAACCGAGATCATGCCACTGCACTCCAGCCTGGGTGACAGAGTGAAACTCCGTCTCAAAAAAAAAAAAAAAAAAAAGTTTTCTTTTGTAGAGACAGGGTCTCGCTATGTCGCCCAGGCTGGTCTCAAACTCCTGGGCTCAAGTGATCCACCCACCTCATCTTTCCAAGTTGCTGGGAGTACATGCTTGAGCTACTGCACACGGCGAGTATGTCGCTGTTATCTATTGAACCTAATGTTGTTTTTTTTGATTCTCCTGCCTCAGCCTCCCGAGTAGCAGGGACTACAGGCACATGCCACCATGCTCAGCTAATTTTTGTATTTTTATTTCTATTTTTATATATTTATTTTTATTTTTTTGAGGCGGAGTCTCACTCTGTCGCCCAGGTTGGAGTGCAGTGGCGCAATCCCGGCTCACTGCATGCTCCACCTCCTGGGTTCATGCCATTCTCCTGCCTCAGCCTCCCAAGTAGTTGGGACTACAGGCGCCCACCACCACGCCCGGCTAATTTTTTTGTATTTTTAGTAGAGATGGGGTTTCACCATGTTAGCCAGGATGGTCTCGATCTCCTGACCTCGTGATCCACCAGCCTCGGCCTCCCAAAGTGCTGAGATTACAGGTGTGAGCCACCACGCCTGGCCTATATATTTATTTATTTATTGAGACAGAGTCTTGCTCTGTCACCCAGGCTGGATTGCAGTGGTGCGATCTCGGCTTACTGCAACCTCCGCCTCCCGGGTTCAAGCAATTCTCCTGTCTCAGCCTCCCTCCCGAGAAGTTGGGACTACAGGCACCCACCACCACACCCAGCTAATTTTTTTTATTTTTAGTAGAGACGGGGTTTCACCATATTGGTCAGGCTGGTCTCGAACTCCTGACCTCAGGTGATCAGCCTGGCTCAGCCTCCCAATGTGCTGGGATTTCAGATGTGAGCCACCACGCCTGGCCTATTTTTATTTTTTATTTATTTACTTATTTATTTTTGAGATGGAGTCTTGATCTGTTGCCCAGGCTGGAGTGCAGTGGTATGATCTTGACTAACTGCAACCTCTGCCTCCCGGGTTCAAGCGAGTCTCCTGCCTCAGCCTCCCGAGTAGCTGGGATTACAGGTGCCCACCACCACGCCTGGCTAATTTGTGTATTTTTAGTAGAGATGAGATTTCACCCTGTTAGCCAGGCTGGTCTTAAGCTCCTGACCTCAGGTGATCTGCCCGCCTCAGCCTCCCAAAGTGATGGGATTACAGGTGTGGGCCACTGTGCCTGGCCAAAAACTTAAAAGCTTGAAAAACTCATTTTAAAAGCACCAGAGGCTGGGCATGGTGGCTGGTCTGGAACCTGGAATTTGAGACCCACCTGGCCAACATGGGGCCAATATGGCGAAACCCCACCTCTACTAAAAATACAAAAGTTAGCTGGGCGTGGTGGTGGGCACCTGTGATTCCAGCTACTCGGGAGGCTGAGGCAGGAGAATCGCTTGAACCCGAGAGGCGGAGGTTTCAGTGAGCCAAGATCGCACCACTCCACTCCAACCTGGGCGACGTAGCAAGGCTCCATCTCAAAAAATGTATAAGTAAATAAATAAATAAATAAAAGTTTTCATTGGTAGGAGGACTTGCTTGAATTATCTAGTCATATATATGCAGAATTGGTGGTCCCATTGACCCTCAAGTGAGGCATCCAATAGGCAGCAAATATTTTCAGGGAAGGTGGGGTCCTCGCTGTATTATGGAAGAAATCATGATTGGTCTAAGTCAATCATGGTAACCCTCTTCCTCTTCGCCTATCCGGGGTGGGCATATGACCCAGGTTTCACCAAAAAGACACAAGAGGAAGACTCCAGGGAACTTGTGGATGAATTTTTGTGCCCTTATAAAAGAGAGCTGTTGAGGAACCAGAGCCCTTTCTCTTTTTTTTTGCATTGGGATGATGTTATATAAGGAAGGCACAGTTGATTCTGTGGCAACATCTTATAACTGAGAGAGAAGTGAAGAAAATTGCAAAGATGTCAACTCCTGCTTCTTGATATTGTGAAGCCTCTTAAAAACTTTGGAACTTTTTGCTTCTGGGCTTCTTGAGGAAACAGTCAACATCCTTATGGTTTTGCTGTTAGTCAGGTTTTCTGTTATGTGTAGGCCAAAGCATTCCTAGCCGACATGTCATCCCTGAAGTCTCAGCTTTAAATGTCATTCCTCAGGGAGACCTTCCTGAAACCCCCAGATCAACACATTCTGTAACACTCCCCACTGTCCCTGAGTGGTCCTCATCACACTTGTAATTATTATTACTATTAATTTTTTTTTTTTTTTTGAGATGGAGTCTCACTCTGTCGCCCAGGCTGGAGTGCAGTGGTGCAATCTCGGTTCACTGCAAGCTCCGCCTCCCAGGTTCACGCCATTCTCCTGCCTCAGCCTCCCGAGTAGTAACTGGGACTACAGGTGCCCACCACCACGCCCAGCTAATTTTCTTTCGTATTTTTAGTACAGATGGGATTTCACCATGTTAGCCAGGATGGTCTCAATCTCCTGACCTCTTGATCCGTCTGCTTCGGCCTCCCAAAGTGCTGGGATTACAGGCGTGAGCCACTGCGCCTGGCACTTGTAATTATTAATATTTATTGAATGATGGTCTTTGTCTCAGGGCTATTTGCTCCACCAGAGCAGAGACTATGACAGGCATCCCAGAGCCTAGCCCAATGACAGGCACAGGAGCCACTAAATAAATAGCAAAAAAAAAAAAAAAAAAAAAAATCAAAGGATCTAGAGCACAGGTGGAGGGAGAAGCAGGATAAATCCGTGAAAGGTGTGAATTGAAATATGTGCAGCTGGGCTTCTGCTATCACATGGAAACTTTAAAGCTTAATGAATCATTAAAGAAGGGTTGGAATGACCATTGTGGGAACGGGGTGTGAGTGTTTATCTGGTACAGTAAGAGCTGCCAAGTAGTGTTAAAGGCCCAGCTGGGATTAGAAACCATACGTGTGCATTGGCAGAAACCAGCAGAATTAGAAGATTTCCTCCAGCAGCGTTCAGCCATCTGAGTGTGGGAGAGAAGCTGGGTAATTAGGTCAGCCCCAAAATGGGGGCTTGGTGGGCAGGCTGCTGCCTTTTGTTCCTTTCTCAGATGAAGTAAATGAAAATAGATGTGGAATTTTGTTTTCCTTGTCCCCAAAATGAAACCTTGTAGAACTCAAAGGCTTGCCCTTTGGCCCTAGACTGGAGCCAAAAAGGCTGAAGCATTTACCCCAAACGTCTTCCCCTATGGCCTGCTTGCCTAGCAGGGCCCATGGAAAGATTTGTGGGGATCTGTGATTTTTTTTTTTTTTTGAGGTGGAGTCTCGCTCTGTCACCCAGGCTGGAGTGCAGTGGCGCCATCTCGGCTCACTGCAAGCTCCGCCTCCCGGGTTCACGCCATTCTCCTGCCTCAGTCTCCCGAGTAGCTGGGACTACAGGCGCCTGCCACCACGCCCGGCTAATTTTTTGTATTTTTAGTAGAGACGGGGTTTTCCCATGTTGGCCAGGATGGTCTCGATCTCCTGACCTCATGATCCGCCCACCTCAGCCTCCCAAAGTGCTGGGATTACAGGGGTGAGCCACCGCGCCCAGCCTGTGAATTTCTTAAAGTATGCAAAATGCGGTGTGTCTGTGTGTGTGCATTTTTCTGGGGCGAGTATCTGTAGCTTACATCAAATTCTTTAAAGGGTGATCCAGAAAGACAAGAGCCCCTAACTTGGGTCAGCTCTTGGATCCACTGCTGTGGATCAGGGCCTGACTGATGGGCAGTTACATCCCTGCCTATTGACAAGGGGCAGTGTGGCACAGAGGTAGATGTGCAGGGGCCTGGACTGCACCACCTCAGGGAAGCTACTTAGCTCCTCAGTTTTCTCTTCTGTAAAATGGGAATGATAATCCCAGTTCCTTATTTCAGAGGGCTGTGAAGATTAAGTTAGATAATACATGCAAATGCTGAGGCCATGCTGGGTACTTAGTAACGGCTGGGTACTTACTAATAGGACGCACATTTAAGAACAAAGACTTTGAATCGGGAGGCAGCAGCTGGGGGAGCACAGTTACAGACAATTTTTTTGCTAAGCACAACATCTGATCATTCTCTCCCCTCTGATACTGTGTGGTCCCATGCAGGTTCCTTAATCACTGCCTCAGTTTCCTTATCTGTAAAATGGAGATGATAACAGTAACTGCCTCATGGTTTGCAGGGACTCTCTGAGGCCGGTGCTCACTAAGTGCTGGTTATTATTGCGATTTTTACTGCCCAGGGCCCAAATTCAGGCTCCTCATCTTGATAAGAAAGGCTCTTCCCACCAGGCCTTGCCCCGCACTGAAGCCGTCACAACCCAGCAGGCACCTTCACACTGTCTCCAGTGTCCAGTGGCTCTACGGGCCGAAGCACTGAGCACAGAAGAGAGCGAGTGACCAAACGGAGGCCCGCAACACCCGCGCCCTTCCTCAGAGTATTCCCTTCCAAGAGTGCCCTCGCCCTTCCCTTCCCAATTTCCATCTATAGATATCCAGCTTTTGGTTCAAAGCGGAACTCCAGAAACCACACTGTCCATAACGCCTTCCTAATTCCTCTCATCAGAAGCCCCTGTTCTGAGCCAGTCATGTGGCATATGCAGTTCTCAGGAACAACACACCTCAGTTCCCTAACTGCACTGCAGCCTCTGGGGACAGGCCTGGCCCCATCCTGTTCTTTTTACCACATCTGTCACCATCTTTGCACAGAGAATACCTTTGGTAGAGAGCTCTTGAACAAAGGAAATGAAATACTCAATGATTCCACTATTCCAAGGCATTCACACATCTAAGGGAAGGGAGAAAGAATCCCCAAATGACTGATCTGTACACTAAGAAACTGATTATACAAATGAACAATGGCCAGACCATATATTAAAATACAACTCTAGGCTGGGCACAGTGGCTCATGCCTGTAATCCCAGCACTTTGGGAGGCCGAGGTGGGCGGATCATCCGAGGTCGGGAGTTAGAGACCAGCCTGACCAACATGGAGAAATCCCGTCTCTACTAAAAATATAAAATTAGCCTGTAATCCCAGCTACTCTGGAGGCTGAGGCAGGAGAATTGCTTGAACCTGGGAGGCGGAGGTTGCCGTGAGCCGGGATCTCGCCACTGCACTCCAGCCTGGGCAACAAGAGCAAAACTCCATCTCAAGAAAAAAAAAAATACAACTCTCACCCACAGCCTGCGGTCACTTGCTGGGGAAACTAACTCATTATCTGCAACAATTAACCTGGGAGGTCTTCCTGCTCTAAATCAGGCCTGCAAGAAGCCAGATTGCTATCTCTAGTGACAATCCAGGAAGCTAAACAATAACCAATAATGTCTGTAACAATCAGCCCCAAATGGCCAGAATTTGATTAGTAACTGACAGTTTCCTTAATTTTGTCCTCACTTTAGGACCAACCAGGGAAAGCCAAAAATGCACCCCTAACCAAGCACACAGGATGCCCTGCTTCTAGTTAGCCCATGCACGGGCAGCTTCCCCACACCAACAGCCTCCAATCAGGGCACACCTGAAGCCTTCACTTTCCTCAGCTATAAAGGTGTCCCACTCCTCTGCCTGCCTTCGAAGCTCCGTCAAAATGCAAGTGCAGATGGCTGACACCCTTGCTCTGTCGCCCAGGCTGGAGTGCAGTGGCACGATCTTGGCTCACTGCAAGCTCCGCCTCCCGGGTTCACGCCATTCTCCTGCCTCTCAGCCTCCCGAGTAGCTGGGACTACAGGTGCCCACCACCACGCCCAGCTAATTTTTTTGTATTTTTAGTAGAGACAGGGTTTCACCATGTTAGCCAGGATGGTCTTGATCTCCTGACCTCCTGATCCACCTGCCTCGGCCTCCCAAAGTGCTGGGATTACAGGCATGAGCCACCGCACCCGGCCAGCCTTTGCTTTTTTAAAGTTGGTTTTCCTTTATTTCCACAAGACCCAGGAACGAAAGCGCAGGGAGCAGAGGCTGGACCGTCCTCTGTCAGTTCCCTCGTTCCCCTGGAGTGGAGCTCTGAGCCCTGGGACCACAGAGTTGGCTGTTACACTGGAAACACTGATCAGACCTTTGGACTCAGCTGAGGTAAGGCTGGAGAAGCCAATTGACTCAGATGAAATACCCCAGGCATAAAATCACAAAAGAGTTTTTGTTAGATGCTGGTTGGGAGGGAGTGGCTCCAGAGATCTGGGAAAAGAGCAGGCCGGCCGGCAATAGAGACATGAGGGAAAGGCAGGAACTTTGCCTAGAATGGGGGCCAGGGGTTGCCAGCACCCGCCTTGGTGGGACAGAGAATTGAGTCAAGATTCTTATCTCACCTCCACTATGATCCTTTTTTCATTCCACAGATATTCACTGAGTGCATAGTGTGTGCGCCAGGCCCTGTTCTGGGAGATGACAGGCAAGGCCACTGACTTCGTGGAGCTCGCCCCCTAACGGTGAAGACAAACAGTGACTGACTAAGGAAAAAAAAAAAAGGTAATTTCAGAAGTGGCAAGTGCCCTGAGCAAAATAAACTAAGATGGTGCAACAGAGAAAAAGGGTGCTGGGGGGTGGGGACACATGCCCCTTTCTAATGCTGCTTCTTGGAGGAAGGTATCTGTGCTGACACCCTAGCAGCCAGGAGCCAGCAGTGCAACTAGAGAGGAAGAGCTTTTCCAGGCATGGGGAACAGCTTCGGCAAAGACCCTGAGGTGGCCCAGGATTGACATGTCCAATAAAGAACAGAGAGGCCAGTGTGGCCAGAGTAGCAGTAATAGCGTTGGGATGAGGCCAGGGAGGAGGCTCACGCCTGGCCAGGCATGAAGGGCCTTCTTGGCCATGTCAAGAGTTTAGATTTCATTTTATTCAAAAAGGCACTGAATGGCTAGCCTGCCTCAGCCGTTTTTTCAGGGCCTTAGAAGAGCTGCTTTGCCAAGCTCCTGTCAGGATTGCAGCAGAGGGCACCCGTGGGTGTTGAGGGACGGCCTTGAGGGGATGGAGTATAGATCAGCCTCACTGCTGTAAGCCACAACTGAACCCCTTGCTGAGTAGGGCAAGATGGGCCACATCGAGTGTGGAAACTCCGAAACTCTATGCTAAATGTTTTTTGTGTATACCTATCTTAGGAAGAGAACCAGAGCTTTTTTTTTTTTTTTTTTTTTTTGAGATGGAGTCTCACTCTGTTGCCCAGGCTGGAGTGCAGTGGTGCAATCTCTGCTCACTGCAACCTCCGCCTCCCAGGTTCAAGTGATTCTCCTACCTTAGCCTCTTGAGTAGCTGGGACTACAGGTGGTGTGCCACAACACCCGGCTAATTTTTGTATTTTTAGTAGAGATGAGGTTTCGCCATGTTGGCCAGGCTGGTCTCAAACTCCTGACCTCAGGTGATCCACCAGCCTCATCTTCCCAAAGTGTTGGGATTACAGGCATGAGCCACCGTGCCCAGCCTGTTTTTTTCAGATTCTAACTCCTAAGCACTAAGAACCCAGAGCTTTTATCAGCCTCTCAGCAGAGTCTCTGTGACCAAAAAAGATAGAAAAAGGTGAATAATGACACCTGTGCTTCCATATGCATGGGGTATTTTAATAAGGATGTTCAGATGTGGCCTTGGAGGAGGAGAGAGGGAGGCTGGAAGAAGGAGACGTGTCGTGGATCCTGTGTGTGCTTTACCTGTTTTTAAAATCTGGCGTAAAGGACTAACACTGTGGACAAGGATGGCGTGGGGAGAAAGGTGCTGAAGTCTCGGCATGGCAGGAACCTGCAGGGAGGCCCTTCCCATCCTTAACTCAGCCTTCTGGGCCAGGGTGGGGCAGTGACAAACCCAGGGTCAGATCCTAACCCAGGTGGCCCCACCCCACCCCTAACCTGTGCTCACATGCCTCAACTCTGAGGAGCTGGTCCTGGAGAGGTGGGGTGCAGGAGGGCGGCACCTCCCCTGAGCCCAAGGAGGCTGCAGCTGCCCTGCAGGTGTGGGCTGCACTGCTCTGCAAGAGACTCCCTGGAGAGGGATGCCCTTTGTCCAGGCCACTGAAGCCGCTGTCGTCCTCTGAGCATGCCCCAAGCTCTTCTGAGCCCCGCACCTTCATAGAAAGAGGCACCTGGCTGGCCCCAACAGGATCGCTTTGCTCAGACCTGAGTTCTTATGAAGGGTTCAGTCCCAAAGTCTTGGTTGGTCATTTTGCTTTCAGTCAAAGTTCACCTCACTATGCCTGGTATCTGTGCCCCCCCAGCCCCCACTCAGGAGATGGAGGCTGAGATAGAAATGTGCTCTCTAGCCTGGCACAGTGGCTCAAGCCTGTAATCCCAGCACTTTGGGAGGCCAAGGTGGGCGGATCATGAGGTCAGGAAATCGAGACCATCCTGGCCAACATGGTGAAACCCCGTCTGTACTAAAAATACAAAAATTTGCTGGGTGTGGTGGCGCGTGGCTGTAATCCCAGCTACTCAGGAGGCTGAGGCAGGAGAATCGCTTGAACCAGGGAGTTGGAGGTTGCAGTGAGCTGAGATCATGCCACTGCACTCCAGCCTGGCAACAGAGCAAGACTCTGTCTCAAAAAAAAAAAAAAAAAAATGTCCTCTCTAACTCTCTCCAGAATCTTGGCTGGAATTGACTTTGCCTCCCCACAAATAGGCTCTGGCCTGGCCTTCAGGACCCACCTGTTCTCAGCAATCAGCCAGCCCCTCCTGGTGTTCAGATCCCCAGTAATCTGGGTCCACGAGCCGGGGAACAGAGTTGACTGGTGATGACAGGTCCCTGGCAGGATGCAAAGCGGCTGAGGGCCTCCTGGGCCAGCACTTGGGTAAACCAAAGTGCTGCTCTCCTCTGCTTGAGAACAATTGGGACTGTTGCATAGCTTCCTCCTGAGGCCTTCGAAATGGCTTCCTCTGAGGGATAAGAGCACAGTCACCCAAACTTGTGTTGACAAACAGTATTTTTATGCCAAATCTTCTAACTTGATTTTTTTTTCTTTTTGAGACCGAGTCTCACTCTGTTATCCAGGCTGGAGTGCGGTGGCGCAATCTCAGCTCACTGCAACCTCCGCCTCCCAGGTTCAAGCAATTCTCCTGCCTCAGCCTCCCAAGTAGCTGGGATTACAGGCGCCCGCCACCACGCCTGGCTAATTTTTGTATTTTTAGTGGAGACAGAGTTTCACCATGTTGGTCAGGCTGATCTCGAACTCGTGAGCTCATGCGATTTGCCAGCCTTGGCCTCCCAAATTGCTGGGATTACACGCGTGAGCCACCGCGCCCAGGCTCAAATCTTCTAACTCTAAATTAAATAGTAATACAAATAGCCAATATGTGTGTGGGACTTATGGTGGGCCAGGCACTGTTCAGTTACGGGCTTTATGTGCATCTTTTCATTTAAACTCCACAGAACCCTGACGCTTGGCATGGTCCATGGCCCCCTCCACACAGCCAGTTGGCCAGGGAGCCGAGGCAGCCTGTAAACGCTCTGCCTGGAGCTGCTCGTAAACAAAAACAGAGTGATCCACAAAAGGGCCCCAGAGTCTGGCACTGAATGGAATCCTACCTTCGGTCCAGCAACTGGAGAACGAAAGTCCACATCCTGATGACTGGTTCTGCACCTGGGGCTTAGAGCACATAGCAAGGGGCTGAGAAGCAGCCACCACATAATCAGTGACTGCAATTTCATCACACAGTCCTCCATGCCAGGCCCTGTGGGGAAACCAAGATATGTAAGGCAAGCCCTGCTCTTCGGAATTTCTAATCTCAGTACTGAAAAGTTAATAACATAAGGACGCAGCCTATCTGTGGTAACACCATGGCATGAGCTGTGTGGATTCCAAGTGCTGAATGAAGCTGGAAGGGCAGAGGTCACATCGGGCCAGTATGTGCTTCTTGGAAGAGGTGGCATTTGAGTCACTTGAAGAATGAGCAGGAGATGAGGGATGGGAAGGAGAAGGCATTCCTGGGATGCCATGAGCAAAGTGTCACAGTTTTGCATTGATCACTGTCATCCATGTAAGAGCAAGGACAGCTCAGGCAGGTGGTGGCCATAGAATGGAGGTGGACACATAAATATGTGGAGAAAGAAGGAAGTCTTTGGGTTAAAAGGCCAAGACTTGACACCTGTGAGGACCTGGAATCTAACCCTGTGTTTGTCTGTAAACCCAAGGCAAGTCACCCTTCTTCCGAGGCACAGTTTCTTCACCTGTAAAATGAAGGGACTGGGCAAGACGGTTTCTAAAGTTCCTAGGGCCAGGTGCAGTGGCTCACGCCTATCTTCACAATACTTTGGGAGGCTGATGCAGAAGGATCACTGGAGCTCCCTCAAGACCAGCCTGGGGAACACAGGAAGAACCTTGTCTCTACAAAAAATTAAAAATATTAGCTGGACATGGTGGCAGGACCTGTGGTTCCAGCTACTCAGGAGGCTGAGTGGGGAGGATATTTTGAACCTGGGAGGTCGAGGCTGCAGTGAGCTGTGATCACACCACTGCACTTCAGCCTGGGCAATAAATAAATAAACAAGTAACAAAGTTCCTTACTACTTTAGAATCAGGGTAGAAAGGAGTGAAGATGACTTTAGGATTTTGAAGAACAGGCCCAGCAGCAGGAGGTGAGGAGTCTGGAGAACAGCAGATCTGGGGAGAGGCCTTCAGCTTTAGATAAAATGCGTGGACCCCTTCACGACTCTTCCTTCTGCTGGGGTCCTCCAGCGCTGCCACAGGCTGACCCGTTCTCAGACTTGCATGGGACGTGTGTTGCCTCCCTACGTCTCTCCCTGAGATGTGAGCCTGGCTACATCAAGGCCAGAGCAATGAGAGGCAGTGGCCCTTGCCCCAGCTTTTCCCCAATGAGGAAGCACCATCATCACCAACACCATCTTGCCACGATAGCACTGGAGAGCCTGCAGGTGAAGGTGGGGATCCCCTAAATTCACAATTAAGTTCCTTTACCCCAGGGAAATGGGCACTGGAAACAGAAACAGGCTGTTATTGAGAAATCAATTAACATATGGTCCCTGCATACTTCTGTTTGAGGGCCCCAATTAGCTCATACCTGGTTCACAGGCAAACTTTCCAACAAACGGGGCAGATCTCATACTGGGTGTGTATAAGAGCCCCTGTGGAGGCTGGGCACAGTGACTCACAACTGTAATCCCAGCACTTTGGGAGGCCAAGGCGGGAGGATCGCTTGAGCCCAGGAGATCCAGGCTGCAGTGAGCTGAGGTCATGCCACCGCACTCCAGCCTGGGTGACAGACACCCTGTCCCAAAAAATAAAGAAGAACCCCTGTGGAGCTCATGAACAGGACCACCCAGAGGAGGGGACCAGGCACCTTTATTTTCATAACCTCCCAGGCAATTGTTAGGCACACTAAAGTGAGAGACTCTTTGGGGAGGATAGAGCTGCCCAGAGGGTTTGGGCTGGGAGAGCGGTGGGGCAGGGGCCCTCCCAAGAGGCAACAGGCTCCTCAGAGTGAGACTGAGCTGTCTCTCCACAGAGGGCAGGGGAGGGAGGGTGGCCCTGGGCAGAGGGGCTGAAGCTGGAGAGGCAGTGGAGGCCGGAGGGCACAGGCTTTGCGGCTGAGCAAGGGGCCAGGGCCAGATCCTGAAGCTGACGGGACAGGGGGCGCTGTGAGCAGGGACGGGAGGCCTTTCTGAGGCAGGAAAATCACTTGAACCCAGGAGGCGGAGGTTGCAGTGAGCTGAGATCATGCCACCACACTCCAGCCTGGGCAACAGAGCGAGACTCCATCTCAAAAAAAAAAAAACAAAACAAAAAGCAGATACACACCTTCCCGTCCACCCTTTGTCCACTGAGATGAGCTGGGCCTGTGGTGGGAGGGGTGAGCACCTCCTGCCTCAACTTGCATTTCCTTCCCAGCAGGCCCGGGCTCTCCTGCCTCTGACTTCAAGTCCTTGGTACGTATGAAATTCCTGCCTCTCCTCTGGCCGCCCTGCCTGCCTCCCTGGCTGCAGTTACAGTTTTGTCCCTTGTTCCTACCCTTTTATGTCTGCCTTTCTCAGGCCTTCAGCCCAATGTGTCAAGATTAATTTGATACCAAATTGGCTTTCTCTGGAAATTCAAGGAAAACTTCTAGGCACAAGAACAAGATTCCTTTGGGGAAAATGCTCATGGCCCCTTCCTCAAGGCAGTCCTGGGGTTGGATCCTTGACCCGACCCAGGCCGGGATAGCACCCTGGAGGGGGAGGCCCTGTCTGGAGGGAAACAGCTCGCTCAGGGTCTTGCACCCGCCCGCCCCACCTCCAACCCTGTGCCCTGCTCTTGACAGAGAGAGACAGGCCCTCCTCAAAGTATGACTAGGGCCCTTCTCACCCCCAGAGCTCACCTCTCTGTAAGGCTCTGCTCTGCTGGAAAAAAATTCTTCATTTACTTTTGGACTGGGGCGACAGATTGCAATTTGGGGCCATCATGGTTGGATGTTTATGTTCTCGGAGGAGCCTCTTTGGGGAAGGAAACTGGGTTTCTCTCACCTTCCTTATTTGAGACAAAATGTACTATTTCTTGCTCTTAATTCAGCATCTACAATTGTCCTGGGAATTGGGTGCAGTGCCATGGGGTCAGGACAGTAGTGTGATTCCAGACTCCAGAACAAAACAATAGGATGCTCTGTTTTCTCAAAATGCCTTGAGTCCTCAGGCCTGGCCCCCCAACCACTAGGCAGCGCCTATCCTTCCTCTGTGGTCTCACCCCTCTTCCCAGATCATTTGCCCTCACAACCACCTCACATTCTGTCCAGAACCCCCAAGCACAAGGAGCCTGCCAAGCTGGGAAGTCATCACAGAACTCAGTTCTACTGGCATATCTGCCACCAGAATTCGCAGTAAAGAGGACAGGTTCTGGTTGGGTGCATGGCTCATGCCTGTAATCCCAACACTTTGGGAGGCCAAGGTGAGAGGATCATTTGAGCCCAGTTCAAGACCAGCCTGCACAACATAGTAAGACTCCGTCTCTACAAAAATTTTTTTTAATTAGCCGGACGTGGTTGTGCACACCTTATAGTCCCAGCTACTCAGAAAGCTGAGGCAGAAGGATTGCATGAGCCCCAGAGTTTGAGGCTGCAGTGAGCTATGATCACACCACTGCACTCCAGCCTGGGCAACAGAGTGAGATCCTGTCTCAAAAAAAAAAAAAAAAATGAGAAAGAAGAAAGAAAGAAAGGGCCAGGCATGATGGCTCATGCCTGTAATCCCAACACTTTGGGAGGCTGAGGTGGGTGGATCACTTGAGGTCAGGAGTTCAAGACTAGCCTGACCAAAATGGTGAAACCCCGTCTCTACTAAAACTACAAAAATTAGCTGGATGTGGTGGCAGGCTCCTGTAATCCCAGCTACTACGAGGCAGGAGAATGGCTTGAACCTGGGAGGTGGAGGTTGCAGTGAGCTGAGACTGCACCACTGCACTCCAGCCTGGGCGACAGAGCAAGGCTCCATCAAGAAAGAAGGAAAGAAGAAAGAGAGAGAGAGAAAGAAAAGAAAAGAAAGAGAGGAAGGAAAGAAGGAAGGGAGGGAAGTGGAGGGAGGGAGAGAGAGAGAAAGAAAAGAAAGAAGGGAGGGAGGGAGGAAGGAAGGAAGGAAGGCAGGCAGGCAGGCAGGCAGGCACGAAGGCCCGGCACGGTGGCTCACTCCTGTAATCCTAGCAGTTTGGGAGGCCCAGGCAGGTGGATCACCTGAGATCAGGAGTTCGAGACCAGCCTGGCCAACATGGGGAAACCCCATCTCTACTAAAAATACAAAAAATTAGCTGGGCATGGTGGTGCACACCTGTAATCCGAGCGACTCAGGAGGCTGAGGCAGGAAAATCACTTGAACCCGGGAGGTGGAGCTTAAAGTGAGCCGAGATCGCGCCATTGCACTCCAGCCTGGGTGACACAGCGAGACTCCAAAAAAAAAAAAAAAAAAAGAAAAGAAAGAGGGAGAAGGGGGTGAAAGAGAGAGAGAGAAAGCAAGAAAGGGAAGAAGAGAGAGAGAGAGAGAGATAGAAGGAAGGAAGGAGAGAGAGAAAGAAAAAGAAAAGAGATAAGAGAGGGGCCAGGCGTGGTGGCTCATGCCTGTAATCCCAGCACTTTGGGAGGCTGAAATGGGCAGACCACCTGAGGTCAGGAGTTCGAGGCCAGCCTGACGAACATGGTGAAACCCTGTCTCTACTAAAAATACAAAAATTAGCTGGGCATGGTGGTGGGTGCCTGTCATTCCAGCTACTTGGGAGGCTGAGGCAGGAGAATCGCTTGAACCCAGGAGGTGGAGGTTGCAGTGAGCCCTGAGACCACACCATTGCACTCCAGCCTGGGTGACTGGAGCAAGACTCCATCTAAAAAAAAGAAGAAAAAAGAAGGCCAGGCGTGGTGGCTTATGACTGTAATCCCAGCATTTTGGGAGGCCAAGGTGAGTGGATCACGAGGTCAAGAGATCGAGACCATCCTGGCCAACATGGTGAAACCCTGTCTCTACTAAAAATACAAAAAAAATTAGCTAGGCATGGTGGCGTGTACCTGTAGTCCCAGCTACTCGGGAGGCTGAGGCAGGAAAATCGCTTGAACCCAGGAGGCGGAGGTTGCAGTGAGCTGAGATCATGCCACTGCACTCCAGCCTGACAACACAGCGAGACTCCATCTCAAAAAAAAAAAAAAAAAAAAAAAGCCAGGTGCAGTGGCTCACACCTGTAATCCCAGCACTTTGGGAGGCCGAGGCAGGTGGATCACAAAGTCAAGAGATCAAGATCAGCCTGACCAACATGGAGAAACCCTGTCTCTACGAAAAATACAAAATTAGCTGGACATAGTGGTGCAGGCCTGTAATCCCAACTACTCGGGAGGCTGAGGCAGGATAATCGCTTGAATCAGGGAGGCAGAGGTTGCAGTGAGCTGAGATCATGCCATCGCATTCCAGCCTGGGCAACAAGAGCAAAACTCCGTCTCAAAAAAAAAACAGAAAGAAAGAAAAGAAAGGGCCGGCACGGTGGCTCACGCCTATAATCCCAGCACTTTGGGGGCGGATCACCTGAGGTCAGGAGTTCGACACCAGCCTGGCTAACATGGTGAAACCCCGTCTCTACTAAAAATACAAAAATTAGCCGGGCATGGTGGTGGGTGCCTGTAATTCCAGCTACTTGGGAGGCTGAGGCAGGAGAATCGCTTGAACCCAGGAGGTGGAGGTTGCAGTGAGCCCTGAGATCACACCATTGCACTCCAGCCTGAGTGACTGGAGCAAGACTCCATCTAAAAAAAAGAAGAAAAAAGGCCAGGCGTGGTGGCTTATGACTGTAATCCCAGCATTTTGGGAGGCCAAGGCGAGTGGATCACGAGGTCAAGAGATCGAGACCATCCTGGCCAACGTGGTGAAACCCTGTCTCTACTAAAAATACAAAAAAAATTAGCTGGGCATGGTGGCGTGCACCTGTAGTCCCAGCTACTCGGGAGGCTGAGGCAGGAAAATCGCTTGAACCCAGGAGGCGGAGGTTGCAGTGAGCTGAGATCACGCCACTGCACTCCAGCCTGACAACACAGCGAGACTCCATCTCAAAAAAAAAAAAAAAAAAAGCCAGGTGCAGTGGCTCACACCTGTAATCCCAGCACTTTGGGAGGCCGAGGCAGGTGGATCACAAAGTCAAGAGATCAAGATCAGCCTGACCAACATGGAGAAACCCTGTCTCTACGAAAAATACAAAATTAGCTGGACGTAGTGGTGCAGGCCTGTAATCCCAACTACTCGGGAGGCTGAGGCAGGATAATCGCTTGAATCAGGGAGGCAGAGGTTGCAGTGAGCTGAGATCATGCCATCGCATTCCAGCCTGGGCAACAAGAGCAAAACTCCGTCTCAAAAAAAAAAAGCAGAAAGAAAGAAAAGAAAGGGCCGGCGCGGTGGCTCACGCCTATAATCCCAGCACTTTGGGGGCGGATCACCTGAGGTCAGGAGTTCGACACCAGCCTGGCTAACATGGTGAAACCCCGTTTCTACTAAAAATACAAAAAATTAGCCAGGCGTGTTGGTGCACGCCTGTAATCCCAGCTACTCAGGAGGCTGAGGGAGGAGAATCACTTGAACTTGGGAGGCAGAGGTTGTAGTGAGCCGAGATTGCGCCACTGCACCCAGCTTGGGCAACAAGAGTGAAACTCTGTCTCAAAAAAAAAAGGAAAAGAAAGAAAAAGGAGAGAAAGAAAGAAAGAAGAAAGAAAAAAAGAAAGAAAGAGAAAAGAGGGGAGGAGAGAAGAAAGAAAAGAAAGGTCCTGTACAGATGGCAGCATCATTTTTTCCCCCAATTCCTGACACAGAGGCTGAGCCATTATTGTCAACCTACTGTGAAAAGACATTATGTCCTCTCTGTCACTGGCAAATCCTGACCAGAGTCTTGTTGGACTCTGAGAGCATCCCCAGCAAAGAACTCTGAGCATCACAGAGGAGCAGCATGAAGTCTTCCTTTAATGCAGTCTTGATCTACCTAGAACATCAGCTACAAAATAATTTTGCACAGCATCATTAACAATAGTGCTGCCTTCGTTTTGTATATGACTCCACAGCTTTCATACATATTCCATCAGTTGTATTTGGGGTTTTATGAAAACCTGTGAAGTTGGCCAGGCACGGTGGCTCACGCCTGTAATCCCAGCACTTTGGGAGGCTGACGCGGGTGGATCACCTGAGGCCAGGAGTTCGAGACTAGCCTGGCCAACATGGTGAAACCCCGTCTCTACTAAAAATACAAAAATTAGCTGGTGGTGGCACATATTTGGGAGGCTGAGGCGGGAGAATTGCTTGAACCTGGGAGGCGAGGTTGCAGTGAGCCGAGATCCTGCCATTGCACTCCAACCTGGGCGACAGAGCGAGACTCCATCTCAAAAAAAAAAAAGAAAAAAATATAGGAGTATATCTTTTTTTGTTGTTTTTGTTTTTTGTTTTGAGATGGAGTCTCGCTCTGTTGCCCAGGCTGGAGTATAGTGGCGTGATCTCGGCTCACTGCAACCTCCGCCTCCCAGGTTCAAGCAATTCTCTTGCCTCAGCCTCCCGAGTAGCTGGGACTATAGATGCCCTCAACCATGCCCAGCTAATTTTTGTATTTTTAGTAGAGACGAGGTTTCACTATGTTGGCCAGGCTGGTCCTGAACTCCTGACCTCGTGATCCACCCGCCTTGGCCTCCCAAAGTGCTGGAATTACAGGCGTGAGCCACCGCGCCTGACCGAGTATATCTTTTTTAAAAAAGAAAATAAATAAAGAAATAAAGTCTACATAGCGGTGACTGGGAGACCAGAATATCCCATTCATGTCTTGGTCCTCATCGTACCAAATGGATCACATCCTGTTTCTTCATCATTTCATCAGGTGCAAGGCAGTTGGGCCGTGATGGGGCAGGACAACAACCAGAAAATGCTGGAATGTGGCCAGAGCTGAGGCAGTGCTCACCCCACACACATTCATTAAATGCCTACTGTGTGCAGAGTGAGGTGGTGAATACAAAGGTAAACACAGCAAGGTGGTCTCACCCTCCAGTCCCTGGAAGAGCACAGGTCACCACTGGCTGCTCTCATAGCAGCTGCCTAGTATGGGCGGCTGCGTCAAGCCAAAGCGGAATGGTCAGAAGAACAGCATCAGTGAGACAAAACAGTGGAGACAGCATGACAGGACACGGACTCAACGGCTGGAAGCCAGCCTGGCGCGCAGCAATTGGGAATGGGGTGTCTGTTTTGGAACAAAGGAGTTGAGCAACCATGATTCGGAGAGGCAGAAAAGCAAACACCAGGCTTTCCGAAAATGGTTGCTATGACCACAAACCTAAAGACAGACAGCTGCATGTTCATTTCTGGGCCCCAACTGTACATATTATTGGTATTAGCATCAGCATTATCTTGGAATAGGGACAACGTCTTATATGAGGCATTCATTCAAAATGTTATTTAATTTATAAAACTTCCTTATGCTACTGCCAGGGGAAAAAATTATTAAGTAAATTCAGCTAAATTTCTGGAAATTTTATTTGCATACAATGTATACAAATAACAGCGCCTAATTTAGAATCCTGGCTCTCTCACTTTCTAGCTGAGAGATTAGAGACAAATTAGTGGATTTGTCTTTGTGTCTTTGTTTGCAAATCTGTAAATGGTGTAACAGTCTCCACCTCACAGGGTTACAATGAGGACAGAGTGAGGTAATGTGTGTAAAGCTCTTCTAACAGCCCGGTCGGGGGCACAAAGTAAGTGCTATATACATGTTAGCTATATTATTATTATTAAATCAGTATGTTGAGCTCAAAGTCAGACCAATGTCAGCCTGTCCCCTCTTTTTTTCCTTATCTGTCCAATCTTTAGAGATAATTTTGGATGAACATCTACTTTTCTTTTTTCTGAGATGGAGTCTCGCCCTGTCACCCAGGCTGGAGTGCAATGACACGATCTCGGCTCACTGCAACCTCCGCCTCCCGGGTTCAAGCAATTCTCCTGCCTCAGCCTCCCGAGTAGCTGGGATTACAGACGCCTGCCACCACGCCTGGCTAATTTTTGTATTTTTAGTAGAGACGGGGTTTCACCATGTTGGCCAGACTGGTCTCAAACTTCTGACCTCAGCGATCTGCCCACTTCGGCCTCCCAAAGTGCTGGGATTACAGGCTGGATGAACATCTACTTATTACATAATCTTTTTAAAAACGTCTCTCTTTTTTTTTTTTTTTTTTTTTTGAGACGGAGTTTCACTCTTGTTGCCCAGGCTGGAGAGCAATGGTGCAATCTGAGCTCACCGCAACCTCCGCCTCCCAGATTCAAGTGATTCTCCTGCCTCAGCCTCCCAAGTAGCTGGGATTACAGACATGCGCCACCACGCCTGGCTACTTTTCTATTTTTAGTAGAGACAGGGTTGGTCAGGCTGGTGTTGGACTCCCAACCTCAGGTAATCCGCCCACCTCAGCCTCCCAAAGTGCTGGGATTACAGGTGTGAGCCACAGTGCCCGGCCTTAAAAACTTCTTTTTAAAAATTATTTATGTATTTGTTTATTTTTGAGACAGGGTCTTGCTATGTTGCCCAGGCTGGTGTCAAATTCCTGGGCTTAAGCAATCTACCCACCTCAGCCTCCCAAAGTGCTGGGATTACAGGTGTGAGACACCGCACCCAGCCTAAAAACTTTTTATCCTGGAGACAGTGTCCACAAACTTAATCTGGTATTTCACAAGTTGCTGAGGCATAGGAAACTCTTTTCTTTCTACAATATTTTCAGACCACCAAGCCATGAGAGGTGACAGCAGTAGCAAATCTCATGAGCTCTTCGGTGAGCAGCCATTTCTTAGTGGAAAGGACTGTATCTGACCTTCAGTTCTCAGCAGTTACAAATGTCAAAGGCAGACCTTTTCTCTCCTCCCAGGCTCCCCTCCCACACTCCTGTCCTGCAGCTTCCCTCCCTGTAGATAAGTGAATGCTGATGAGGTGTGACTGGGCCAGGACTGAAGGGTCCCTGGCCCAAAATATCTTCCTCTGCCCGGAAGGCTGGGCTTCTCATCATCTATATCATACTCTGAGGTCTGGGGAAAGGGGCTTCCCCTTCAAAGCTAGCACTATAAATATGTCTCCAGGTTGTCACCAGGAGTCCCTAGATAAACCACCCCTCTGGGAGGGGCATTAACCTTTTATCTTCTCAACCCATGTAGGAACTCAGGACTCAGATGGAGGATGAGGAGAGGCACCTCCCAGAGGCGCAGGTCAATCTGACCCGCTTCATGTTTCGTGGTGTACTTCGTGTTTTCAAGTTGTTGTTGTTGTTTCAGTGACTTATCAAAAAAACAAAACTCTAATATAAAATAGGAAAAAGTATAGATGATACAAAGTAGCATAAATAGTCCTTTATTCTGAAAGAACTTAGTGATTTACCGAGAAAAAATATGCATGTTAAATTTCAAATAATGATACAATTCTTTTTCTCCTTTCTTTTTTCTTCTTCTTTTTTTTTTTTTAGATATGGGGTCTTGCCATGTTGCCCAGGCTGGACTTGAACTCTTGGCCTCAAGTGATCCTCCCACTTCAGCCTCCCGAATCGCCAGGACTACAGGTGCCTGCAATTGTACCCAGCTCGGGACACAATTCTTACATTTTCTTTTCTTTTCTTTATTTTTTTGAGGCAGAGTCTCGCTCTGTCACCTAAGCTGGAGTGCAGTGGCATGATCTCAGCTCAATGCAACCTCCGCCTGCCAGGTTCAAGCAATTCTCCCTGTCTCAGCCTCCTGAGTAGCTGGGATTACAAACGCCCACCACCACACCCGGCTAATTTTTGTATTTTTAGTAGAGATGGGGTTTCGCCATGTTGGCTAGGCTGGTCTTGAACTCCTGACCTCAGATGATCCGCCCGCCTTGGCCTCCGAAGGTGCTGGGATTGCAGGCATGAGCCACCGCGCCCGGCCCAATTCCTACATTTTGAAAGCATTTTACGTTTTCATATCCATCATCTTCTTAGAGATAACATCTCCTTCAGCTGAGCCCAGTATTAACCTTCGCATGACCCCATTACCTGCCGTGTCTGTGCCTGATCAGACCCAACTCCTTGAGGCCAGAGACTTCTTGCTGCTTCTTCAACACCAAGTGCAAAAGGCGCCCAAAAAATGACAGGTGGGGAACCAAAGACCTCTGATATTTTGTGAGGATGCAGGACAATGTTGTTAGAGCTTCTATTTTTGTGTTTTAGTTTTTCAAGAGAAATTTTAAAATATCCAGGTTTTAAAATACGTATTGACAAGTTATTTAAAAAAAAAAAATGTGCCTTTAGGTTGGGCCCAGTGGCTCACACATGTAATCCCGGCATTTTAGGAGCCCAAGGAAGGAGGATTTCTTGAGCCCAGGAGTTTGAAACTAGCCTGTCTTAAAAACAAAAAACAAACAAACAAAAACCTTTAAAACACTGAGTAGACCCAACAAAATACAACGCGTCAGTAAATAGAAAGTAAAAATATAGGCCGGGAGCAGTGGCTCATGTCTGTAATCCCAGCACTTTGGGAGGCTGAGGCGGACGGATCATGAGGTCAGGAGTTCGAGACCAGCCTGGCCAACATGGTGAAACCCCATCTCTACTAAAGATACAAAAAATTAGCCAGGCGTGGTGGCTCGTGCCTGCAATCCCACCTACTCAGGAGGCTGAGGCAGGAGAATGGCTTGAACCCAGGAGGCAGAGGTTGCAGTGAGCTGAGATGGCGCCATTGCACTCCAGCCTGGGTGACAGGACAAGACTCCTTCTCAAAAAAAAAAAAGTAAAATATAAAAATAGCAGTGACCATTTATTGTCTACTCTATGCCAGCCATTTTACATATTTTATTTATTTATGTGTTTATTTTTTGAGACGAGGTCTCTCTCTGTCGCAGGGGCTGGAGTGCAGTGGCACGATCATAGTTCACTGCAGCCTCAAACTCCTGGGCTCAAGCAATCCTCCCCGCTCAGCCTCCTGAGTAGCTAGGACTACAGGCTTTCACCACCATGCCCAGCTTACATATATTATTTATAATAAATAATAGCCAGGCGCGGTGGCTCACGCCTATAATCCCAGAACTTTGGGAGGCCGAGGCAGGAGGATCACTTGAGGTCGGGAGTTGGAGGCTAGCCTGACTAACATGGAGAAATCCCGTCTCTACTAAAAAATATAAAATAAGCCAGGCATGGTGGCGCATGCCTCTAATCCCAGCTACTTGGGAGGCTGAGGCAGGAGAATCACTTGAACCTGGGAGGCGGAGGTTGCAGTGAGCCGAGATCGCGCCACTGCACTCCAGCCTGGGCAACAAGAGTGAAACTCCATCTCAAAAAAAAAAAGAAAAAAAAAAGATAAAACTAATAGATGGATTGCTCTTGTGGTTAAAAAAATTCACAAAAATAACATTACATAGCTGGGTGCGGTGGCTCACGCCTGTAATCCCAGCACTTTGGGAGGCCGAGGCGGACGGATCACGAGGTCAGGAGATCGAGACCATTCTGGCTAACACGATGAAACCCCGTCTCTACTAAAAATACAAAAAATTAGCCGGGCGTGGTGGCAGACGCCTGTAGTCCCAGCTACTCAGGAGGCTAGGGCAGGAGAATGGCGTGAACCTGGGAGGCGGAGCTTGCAGTGAGCCAAGATAGCACCACTGCACTCCAGCCTGGACGACAGAGTGAGACTCCGTCTCAAAAAAAATAAATAAATAATAATATAATAATAATAAACATAACGCAGAGTAAAAAGCAAAAGCCTTTTTCAGTCCTCCCCCAACCCTGCATCCCTCCCCAGATGTCACCAATACTACTGAGTTTGGGGTGCATTCTTCCATGTATAAATGCATAAAGAGACATATCCAAGCCCATCATATATATTAGATTAGTCCCATTTTGCAGATGAGCAAACTGCACCACACAGGGGTGGAAGTATTCGTCGAAGACCACATAGCTGGCAAGAGCTGGAGCTGAGGTTCAAATCCAGATCAGTCTGACTCAGAAGTCAGCACGCTGTCCTTTCGCTGAGTCCCGAGTGTAAAACCTTACTGAGGAAAAAAACCGAAGCTCATAGAAGTCCCAGCAATCTGAACCACCACTGCCCAACACGGGAGAGGCAGGAGTGACTGAGTTTGCAGGGGAGGCTGCGTGGAGGGGAGAGCCTGGACCCACGCGGATCGGGGGCCGCGGGTACCTCCGTCCAGGGCGCTTCCCTCCCGGACCAGCGGCTCTCCCAGGCCGCCTCGCTCCAGGCGCCCCTGGAGGCTGCCCCGCCTGTGCCGCGCCGCGCCGCGCCGTGTTCGCACCGCTCACCCGAGCGGCTCGGAGGCCCGGGTTGCTTAAGTCCCTAGTCTCAGCCGGGCACGAGGACAGCGCCCGGGAGCGACTGCAGCCTCTGACCCCGGCTGGGCCAGCCCGGGCTGCTTAAGTCCCTAGTCTCGGCCGGGCACGAGGACAGCGCCCGGGAGCGACTGCAGCCTCCGACCCCGGCTGGGCCAGCCCGGGCTTCAGCTCACGCAGCCGTCGGGGGGCGCCCGGCGCGCAGCCCGGGGTGGGTGGTCCTGGCGAGTGGGGCTGCGAGGCAGACCGGCCCCACCCCGGGGCCGCCGAGGGGCGCGGGCTGGGGCGCGTGGCGGGCGGGGCTGGGCGGGGGCGGGCGCGAGGGCGGAGTTGCGGCCGAGGCGGCCGTGACCGGAGCGCGGCTCAGGGGCCCCAGTGGCCGCCGCGGAGCGAGGTTGCCTGGAGAGAGCGCCTGGGCGCAGAAGGGTTAACGGGCCACCGGGGGCTCGCAGAGCAGGTAGAGACCTCCCCGGGACCCCGGCCCCGGCCGCCCCTCTCCCGGGTCCCGTTAGACCGCCCGCCCCGCGCGCCCGCGTCGTCCCCTCTCCCTGCGCTGTGCGGTCGCGACCCCGCCACGACCCCGGACCCAGCTCCGGTGGCCTCGGACAATCTTCCAGCCCCTGGGGTCGAATTCCTGGGGAGGGAGTCTGATCCCGTGGAACTCTGGCCCCATCACCCGGGCGGGGAGTGAACCAAAATTCCTCCTAAGTCACATAGTAAAGTTGGAAAACAGACCCATGACCTCCCCGCGCGGCCGGTGCCTCCTGCCCTCTCTCTAGGAGGGTGCTCTCGGACGGTGTGTCCCCCACTGCACTCCTGAACTTGGAGGACAGGGTCGCCGCGAGGGACGCAGGTGGGTGCCCTTGATCCAGCTCAGCCCGATGGCAGAAGAGGTTGACAAAAAAGAAAGACACCTGTTGGGGTGGCCTGCCAGACCCAGGAGTGGAGGGCTCTGAGGGCCCGGGAATTCGGACTCAGGACAGGGATTCTCCATGGCTAGGCCCAGAAACACAGGGTCCAACCACTCTCCAGCAGGGAGACCTGGGGGTGAAGGGGTGAGCCCTGCGCAGGTCTCTGTTCCTTGGTCTTCACTGGGCAGTGTGGAGAGGTGTGGCCAGGAGGAGCCCGCGTTTGTCCAGACCAGGGTCTACTCTGGCACCAGAGTGACCACCTCTGACCTCTCCTTTCCTCGTCCTGGGCCGGGAACGACACCAAATGAGGGACATGGAAAGGGGTGAGAAGCATAAATGTGCGTGTGTTTCTGCAGAGGAGGGGGCATGGGCCCCTGCCGGGCTGCGCAGGGGAGGGTGGGGTGGGACTTTTCCAGAGAGGGAGCCAGGCCTGGCCCGGGCCCCGGGAGCTCACGTCACCCCCACCCCTCACTTCTCCAGGGAACTGCCAAAGCCAAACCCAGCTCGGGATGGGATTATGTGTACTGGGTAGACCCGTGGAGAGGGGCTGCGAGAAGAGATCTCGGTGGCAGAGAGAAGCAGAGGCAGAGAGGGCATGAAGAGGGGTCGGCATCAGAGAAGGGGCAGGCAGTGACTATCACCCCATTTCTTCTTCCCTCAGCTGGAGTAACAAGAGTCAGGCAGAGCCTGAAGACTTGGGTGGAACATGGGCCCTTCTCTGGAGATCCTGGCCTCCCCCGTTCAGTCAGGGTGGAGTTGCTGACCTTAGTGGCCGGCCCAGCCAGGGGAAGGAGTGGCCATCGGCAACCCCCACCCCAACCCCAATCCCTGAGGCGCCCGCTCTGGCTCAGCCACTCTGACCCCTCCCTCAAATTCCGAACCCTAGGTCTCAGGGAGGGCAGTGGGGCTGAGTGTCTGCCCCCAGGCACATTCCTACCCTTCTCTTGGTCATTTTCTGCCCCAGAGCTGGCCCACCTCAGCAATGCGAGGGCTCCCTGGATTCCTCTCCCGGGTGCCTTTCAGATCCAACAGAAACAGATTTTTTTTTTCCTGGAAAGCAGAACTAAGAGTGGGATGAGGAGCAGGGGTGGGAAGGACTCAAAGTGAGAAGAAGGGGGCAAAGAGAGTCAGGCTTGGTGGCTGGGGTGGCTTCCAAGCCTCACTTCTCCAGTGTTCAAAGCTGAACTTCAGATGGACTTCCCGGCTCTTCAGAATGAGAGGCCTGTGGCTGGGGCATGAGGCAGCCCCGGCTGCACCTCTCCTTCCCGCTTCCCCAGCTGGTAGAGACGCACAGGAAACAAGCCCTCACTGAACCAACTCCAGATGCTGGCACCCAGAGTGGGTGTTACATTGCCGGCTTCTTCTCTAGAGATTAAACCGTCAACCCATTTAGCTTATCCCTTGGCCAAAAAGTGTATGAGATGTGCCTGGATGTTCCCTAAAGAGCTTATCTAAGAAGGGAAGAGAAAGCCGGGAGGCAAGTAGGACAGAGAGATGACTGGGGAAGGTCTTGTGTCTGGAAGACCCAAGGAAGGGGCTTCTGGTGGGTCCTCAGAGAGAGTGTCTGGCGCATCCTCAGTGGAGCCTTCCTCCTCTACTTTCTAGGCACCTCTGGGAGGGCAGGAGTGGGAGCAGATGACAACCATTTTAGAAGGAGCCCTCTGGCTGGGTGCGGTGGCTCACACCTGTCATCCCAGCACTTTGGGAGGCCAAGGCAGGAGAAGCGCTTGAGGCCTGGAGTTCAAGACCAGCCTGTGCAATTTAGCTGGATCCCATCTCCACCAAAAAATACCAAAATTAGCTGGGTGTGGTGGTGCACGCATGTAGTCCCACCTACTCAGGAGGCTGAGGAAGGAGAGCCTGTGAGTTTGAGGCTGCAATGAGCTTTGGTGGCACCACTGCCCTCCAGCCTGGATGACAGAGTGAGATCTCCATCTCAAAAAAAAAAAAAAAGCCTTTTGTGTGTGCCTGAGCCGGCTTAGAAACAGTCCCTAGGTAGGATTTGGGGAGGAGCTAAGAAGCCCCTACAGGGCCCAGAGGTGGGGACTGAGCCTTAGTTGGAGGGCTGAGGTCAGCCCCTGACCATGTAGCCTCTACAGATGGACAAGGCAGTGATCCTCCCTGCTCCCACCCTGAGGATCCTAAAGGGATGGACCAGTTTCACCCCCTCCTCCATATTCTCTGAGCTGTCCTCCCAGCCCCAAGCTCTCTGGACACTGGAGAGGTAACCACCAGGCTTCTGTCCCTGCAGAGAGCACCCTCCACGCCCAGATGCCTGCGTAGTTTTTGTGACCAGTCCGCTCCTGCCTCCCCCTGGGGCAGTAGAGGGGGAGCGATGGAGAACTGGACTGGCAGGTGAGAGAAGGGGCCACGGGTTGGGGGGGAGGAAAAGGGGAGGTGCTGGGATGGCTCTGTGTCTGGAAGTGAGGGAAAGGGGACCACTGGGAGGGGCAGGGGAAGTGATGAGTAACTTCTGCTTTCTGAGAAGTTGGTAGTCAGGATATGGGAGCCGGCTGGGGGCGGAGGGCAGTGTTGCAACACCCCCTCTGGCTCCAGTCTGACGTCCCTCCCCTGGCCTTTGGTTTGCAGGCCCTGGCTGTATCTGCTGCTGCTTCTGTCCCTCCCTCAGCTCTGCTTGGATCAGGAGGTGAGTTCTGGACAAGTGAGCAGCTGCAGCCTGCCTGCCACCCTTTCATCTCCCCCTAGGCTCCCACCCCATCTCTCCAGGCCACGCCTCCATTCCCCACAGCCCACCCACCTCCCCTGCCAACTCCCCAGTTCCTTGCCTCATAACACCAAGAGGCCGAGGTGTAGTTCTCCCTCTGCTGCTGAATGTGACCTTGGACTGGTAGCGACTCCGTGAGCCTCAGTGTTGGTCTACATGGACACTCTGGACAGTTCCCTCTAATCCTTCCAATTCTGTCTGACCTTTTTCTCTATATAGGTGTTGTCCGGACACTCTCTTCAGACACCTACAGAGGAGGGCCAGGGCCCCGAAGGTGTCTGGGGACCTTGGGTCCAGTGGGCCTCTTGCTCCCAGCCCTGCGGGGTGGGGGTGCAGCGCAGGAGCCGGACATGTCAGCTCCCTACAGTGCAGCTCCACCCGAGTCTGCCCCTCCCTCCCCGGCCCCCAAGACATCCAGAAGCCCTCCTCCCCCGGGGCCAGGGTCCCAGACCCCAGACTTCTCCAGAAACCCTCCCCTTGTACAGGACACAGTCTCGGGGAAGGGGTGGCCCACTTCGAGGTCCCGCTTCCCACCTAGGGAGAGAGGAGACCCAGGAGATTCGAGCGGCCAGGAGGTGAGAGGCCTGGGTGGAAGAGGTGGGCCTTGGGCAAGGTGGGGGCTTAGCATGAAGGAAAGGGGAGCACGGGTGGCTTCAGAGGGCTTGTCTTTGGTGCCAGGAAGTAAACTGGGGAAACAGGGTCAGAGGTGGTCAGAGCTGTGCCCCCACATCTGAAACACCTTCTCAGGTCCCGGCTTCGAGACCCCATCAAGCCAGGAATGTTCGGTTATGGGAGAGTGCCCTTTGCATTGCCACTGCACCGGAACCGCAGGCACCCTCGGAGCCCACCCAGATCTGAGCTGTCCCTGATCTCTTCTAGAGGGGAAGAGGCTATTCCGTCCCCTACTCCAAGAGCAGAGCCATTCTCCGCAAACGGCAGCCCCCAAACTGAGCTCCCTCCCACAGAACTGTCTGTCCACACCCCATCCCCCCAAGCAGAACCTCTAAGCCCTGAAACTGCTCAGACAGAGGTGGCCCCCAGAACCAGGCCTGCCCCCCTACGGCATCACCCCAGAGCCCAGGCCTCTGGCACAGAGCCCCCCTCACCCACGCACTCCTTAGGAGAAGGTGGCTTCTTCCGTGCATCCCCTCAGCCACGAAGGCCAAGTTCCCAGGGTTGGGCCAGTCCCCAGGTAGCAGGGAGACGCCCTGATCCTTTTCCTTCGGTCCCTCGGGGCCGAGGCCAGCAGGGCCAAGGGCCTTGGGGAACGGGGGGGACTCCTCACGGGCCCCGCCTGGAGCCTGACCCTCAGCACCCGGGCGCCTGGCTGCCCCTGCTGAGCAACGGCCCCCATGCCAGCTCCCTCTGGAGCCTCTTTGCTCCCAGTAGCCCTATTCCAAGATGTTCTGGGGAGAGTGAACAGCTAAGAGCCTGCAGCCAAGCGGTGAGTCTCCTCGGGCCTCCCCTCCCAACCCCGACCTCCAGTGTGGCTTCCCTGCCCTGAAGCTGGGTCTTCAGCTTCCGCTTGGCACCTGAGGGAGAAGGGCCTTGGCATCTGACCACCTCAGGGCAGGGGTCTTGGAGCTCTTCCGCTGACCTGAGCCTCCCACCTGCTCCCCAGGTTCAGCCCTGCCCCTACCCTCATTTTGCTCCCCAGCTCTGACTCCTTTGTACCCCTCACCGCAGCCCTGCCCCCCTGAGCAGCCAGACCCCCGGGCCCTGCAGTGCGCAGCCTTTAACTCCCAGGAATTCATGGGCCAGCTGTATCAGTGGGAGCCCTTCACTGAAGGTGAGGTTTCTTGCTCACCCCTGGGCAGTGGTGGCTTGGAATTGGGGATGAAGGGGAGAGGAGATACCTGCTTACTCCCAGCCCTGAATGACTTCCAGCCCCTCTGCTTCCCCTGCGCCATGCCTTCTTTCTTCTCCCTGGGGCTGGGTCAGGAGACAGCACAGGTGGTGAGTGGTCTGCAGAAGGGTCGGGGTGGGAGGAGGAGGTGTGGGAGACACGCTTTGTCCGGACTCCCCTGGGAAGGCCATCACTGGGGGTCAGGTGGCTGTGACACAAGAGGGCCATGGTGGGAGAGATCCTGTCCAGCCGTGACAGCCAGGTGGGGGTGTGCCACGCATCCTGGGCACTGTCGTATCGGTTGCTCCCAGGTTACCATCCGCTTCATTTTAGGCCTGTGTTAACTTGACACCGGGATAAGCACTCAAGAGCTCTGAACACACAGAATCATGGGCATCAGGGATTGCTCCTCTCTCAGTTCAGAGTCCCCTTGATGGTCTCGGTGACCTCAACTGACCTGACCACCTTTTTTTTTTTTTTTCTGAGACAGAGTCTCACTCTGTCACCCAGGCTGGAGTACAGTGGCACGATCTCAGCTCACTGCAACCTCTGCTTCCTGGGTTCAAGCAATTCTCCTGCCTCAGCCTCCCGAGTAGCTGGGACTACAGGCATGTGCCACCACGCCTGGCTAATTTTTGTATTTGTAGTGGAGATGGGGTTTCACCACGTTGGCCAGGCTGGTCTTGAACTCCTGACCGAATGATGCACCCACCTCGGCCTCCCAGAGTGCTGGGATTACAGGCATGAGCCACTGCGCCCGGCCCTGACCACCTCAGCTTGTGCTGTTGTCACATTTCCTTCATCCACAGTGACCTGGGCAACCTCAAGGTGCCCCCTCTGGGGCCTCTCTCAGCTAACCTCCCACCAGGGAGCCCACTAACCACCCTTCTACCCTGTCCCTTAGTCCAGGGCTCCCAGCGCTGTGAACTGAACTGCCGGCCCCGTGGCTTCCGCTTCTATGTCCGTCACACTGAAAAGGTCCAGGATGGGACCCTGTGTCAGCCTGGAGCCCCTGACATCTGTGTGGCTGGACGCTGTCTGGTGAGGGAAGACAGTGTGTGTGTGCACACACACATGCATATGCACACAGACACATGCCCCCATATGCATACACATGTACACACATATGTATGAACACATGCACACATGCAAGCACATACACACACGCATATGCGCACAGACACATGCACACACGCACACACACACACGCACACACACGCATATGCACACACATGCACATGCATATGCAGACACATGCATGCACATGTGCACACGTGCATGAACACATGCACACACACGTATGCAGACACATGCACACACATGTAGACACACATGCATGAACACATGCACACATGCACACACACGTATTTGCACAGTCTCAATTCAACAACAAAACACCATACTGAGATCACTGAGGGAGAATTCTCACCTGCCAAGCTGCGCTGAGCAGAGCCTGAAGGATCTGATCGGGCACCTGTCCATGTCCCTGGGTCTGGCTGGGGATGGTGGGGCTGTTTTTGTGCTCTCACTTGTGGCACAAAAAGCAGGGTAGTGAGCTGAGGCTCCCGAGGGGACCGGGGTGGGGTTGAGGTGGTGTCTGGCGTTCTGTGGCCACTGCCTCACCTCACTCTCTCCAGAGCCCCGGCTGTGATGGGATCCTTGGCTCTGGCAGGCGTCCTGATGGCTGTGGAGTCTGTGGGGGTGATGATTCTACCTGTCGCCTTGTTTCGGGGAACCTCACTGACCGAGGGGGCCCCCTGGGCTATCAGAAGATCTTGTGGATTCCAGCGGGAGCCTTGCGGCTCCAGATTGCCCAGCTCCGGCCTAGCTCCAACTACCTGGGTGAGCACCCAGCTGCCTCCCCTTCCACTTCCGTCTCTGTTCGGCCCTCCATACCCCTACTCAGAGCAGTGAGCAAGCCAAACAGGGGGAAGTCCAGGGCCTAGCCCCTCCCCTCGTGGAAGGAGTGAGGAAGCTGAGAGGGCTTGGGGGGATCTTAGGTTCTGGTGGGAGCTTCTATAGGCTAAGGACACGGTGTGGGAGGAGGAAGGTATTATCACCCTGGAATTTCCCGATCTCTCACCTCTGACCCGCAGCACTTCGTGGCCCTGGGGGCCGGTCCATCATCAATGGGAACTGGGCTGTGGATCCCCCTGGGTCCTACAGGGCCGGCGGGACCGTCTTTCGATATAACCGTCCTCCCAGGGAGGAGGGCAAAGGGGAGAGTCTGTCGGCTGAAGGCCCCACCACCCAGCCTGTGGATGTCTATGTGAGCCTGGGGCCAGGGGCAGCTGAATGCTGGGGAGGGAGGCTGTTCCCTCTGGGCAGAGCTGTGGTTGTCAAGATGGGAGAGAGAGCTGGTGGCATCCTCTTCTGGCCACCCCCACATATTCATTATCTTCTCTTCTCCCCAGATGATCTTTCAGGAGGAAAACCCAGGCGTTTTTTATCAGTATGTCATCTCTTCACCTCCTCCAATCCTTGAGAACCCCACCCCAGAGCCCCCTGTCCCCCAGCTTCAGCCGGGTAAGACTCTGACCCCTGCACTTGGAAGGAGGAGGGAGAGGCTGCAGGGCTGGCTCGGGGCAGTGGGGTGGCATCTGATTCGCCTGCTCCCCTGCACAGAGATTCTGAGGGTGGAGCCCCCACTTGCTCCGGCACCCCGCCCAGCCCGGACCCCAGGCACCCTCCAGCGTCAGGTGCGGATCCCCCAGATGCCCGCCCCGCCCCATCCCAGGACACCCCTGGGGTCTCCAGCTGCGTACTGGAAACGAGTGGGACACTCTGCATGCTCAGCGTCCTGCGGGAAAGGTGAGACATCACAGTGCGTTCCCCGCATCTCGGTCCAAACCCCCCAACTGACACTCCCGCATCCTGGATTGTGGGGCCACGCCCGACCCTGCGTCTGGGACACCACTGAGCTTGGGCTCTAGCCTCCTGCCTCCCTGGCTGCCTTCTCACCCACTCAGGTGTCTGGCGCCCCATTTTCCTCTGCATCTCCCGTGAGTCGGGAGAGGAACTGGATGAACGCAGCTGTGCCGCGGGTGCCAGGCCCCCAGCCTCCCCTGAACCCTGCCACGGCACCCCATGCCCCCCATAGTGAGTATGGGGGAGCCCACGGGGAGGGTTAGGGTACTGGAAACACAGCAGTTGCCCCCAGAATCTTACCTGAACTCTGCACTCAACGCAACATCTCCTGGCTGCAGAGAGACAACATTAGATTAGAAAGGCAGACATTCGGTAGGCAGCAAGAAAGCCATGGCAGGCTGAGCCCCCCAGGAACCCAGACTCCAAACGCCAAACGTGCCCACTCTCCTCTGAGGCCCCCACGTCCAGTGTGTCTTCCATCTCTGCTGCCACGGCAGCCCCACACATCTCATCTATGTCTCCGCCTCTTCCCTGCCCTGCTGGTGCCTGCAGCTGGGAGGCTGGCGAGTGGACATCCTGCAGCCGCTCCTGTGGCCCCGGCACCCAGCACCGCCAGCTGCAGTGCCGGCAGGAATTTGGGGGGGGTGGCTCCTCGGTGCCCCCGGAGCGCTGTGGACATCTCCCCCGGCCCAACATCACCCAGTCTTGCCAGCTGCGCCTCTGTGGCCATTGGGAAGTTGGCTCTCCTTGGAGCCAGGTGAGTTTGCCCAGGCAAGGAGGTGCTGGGGAGGGGAATGGGCACAGGTGAACAACAGCAGTGGTTTTTCAACTTCTTTTTCATCAGCAGAAACTATTTACAAACAGGGTTTCATATGGACCCCCAATATAGAAGTCAGATAAGGGACTGAACCAGGGACTGGGGGCCCAGGGCCCTAGGGCTCAGCCTCCTCCTCAGCCCACGAAGCCATGTGACTGCTGGGCTGGGGATCGAAGGCAGAGCCTGGTTCTGAAGCCTAGAGCTGGAAGCTGGCTGAGAAGGTCTGGGAAGCCCAGCTCCCTGGATTCCCCTCGCCCCCTCAGTGCTCCGTGCGGTGCGGCCGGGGCCAGAGAAGCCGGCAGGTTCGCTGTGTTGGGAACAATGGTGATGAAGTGAGCGAGCAGGAGTGTGCGTCAGGCCCCCCGCAGCCCCCCAGCAGAGAGGCCTGTGACATGGGGCCCTGTACTACTGCCTGGTTCCACAGCGACTGGAGCTCCAAGGTGAGCCCGGAACCCCCAGCCATATCCTGCATCCTGGGTAACCACGCCCAGGACACCTCAGCCTTTCCAGCATAGCTCAATAAACTTGTATTGATCAAGCGCCTGCTATATGCCTGACCCTGGGAACTCAGAGATAAGTGAGAACAACTTCCATGAGGGGCCCGGCTAGGATTCCTCGTCCGGGCCTGGTACCCGGGGACATTCCCAACCACCCAGGATTCGGACCCAGGATGCGTCCCTCCCTGCCCCCCTACTGTCCCTTGTGCCAGTCACCAGCAGGCCCCTCACACAGGCCGCTCTCCTCCTCCGCAGTGCTCAGCCGAGTGTGGGACGGGAATCCAGCGGCGCTCTGTGGTCTGCCTTGGGAGTGGGGCAGCCCTCGGGCCAGGCCAGGGGGAAGCAGGAGCAGGAACTGGGCAGAGCTGTCCAACAGGAAGCCGGCCCCCTGACATGCGCGCCTGCAGCCTGGGGCCCTGTGAGAGAACTTGGCGCTGGTACACAGGGCCCTGGGGTGAGGTAAGCTGAGCGCCTGCTGAGAGCAGGAAGGGGGTGCCAGTCCCAGTGGGATTCCTTGTGGGCACTTGGGGTGCTCTCTGTCCTCCCCTCCCCTCATCACCCTGCCCTCCCCCTACACTAGTGCTCCTCCGAATGTGGCTCTGGCACACAGCGTAGAGACATCATCTGTGTATCCAAACTGGGGACGGAGTTCAACGTGACTTCTCCGAGCAACTGTTCTCACCTCCCCAGGCCCCCTGCCCTGCAGCCCTGTCAAGGGCAGGCCTGCCAGGACCGATGGTTTTCCACGCCCTGGAGCCCAGTGAGTGTCTGGCTGCGCTGTCCTGCCCTGCTCAGCCTGGGCCCCTAGGGGAGGGGAGCTCCTCTCGCTGTACCCCCTCCAGGTCTCTCTGTGCCCCAGAATAAGCCCAGCCAAGCGTTACCACTGTCCTACTTCTTATAGACTTGGAGGAAAGATGGGCCCTCTCCATTTGGGATTTCACAATGTCCTAGGAGGGTCCCCACCACCACCTTTTGGGGAGAGAGGTGGCAGCCAGGGGTTAAGGAGAATCCCGGGCCTGGCAAAGGTCTGATATGATGGCTGGGGTCGCCCCAGTGTTCTCGCTCCTGCCAAGGGGGAACGCAGACACGGGAGGTCCAGTGCCTGAGCACCAACCAGACCCTCAGCACCCGATGCCCTCCTCAACTGCGGCCCTCCAGGAAGCGCCCCTGTAACAGCCAACCCTGCAGCCAGCGCCCTGGTAAAGAGCCCCCTCTCCCCAATCCCCAATACAGTGGATTAGCTGAAGTATGGGAGGAGATGAGAAAGGACCAGTGGGAATGGGCAGCACACCCATTCCCAGACGGGTGGGTCCTGGTGACTCTCTTGTGCCCACTGGCCTCCTCTGTCCCCAGATGATCAATGCAAGGACAGCTCTCCACATTGCCCCCTGGTGGTACAGGCCCGGCTCTGCGTCTACCCCTACTACACAGCCACCTGTTGCCGCTCTTGCGCACATGTCCTGGAGCGGTCTCCCCAGGATCCCTCCTGAAAGGGGTCCGGGGCACCTTCACGGTTTTCTGTGCCACCATCGGTCACCCATTGATCGGCCCACTCTGAACCCCCTGGCTCTCCAGCCTGTCCCAGTCTCAGCAGGGATGTCCTCCAGGTGACAGAGGGTGGCAAGGTGACTGACACAAAGTGACTTTCAGGGCTGTGGTCAGGCCCATGTGGTGGTGTGATGGGTGTGTGCACATATGCCTCAGGTGTGCTTTTGGGACTGCATGGATATGTGTGTGCTCAAACGTGTATCACTTTTCAAAAAGAGGTTACACAGACTGAGAAGGACAAGACCTGTTTCCTTGAGACTTTCCTAGGTGGAAAGGAAAGCAAGTCTGCAGTTCCTTGCTAATCTGAGCTACTTAGAGTGTGGTCTCCCCACCAACTCCAGTTTTGTGCCCTAAGCCTCATTTCTCATGTTCAGACCTCACATCTTCTAAGCCGCCCTGTGTCTCTGACCCCTTCTCATTTGCCTAGTATCTCTGCCCCTGCCTCCCTAATTAGCTAGGGCTGGGGTCAGCCACTGCCAATCCTGCCTTACTCAGGAAGGCAGGAGGAAAGAGACTGCCTCTCCAGAGCAAGGCCCAGCTGGGCAGAGGGTGAAAAAGAGAAATGTGAGCATCCGCTCCCCCACCACCCCGCCCAGCCCCTAGCCCCACTCCCTGCCTCCTGAAATGGTTCCCACCCAGAACTAATTTATTTTTTATTAAAGATGGTCATGACAAATGAGAAATGAGCTCTTCCTTGTCGGCTATGGACCCCTCAGCAGTGTGAAGGCAGAAGGTAGGGTGGGCAGGGGAACAGCATTAGAGCCCAGGAGAGTTTGGGTCAGAGAATCCCCGCCAGCCCCAGGCCCTGCAGGCTGGTCATGGGCCACTAGAGGTCACCAGTTCTCCCATTTGAGGTGTGGGGCGCTGGGTTCCAGAGCTGAAGGAAGGGCTGCGCGGCCGCGGTGCGCTTTTTGGTGGGTCGAGTCTCTCTGGGAAGTCTCCGGGTATCTGCGCCTTTCCGCTGGGGCCTGAGCGAAGGGCAGTTGGCTTGTCGAAGCTCTTTTTTCCTGTTCCCTTTCTCTAGCCCTGCCTTCTGTCTCCCTTTCTGCCGTACGCATATCCCTACGCTCTGGGGCTTCTTCTGGGGTGGGGAAAGGGAAGGGATTCCTGCCCCGAGCCCTTCCCCTGGAGGAGGAGGAGCCCGGCCCGGCTCCAGGGCCCTGGGCGGGGCTGAGGGAGGAGCGGGGCAGCACTGGATGTCCTGCCAAAGCCACATTCCTCAGAGATGGCTCAGCCTGGCCTCCTTCCTCCTCCTACTCGCTTCTCTCAAGGTAGAGAACTTGCTAGAGGCGGCCTGAGAGGGGCAGGCCTTTGCCATCACATCCTCTCCCAGACCCCTGCCATTCGGAGACTGAGGCCGAGTCTCTCCTGGAAGCCGGGCTGCCCAGGAGGGGCGGTGCCGCAGGAGCGCCCCCGCTCGCGACTCCACAAGCCCAGCTGAGCACGGCCGGGAATACGGGGCCTGCGGAAACAGTGAACTCAGTGGCTGCTGTTTTCTGAGCACCTGAACCCTGTGGGGGACGACAGAGTTGCCCGAGGCGGCAGGATGTCCCCACACTCGCGGTCCCCCGCACATCTTCCTGTTGCTTTGGGACTCGGGCTTTCTCTGGGTTGAAAGTGGCTGAGAAGGAAGAATTTGGACATCTTAAGAGGAGAGCGAGTGGGGAAGGAGGCAAAAGGGAATGGAGAAGGAAGATAAAACTGACGTCAGCCCAGGGCAGGGAGCGAGGAAAGGGGGCCACAAGGAAAGCCCAGTTCCAACGTCTCTGCTGAGCCTAAAGAGGCCTCAGCAGGGAATCACAGATGTGGGGGGCCAGGGAAACGGGATCCGAGCCCGCCCAGTAGGTATAGAAGGCCGAAGGCAGAGTCCTGAGACCCAGGGAGGGGTGGGGTGGAGGCTGGGGCCCTCCCAGCGATTCCTGGAAGCCCAGAGCTGGGCGGTGCCGGCTCAGCTGACTTCCCCGAAGCTCCCCTCCCTCTGCTCAGGGCTGTTGCTGGGCAGGTTTGGCGTTTGCCCTGAGCCTGAGAACCAATCGCAGGTGGAGGTGCGGTCGCAGCCCCTCGCAGGGCTCCCCGGCTTCAGCACCCCCTTTCTCTTTCTGCCCGCCCATGAGCTCCCTCTCGGCCTCCAGCCTCTGACCTCTCAGGAGGTGGGCTCTCCTCTGGGGGTCTGCTCCCTTTCCCCTCTTATTTTAGAGCTAGGACTCAGTGCAGCCCCTAAGGATTCCTTCCTCTGGTCACTGAGGTCATTATGGGGTCAATGCGGAAGTTCTCAGGAAAGGGAACCCGACCCCAAGCAATCCCTTTTCTTGGCCCCGTAGAGGGGAGTAGTGTGGCCAGACACCTGTTCGCTGACCTCTGAAACCCTCTGGGGGGACTTGGGAGAGCAGAAGCTGCAGCCTGAGGGCAGAGGAATGTGGGGAGGGCCCCTGGGTTTGGTGCACTAGTGGGAATTTAGGGAAGGACTCAGAGGAACTGGACCCCTGAGAATTGAGATGAGGGTGGGGTGGTGATAGGAACAAACTTGATATGCACAAGAGAGATCAAGCATGCAAAAGGCCTGCAAATTGTTGAGGATGCCTCCTTTCTGAGGGTGTGCTGGGGGAGGGGGTTGTGGTTTGAGTATCAGTGACACTAGGGGTGATCTGTGCTCTCACAAGTTCAGCTGGGTCAGGATTCCTCTCCCCTCCCCCTCCCAGCTTCCCCAGGGTAAATACCCACCCAATTTAAGTTGCAGCTTTTGGACTAAATTTAGCTCCTGGACTTCCCCAACCCCCAGGCCTCCCTGTAAGCAGGTGCTCACAGCTGCAGCATGGGTCTGGTGGAGAGTTTGAACCTTCTCCTCACCTCCACTCATCCAGATTCCACCTTTCTGGTAACTAGGAGTGAAGCAGAGCACAGGAATCCAGTGGCTGGCCCAGGGCATAAGTGTCTCAGCCTTAAGCCACCTTCTCCCAGGAAACCTGTAAGAGAAGAGCTCTGGTGGGAGACTCTAGATGGACATGGAGGGTGGTGGGGTGTAGAGAGAACAAGATGCCAGGAGAGCCTCCCTCCAGATTCTCTCCAGCCAGACCCTCTCTCATTCCTTGCTCTCCCCTTGTCCCCAGGTTTACAAATAGAGACTTCATGTTAGCATCTTCCCCACCAGAGTAAACTGACCCAGGAAGCCCTCTCCTCTCTTTGAACCATGGAGAATCATGCTACCGTAGAAATTATGGTTTGGGGAGGTGTGTGTTTCAAGTAGAGGTGGTTTGCCACAGGTAGGTGATGAAGAGCTGTCAGCTTTAAAGGGCAGAGACACCGTCTAAAGGAAGTAGAAAGCCTCAGGAAAGTACCTAAGTCTAAGTCTGTCAACAAGAGACAGAAAAAGTTTGGGTTAACCTCAAAGTAGCCAGCATAAACCCTGAATCTGACTTTTGGGCTTCCTGACCTAGGAGACTGGGAAAACTCAAGAGGGTGTTTCAGGGCTGAGTCTGAAGGAAGAAAGGATTTGAGGGAGGAATGTATAAGATTAGTCCAAAACAAGGTATGCACGAGATATGGCAGTCAGATGCCAGGGAGCCATCAGCTCTGCCAGCTGAAGGGGAGGTGCAGAGTTGGCTGGAAGCTGGCCAGAGCAGAGCATTTCTCCTGTGAGCACTGGAGAGCTGTGCTGAGAGGCCTGGGAAGAGCCCTGTGCTGGGGGAGGAAGGCTAGGTTGGGTCGGCATGTTTGTGTGCTGTACTCTTCTGAGCCTTACCTGAATCTCTTGAGATAGCTCCACTGAACTTTGAGTGAAGAGGAAAAGAAACTGGGGGAAAGAGGGTGGGATTATAAAAAAAGGAGCAGACTGTACCCCTGGGATCCCTAGGCTAAAAGGCCCTCCCCTTGATGAGACAGGCAGAGATCATCTCCCCTGGAACAAGGTCACCCTTCCTCTCTCCCATCGCTACATTCCTCTCCTCCTTACTGTTGACTATTGGTTGCCTGCCTCTTTCATCACAAAATGAGACTCCTCTTTAGCTTTAGTAGAGGGTTGGGCAAACTTTTTCTCTACAGGAGTAGATGATAAATATGTTAGGCTTTGCAGGACCTATCATCTCTGTTGCAGCTTCTCTACTGTAGCAGCACAAAGCAGCCATAGACAATAAGTAAACAAATGGGCGTAGCTGTGTTCCAATCAGACTTGTGACACTAAAGTTTTAAATTTTTCTTTTTTTTTTTTTGAGACAGGATCTTGCTTTGTTGCCCAGGGTAGAGTGCGGGGGTGGGGCGCAATCATAGCTCACTGCAGTTTTGACCTCCAGGGCTCTAGCCATCCTCCTGCCTCAGCCTCCCAAGTAGCTGGGACCACAGGTGCAGGTCACCACACCCAGCTAATTAAAAAATTTTTTTTTGTAGAGACAAGGTCTCACTGTGTTGCCCAGGCTGGTCCTGAACTACTAGGCTCAAGCAGTTCTCCCACCTCAGCCTCCCAAAGTGCTGGAATTACAGGCATGAGCCACTGTGCCCGGCCCATTTTTTTCAACCATTTAAAAATACCAAAATGATTCTTAGCTTGTGGGCCATACAAAAACAGGCAGCAGGGCAAATTTGGCAGGGAGGTGGTTTCTGACCCTGGGGATTTTTCCTAACTGGTGACTTCTGCTCTGCCTAGCCATAGAAAGTCCTGTTTGTGTCTCTTCCAGGCCTCAAAATACAGCTGTAGAACCTTTTAATTCAACATACTCTACTGATGCCTGGTTCTTAATTGCTTCTCCTAGGGAATTTAAGGACTTGAAAATGGTTAATAGAGTAAACCCTTAAGGGACAGTCCTGAAACTCCTTCTATTTGTGTAGTGCTTTAAGGTAAAAGCACAAAGCACGTGTATCAATAGTCTCTCTTTAAATCTTTGCGGTAATAAGATAGCTGACAGTATCGTTAAGTCCTGTTTATAGGGGAGAAAATTAAGGCTTCAGATCTAGTTTCTTCACTTTTTTTTTTTTTTTTAGATGGAGTTTTGCTCTTGTTGCCCAGGCTGGGGTGCAATGGTGTGATCTCGGCTCACTGCAACCTCCGCCTCCCGGGTTCAAGCAATTCTACTCACTCAGCCTCCCAAGTAGCTGGGACTACAGGCATGTGTCACCACGCCTGGCTAATGTTGTATTTTTAATAGAGACAGGGTTTCACCATGTTGGTCAGGGTGGTCTCGAACTCCTGACCTCAAGTGATCCACTCGCCTCGGCCTCCCGAAGTGTTGGCATTACAGGCACCACGCCTGGCCAAAAACACTTTTAAAAATTTATTTTTGGTTAGACACGGTGGCTCACGCCTGTAATCCCAGCACTTTAAGAGAGGCCAAGGCAGGGAGATCACCTAAGTCCAGGAGTTGAAGACCATCCTGGCCAACACAGTGAGACCCTGTTTCCATTTATGTAAAAATAAAAGAATTTTTAAAAATTATATGTATATTTTTAAGAGACAGGGTCTCACTATGTTGCCTAGGCTAGACTTGAACTCCTAAGCTCAAGCAATCCTCCCGCCTCAGCTTCTTGAATAGCTGGGCCTATGGGGTGCCTGGCTTCCTTCTTTTCTCTTTTTTTTTTTTTTTTTTTTGAGACAGGGTCTTGCTGTGTCATCAGGCTGAAATGCAGTGGCACAATCACAGCTCACTGCAGCCTCAACTTCCTAGGCTCAAGTGATCCTCCTGCCTCAGTCTCCCTAGTAGCTACGACTACTGGCCATGAGCCTTCTATTACTCAGTTTCATTCACACGGGGCATCTTGTTATCAAAATAATTTTGGCCTCAATGATCCAAACCTTGAATAGTTTTTTGTTTTGTTTTGTTTTGTTTTGTTTTGAGACAGAGTCTCGCTTGGTCACCCAGGCTGGAGTGCAGTGGTGCAATTTCGGATCACTGCAACCTCCTGGCTTCAAGTGATTCTCCTGCCTCAGCCTCCTGAGTAGCTGGGACTACAGGCACGCACCATCATGCCTGGCTAATTTTTGTATTTTTAATAGAGAAGGGGTTTCGCCATGTTGGCCAGGCTGGTCTTGAGCTCCTGGCCTCAAGTGATCTGCCTGCCTTGGCCTCCCAAAGTGCTGGGATTACAGGCATGAGCCACTGTGCCCAGCCCAAACCTTGAATAGTTTTAAGTGTTCTTGCTGTTTTTTTTCAAATGTCTTTCAGGACTTTTCAGCTAAAATTCTGTTTAAACTTTTTCAGACTTTCAAGAAATTAGAAATGCTTTCAAATTCATGATAGTTTTGTGTCATTTATACCCAATCCAGACTTATTTAGACCAAACAGCCTTTTTTTCCTACCAGTGTTTTCCAATTTTTATCTTAAGAGGCAGGGTCTTGCTATGTTGCCCATGCTGGAGGGCGGTGGCTATTCACAGGTGCAATTCTACTACTGATGAGCACAGGAGTTTTGACCAGCTCTATTTCCAACGTAGGCAGGTTCACCCCTCCTTAGGCAACCTGGTGGTCCCCCACTCCCAAGAAGTCACCATATTGATGCGGAACTTAGCATGAACACCAGATCAACATAGCGCACTATAGCCCTGAACTCCAGGGCTCAAGTGATTCTTCTGCCTTAGCCTCCAGAATATCTGGGACTACAAGCGCGTGCAACTGCGCCTGGCCAATTTTCCTGGGTCCAGGAAATGACAGTATTCCTGGTCTTTGTTTAAGGTACACTGTCTTGCAAACATAGGCTTATGTATAATGGTAAGCCACAAGCATTTACTAAGTTTTTTTTTGAGACATAGTCTCACTGGCCCAGGCTGGAGTGCAGTGGCACGATCTAGGATCACTGCAACCTCTGCATCCCAGGTTCAAGCAATTCTCATGCCTCAGCCTCCTAAGTAGCTGGGACCACAGGTGCACACCACCACCCCCATTTTTAGTAGAGAGAGTTTTGCCATGTTGGTCAGGCTGGTCTCAAACTCCTGACCTCAGGTGATCCACCCGCCTTGGCCTCTCAAAGTGCTGGGATTACAGGCATGAGCCACCGCGACTGGTCAAATTTTTCTTTCATACAGTAGCACTGATACATCTTTCATGGTTCATGATGGGGAAAGGAAGATACAGCGACTTCCATCCTGTTTCATACCTGACCCCAACTACCCAGCTTTGAAGTGGGGCAAGGGGCAAGGAAGCAGGTAGCCCAGCACTCCTCCCCGCCATCACCAGGCTCCTCTGCAGAGCTGTTGTTCCTTAAAGCTGACAACAAGCCACCTCATTTCAAAACACACACACACAACCTCATTTTGACACAAAGTTGTTTCCCTCTTTCTGTTTCTCTGCTTTGCCTCATGAGGGATTTCTGAGAAATGAAAAAAAGTCACCTCCCACAGCCGCAGCCTGCAGTTTTGTTTTTTGGTTTTGTTTTTACAGATGAAGAAGAGGGGGGTGGAGGAAAGGAGTATACCGCTTAAGCATCTAGTATTAATCCAAAACTCTGCAAAGTAAGAGAAATGCTCTTCCCATAGCCCTTCACCTGAGGTGTGTGCCCCACTTTCCTTAGATTTGGGCTCTCATGCAAAAGGAAATAAACAAGGTATCCTCCCCTCAGGAAAGTTCAGTAACAAAGCAGTGAAACCGAACAGCTGCTCCCTTGCAGCAGGCCAGCTGTCTCCCCTCCCCCCATTTCCACCAAGGGCCGGAGACGGTGGGAACTGCTCCAGGCAACCTAAAGGATGGCGTTGTGAGCTGAGAAAGGCAGGCCTGATAGATCTGGGCATAGGAGCTTCAGGAATAAAATGCATGTGAATGCGGTGTTTCCCAGGGAGAATTAACCGCATTCTCGCCTTCAAATCTGAATACCTGAGAGTCATAACCAGCCCAGTAGGGTAGACTATGAAATGTATAGCAAAATTTTCAAAACCAGCTCCTCCTACCAGACAAGAAAATTAACATTTTTTAGGGCACAGAACTGAAAGCATTTTTACTGAAATCTAATCCAGGATGAAACCTAACAGTTAAACATTCTTTTCCTTCTCTGCTTCTTTGGCTCTCTATCCCAGCACACCTTGTCCCAGGCTAACTTGAGTAAACATACACATGTGACCACATGAGGGCGGGAAGAACACCAAGTGGGGGTGGTGAAATTCTGAATGGAATGCAGCCCCAGCTAGTTAGGGGGCCCCGGGCTGAGACCTCTGGCACTGGCAGTAGACTTATACAGGCAAAGAAGCCAAAACAATGAGCTCATGGGCAAGAATGCAGCCTGTGGGGAAGTCTGGGCAGCTAGAGCAAACTGGTTTTTTGAATCAGGATGGGAATAGCAATAGTTGAGTCTCCCACGGGAACAGGATCAGGGAGAGTGGAAGCCACCATTCAGTATCTTAGGGTTCCAGTTAAATAACTTTTGGAAGCTCTTATTAAAATTCTGTTCTGCAGACAGCATAGTGCTCTTAGGCAAAACCTTGGTTCCTTTCCCTGACTATGTAAAACCTAGAGGGTGAAGGACCAGTGAGGCTCCAGTGACCTACCTTAGGTGATGCTCTTAAAAGAGCAACTTTATTCAAACCAGGCCTGCCAATGCCAACTCCTTCAGTCTAGATCCAAAGATGGCTATGATCCTGAGATTGTGTGTTTAGGGTCACCACTTTAACATGATACAGGAAGCAATTGAGTCTTTTCTACTTCCTAAACACAGTCCATCCAGTTGTGTGTCATTTATACCCAGTCCAGACTTATTTAGACCAAAGAGCCTTTTTTTCCTATCAGTGTTTTCCAAATTTTATCTTAAGAGGCAGGGTCTTGTTATGTTGCCCATGCTGGAGAGCAGTGGCTATTCACAGGTGCAATTCTACTACTGAGGAGCACAGGAGTTTTAACCAGCTCTATTTCCAACCTAGGCAGGTTCACCCCTACTTGGGCAACCTGATGGTCCCCCACTCCCAGGAAGTCACCATATTGATGCAGAACTTAGCGTGAACACCAGATCAACGTAGCACACTATAGCCCTGAACTCCGGGGCTCAAGTGATTCTTCTGCCTTAGCCTCCAGAATATCTGGGACTATAGGTACGTACAACTGTGCCTGGCCAAATTTTTTTTTTTTTTTTTTTTGAGATGGAGTCTCGCTCTGTCACCCAGGCTGGAGTGCAGTGGCGTGATCATGACTCACTGCAGCCTCTGCCTCCCGGGTTCAAGTGATTCTGGTGCCTCAGCCTCCCGAGTAGCTGGGACTACAGGAATAAGCCACCACGCCCAGCTAATTTTTTTGTATTTTTAGTAGAGATGGGGTTTCGCCATGTTGGCCAGGCTATCCTCGAACTCCTGACCTCAGGTGATCTGCTTGCCTCGGCCTCCCAAAGTGCTGGGATTACAGGCATGAGCCGCCACGCCTGGCTCTAATATTTTTATATAAGGCCTGAGATGGGAAAAACTGAAGTCATACAGTATTCACTGACCAAGAGCGGCGAGCAGAGAAAGAAGGCAGGGAAGGAAGATGGAATAAGAAAATTACCTACACAGTCCATCCCTGCTTCTCCCATCTCCATACACCCAGAGGGTCTTTCCCAATTCCATGCTTTGGTACGTGTTTCTTACTCATCTTTTTTTTTGAGTCTCGTTCTGTTGCCCAGGCTGGAGTGCAGTGGCATGATCTCGGATCACTGCAGCCTCCACCTCCCGGGCTCAAGTGATTCTCCGGCCTCAGCCCCCCAAGAAGCTAGGATTACAGGTGTGCACCATCACGCTCATCAAATTTTTGTGTTTTTAGTAGAGATGGGGTTTTACCATGTTGGCCACACTGGTGACCTCGGGTGATCTACCCACCTCAGCCTCTCCAAGTGCTGGGATTACAGGTATGAGCCACCGTGCCCAGCCTCGTTACTCATGTTTTAAGGTCCAACCTCACATTTCTTATGAAGCCTTCTTTACCACCCTCTACGTCTAGAAGTTGTCACCCTGCTTTTTCCCAACCCTACAATGCTTTGTACAGTGCCTTCTAATTATTTCTGTCCATGTCTATGACTCTTACTAGATTGTAAACTTTGTGTGTGTGTGTGTTTCTTTTTTTGTTAAGATAGGGTCTCACTCTGTTGCCTGGGCTGGAGTGCAGTGGCACAATTTCAGCTCACTGCAACCTCGACTTCGTAAGCTCAAGCGTTTCTCCCACCTCAGCCTCCCCAGTGGCTGGGACCACAGGCACGTGCTACTATGCCAAGCTAATTTTTTTTATGTTTTATAGAGATGGAGTTTCACCATATTGCCTGGGCTGGTCTCAAACTCCTGGGTTTAAGCAATCTGCCTGCCTTAGCCTCCCAAAGTGCTGGGATTACAGGCATGAGCCACTGCACCCAGCTAGATCACAAACTTTAACATCTAGCCACATTTGCATTCTCATTATGGGATTCGTTATGCATAAATTCTTTAGCATGCATCTCCTAAAAACAAGGTATAATACTCAAGAAATTTAACATCGATACAGTAGTAACATACAATCCATAAATTTCCGCAAATGTCCCCATGTCCTTTATAGCTTTTTGACATGTGTAGTTAGTTGTCATGTTTCTTTTGAACTATTCCCCAATCTTTTTTTGAGTTTCTTTTTTTTTTCTTTTTTTTTGAGACAGAGTCTTGCTCTGTCTCCCAGGCTGGAGTGCAGGGGCCCAATCTCAGCTCACTGCAACCTCGGCCTCCCGGGTTTAAGCAATTCTTCTGCCTCAGCCTCCCAAGTAGCTGGGACTACAGGAGTCCACCACCACACCTGGCTAATTTTTATATTTTTACTAGAGACGGAGCTTCACCATATTGGCCAGGCGGGCCTTGAACTCCTGACATTGTGATCCGCCCGCCTTGGCCTCCCAAAGTGCTGGGATTACAGGCGTGAGCCACCGCACCCGGCCTCTTTTTTTGAGTTTCTTAAGGGGAAGAATGATCTCTTTATAATTCCATTATCTAACAGTTCATGATACATAATAAGCAGTCTACTGTCATGTAATGGAAAAATGAAGACACTCTCAACATCTGGCTGCCTAGAGCTCCTGCTAAATAGACAAGCCTGGGCAATATAGCAAGACCCCATCTCTATGAACAAAACAAAACAAAACACAAGGCATGGTGAGGTACCTGTAGTACCAGCTACTTTGGAGGTTGAGGTGGGAGTATTGCTTGAGCACAGGAGTTCAAGGTTGCAGTGAACCGTGATAGTCCCACTGCACTGCAGCCTGGGCAATAGAGTGAGACCCCACCTCTTAAAAAAAAAAAAATCCTAACTTACCTCAATGTTGAAGATTTCTCATTTCCCAATGGAAAATAACTATTATTCTATGCAGGTCAAGAAGGGAACTGCAAATTAGAAACCAAGTATAGTGTGGGAACAAAAGCTTGCTACGTATATCCTTTTTCTACTTCCCAAGAATTATTAGTAAAGGACACCAAATTTTCGGAGGTGTTTTTTTTTGAGATGGAGTCTCGCTCTGTCGCCAGGCTGGAGTGCAGTGGTGTGATTTTGGCTCACTGCAATCTGGGACTACAGGCGCGTGACCCCATACCCAGCTAATTTTTGTATTTTTAGTAGAGACGGGGTTTCACCATGTTGGCCAAGCTGGTCTCAAATTCCTGACTTCGGGTGATCTGCCCGCCTTGGGCTCCCAAAGTGCTGGGATTACAGGCATAAGCCACCGCCCCTGGCCTTTTTTTTTTTTTTTTTGAGAGGAAGTCTCGCTCTGTCACCCAGACTGGAGTGCAGTGGCATGATCTTGGCTCACTGCAACCTCCACCTCCTGGGTTCAAGCAATTCTCCTGCCTCAGCCTCCTGAATAGCTGGGACTACTAGTGCCCGCCACCAGTAGTGGCGTTTAACCGTGTTGGCCAGGCTGGTCTCAAACTTCTGTCCTCAAGTGATCAGCCCGCCTTGGCCTCCCAAAGTGCTGGGATTACAGGCGTGAGCCACCTCACTAGAGAGGTATTTATTTTGTTTGAGACAGAGTCTCACACTGTCACCTGGGCTTAAGTGCAGTGGCACGATCTCGGCTCACTGCAACCTCCACCTCCGGGGTTCCTCCCAGGTTCACGTGGTTCTCCTGCCTCAGCCTCCCAAGTAGCTGGGATTACAGGCGCCCGCCACCATGCCCAGTTAATTTTTTTTATTTTTAGTAGAGATGGGGTTTCACTGTATTGGCCAGACTGGCCTCAAACTCCTGACCTCATGATCCCTCCACCTTGGCCTCCCAAAGTGCTGGGATTACAGGTGTGAGTCACCGTGCCTTTTTTTTTTTTTTTTTTTTGAGACAGCGTCTGGCTCTGTCGCCCAGGCCCCGGAGTGCAATGGCATGATCTCAGCTCACTGCAACCTCCGCCTCCCGGGTTCGAGCGATTCTCCTGCCTCAGCCTCCCAAAGTGCTGGGATTACAGGCCTGAGCCACAGCGCCCGACCCGGAGAGCTGTTTCTTAATCTGCCTGGAGGAAAATCCCCAGCCCCCAACTTTCCACATACTTCACATAGATAACACTGTAACAACTTTGAAACTAAGAGGGAGAGAATTAAGTTTTCAAATTTGAAATTGAGAAGCCTTTGAAGAGTGGCAGCGTTCTAGAAAGTTCCATGATTGAACAAGTGAAGCAAAAAACTAGGATAGACTCAACTGACCATCTGAACTCCAGGAATTAATAGCCAGTGCTTTGGGCATCTGGCTGGAGCCATGGTACGCACCAGTTGTACAAGTTATTTCATTTTAATTTTGTAAAAAAAAAAAAAAAAATCCTTCGGCTGTCACAACTGTTTTAAATAAAAATTTTGTGAAAAAACAGTATGAAGACGTTGCTCTAGATACAGAACAGGAACTGAGAAAGTCTGGTTGTGTCAAATAAAGCAAAGTGTTGATAATTCTGACTACTGATTAAGGTTACCCAGTTACTATTAAATCCAAGCTTTTAAGGTGCTGAGCAAAGGAACACTGTACCAGAAACGGCTTCACATCATAGCACGTCAATGGGAGCAATAGCACTAACTTAACTCAGGCCAAGACTTGGGCTTGGGTCCTCTGTGGCTGCTACTCTCCTACCACACCTTTGCTTGGGAGTGCACTTACACAGCTTTCTTTGTAATGATACAAAAAGTTGCTGCCTTTTGGTAGTTAGGCTCCAGAAAGGGGCTTCCAAACCAAAATGCACTTTTAAATAGAAATGCAACTGACTGCAGGGAGGCACAGAATCCTGATTGCCTGATTAGCATATGGTGCTCAGGGCTTAAAACCAAGTATGCAAACCTCACATTTGCACATTTCCATGGTGATTCAGCTCACTTTCAAGGTAGCTGAAAATAAAAGCAGGATAGGGGTTTTTGAAATTGACTGGCTTCTTTTTACCTCCTTTTGGAAAGCAGAAGGGGAAAAGCACTGCTGCCAAGAACTTCATCAAAACTCTTTAACTTTAGGTATTATTTAGGTGTTATGATAGAGTAACTGCTGTACAGTACCCTCTTACCTCAAGATCAAGGCTGGGCGCAGTGGCTCAGGTCTGTAATCGCAGCACTTCGGCTGAGGCGAGTGGATCACTGAGGTCAGGACTTCAAGACCAGCCTGACCAACACGGCAAAACCCCGTCTCTACCAAAAATAGAAAAATTAGCCGGGCATGGTGGCGGGCACCTGTAATCCCAGCTACTCGGGAGGCTGAGGTTGCAGTGAGCCGAGATTGCCCCACTGCACTCTAGCCTGGGCAAAAGAGTGAGACTGTGCCTCAAAACAAAACAAAACAAAACATACCAACACCTGGTGATTCAAAAAAATCAAGACAGAGGCTGGGTGCGATGGCTCACGCCTGTAATCCTGGCACTCTGGGAGGCAGAGGTGGGCAGATCACCTGAGGTCGGGAGTTCAAGACCAGCCTGACCAACACGGAGAAACCCCATCTCTACTAAAAATACAAAATTATCTGGGTGTGGTGGCGCATGCCTGTATTCCCAGCTACTCAGGAGGCTGAGGCAGGAGAATCATTTGAACCTGGGAGGCGGAGGTTGCGGTGAGCGGAGATCGTGCCATTGCACTCCAGCCTGGACAACAAGAGCAAAACTCCATCTCAAAAAAAAAATAATAAATAAATAAATCAAGACAGAAATTTTGATTTTAAAGAGGTTTTTGATTTTACTTGGAGGTTTAAGAACTCCTCTAAGTACAGCAGTAATATATTTAATTAAAAACCCAACACCTCTAATTAGAATTGAAGAAAGGAACTGTCCTTTGCTCTAAGGCAAATCAACTTTGTGAGGCTTTTGCTTTGAATTCACCTGTACATATTTGCTCAGCTGACTTCTCTAAAAGGTTTGCCTAAGAGAGGGAAGGAAAAAGAGGCGTCGATGAGAAAAGACCCATATCACACCCTGTATTTGAATAAAAGATTTATTTTTTTTTCTCAGGAAAAACAGAAAGTTAGGGAAACACACTACATTTGACAACCAACATTAATTTGTAGTTGGTCCTAACCCTTCCTGGCACAGCTATCAAAAGTACAGCTGTTTAACCAGAACCAAGGTGTTCACCCCCCACAGAATGTACATGAAACACTAGAGGACTGCATGTTTTTCCCTGAGAGAAGCGTAAGACAAACAGAAGTCAAAAAGTAGTCACTGGGAGCGCCATCCTTCTAAGCAAATCCTCCCTTTCCCTTTTGGAGGATTTGCCCGAACTACGTAGCCAGTCAGCACTTAGACCACCTGCCTCCTCCTCCCCCTATAAACCCACCACTCCCCTCCTCCTTTCCCAAACCACTTGGGGTGTCCTAAGCCCTCACTGCCCCAAGCCCAAAATATCAACTAAGATCCTTGTCTGTATTTCCACAGTCATACCTAATGAATTGGGAAGTGGGGCCCCTAAAAACCAATTCACATCTATGCACTTGTTTCCACTGGATTTGGCAGACAGGCTTTTTTAGTTACCGTAACCAGATCTTAAGATTAATTAAAAACTACATAAAGTGCTTTTAGGTCCTTAGAGATACATGATATAAATAAGCGGCTTATGATCAAGAACGATAAATACATAGGTAAAAATAGCTCTAGCAAAGATGACCTTATGGCTCTGAGATGGGCAGGCAGGGCAGTTCTTCCCCATTACATTCTTAGTCATCTTATTCATACCTATTTTTAAATGGAGTCCACAGACTAAAGGTCATGTTCCGAGACTGAAGCTTTCAAATGACCCTAGTTCCAATATAGACACTTTCTTCAGTTTATCAGTAGCTTTTAAACTCTGAGGTTTAACACAGCTCACCTCTTTCTGTAAATTTAAGTGAGCATACTCCTATACAAAGGAAACTTTAGAGAAAGCCTCATAAAATGTTCTTTCCTCTGAAAATTCCTGAGGGGACTTTTGACACATTGCCCCCAAAGACAGGATAAAACAATAGTTGAAAAGATACCAGTCCAAGGAAAAGGGACTTCCTCCCACCTCTCAATGACTGTTAGTGTCACAGCACCCATGGTATTACCACCTGCTAACAGGATCAAGTTCGTGAAAGATGAAAGGTCTGTGGACTCTTGGTGGGGAGGGAGGGTCACTCAGGTTTCCAGCAGGGGTTTCACAGTGCCAAAATCTAAAAGGGCTAGAAAGAGTTCAGGGATGGCAGGGGAAAGCTGTAGGAATTGATATAAATATCTGTAGAGGGAGCAGAACAATCAGCAATTTCAAGGAAGGACAGGAAATAAAAGGTTAAGTCTGATAGAACAAACATCAAGACTGAAATCCAAAGATGCCAATGCAAAAACTTGCAACAAGGTTTGGGAATCATTAATAGAAACAAAACAGTAAGTATTTGCTTTATTGACATACTAGGCTTAGACCTGTGTGTGTAACAAGCAAGCCTAATAATAGCACCATGGTTAGACTAGCCTGCTTTTCCAAGCCATCATTTTATAATTTATTAAGCAAACAAGGGATCAAATGTCTCTCCATCCACCTGATGTGATCTTTTTATATGCACACAGCTAATGAGTTCCATTCAGCTGAAAATCTTTTAGTAAAAGCTTTAAAGATGAGCCCATGAATTCACTTTAAATTTCACCAGTTAAATTAGGTCAAATGGAAGGAACTCAAATGAGTATTGCCCAATCAGAGCCCATTATTTGTAAGTCATCAGTAACCTTAAAACTCCACTTAGACCTAATTATTGAAAACTTGCATATAATGAAGTGAAAGAATTTCCATTCATCAACCTCTCAATCCCAGGTTTTCAAAGAAAAACCTAAGGAATACTTACCAAAATCAGATAAGAAAATTTAAACCTGCATAGTTATCAGATTTGTTCCACTACAACCAGTCTGCATACAGTTACACATCAATTCGTTCTGTATACACTCTAGAACTGAACAGAACAAAGTTTAGCATAGAAAAGCTGTAAGAAACAGGTTCCTAATTACGGAAGTTGCAAAGTTCAAAAGGGTATGAAAAAAACTAATGTAAATTCGATACTTCCTTCGTTTCAAAGAAATAGACTTTCTGTAAAAATATATACAATTTTTACAAATACATTTACAAGCTGTCTTAAGAATTGAGGATATCCATATTCATAACTAATTACTGAGCCTTCCGTCAAGTATTATTGGTGATAAACTAGGCTAATAAAGTAAGAATCATGGAAACCAAGCCAAAGTATAACAGGTATAAAAGTCCTGAACACTTGGACTTTCTAAGAAGTATACTGGGAAAGCTAATTAGAGAGAGGAAAAGCTTCCCTTGTACAGTACTGAGGCTTACAGTCATAGTTCTATTACTTGTAACTTTTACACAGGTCACTGGCATTCTTAGTGCTTCTCTTAACACTACAGTAAATTAATGAATTCGGCGGGTAATCAATTCTATGACTTGCCTGGCTACTGGCCACTTTCCTGTTCTCAACAAGGAAATTAAGTCTTTCCACCCTACCATCTTCACTAAATCTAAAAGTCCTCCTCCATAGCTTCCCAAACAAAGTTTGTTTGTTGCTGAAACTGAACTTTGCTTCTTTCAGACAGTGACTCTTCAATCAATGGGGAGCACTCTTCCCATGTATTTATTCTTGTTAGCCATAATCCTCTTGCCACTTGCTTTTCTGGCTAGGTTGCTAGGGTGCAACTCTAGGAAGTTACAGCTTGGAGTCCAACTGCATAAACTGGTTTTGGTGGTGGTGGTGGTTGGTTAAAAGTCAACTATTGCACTTACAGTAAGGCTATCTTATTAGATATGCCAAACCAGCTCCTACTCCAGCAACACCTGCAAAAGCCAGCAGCACATTCCTGATGCCACCTTCTAGGTCCTCTACATGGAAGAACTCCACAAACCCATCCTAGAAAACAAAAAAGAAAAGCACATTTTCAAGTATGGGTTTCTGCTCTCTTACAACACTACTATCCAGAGAGAAGGTAAATTAAAATATCTAAGGTTTCCCCCTAAAGCAATAGTAAACCAATTATTATTCACCCCGGGGCAAAAAAAGAAAATAAGTTCTTCAGTTTCTTAAGCGGGGACCCATGATAATTAAACTTCATTTTACAGTACTATCTTGGTCTTATTAGGATTTATCCTAACAAAAGGACTTCCAGAGTTCCCATGAGGTAAAAGACGAAAACCCTTATTCTCAAATCTCCACCACCTAATATTTCAGTAACGCCTCAATTGCGCAGATCAGTTTTTCTCAACGTAGTTAAGTACATCCTGCATCAGATCTGGGTTTGTTTAAAACGCAGGCTCCACCCCATATCTTCTCCATTAAAACAGGCACCGCCTTAGGAATTATTTCAGCTATCCTCCCCTGGTGACTTATTTTTTCATGGTTTGAATCCACTGAAGAGTATTCAACTGAATTGGAACAAAAAATTGCCTAGAGAAAACCAAGATTTTTGATACAATTCAAGACCGCCATACCACTATCTCTAAGGATCCACTACTTAAATCAACATCAAATAAACAATGGTCCTTTAGTTAGAGCCTGCAAACAGCCGTGCGTCATAAAAACCTTTAGATATCCCCACCTCTCTAAAAAAAATCCTTCATTCTACTTCCACTCCAAGGCCCCTTTCATCCTTAAGGCAAACTTACCCAGCCTCTTTGTTTAACTAGCCAGTCCCGTTTTGTCCTTACGAGAACGTCTGTGATACTTTCTGCTAATGGTTCGATGCAGCTTTCTTGGTTTATGGTCTTCAAGTGTTTAGCCACAAAGGCACCAAAAGAAATGAGAGTCACAATCCTGCCCCAGTTTGTTACGCCGTCGCTGAAAACATGGATCATCACTCGAGACAACGATTTCACATCGTCTTCGTTTTTGATGTCCAGTTTCCGAAGCATGCCTGAGAAAGAAAAGCATGCAGGTCCTCACGGCCTCCTTTGTCTAAACCGGCGCAAGATTCGCCTGCCCACCCGCGGCGGGAAAATCGCTACTGGGATTTACAGAACTCAGGTTGACCCCACTTGAAATTGACATCCCACCCTTTCCGGTCTTTGAACAAGAGCTGCCATTTCCAAAAGAATCAAGATGGGCGGAAACAATGACTCATGGCCAGAATATTCTGGCTTCAGGAATAGGATGAGACACGTTTCAACACTGACTCGTTTCGGTTTCCAACCCACCCTTGGCGGGTGAGTCCGGGGAGAGATGGAAAAAAGGGAGTGAGGCCTTGGCGATTAATGAACCCCCTTACCTTGGAAGGCCGTCTCGTGGTTGCGCTGCACGCCATCCCCAACCCGTCGTAAGGTCTCCAGCGCCTTCCTGCTGGTGGCCCCAGACCTGCCCATTGGCTTTGTGTCCTTGGCGCCGGTGGCCTGCTCCCGAAGGTACCGAGAGATAATCTCCAGCGACTGCCGGTACAACTCGTCCTCCTCCTCCTCTGCTGGCGGCGGCGTCGAGGGTAGTGACCCGTCCGTACTGGTGTTATTACCAGATTCCCCGACCAACTCCAGCAGCGGCAGGACAGCCGGCCGCTTCCCGAGAGGCTCCGGCTCGTACCCGTCCAGCTCCTCTTCGGGCGACATGATGGCGTCAGCGGCCGGGGCTTCCATCTCCTCAAGCGGCGCCGCGCGGCGGGTGGGCGCGAAGAAAAGCAGCCTCGCGGGGGTCGCGGTGACGTCGGGGACCTCGGCGCCAATGGGCGGCGGCCGCGCGACCCTCCGGGAGTCTGGCGTGAGGGTGGACGGGGGGCTTGCGCCGGCGCTTCCGCCAATCACCGCGCCGGCCTCCCCTCCCCCTATCTCTCGCCGGGCCGAGGCCTCCTTCTCCGTAGCCAAAAGTCGCCCTCCCGGGCGGGTGGCGCCGCCGCTGCCGGCCCCCAAGCCGGCCCCCCCACAGTAGAGGTTGAGTCCGATTACCGCGTTTCTTTTGAGGCCAAACATTGCCAGTCGCCGCCGCCGCCTGGCTGAGAAAACTGGGGAAGACCCCGACTCCTTACTGGAAGGAAGCGGAAGTGAGAAGTGGCGAGCAGCTCCTTTATCACGGTTTTAGGGCGGCCAGTCCTACGGGGTGGCGCCAGCGAACTCTTTTTTTTTAAAAAAAGTATTCCCATAAAAGGGGAAAGGGGCGGCAGCTTCCGGAGGGTTGCGCACGGCACCTACCAGCTGCCCGGCCGGGCCGGGGCGGGGCCGGGGCCGGGGCCGGGGCCGGGGCCTGAGCCGGGGCCTGAGCGGGGCCTTCCGGTCTTCGGAGGCTCTGAGTGCCGGTTACGTAACGGCGGCTCCGAGCGCCTGGGGTCCTCCCAGAGCTCCTGGGCTCGAGCTCTTTCCATGAGCACCTCGGGCCTTCTCGTGGCTACCTCTGTGCTTCCCTGAGACCTGATTTGTGAGCCCTTTTTGCTGGTTTTCGCCAGAGGTTTTTTACCAAATCAAAATTTCAACCATTGACTAACACAGGGGTTGAAGGAAGAGGACGGGGAAGTTCAGTGATGGATGGGAACAACAGTCTTAGATGATAGGGATAATTAAGAGGGCATAGTTGGGGACTTGTGGTTATTTTGCACAGCTCTCTACTCTCAGTCCAATGTTTGGAAATGAGGATGCTCCACGTGCTACCCTAAAGAACCATTTATGTAAGTGGACTAAGCTAAAACTGCCACAGCTAAACTATTCCTGCCTCCCTGCTTGCTTCTCCCATCTCTGTTCCATAGTCTTTGGTGCTATTTACATATAGGCCTTAATCCATTAGAATCTCGTCTGAGAGTCTTGACACCATTTTTTGTTTGTTTTGAGACAGTCTAGCTCTGTTGCCCAGGCTGGAGTGCAGTGGGGCGATCTCGGCTCACTACAAGCTCCACTTCCCACGTTCAGACGATTCGGTACCTCAGCCTCCCGAGTAGCTGGGATTACAGGCGTGCGCCACCACATCTGGCTAGTTTTTGTATTTTTGGTAGAGATGGGGTTTTCACGATGTTGGCCAGGCTGGTCTCGAACTCATGGCCTCAAGTGACCTGCCTGTCTCGGCCTCCCAAAGTGCTGAGATTACAGCTGTGAGCCACCTCGCCCAGCTGATTATTGTATTTTTAGTAGAGATGTGTTTCATGCGCGTCTGTGTGAAGACACCACCAAACAGGCTTTGTGTGAGCAACATGGCTGTTTATTTCACCTGGGTGCAGGCGGGCTGAGTCCGAAAAGAGAGTCAGCAAAGGGTGATGGATTATCATTAGTTCTTACAGGTTTTGGGATAGGTGGTGAAGTTGAGAGCAATGTTTTGTGGGCAGGGGTGGATCTCACAAAGTACATTCTCAAGGGTGGGGAGAATTACAAAGAACCTTCTTAAGGGTGGGGGAGATTACAAAGTACATTGATCAGTTCGGGTGGGGCAGAAACAAATCACAATGGTGGAATGTCATCAGTTAAGGCTATTTTTACTTCTTTTGTGGATCTTCAGTTACTTCAGGCCATCTGGATGTATACGTGCAAGTCACAGGGGATGCGATGGCTTGGCTTGGGCTCAGAGGCCTGACAATGTGGTTTCACCATGTTGGCCAGGCTGGTCTCAAACTCCTGGCCTCAGGTGATCCACCTGCCTCAGCCTCTTAAAGTGCTGGGATTACAGGTGTGAGTCACTGCACCCAGCTGACACCATTTATTTTTGTACTGATAATAAGGCACATTTGACTCTAGAGGTTTGTAAAGCCCTTGAGAACAAGGATCTTCTTATATGCCATGTATGTTAGTTAACGTTAATTAAAGCAGCCTTTTTGTTAAAAGATCTGTAAAAATAATAGCTAAAATTCAAAAGCAAGGTGCTGAGAGACATAGGAAAGGTGAGCAAGCTCACTTTTTATTTATTTTTTTGAGATGAGGTCTTGCCCTGTCACCCAGGCTGGAGTGCAGTGGCACCATCAGTGCTCATTGCTGCCTCAACCTCCTGGGCTGAAGTGATCCTCCCACCACAGCCTCGCGAGTAGCGAGGAACACAGGTGCATGCCCCTATACTTGGCTAATTTTTTTATTTCTTGTAGAGATGGGGTATCACTATTTTGCCCAGGCCGGTCTTGAACTCCTGGACTCAGGTGATCCTCCTACCTTGGCCTCCCAAAGTGTTGGGATTACAGACCGGGCTCTGTGCCTCATGCCAATAATCCCAGCACTTTGGGAGGCTGAGGTGGGTGGATCGCTTGAGCCCAGGAGTTTGAGACCAGCCTGGGAAACATGGCGAAACCCTGTCTCTACTAAAAACACAAAAATTAGATGGGTGTGGTGGTGCGCATCTGTAATACCAGCTACTCTGGAGGCTGAGACAGGAGAACTGCTTGAACCCAAGAGACGGAGGTTGCGGTGAGCCAAGATAGTGCCACTGCACTCCAGCCTGGGCAACAGAGCAAGACTTGGTCTCAAAAAAAATAATAATAATAATGAGGCCTGGCGCAGTGGCTCACACCTGCAATCCCAGCACTTTGGGAGGCCAAGGCGGGCGAATCATCTGAGGTCAGGAGTTTGAGACCAGCCCAACCAACATGGAGAAACTCCATCTCTACTAAAAATACAAAATTAGCCGGGCCGTGGTGGCACGTGCCTGTAATCCCAGCTACTTGGAAGGCTGAGGCGGGAGAATCGCTTGAACCTGGGAGGCGGAGGTTGCGGTGAGCTGAGAGTGCGCCATTGCACTCCAGCCTGGACAACAAGAGCGAAACGCCATCTCAAAAATAAATAAATAAATAAAGTGTTGGAATTATAGGCGTGAGTCTCCCTCTTGGCCAAAAGTTCCTAATCCCCAAAATGTCACAGTTTAGTAAGGTGATACGGCGTCCATACCACCCATTTATGTTTTGGGCAGGACCTAGAACCATAGGGGTTTATAGTATGAGTGGCAAGGATAGAGCATTTTGTGGTTATAGTGAATAAGAAATAGTTTCTCTATTTAAGGAATGTCTAATCTTGTACAGCAACTAACCATAATGTGAGATGGAATGTATGCTCTACACAAGGCATTAACAACTTCATTTTGGAGTTAAGAGGTTGGGAAATTCACTTTGGGCTGAGAGAGCTAGAGGAAAGTGTTATGGAGGAGGTAGCTTTGCTCTCATGCTTTATAAAGTAAAATTTTATCAGGTGGTAAAGTGGAAAGAGATTGAGGAAATAGGAGGAGCAATGATTTTTCCTTGTACAGAGGCTAAAAAAGGAAATGCAAGTTTCACTTTAAAATAAATTGCATTTATTCATTATTTGTTATTATTATTTTTTGAGACGGGTATCACCATGTTGCTCAGGCTGGAGTGCAGTGGTGCAGTCTCGGCTCACTGCAACCTTGACCTCCTGAGCTAAAGTGATACTCCTACCTCAGCTTCCCAAGTAGCTGGGACAACAGGCCAGCACCACCATGCCTGGCTAATTTTTGTGTTTTTTTGTAGAGATGGGGTTTCACCATGTTGTCCAGGCCAATCTCGAACTCCTGGCCTCAAGCCATCTGCCCTCCTTGGCCTCCCAAAGTGCTAGGATTATAGGCATGAGCCATTGCAACTGGCCCTGTTTGTTAGGAAACAAGTCTTGGTCGGGCACGGTGGCTCACGCCTGTAATCCCAGCACTTTGGGAGGCTGAGGCGGGCAGATCACGAGGTCAGGAGATCAAGACCATCCTGGCCAACACGGTGAAACCCCGTCTCTACTAAAAAAAAAATACGAAAAATTAGCTGGGCATGGTGGCGGGTGCCTATAGTCCCAGCTACTCAGGAGGCTGAGGCAGGAGAATGGCATGAATCCGGGAGGCAGAGCTTTCAGTGAGCCGAGATCGTGCCACTGCACTCCAGCCTGGGCAACAGAACGAGACTCTGTCTCAAAAAAAAAAAAAGAAAGAAAGTAACAAAGTCTTGCTATGTTATCCAGGATGGTCTACAACTCCTGTCCTCAAGGGATCCTCCCACCTGAGCCTCTTGAATAGCTGGGATTATAAGCATGAGCCACCACACCCAGTTTCAAATACATTTTATTTTATTTTATTTTACTTATTTTTTTTTTGAGACGGAGTCTTGCTCTGTTGCCCAGGCTGGAGTGGAGTGGCACAATCTCGGCTCACCACAACCTCCACCTCCTGGGTTCAACCGTTTCTCCTGCCTCAGCCTCCCAAGTAGCTGGGACTACAGGTGCGCACCACCATGCCCGGCTAATTTTTGTATTTTTAGTAGAGACAGGGTTTCACTATGTTAGCCAGGCCGGTCTCAAACTCCTGACCTTGTGATCCACCTGCCTCAGCCTCCCAAAGTGCTGGGATTACAAATGTGAGCCGCTGCGCCCGGCCTTTTTTTTTTTTTTTTTTTTTTTTTTTTGAGATGGAGCCTTGCTCTGCCGCCCAGGTTGGAGTGCAATGGCGCGGTCTTGGCTCACTGCAACTTCCACCACCCAGGTTCAAGCAATTCGGCCTCAGCCTCCTGAATAGCTGGGACTACAGGCGCGTGCCATTACACCCAGCTAATTTTTGTATTTTTTTTTTTTTTTTGAGACAGAGTCTTGCTCTTTCACCCAGGCCGGACTGCCATGGCGCTATCTCGGCTCACTGCAAGCTCCGTCTCCCGGGTTCACGCCATTCTTCTGCCTCAGCCTCCCGAGTAGCTGGGACTACAGGCGCCTGGCTAATTTTTTGTATTTTTAGTAGAGACAGGGTTTCACCGTGTTAGCCAAGATGGTCTCGATCTCCTGACCTCGTGATCCGCCCACCTCGGCCTCCCAAAGTGCTGGGATTACAGGCGTGAGCCACCGCGCCCAGCCTATGCCCTACTACTGTGCCGACAGCACAGCATCTCCCATCACAACACCATAATCAATCATTTTTACATAATCATTTTCACATATAAGATCATAATTTGGCCAGGCGTGGTAGCTCACGCCTGTAATCCCAGAACTTTGGGAGGCCGAGGTGGGTGGATCACCTAAGGTCAGGAGTTCAAGACCAGCCTGGCCAACATGGTGAAACCCCATCTCTACTAAAAATACAAAAATTAGTTGGGCGTGGTGATGGGTGCCTGTAATCCCAGCTACTGCAGAGGCTGTGGCAGGAGAATTGCTTGAACTCGGGAGGCGGAGGTTGCAGTGAGCTGAGATTGTGCCACTGCACTCCAGCCTGGGTGATAGAGGAAGACTCCATCTCAAAGAAAAAAAAAAAATTCAGGCCCAAGTCTCCCCAGGTAACACTAGCATATAACTAGAGTTCAGTAGTCTCTCAGGAGGTGTGACAGACATTGCTACTCGTCTTAGCCAGTATTTATTTTTTAATTTTTTGAGACGGAGTCTCACTCTGTCGCCCAGGCTGGAGGGCAGTGGCGCGATCTCGGCTCACCACAAACTCCGCCTCCTGGATTCAAGCAATTCTCTGCCTCATCCTCCCAAGTAGCTGCGATTACAGGCACCCGCCACCACACCCAGCTAATTTTTGCATTTTTAGTAGAGATGGGGTTTCACCATGTTGGCCAGGCTGGTCTCGAACTCTTGACCTTGTGATCTGCCCACCTTGCCCTCCCAAAGTGCTGGGATTACAGGCATGAGCCACCATGCATGGCCTAATTTTTGTATTTTTAGTAGAGACGGGGTTTCACCAGCTTGGCCAGGCTGGTCTTGAACTCTTAACCTCATGATCCACCCACCTTGGCCTCCCAAAGTGCTGAGATTACAGGTGTGAGCCACCACGCCCAGCCGTCTTATCCAACATTTATCCTCCCTTTCTTCCTTTCTGACAGAACCCCATTTTTTTTTTTTCAGAATTACAATGTGCTTAGCTTTCCATGACTCCCTTGCCACCCTGAAAATGTTAATAAAACTTTGTCATGGGCGGGATGCAGTGGCTCACGCCTGTAATCCCAGCACTTTAGGAGGCTGTGGTGGGCAGATCACCTGAGGTCAGGAGTTTGAGACCAACCTGGCCAACATGGTGAAACCCATCTCTACTAAAATACAAAAAAATTAGCTGGGCATAGTGGCAGGCACCTGTAATGCCAGCTACTCAGGAGGCTGAGGCAGGAGAATTGTTTGTACCTGGGAGGTGGAGGTTGCAGTGAGCCGAGACTGCGCCATTGCACTCCAGCCTGGGCAACAAGAGCAAAACTCCATCTAAAAAAAAAACAAAAACAAAAACAAAAAAATTAATTAATGAATTTTTTGAAGACAGAGTCTTGCTCTGTCACTCAGGCTGGAGTGCAGTGGCGCATGATCGTGGCTCACTGCAGCCTCGACCTCCTGGACTCAGGTGATCCTCCCACCCTCTCACCTCAGCCGCCCCTCTCCCCTGGCCACCAGTGACTGAAACTACAGGTGTGCACCACTACCCCCTCTTAAACTCCTGGGCTCAAGCAATCACCTGCCTCAGCCTCCAAAAGTGCTGGGTTACAGGTGTGAGCCACCATGTCCAGCCAGTAGTACCTGTTAGTATGTAGTAAGAGCATAGGGGAGTGGTGGGGGCAAAGTTTGAAGTTTGGTGACAGATTGTGAAGGGCTTTCAGTGCTATTGATAAAATTTTAAGCAGGGATGACACGATCGAATTTTGTAATTTAGGAAGCCAAGTCTAGGAGTGGTGGGCAAAGAGGTGGGGAGGCTGGTCCATGGGAATCTAGCTAGGGAGTTGTTGCAATTGTCTAGGGAAAATCTGACAAGGAGTTGAACAAATTTATCAAGAATGGGAAAGGGGCCGGGCGCGGTGGCTCACGCCTGTAACCCCAACACTTTGGGAGGCCGATGTGGGCGGATCACAAGGTCAGGAGTATGAGACCAGCTTGACCAATATGGTGAACTAAAAATACAAAAATTAGCCAAGCGTGTGGCAGGCGCCTGTAATCCCAGCTACTCAGGCTGCTGAGGCAGGAGAATCGCTTGAACCTGGGAGGTGGAGGTTGCAGTGAGCCGAGATCACGCCATTGCACTCCAGCCTGGGTGACAGAGTGAGACTCTGTCTCAAAAAAGAAAAAAGAAAAAAAAAAAAGAATGGGAAAGGATGAAAGGACTTTGATTTGAGAAACATTTCTCAAGGTAGAATCAGCAGGATTTGATGACCAGTTGGATGTGTGACCAAAGAGAAAGGAAGAAGTTTAAGATAACTTCCAAGATTTCCGGCCGGGTGCGATGGCTCAAGCCTGTAATCCCAGCACTTTGGGAGGCCGAGGCAGGTGGATCACCTGAAGTCGGGAGTTCGAGACCAGCCTGATCAACATGGAGAAACCCTGTCTCTACTAAAATTACAAAAAATTAGCCAGGTGTGGTGGTGTGTGCCTGTAATCCCAGCTACTTGGGAGGCTGAGGCAGGAGAATTGCTTGAACCTGGGAGGCAGAGGTTGCAGTGAGCTGAGATCACACCATTGCACTCCAACCTGGGCAACAAGAGCGAAATTCTGCTTCAAAAAAAAAAAAGATTTCTATAATGGGAGGCAGGGTAAGTAGTGATGCTTTTTCAATTATTTATTTATTTTTTATATATTTTTAGAGACAGGTTCTTGCTGTCTCACATAGGCTGGTGTGCAGTGATGCCATCATAGCTCACTATAACCTTGAACTCCTGGGCTCAAGGAAATCTTCCTGCCTAAGTCTCTTTAGTAGCTGGGACTACAGGTGCTGGTCACGCTCATTTTTAAATTGGTTTTTTTTTTTTTTTTTTTTTGAGAGGTCTCACTCTGTCGCTCAGGCTTTAGTGCAGTGGCACTATCTTGGCTCACTGCAACCTCCGTCTCCCAGGTTCAAGCAATTCTGCCTCAGCCTCCCAAGTAGCTGGGGCTACAGGCGTGTGCCACCACACCTGGCTAATTTTTGTTTTAGTAGAGATGGGTCTTGCCATGTTGTCCAGGCTGGTCTCGAACTCCTGGCCTCAAGTGATCTACCTGCCTCAGCCTCCCAAAGTGCTGGGATTACAGGAGTGAGCCACTGCACCTGGCTTACATTTTTTTTTTTTTTTTTTTGTAGAGGCAGGGTTTTGCTATGTTGCTCAAGCTGGTCTCGAACTCAACTCAAAGCATTGGGATTACAGGTATGAGCCACTGTGCCCGGCCAAGTGATGCTTTTAAATAAGGGTGTATATATTTGGAAGACAAGCTTTGTTGGGAAAGATGATACATACTGAGCCAGAAGTGCTGTGAGACTCAGTAGATAAGGAATCCAACAGGCAGTCAGATATGCAGGATTAAGGCTACAGGAATGGTCAGGGCTATAGAAATATTTCAGGAGTTATCAAGAGGTAGATTGTAGTTTAATGAGAAAACAATTAACATTTACTGAGCATCTGTTAAATGGCAGACACTCTGGTGTTTGTGCATGGGTAGGGCACTCATAATTGATGGCCTCAATTTTCTTTGAAAGGGAAACCCAGGCCGGGCGCGGTGGCTCACGCCTGTAATCCCAGCACTTTGGGAGGCCGAGGCGGGTGGATCATGAGGTCAGGAGATCGAGACCATCCTGGCTAACAAGGTGAAACCCCGTCTCTACTAAAAATACAAAAAATTAGCCGGGCGCGGTGGCGGGCGCCTGTAGTCCCAGCTACTCGGGAGGCTGAGGCAGGAGAATGGCGTGAACCCAGGAAGCGGAGCTTGCAGTGAGCCGAGATTGCGCCACTGCGGTCCGCAGTCCGGCCTGGGCGACAGAGCGAGACTCCGTCTCAAAAAAAAAAAAAAAAAAAGAAAGGGAAACCCAGCCGGGTGCAGTGGCTCACACCTGTGATCCCAGCACTTTGGGAGGCTGAGGCGGGTGGATCACAAGATCAGGAGTTCAAGACCAGCCTAGCCAAGATGGTGAAACCCCGTCTCTACTAAAAAATACAAAAATTAGCTGGGGCTGGGCACAGTGGCAGGCACCTGTAATCCCAGCTACTCAGGAGGCTGAGGCAGGAGAATCGCTTGAACCTGGGGAGCGGACATTGCAGTGAGCTGAGATCGCACCACTGCACTCCAGCCTGAGTGACAGAGTGAGACTCCGTCTCAAAAAAAAAAAACAAACAACAACAAAAAAAACAAAAACAAAGGGAAACCCTCAGCCTGGCGCAGTGGCTCACACCTGTAATCCCAGCACTTTGGGAGGCCAAGGTGGGCAGATCACCTGAGGTGGGAAGTTTGAGACCAGCCTGACTAATATGGAGAAACCCTGTCTCTACTAAAAATACAAAATTAGCTGGGCCTGGTGGCGCATGCCTGTAATCCCAGCTACTTGGGAGACTGAGGCAGAATAGCTTGAACCCTGGAGGAAGAGGTTGCCGTGAGCCGAGATCACACCATTGCACTCCAGCCTAGGCAATAAGGGCAAAACTCTGTCTCAAAAAAAGAAAGAAAAAGAAAGAGAAACCCTCTAAGGGGCTAGGGGGTAGGGCATTTAGGCAGTCTTGATGAGAAGAGTTTGGGACTGCTCCTTTAGAACTTCACCACTTTATCATTCTTACAGAGAATGCTCCTGTCTTTGGTGATGCTTTCTTCTTCCAATGAATTGGAAATCAAAGATGAATTCTTTTCTACTTTACCTTTGAAATTTAGCTATATTCACAGTTGAAGAGCATAGGCTTTGATGCCAGATAGATGTGGGTTTGAATCTGCTTCTGCCCCTTACTAGCTGAGTGACCCTGCCTGAGTAATTAACGTTCTTGGTCTGTTCCCACAGCTATAAAATGAGTAAAACAACTACCTTGCTGGGTTATTATGGATTAAATGAATAATGAAAGTAAACAATTAGTTCAGTCCCTTCACATAATTAGTACTGAAGAAAAGATATTATTATTATTATTATTTTTGAGATGGAGTCTCACTCTGTCGCCCAGGCTGGAGTGCAATGGCATAATCTTGTCTCACTGCAACCTCTGCCTCCTGAGTTCAAGCCATTATCCTGCCTCAGCCTCCTGAGTAGCTGGGATTACAGGTGCCTGCCACCACTCTCGGCTAATTTTTTGTATTTTTAATAGAGACGGGGTTTCACTATGTTGGCCAGGCTGGTCTCAAACTCCTGACTTTGTGATCTGCCCGCCTCAGCCTCCCAAAGTGCTGGGATTACAGATGTGAGCCACTGCACCCGGCCAAGAAAAGATATTATTTCTGAGATGCAGTCTCACTCTGTTGCCCAGGCAAGTGGCAGTGGCAGTGGCTTGATCATAGCTTATTGCAGCCTTGAACTCCTTGGCTGAAGTGATCCTCCTGCCTTGGCCTCCCAAGTAGCTGGGACTAAAAGCACACACTACCACACATAGGTAATTAAATTTTTTTTTTTTTTTTTTTTTGGAGAGACAGAATCTTGCTATGTTGCACAGGCTGGTCTTAAACTCCTGGGTTCAAGAGCTCTTCCCACACCAACCTCCCAAAGTGCTGGGATTATAGGCATGAGCCACCTCACCCACCCTATTATTATTATTAGTCCTCCCAACAACTCTTAAGAAAAACATATCATATTCTTATCCCCATTTTTTATACAAAAAGAAAATTAAATGTAGATTTGGGAATTTATAGCCAGCTTTTAATTGATGGCTAGCATTTGAATTCAAGTCTAATTGTAGAGCCCTTTCTTATCCAGGAAGACTATGTAACAGGAGAAAGGAGGACCATGTAGAACTCTGAGGAATACCAATGTTTAAGAGGTGGGCAGGAAAAGAGAAAGAAGAACCAGAGATGAATTGTTTAAGTATTAGTTTTTGGGGGCTGCCATAACAAAGTACCAAAGGCTCAGTGGCTTAAACAACAGAAATTTATTTCCTCACACTTCTGGAGGCTAGAAGTCCAAGGTCAAGGTATCGAAGGTTGTTTCTTCTGGGGCCTCTTATAAATGGCTGTATCTTGTCCGGTGCCCTTTTTTTTTTTTTTTTTTTTTTGAGATGGAGTTTCACTCTTGTTACTCAGGCTGGAGTGCAATGGTGCAATCTCAGCTCACTGCAACCTCTGCCTCCCAGGTTCAAGCAATTCTCCTGCCTCAGCCTCCCAAGTACCTGGGATTACAGGCACATGCCCCCATGCCTGGCTAATTTTTGTATTTTTAGTAGATACAGGTTTTCACCATGTTGGCCAGGCTGGTCTCAAACTCCTGACCTCAGGTGATCCACCAGTCTCAGCCTCCCAAAGTGCTGGGATTACAGGCGTGAGCCACCGTGCCCGGCCAACCTTAGTTACTTCTTTAAAGACCCTTTCTCCAAATGCAATCCCAGGCTGAGGTACTGGGGGTTAGGACTTCAACACAGGAATTTTGGGTAGCGAGAAGGGAGGCAAAATTCAGTCCCTAACACTCTGTGATATGTTTTCATGGCACCCTTTATTTTCCTTCACAGTATATATTATATATACATACACATACACACATAGACATAGTATATATGTAGTTATTTCTTTAGTTATTTGTTGAATTACTGTATCTACATTTCTAGAAATTGTTCCTTTAAAAATCTTTTTTTTTTTTTGTCAGATTCTTGCTCTGTCACCCAGGCTGTAATGTAATGGCGTGATCTCGGCTCACTGCAACCTCTGCTTCCCGAGTTCAAGCAGCTCTCCTGCCTCAGCCTCCCGAGTAGCTGGGATTACAGGCATGTGCCATCACGCCCAGCTGATTTTTGTATTTTTAGTAGAGACGGGGTTTCACCATGTTGGCCAGGCTACTCTCGAACTCCTGACCTCCTGATCTGCCTGCCTTGCCCTCCCAAAGTGCCGGGATTACAGGTGTGAGCCACCGCACCTGGCCTGTTTTTTTTTTTTTTTTTTTTTTTTTAAACCAAGCAATGGTTATGGAAGTCTTGTCATTTTTAGTGATTTATTCCCTAGTGATACATTATTTTTTCTGTCCGGTGCTTGAATCAGGCTTTTATATATATTAAACATACTTCTTTTTTGTTTTGTTTTGAGATGGAGTCTTGCTCTGTCACCCAGACTGGAGTGCAGTGGTATGATCTTGGTTCAGTGCAACCTCCGCCTCCCGGGTTCAAGTGATTCTCCTGCCTCAGCCTCCCAGGTAGCCAGGACTACAGGCACGTGCTACCACGCCCGGCTAATTTTTGTATTTTTGGTGGACACGGGGTTTCACCATATTGGCCAGGCTGGTCTCCAACTCCTGACCTCAGGTGATCCACGCACCTCCGGTCTCCCACAGTGCTGGGATTACAGGTGTGAGCCACCGCTCCTGGCAAACATACTTCTTTATATGCAGCAATATAATTCTAATATCCAAAGTCTCTGTGGGCATAATTCTGCTATTTATGATTTCTGCTCATTCTCATTTATGGTGGCCTACTTCCTGTTGCTTTGTGTTTGTGGGATTTTTATTAGTGAACACATATTCAAAGGAACTTAACAATAGGGATTTTTTTTCCTTATAGTTTATCATCTGAACTCCAGGGATTTTTTTTAGGTTTGCCTTGAAGGTGACTTTCTCCAGAGAGGATCTGTATTTCGTTCTCTGCAGTGCCTGACAATTAGGTTACTATCACCCTGTAACTACTTTAAAATAAATTCTGGGCTTGGTCGGGCTTGGTGGCTCATGCCTGTAATTCCAGCACTTTGGAAGGCCCAGGTGGGCAGATCACTTGAGGTCATGAGTTCGAGACCAGCCTGGCCAACATGGCGAAACCCGTCTCAACTAAAAATACGAAAATTAGTCGGGCATTGTGGTGGGTGCCGGTAATCCCAGCTACTTGGGAGGCTGAGGCAGGAGAATGGCATGAACCCGGGAGGCAGAGGTTACAGTGAGCCAAGATCACGCCATTGCACTCCAGCCTGGGCAACAGAGGGAGACTCCATCTCAGTAAGTAAGTAAATAAGTAAGTAAGTAAGTAAATAAATAAATAAATAAAATTCTGGGCTTGAAGTGTTTCTGTCTATTCAGGTAGTATAAACTTAGACTATAAACTCATGAAGACTAGCCTGTGAATACTCAGGGGAGGTCTTCACAATCCTCGACTTCCACCCCTGATTCAGAGCCAAGATTGCAGTAGGGACATTTCCTTGCTGTCTCTTTTTTCAAGGTGGGTATTTACTGGTTTACCCTTTCCTTTTTTTTTTTTTTTTTTTTTTTTGAGACGGAGTCTCGCTTTGTCACCCGGGCTGCAGTGCAGTGGCGCAATCTCGGCTCACTGCAAGCTCCGCCTCCCAGGTTCATGCCATTCTCCTGCCTCAGCCTCCAGAGTAGCTGGGACTACAGACACCTGCCAGCACACCGGGCTAATTTTTTGTATTTTTAGTAGAGACGGGGTTTCACTGTGTTAGCCACCATGGTCTCGATCTCCTGACCTCGTGATCCACCCGCCTCGGCCTCCCAAAGTGCTGGGATTACAGGCATGAGCCACCGCACCTGGCCTGGTTTACCCTTTCATTGACAGTGGAGCCTGTGCCCACTGCATTAAAGTTGAAGCTCTGTCACTGGCGATTTGGCAGATTCCCCTAGAGCTGTCGCCAATTCCAGCCATATGTGTCTTGAATTCATGCTTTTTGCTTTTTATATTCAAGCTGGTGGTTTTAGGTGTTTTATTTATTTATTTTTTTTTTATACGGAGTCTTGCTCTGTCGCCTAGGCTGGAGTGCAGTGGTGCGATCTTGGCTCACGGCAAGCTCCAACTCCCAGGTTCACGCCATTCTCCTGCCTCAGCCTCTCGAGTAGCTGGGACTACAGGCACCCACCATAATGCCCAGCTAATTTTTGTATTTTAGTAGAGACAGGGTTTCACCATGTTGGCCAGTCTGGTCTTGAACTCCTGACCTCAAGTGATCTGCCCTCCTCAGCCTCCCAAAGTGCTGGGATTACAGGCGTGAGCCACCATGCCTAGCCTCACCACTCTTTTTCTGGCACCTGGCCCTGTGACTGGTTTTGTGGAAGACAATTTTTCGATGGATCTTTTGGGGGCGGGGGTGCAGGAGCTGGGAATGGTATTGGGATGAAACTGTTCCATCAGATCATCAGGCATTAGATTCTCATAAGGAGGACGAAACCCAAATCCCTTGCATGCATAATTCATGATAGGGTTTGCAATCCTATGAGAATCTAATGTCTGCTAATCTGACAGGAGGCGGAGCTCAGGCTGTGATGCTCACTTGCCAGTCACTCATCTCCTGCTGTGCAGCCCGGTTCTTAACAGGCCATGAACTGGTGCTGGTCTGCAGCCCAGGGTTTGGGGACCCCTGTCTCATTGAATATATGAAATTGGGAAGAAAGTCAGGAGTTCCTAAAAGGACAAGAGAGGAAAAAAATTCAGATAAGGACTGAAAAAAAGGTTATTGTATTTGGCAATTAGGCATTTTGAGAATAGATGTAGTAAAGTCATAAGGATAAAAGCTTAATTTCAGTGGGTTGACAAATTAAGAGAGCTGAAGAAGGTATAGAAAATAAAACTTCTGGCCGGGTGCGGTAGCTCACACCTGTAATCCCAGCACTTTGGGAGGCCGAGGCAGGCAGATCATGAGGTCAGGAGATCCAGACCATCCTGGCTAACACGGTGAAACCCCGTCTCCACCAAAAAATACAAAAAAATTAGCCGGGCATGGTGGCGGGCACCTGTAGTCCCAGCTACTCAGAAGGCTGAGGCAGGAGAATGGCGTGAACCCAGGAGGCGGAGCTTGCAGTGAGCCGAGATCACGCTACTGCACTCCAGCCTGGGTGACGGAGCGAGACTCCGTCTCAAAGAAAAAAAAGGAAGAAAATAAAACTTCCAGGCCAGGTGCAGTGGCTCACGCCTGTAATCCCAGCACTTTGGGAGGCCGAGACGGGCGGATCACCTGAGGTCAGGAGTTCGAGACCAGCCTGACCAACATGGAGAAACCCCGTCTCTACTAAAAATACAAAATTAGCCGGGCGTGGTGGTGCATGCCTGTAATCCCAGCTACTCAGGAGGCTGAGGCAAGAGAATCACTTGAGCCTGGGAGACGGAGGTTGTGGTGAGCCGAGATCGCGCCATTGCACTCCAGCCTGGGCAACAAGAGTGAAACTCCGTCTCAAAAATAATAATAAATAAAATGAAAATAAAACTTCTGGCCAGGCGTGGTGGCTCACGCCTGTAATCCCAGCACTTTAGGAGGCTGAGGTGGGCGGATCACGAGGTCAACAGATCGAGACCATCCTGACCAACATGGTGAAACCCCGTCTCTACTAAAAATACAAAAATTAGCTGGGCGTGGTGGTGCGCGCTTGTAGTCTCAGGTACTCAGGAGGCAAAGGCAGGAGAATTGCTTGAACCCGGGAGGCGGAGGTTGCAGTGAGCCGAGATTGTGCCACTGCACTCCAGCCTGTTGACAGAGTGAGACTCCATCTCAAAAGAAAATAAAACTTTTTTTTCAAGAAATGTTAGAGTGAAGAGAAAGCAGAAGGGTGGTTGGGTTGAAGAAAGATTATTCAGAAGGAGGGAATCAAACATATTTGTAAGTTAAAGAGAATGACCATGCAGAATAAAATACATTATAAAAGAGAAAGGATAAGTGTTAGGGTGCAGTATTTCAGAAGAGACAGATGAGAGGGTAAAGGTCTGAGTTATAAGGCCTTTGTAAGGAGATCCTCTTCTTCAGCCAGGCAGGAAGATACATACAGATGGGTGCCCTCACAGTTTAGAGGTCAAAAGGAGGAATACGGCCGGGCACAGTGGCTCATGTGTGTAATCCTGGCACCTTGGGAGGCTCAGATGGGAAGATCCCTCAAGCCCAGGAGACCAGCCTGGGCAACATAGTGAGACCCCGTCTCTAAAAAAACATTAAAAAAAAATAGCCAAGTGTGGCGGTGTGCACCTGTGGTCCCAGCTCCTCAGAGGCTGAGGTGGGAGGATTGCTGGGGCCTGGGAAGTTGAAGCTGCAGTGAGCTGTGATGGCGCCACTATACTCCATCTTGGGCGACAGAGTGAGACCTGGTCTGGGGGAAAAAAAAGAAAAAGAGAGAAAAAGAAGAGAGAAAGAGAGGAGAGAGAGAGGGAAAGAAGGAAAGAAGAGATAGAGAAAGAGCACTTTGGGAGGTCGAGACGGGTGGATCACCTGAGGTCAGGAGTTGGAGAACAGCCTGGCCAACATGGCAAAACCCTTTCTCTACTAAAAACACAAAAACTAGCCGGGCATGGTGGCAGGTGCCTGTAATCACAGCTACTCGGGAGGCTGAGGCAGGAGAATCGCTTGAACCTGGGAGGTGGAGGTTGCAGTGAGCTGAGATCATGCCACTGCACTCCAGCCTGGGTGACGGAGCGAGGAAAAAAAGGAAGAGAAGAGAAGGGAGGGGAGGGGGAGGGGGAGGGGGAGGGGAGGGGGAGGGGGAGGGGAGGGAGGGGGAGGGGAGAGGGGGAAGAGGCCAGGTGTGCTGGCTCATGCCTGTAATCCCAGTGCTTTGGGAGGCCAAGGCAGGTGGATCATTTGAAACCCTGTCTCTACTAAAATACAAAAATAATTAGCCAGTTGTGGTGGCGGGTGCCTGTAATCTCAGCTACCAGGGAGGCTGAGGCAGGTTAATTGCTTGAACCTCGGAGGCAGAGGTTGCAGGAAGCTGAGATCCTGCCGCTCTACTACTCCAGCCTGGGGGAGGGGAGGCGAGGGGGAAAAGGAAAAGGAAAGGGAAGAACGCTGGAGAATGTGGCACTGGTTTATTATCCTTTTGAGGCCGACTGTAAGGTGGTCTACAAAAGGCAAAGGCTGGGACTAGAAAGAGGTGCTTAAGGAGAGCAGCTGTGAGAAATTGACAAGGCATTTGGCTCCCCATGAGGACTGCCAAGTTAAGGCTGGAAACCACATACTGGTACCAGTTCCGACTCATGATTAACTAATGCTCTCCTATAAAACAGATGCCAACACTCAGAAGGAGAGAAAACACATCTGTGTCCTCAATACCTAGAACAACTGTTGGCATATCAACAGGCCCTCAATAAATATTTCTTGAATGAGCAAATAAACATAAAGTTTACATTGATCTAGAACTGGGGAGGGGTGAGGTGGTTGGGACCAAAGAACAAAAGACAAAGGTAACTGAGGGTGTGGTAAAAGTGTCTTGAGATCATTGTCCATGAAGTCCAAGGTGGATAAGGAAAGAAGTGAAGCCAGAAAGGATATGGTAGATTGGAACTGTAGTTGACCCAAACTAGGTGATACAAAATTGAAGAATGAATGACAATTTATAGGTGTTTAGAAAATTTGTGGGTTCTGAAATGAAAGAAGCAGATCTTTAGAGGAAATGACCCAGTGACCCAGATGACTTAAGCCTAAGAAATGGGTAGAAAACTTGTTTACTATTAAATTTAAATTTTTCTCCTTTTGGGCTGGGCGCGGTGGCTCACACCTGCAATCCCAGCCCTTTGGGAGGCCGAGATGGGCGGATCACCTGAGGTCGGGAGTTCAAGACCAGCCTGACCAACATGGAGAAACCCCATCTCTACTAAAAATACAAAATTAGCTGGGCGTGGTGGTGCATGCCTGTAATCTCAGCTACTAGGGAGGCTGAGTCAGGGGAATTGCTTGAACCTGGGAGGCAGAGGTTGTGGTGAGCCGGGATTGTACCATTGCACTCCAGCCTGGGCAACAAGAGCAAAACGCTGTTTCAAAGAAAAAAAATTTTTTTTCTCCTTTTGGCTTGAGACACAGAACTCACACCTCTCTTCTGTGAAGTCTACAATGGGGCCTGTAGCTGCACATTCCAGTTGAACTAGGCTCCCAGTTGCTATTGGCTGAGCAGACAATGCAAACAATACTCAGAATCCTATTAACTAACAATGGATTAACACCAAATTAGAAGTGTCTAGTGCATACTGTTCTGAGTGCTGTCCTATTCAATGTTTGTACAAATGGTTTAGTTAAGAACGTTGATGACAGATTATCACATTTGTAGACATCAATAATCTAGTAGAGATAATATGCTGGATAGCAGAATCAGAATATAAAGAGATCTTGGCAGGCAGGACCAAATCTAACGAGGTGGGGTTTTTTTTGTTTTGTTTTGTTTTTTCATTTTTTAGAGACAGGGTCTCTATATGCTGGAGCACAGCTGCTATTCACAGGTGCATTCATAGCACACTACAGCCTTAAAACTCCTGGCCTCAGATGATCCTCTAACGTTAGCCTCTGAAGTAGCTGGGACTATAGGCATACCCCACTGCACCTAGCTAAGATGCAGTTTAAATGGGTCAAATGCAAAGTTCAGTGCAAAGGTTAAAAAAAATAAAGTGGCCGGGCACAGTGGCTCACGCCTGTAATCCCAGCACTTTGGGAGGCTGAGGCGGGTGGATCGCCTGAGGTCGGGAGTTCGAGACCAGCCTGATCAACATGGAGAAACCCTGTCTCTACTGAAAATACAAAATTAGCTGGGCGTGGTGGTGCATGCCTGTAATCCCAGCTACTCGGGAGGCTGAGGCAGGAGAATTGCTTGAACCTGGGAGGCAGAGGTTGCAGTGAGCCAAGATCGCGCCATTGCACTCCAGTCTGGGCAACAAGAGCGAAACTCTGTCTCAATAACTAAATAAATAAATAAATAAAAATAAAGTGTCAGGGCATGGTGGCTTACACCTATTATCCCAGCACTTTGGGACGCTGAGACAGGAGAATCAATTGCGTTCAGGATTTTTTTTTTTTTTTTTTTCTGAGATGGAGTCAGTTCCTGTCGCCCAAGCTGGAGAGCAGTGATGCGATCTCGGCTCACTGCAACCTCCACCTCCTGGGGTCAAGCGATTCACCTGAGGCCAGGATCTTGAGATGCTGTGTGCCTGTAGTCCTAGCTACTTGAGAGAAACTAAGATGGGAGGATCTTTTGAGCCTAGGAGTTCAAGGCTACAGTGAGCTATGATCTCACCCATGTATACCAGCCTGTGTGACAGAGCAAGATCCTGTCTCTAAAAAATAACTTAGGAGAGACAACAAAAATATGGGCAAAATAAGGAGTTAAAATGGAGGACAATACAAATGGTATATACATACATGCCCATACACATATACCTATAATCTCTACACACGCATGTATGTATATGTGTGCATGTGTAACTTTTGCTTATCTTTCATTCTGGCAAAAATGTAAATGACCAGGCCAGGTGTGGTGACTCATGCCTGTAATCCCTGTACTTTGGGAGGCCGAGGCAGGCGGATCAACTGAGGTCAGGAGTTCAAGACCAGCCTGGATAACATACAGTGAAACCTTGTCTCTACTAAAAAATACAAAAATTAGCCGGGCATGGTGGTGTGCACCTGTAATCTCAGCTACTCAGGGGGCTGAGGCAGGAGAATTGCTTGAACCCAGGAGGTGGAGGTTGCAGTGAGCCAAGATCATGTCACTGTAGTCCAGCTTGGGTGACAGAGTGAGATTCTGTCTCTAAAATAATAATAATAGGCTGGGCGCGGTGGCTCACGCCTGTAATCCCAGCACTTTGGGAGGCCGAGGCGGGCGGATCATGAGGTCAGGAGATCGAGACCATCCTGGCTAACACGGTGAAACCCCGTCTCTACTAAAAAAATACAAAAAATTAGCCGGGCATGCTGGTGGGCGCCTGTAGTCCCAGCTACTCGGAGGCTGAGGCAGGAGAATGGCGTGAACCTGGGAGGCGGAGCTTGCAGTGAGCCGAGATTGTGCCACTGCACTCCAGCCTGGGCAACAGAGCAAGACTCTGTCTCAAAAAAAAAAATAAAATAAATAAAATAAAATAAAATAATAATAATAAATTAAATGACCACTCATATCTAATATCAAGTATTAGAAAAGTATGGGCAAATGGCCTATAGCAGTCTTACAAGGTTGGTGGGAATATAAATCAATTTAGGGCAATCTGTAAGTACATATTACAATTTTTTTCAACAGTGTAAGGAGGTTTTTGTTTGTTTTTTTGTTTTGTTTTGTTTTGTTTTTGAGATAGATTCTTGCTCTGTTGCCAGGCTGGAGTGCAATGCCATGACCTTGGCTCACTGCAACCTCCGCCTCCTGGGTTCAAGCGATTCTCCTGCCTCAGCCTCCCAAGCAGCTGGGACTACAGGCGCCTGCCACCACGCCCAGCTAATTTTTGTATTTGTAGTAGAGACAGGGTTTCACCATGTTGACCAGGATGGCTTCAATCTCTTGACCTTGTGATCTGCCCGCCTTGGCCTCCCAAAGTGCTGGGATTACAGATATGAGCCACTGCACCCGGCTGTAAATAGTTTTTAAATTGTGGATATGTAACAATAGACAAAATTATTTAAAGTCAATAAATTTTTATTCAAGGAATTCCATGTTGTGATTTCTTCCACTGTCCATCAAGGTCACTTTAGATCCTCTAAAGAGCTGGAGTCAAAAGATTTATCTTCAAGTTAGCCTTTTTAATGAAACTGATCCAGTTGTCCTGTCAGCCCATAATTACTTTGGCTTCCTGTCGTCTCCTTTTAATGTGGATATACTGATGAAGACTTCAAAATTCACCAAGAATCTTTGGGATCTAATTTCTTCAACCAATTTACTTTAGGGTCCTTTATACTGTCGGTCGTGGGGATCTGCCAGGTTATCAATTTGACACCTTAAGCCATCTCACTCAAGAATAGTACAGATGTGTGGAATATGCCAATACCTTTAACTCCAGACATCATGTTCTCAAGATAAAAGCTTTTAAAACAAAAAGCCATCGTATGTCTCATCAACATGAAATTGGAATGCAAAATTAATACTGCTGAGGATTTCCCTCATATCCCATGCTGTTTAACTATCTATTCTACAGTCCTAGAATCAATCTTTTTTTTAGGAGACAAGGTCTTTGTTACGAAGGCTGGAGTAGAGTGGTGCCATCAAAGCTCAGTGCAGCCTCCAACTCCTGGGCTCAATCCTTTTGCCTCAGCCTCCCCTTCCTGAGTAGCTGCAACTACAGGCACACGCCCCAATACCCAGCTAGTTTTTAAATTTTTGTGGAGATGAGGTGTTTGTTACTTTCTTGCCCAGGCTGGTCTTGAACTCCTGGTTTCAAGCAATACACCCACCTCAGTGTGGGGATTGCAGACTTGAGCCACTGCACCTGGCCTGGAACCAACCTTTATGGCTATCAATACTCCCATCAGTTAACTGTCTCAGGTATCATAATATCCCTTCTTATATGTATCAAAACTCATACTGAACAATGAGTTCTGGGTTGCAAAAAGTACATATTAAAATTTTAAATGCTGGGCACGGTGGCTCACACCTGTAATTCCAGAACTTTGGGAGGCCGAGGAGGGCAGAGCACGAGGTCAGGAATTTGAGACAGCCTGACCAATATGGTGAAACCCCGTCTGTATTAAAAATACAAAAATTAGCTGGGCATGGTGGCACGTGCCTGTAGGCCCAGCTACTCAGAGGCTGAGGCAGAAGAATCGCTTGAATCCGGGAGGCAGAGGTTGCATTGAGCCAGAATCCGGGAGGCGGAGGTTGCATTGAGCCAAGATTGCGTCACTGTACTCCAGCCTGGGCAACAGAGCAAGACTCTGTCCCTTTAAAAAGAAAAAAAAAATTTAAATGTGCATACCCTGTGACCCAGCAACTTTCAATATTTACCGTAGAGAGGCCAGGTGCAGTGGCTCATGCCTGTAATCCCAGCACTTTGGGAGGCCGAGGTGGGTGGATTACCTGAGGTCAGGAGTTTGAGACCAGCCTGGCTAACGTGATGAAACCCCGTCTCTACAAAAAAATTACAAAATTAGCCGGGCGTGGTGTTGCATGCCTGTAATCCCAGCTACTCAGGAGGCTGAGGCAGGAGAATCGCTTGAACCCAGGAGGCAGAGGTTGCAGTAAGCAGAGATCATGCCATTGCACTCCAGCCTGGGCGACAAGAGCAAAACTTTGTCTAAAATAAAATAAAACAATATTATATATATATATATTTATAATATATTTATATTTATATATATTTATAATATATTTATATTTATATATATTTATAATATATTTATATTTATATATATATTTATATTTTACCCTAGAGAAATACTCCCATATGGCACTAAGAGGCATAAAGAATTTTCACTGAAACATTGTAATAGCAAACAATTGGAAACAATCTATATGTCCAACAACAGAATGGTTAAGTAAGCTGTGATACATTCATACTATAGGATACAATATAACAGTTCTTATGAATGAGACATCTTTATATGTATTGAGATGCAAGTTCTCTGAAACATGTTAAGGGTAAAAAGAAGATCTGGAATAATACAAACCATGTGATACTTTTTTTTTTTTTTTTTTTTTTGAGACAGGGTCTGGCTCTATTGCCCAGGCTGGAATCCAGTGGCACTATCATGGCTCATTGCAGCCTTGACCTCCAGGGCTCAAGCAATCTTCCCACCTCAGCCTCCCTGTAGCTGGGACTACAAGTGTGTGCCACCACACCTGGCTATTTTTTAGTTTTTGTAGACACAAAACTATGTTACCCAGGATGGTCTCAAACTCCTGGCCTTGAGTGATTTTCCTGCCTTAGCCTCCCAAAGTGCTGGGATTACAGGTGTGAGGCACTATGCCCGGTTCATTTATGTTTTAAAAGTCTCATATAACTAGCCGGGTGTGGTGGCTCATGCCTATAATCTCAGCATTTTGGGAGGCCAAGGCAGGCAGATCGCTTGAGTCCAGGAATTCAAGATCAGCCTGGGCAACATGGCAAAACTCTGTCTCTACAAAAAATATACAAAAATTATCCAGGCGTGGTGGCATGTGCCTGTAGTCCCAGCTACTCTGGAGGCCAAAGTGGGAGGATTACTTGGTCTGGGAGGCAGAGGGTGCAGTGAGCCAAGATCATGCCACTACACTCCAGTCTGGGCAACAGAGTGAGACCGTCTAAAAAAAAAAAAAAATTCCCATATATTTCTACATGTAAATACATAGAAAAAGGGCTGGAAGGATATATAATCAATATTAAACAGTGTTTATCTCTGGAAGGAAAGGACCAGGACTTGGAATAATGGCAAGGAAGCCTTGTTTGTAGTTTTTTTTTTTTTTTCATCGTTTTTGAGGAGTCTCACGCTATCGCCCAGGCTGGAGTGCAGTGGTGTCATCTCAGCTCACCGTACCTCCGCCTCTCCGCCTCCTGGGTTTAATCGATTCTCCTGCCTCAGCCTCCTCAGTAGCTAGGATTACAGGTGTCTGCCACCACGGCCAGATAATTTTTTTTTTTTTTTTTTTTTTTTTTAGTAGAGACAGGGTTTCACCATGTTAGCCAGGCTGGTCTCAAACTTCTGACCTCAAGTGATCGGCCGGCCTCGACCTCCCAAACTGCTGGGATTACAGGCATGAGTCACCAAGCCCGGCTTTTTTTTTTTTTTTTTCTTTTTTTAATTTTTTTTTTTTATTATACTCTAAGTTTTAGGGTACATGTGCACATTGTGCAGGTTAGTTACATATGTATACATGTGCCATGCGACCGGCTTTTTTTGTTGTTGTTGTTTTTTGTTTTTGAGTTGGAGTCTTGCTCTGTCATCCAGGCTGAAGTGCAGTAGCATGATCTCGGCTCACTGCAACCTCCACCTCCTGGGTTCAAGCCATTCTCCCGCCTCAGCCTGCCGAGTAGCTGGGACTATAGGAGTACACCATGCCCAGCTAATTTTTTGTATTTTAGTAGAGATGGGGTTTCACCATGTTGCCCAGGCTGGTCTCAAACTCCTAAGCTCAGGCAATCCGCTCACCTTGGCCTCCTAAAGTGCTAGGACTACAGGCGTGAGCCACCATGTCCAACCTGTAGTTTTGTTTTTTTTTTGAATGAAGGTTTTTAATGTTATATGTTGTATAAAATTAATGCATTAATTTATTATTATGAAATCAAAACAACCCTACCTTACCCCGAAAATAACACCTGTAGGTTTTTGTCAGTTGTCAGATGGGCATCTTGCTATGTTGCCCAGGCCGGTTTCAAACTCTTGGAGCTCAAGCTACCTTCTGCCTCAGCCTCTAGAGCAGCTAAGACTACAAGTGTGCACCACCATGTCCAGCTTAGGTGTCAGTTTGATATGAGTCAGTAGCATAAGTAGTAAAGAAAACCTAAGGGGGCCTTGGGCTCTCCTACGGTCCAGGTCTACAAGCAAGCAGGTAATGGTTTAGTTCTATTTGGCTTGGTGAGGCCACATCTGGACCAAAGTTAGACAGGCACACTGACACATTTGAGCTCATCCAGAGAGTAGACAAGGTGATGCCAGGAGTCCACACTATGTCAAGGAGGACTAGCTAAAGGGAGGGAAAATGTTTAGGCTAGTAGATGTAGAAAGAGGTGGTCCTCAAACTCTTGACGTTTTCATGAGGGTGAAGATAGTAGATTTCAAGACACTGGAGTTATTCAAGAGACTAAATATTCACTTTCCAGGGATACTGTGAAAAAGATTCACTGAGGAGGCATTCGTTGGAACTAGATTTTTTTTTTTTTTAAGAGACAGGGTTCTGCTGTGTTACCCAGGCTGGTCTCTAACTCCTAAGCTCAAGAGATCCGCTTGCCTCAGCCTGCCAAAGTGATGGGATTACAGGGTAAGCCACGTGCCTGGCCTGGAACTAGATTATCTTAAAGTTAGTTTCCAACTAACTTTATTTCAATTTATTTCAAGTTTCCTTGAAATAAATTGAGTTTTCAATTTATTTCTGGTTCCTTGGCCTCAACCAGATTTATTGAAATTTAAGTCCCTAAAACTGTCTTTTGTTTTATTATAGAGAGGATATTAACCAGAAGGTTACATACTACAATCTGGAAGGAATAATCTCAATATCATGAGTGCCAATTAAGTGCCTCAGAGAATACAAAGGTGACCATAACTGGAATGCTTAACAAGTACCAACTGAAGAAATGTAATGAAAATTAAAGTTTAATTTGTTTTCCCCTGTCTCTGCACAATTTATTTCAGTGGGAGAGGTTTTCCTCAGATGTGGATCACCTTTAGGTAATAGTCTTTGCAACCACTTTAAGTAGCAAAACATACTCTTGGTCCGAAATATATTAACACATCAATTTTCATCATAGGTAAGAATCTCTCTACCCCACAGCTAGGGTCAACAGAGCCAGCCAGCTCGCCTCTGTGAAAGAGGGGGTAGTTGGCTTCTCTCCTTTTGCTACACTGATATTTCTAGGAATGGGGCAGAATGAAGAGGAAGGGTTATTAGTGGCTTCATGCTGTCTAGGCCTGGCTGATGTTAAGAATTATCTCATGAGCATTTGTATGGCTCCATCAGAGGCTTCCCTGGGGGCGCTTTCCAAAGGCAGTGGCAACTTCCTGAAGTGAGGTGATGTATTCTATTTCTATAGCCACCACTCTCTCATTATCCTTTTGTTTTCCAGTGTTCTTTTCCACATGAAGAGCCCCACTATGCATCCAGGCAGTTCTCTTGAGTAGGATTTAAACTGGCTCCACACATGGTCCACAGGATTCATGTATATCTGACCGTTTATCAGAAGCCAGTGTGGTGACTTCCAGGATGTGACTCTCTACTTTGTTACATCAGGCTCTGTTGTTAGTCAGCTTTTGCCTTGAAATTCCTCTACCGTGAGTCATACACAGTCTAATGATTATCCCTTACCCAAGGACAAATACAAAATGTTTCAGTGGTCTTGAAGCCACTGTCTCTAGGATTGAGAAGATAGAATTACTCCTCACCTCATCTCTTTTTTTTGGGGTGGGGGATGGAGTTTTGCTCCCCCTGCCCAGGCTGGAGTGCAGTGGTGCGATCTCAGCTCACTGCAACCTCCACCTCCCAGGTTCAAGCGATTCTCCTGCCTCAGCCTCCTGAGTAGCTGGGACTACAGGCACCCGTCACCGCGCCTGGCTAATTTTTTTTATTTTTAGTAGAGACGGGGTTTCACCATGTTAGCCAGGCTAGTCTCGAACTCCTAACCTCAGGTGACCTGCCCGCCTCAGCTTCCCAAAGTGCTGGGATTACAGGCGTCAGCCACCTCACCTGGCCCTTCCCCACCTCTTCTCTTTGGGATTGAATAGGGCTCACAGCATGGTAGTAGCTCTCTCCAAAGAAAGCTCTTTTATAAACCCAATCTCCGCTTTTTTGTTGTTGTTTTTTTTTTTTTTTTTGAGACAGGGTCTCACTCTGTGGCCCAGGCTGAAGTGCAGTGGTATGATGATGGCTCATGGCAGCCTCAAACTCCTGGCTCATGTGATCCACCTGCCTCAGCCTCCTGAGTAGTAGCTGGGATTACAGGCATGCACCACCATGCCTGGCTAATTTTTTTTTTTTTTTTTTAGATGTATTACTCTTGCTCTGTCGCCCAGGCTGGAGTATAGTGGTGCGATCTCAGTTCACTGCAACCTCCACCTCCCGAGTTCAAGTGATTCTCCTGCCTCAGCCTCCAAAGTAACTGGGATTATAGGCGCCCACCACCACACCCTGCTAATTTTTGTATTTTTAGTAAAAACGGGGTTTCACCATTTGGCCAGGCTGGTCTTGAACTCCTGATGACCTCAAGTGATCCGCCTGCCTCAGCCTCCCAAAGTGCTGGGATTACAGGCATGAGCCTCTGCCCCTGGCTTTTTAATTTTTTCAAATTTTTTATTTTTTTTTTGAGACGGAGTCTTGCTCTGTCACCAGGCTGGAGTCCAGTGGTGCAATCTCGGTGCTCACTGCAATCTCTACCTCCCAGGTTCAAGTGATTTTCCTGCCTCAGCCTCCCAAGTAGCTGGGACTACAGGCACGTGCCACCATGCCCAGCTAATTTTTTGTATTTTTAGTAGAGACAGGGTTTCACCATGTTGAGCAGGATGGTCTCGATCTCTTGACCTCGTGATCCGCCCACCTTGGCCTCCCAAAGTGCTGGGATTACAGGCTTGAGCCACTGCGCCCGGCCTAATTTTTTAATTTTTTTGTGGAGACAAGGTCTCACCATGTTGCCCAGGTTGGTCTTGAACTAGCCTGAAGTGATCCTCCCACCTCAGCCTCCCAAAGTGCTAGGATTACAAGAGTAAGCCACTGCATCTGGCCTTCTATCTTCACTTTTCATACTCTTGAAATGGGTGAGGGGGTTCAAGAGTTGTGCAACTGGTTCTTGGTAAGTTCCTTTAAAATACTGCATTTACATCTGCTGTCTCCCTTTGGAGTTTCATATCTATTAGATCTTGATACCCCAGCTGAAACATCCAGTTTAAGATTTTGTTAAGTATAAAACATAATCTGCTTTATCAATCCTGCTTTAAATCTTCCCTCATTCCTTATCTGAGGCTATGTGATTTAGTCACACCTCACAAGCCAAGCCCTAGGCCTAGGCCATCAAGTTGGTATGGCATGATCTGGTCATGCTCTCCTTTACTGATAAAGAAAACCAAGCTAAGGCCAAGGGCTCACTATAACAAACCTACTGCCCATGAGAGGGATAAATCAGGAGTCCCTCTTGGCTCCAAACCTAGTTCTCTATACGGATGTATACAGAGCAAAGTGATTTGGTCAAGTAGCCATGGGCTTTGGAGTCTGTCATTTATCAAGTGATCTTAGATGAATTATCTTTTCTCAGCTTCATTACAATTTTGTAAAATAGGGCCGGGCGCCGTGGCTCAACCCTGTGGGCATAAGCCTTTGGGAGGCTGAGGCGGGCAGATCACTTGAGGTCAGGAGTTCGACAGCTTGGCCAACATGGTGAAACTCCATCTCTACTAAAAATACAAAAATAAGCCAGGTGTGGTTGCGGGTGCCCATAATCCCAGCTACTTGGGAGGCTGAGGTAGAATAGAACTGTTTGAACCCGGGAGGTGGAGGTTGCACTGAACCGAGATTGCACTACTGCACTCTAGCCTGGATGATAGACTGAGACTCTGTCTCAAATTAAAAAAAAAAAAAATTATAAAATAGCCTCACCTTTCAATTTGAAATTTATTTATTTATTTTTTGAGACGGAGTTTCCCTTTTGTCGCCTAGCCTAAAGTGCAATGCCACAATCTCAGCTCACTGCAACCTCCTGCCTCCTGGGTTCAAGCAATTCTCCTACCTCAGCCTCCCGAGTAGCTGGGATTACAGGTGTGCGTCACCACCAGCTAATTTTTGTATTTTTAGTAGAGACAGGGTTTTACCATGTTGACCAGGCTGGTCTCAATCTCCTGACCTCAGGTGATCTACCCGCCTTGGCCTCCCAAAGTGCTGGGATTGTGGGCATGAGCCACCATGCCCAGCCTGAAATTTATTTATTTTTTTTAAAGTCAGTCTCTGTAGAGACTGTCAAAAATTGCCAATGCCAACTATATTGTAAGTTACCACAGTGGGATATGTGAAAATTCTTTTTTTTTTTTTTTGAGACATGGTCTCACTCCATCACCCAGGCTGGAGTGCAGTGGCAAGATCACAGTTCACTGCAACCTCGACTTCACGGGCTCAAGTGAGCCTTCCATGGCATGTGCCACCATGTCTGGCTAACTTTTTGTAAAGACGGGGTCTCTCTAAGTTGCCTAAGCTGGTCTCAAAACTCTTAGACTCAAGGGATCTGCCTGCCTTGGCCTCCCAAAGTGCTGGGATAACAGGTGTGAGCCACTGGGCCTGGCCCAACAGAAACCTTTTCTTTTTTTCTTTTGAGACAGAGTCTCAACTCTGGAGTCTCACTCTGTTGCCCAGGCTAGAGTGCAGTGGTGCAATCTTGGCTCACTGCAATCTCCACCTCCCAGGTTCAAGTGATTCTTCTGCCTCAGCCTCCTGAATAGCTGAGATTACAGGCGTGTGCCACCACACCCGGCTAATTTCTGTATTTTTAGTAGATGGGGTTTCGCCATGTTGGCTGTGCCGGTCTCGAACTCCTGACCTCAGGTGATCCACCCGCCTTGGCCTCCCAAAGTATTGGGATTACAGGCGTGAGCCACCGTGCCTGGCTTGAAACTTTTTTTGAGACAGAGTCTCGCTCTGTCGCCCAGGCTGGAGTGCAGTGGCGCGATCTCAGCTCACTGAAAGCTCCGCCTCCTGAGTTCACACCATTCTCCTGCCTCAGCCAAGTAGCTGGGACTAACAGGCGCCTGCCACCACACTCAGCTAATTTTTGTATTTTTGGTAGAGACGGGGGTTTCACCGTGTTAGCCAGGATGGTCTCGATCTCCTGACCTCATGATTGGCCTGTCTCGGCCTCCCAGAGTGCTGGGATTATAGGCGTGAGCCACTGTGCTTGGCCTGAAACGTTTTCAATTAGCAATAATTGTACATTGGACAAACCTCATTGGCTATGATACTGCCACTGCACAAAACTTAAAAAAAATTTTTTTTTTTGAGACGGAGTCTTGCTCTGTCGCCCAGGCTGCAGTGCAGTGGCAAGATCTCGGCTTACTACAAGCTCCGCCTCCGGGGTTCACGCCATTCTCCTGCCTCAGCCTCCAGAGTAGCTGAGACTACAGGCGCCCGACAGCACGCCCGGCTAATTTTTGTCATATTTTTTAGTAGAGACGGGGTTTCACCATGTTAGCCAGGATGGTCTTGATCTCCTGACCTCGTGATCCGCCCACCTCGGCCTCCCAAAGTGCAGGGATTACAGGCGTGAGCCACCGCGCCCAGCCAAAATTTAATTTTTAATTAAACAATTAATATATGAATATTTTCCTTGGAAAAAAGGAAAATATAGATGACACAAAAGTTCCTATGATTACCACTTCCAATCTCACTCCCCTAATTCTTTTCTGGAAGTGACCACAATTCTTTTTTTTTTTTTTTGAGACAGAGTCTTGCTCTGGTGCCAGGCTGGAGTGCAGTGGTGCGATCTCAGCTCACTGAAACCTCCGCCTCTTAGGTTCAAGCGATTCTTGTGCCTCAGCCTCCCGAGTAGCTGGGATTAAGGCACACGCCACCACACCCAGCTAATTTTTGTATTTTTAGTAGAGATGGGGTTTCACCATGTTGGCCAGGATGGTTTCGATCTCCTGACCTCGTGATCCACCGGCCTCAGCTTCCCAAAGTGTTGGGATTACAGGCGTGAGTCAACGTGCCTGGATGTAACAGTTCTCAGTTTAGCAGTTATCCTTCCAGTTCTTTTTCAATTGATCTGTGCTTTTTAACCCATAAAAATAGGATAGATAGTAGTATCTGTCTCACAGGAAAAGAACAGAAGTGAAATGCAAAGTGGGTAATGTTTTCCTTTTTCTCGTTCCTAAGAGCTGAGACCTACTGCAGAAACACAGCTGTACAGTACATTCAAGCTGAAGAAAAGAAAATCTTTTTTATTTCCAAGGGTGGAATTATCTGCCCTTGGTATTATCTAATACCTTGTATTTTAAAATATAAGTTTTTTGTTTTCCAAAAAACTCAACAGACATCACACACAGATTTTACAGTAGGTACAAGCTCTAGCCTGGCACACAACACAGCCAGCGTCTTGGACAGGGGTCTGCCAGAGGAGGGTAGCAAAAGCCAAAAGCCCAGAAAGTATTCTGCTTCCTTTGTCCTCTTCCATTTTAGCCAGGCAAGGAGCATTCTGTGTCTTATATCTTCTTTTCCCTGTGGCGTTCATTTCCAATTGCAGAAAGGAGGTCATATGACCAGATTCTTTCCTTAAACAGCTTTCCAGCTGAGTACAACAAAGACAAAACAAAGCAACCCTGCTCCTCCACAATTCTGCTCTTCCATCACTCTACATGGCAGGAGAAACTCCCACAATAGCTTTTTCCTACTGTCAGAGAGGAAGCATAAACCAAGATTTCCAAAGGCACCACTGGTTGGTTCCCAGGTGCCCTAGAGTAGGATTTTTATTTTATTTTACTTTATTATTTTTTTTTTGAGATGAGGTCTTATTATGTTGCCCAGGCTGGTCTTGAACTCCTGGTCTCAACAAATCCTCCTGCCTCAGCCTCTGAGTAGCTGGGATTATAGGCACTCGCCTCCACACCTGGCTCTAGGATTTTATTTTAGCATAAAACCAAATTCCACTTTGCTAGCCATGATACAAGTTTCTTTTTGAGACGGAGTCTCATTCTGTCGCCCAGGCTGGAGTGCAGTGGCATGATCTCGGCTCACTGCAACCTCTGCCTCCCGGGATCGAGCAATTCTCCTGCCTCAGCCTCCCGAATAGCTGGGATTACAGGCGCCCACCACCACGCTAGACTGATTTTTGTATATTTTAGTATAGACAGGGTTTCACCATGTTGGTCAGGCTGGTCTCGAACTCCTGACCTCAAGTAATTCACCTGCCTCAGCCTCCCAAAGTGCTGGGATTACAGGCGTGAGCCACCCTGCCCGGCCCCTCTTTTTGTATATCTAATTTAATTCTAACAAAAACATATAAGGTTTTTAGTTTAGTTTTTGAGACAGGCTGTTGCCCAGGCTGGAGTGCAGTGGTGTAGATATGGCTCACTGCAGCCTTGACCTCCTGGGCTCAAGGGATCCTCCTGCTTCAGCCTCTGGTACAGCTGGGACCACAGTGCGTGCCACCACACCTGGCTAATTTTTAAGGTTTTTTTGTAGAGATGGGGCCTTACTCTGTAGCCTAGGCTGGTCTCAAACTTCTGGGCTCAAGTGATCCTCCCATCTTGGCCTCCCAAAATGCTGGGATTGTGGGCATAAGGCACCACGCCCAGCCCAGCCCATATAAGGTTTTTTTTGTTTGTTTGTTTGGTTTTTTTGTTTTTTTTTTTTTAAAGACAGAGTTTTGCTCTGTTGCCCAAGCTGGGGTGCAGTGGCACGATCTCAGCTCACTACAACCTCTGCCTCCTGGGTTCAAGCGATTCTCCTGCCTCAGCGTCTCGAGTAGCTGAGATTACAGGTGTGCACCACCACGCCCAGCTAATTTTTGTATTTTTAGTAGAGACAGGTTTTCACCACATTGGCCAGGCTGGTCCTGAACTCCTGACCTCAAGTGATCCACCTGTCTTGGCCTCCCAAAGTGCTGGGATTACATGCTTGAGCCACTGCACCTGGCCCCATATAGAGTTTTTATTGTCATTATTCCCATATTACAGATGAAGGGACTAAGGCTCAAAGGGTAAATAAGTCTGTTCTTAAATAGTGACTTCCTGAGACACAGGAGATGTTTAAGAACAGTACTGGTAGGTGGGAAGTGGCATTTTGGAGCAGGAGTGAGAAGCATGAAAATGTAGCAAGAATAGAAAAGGGTGGGAAAACAGCAAATTAAGAGGAAGAAAAATGCAGGTCCTAGCAAGAATTGCTACTCACCACTGCCAGAGTCTGGGCCATGTTCTAGGTGTGTATTTAAACAAATCTCCATAGCAACCATCTGGTTTCTGTTTTTCTATGACAACACGGGCTTGCATTTCTAAATACAAGCACTGGTGAGGACAAGTGTGGGCTGGGGAAGGGAAGTGGGACCGCTGAGTCAAGGGGAAATTGCGCAAAAAAGGCAAAGGTTCTCTTGGTATGCCCTCATCTATCCCCTCCCAGCACACCCTCAAGGAAGGGGTCTTTCCTTGACTCACAGCAGTCATTGTTAAGAGCTGAGCCTTGTATGCACTTTGTCTTTTGTTTTGGAGACAGAGTCTGGCTCTGTCACCCAGGCTGGAGTGCGGTGGTGTAATCTTTGCTTACTTAAACCTCTTCCTCCGAAGTTCAAGCAATTCTCTTGCCTCAGCCTCCCGAGTAGCTGGGACTACAGGCGCCTGCCACCACTCAGTTAATTTTTAATTTTTTTGTAGAGACAAGGTCTCACTACATCGCCCAGCCTGGTCTCAAACTCCTGGGCTGAAGAATTCCTCGTGCCTCGGCCTCTCAAAATGCTGGCATTACAGGTGTGAGCCACTGTGGCCAGCCCATGATATCTTATTTTTACCAATTATGTAAATTCCTATCTAATTAGGGTATACCCTTGGTGCAAGAGGGGGAAGGGTAGATGCTTTTGCTTCTCATTTTCAACCCAGGTGGCACTTTTGGAGATACTGAGGGTAGAGAGAGGTTGGAGGATCTCATCTGATAAAGGTGTGGTAGCCCCAGAAAGAAAGGTGAGAAAAAGGCAGCTAGGCATGGAGATGCAGGAATAAGAATAGATACTGCCATGAGGACTAAGTGGGCCCAGACCTGAGTTAAAACAGCCCCCCATCCCCGCTTTTTTTTTTTTTTTTTTTGAAATGGAGCCTCTCTCTGTCACGCAGGCTGGAGTGCAGTGGCGCGATCTCGGCTCACTGCAAGCTCCACCTCCCGGGGTTCATGCCATTCTCCTGCCTCAGCCTCCCGAGTAGCTGGGACTACAGACGCATGCCACCATGCCCAGCTAATTTTTGTATTTTTAGTAGAGATGGGGTTTCACTGTGTTAACCAGGATGGTCTCGATCTCCTGACCTCGTGATCCTCCCGCCTCGGCCTCCCAAAGTGCTGGGATTACAACAAGAGCCCCTTTCTTAAGCATAGTGATTCTCAACCAGGCAACCAGGCAACTCCAGGGGGCATTTGGCAATGTCTGGGGACTTTTCTGATTATTCTGACTAAGCAACTAATGGGTAGAGGACAAAGATGCTGTTAAACATCCTGAAATGCACAGGACAGTCCCTGCAACAAAGAATTACTTGGCCCAAAATGTCAGCAGTTCCAAGATTGAAAAACCTGAGTAAAGAGATGCTGGTCCTACAGGAAACGTCTCCTTTGTCCATTGCAGGAGCACCAGTGTGACAGATAAAACCATTTGAGGGGGGCCGGGCATGGTGGCTCACGCCTGTAATCCCAACACTTTGGGAGGCCAAGGTGGGTGGATCACCTGAGATCAGGAGTTCGAGACCAGCCTGGCCAACATGATGAAACCCCATCTCTACTAAAAATACAAAAAATTAGCTGGGTGTGATGGCTACCTGGGAGGCTGCGGCAGGAGAATCGCTTGAATCTAGGAGGTGGAGGTTGCAGTGAGCCGAGATTGCGCCATTGCTCTCCAGCCTGGGAAACAAGAGCAACACTCTGTCTAAAACAAACAAACAAAAAACTATTTGAGGGGGATATACCAGAGATGCCTGCTTGTTCCCCTGGGCCCTGAGTCCCTCTCAGACTTTCAGACCAAGTATTTTTAGTTTACTTCTGACAAAAATAAATTCAAGCCAGAATCCAAATTTGCTGTGAAATCAGCTGGTTCTAGAGAATAGGGTATTTTCCTATACCCTTCTTGGTATAGGCAAAACTGCCCCACAGAGGCTGTGCAATCAGGCAAAGGCATGCTCCTCTTGGCCTTAGTTTCACCATTTGTAAAACGAGTACACTGAACTCAATGATCTCGAATGTCCCTTTAGTTCCAAAACTCTGTACTTTTGGACATTTAAGAAATATCCTGGGCTGTACAGTTTGGGTCTGTAAAAAAGGAAATGACTCAAATGCAATAGAGGAAGCCTAAGGATGACTCAGACTTCCCTAATCATAAACGACACTTCAGACATGGACCTTAACGTCAAACCAGGATTCATGATCACTAAATGACTTTCCTTTTGTACGTGTGAGCAGGTGGCGTTCACCAGGGGTGAGACTTTATTGACAGTAAGTTGCCTCTGCCAAAAAACGCCCTCATATGTCTGCTGATGTTTGAATTTCTCCTATGCAGAGTTTTGTCTCCAGTTAAAAATGTAAATACTGTTGTTTCTTGTTGGAGCTCAGAGGAAAAAAAGATAACTACTCTAGGATATGTATCAATTTGATGCTACTTTATTTTATTTATTGAGACAGGGTCTTGCTCTGTTGCCCAGGCTGGAGTGCAGCAGTGCAATCACAGCTCACTGCAGCCTCAACCTCCTGTGCCCAATCGATGCTCCCACCTCAGCCTGCCATTGCTGGAACTACAGGCACATGACAACACGCCTGGCTATTTTTTTTTAATTTTTCAGACAGGGTCTCCTTACATTGCCCAGGCTGGTCTCAAACTCCTGTACTCAAGTGATCCTCCCCCTTCAGCCTCCCAAAGTGATGGCATTACAGATGTGAGCCACCTCACCCCAGCAAGTTGATTTTTAACAAAAGATAACAGCAAAACCCCAGATAAATTAGCAAACTACCTTCACAGCTCGATGTGAGAACTCTCTTAGTTTTATTTATTTATACACAGAGTCTCATTCTGTTGCCCAGGCTGGAGTGCAGTGGTGCAAACACAGCTCACTGCAGCCTTCACCTTCTGGACTCAGGCTATCCTCCAGCCTCAGCCTCCCACGTAGCTGGGGCCACAGGTGCATGCCATCATGCATGGCTAATTTTTTAATTTTTTTGTAGAGATGGGGGTCTCATTTTGTTGCCCAGGGTGGTCTCGAACTCCTGGGCACAAGCCATCTTCCCCTCCCAAAGTGCTGGGATTACAGGCATGAGCCACCACCTGGCTCCAATCTAAAATTTTATATTCTTGCTACAATGTTTTGAACTTCCAGGTTAATCATTTCTGCTTCTAAATCATCTGCTCTTTGACCTTATAAAGAGTTCTCTTAAAAATAAATAAATAATAGAGAAAGAAACAAAGAATTCTCTTGACCAGAGGTTTTTTTTTTTTTTTTTTTTTTTTTTTTTTTTTTTGAGACAGGGTTTTGCTCGTTGCCCAGGCTGGAGTGCAATGGCGCAATCTTGCCTCACTGCAACCTCTGCCTCCCGGGTTCAAGAGATTCTCCTGCCTCAGCCTCCCTGGTAGCTGGGATTACAGGCGCACGCCACCACACCCAGCTAATTTTTTGTATTTTTAGTAGAGACGGAGTTTCACTATGTTGGCCAGGCTGGTCTCAAACTCCTGACCTGACCTCATGATCCACCCACCCCAGCCTCCCAAAGTGCTAGGATTACAGGTGTGGGCCACCGCGCCTGGCTTGACCAGTTTATCACAACTTCCTTAGCCTATTTTCTTATCTAGCTATAATCAGAGAGATTCTTTAATCTTTCACCAGCACTTTCATCCCCTTGCTTCCTTCTTAGTATACTTTATCTGTCTACAAATCCTGACTCAGGATCTAAACAATAATGTCGTCCCTGCTCTTGTACCCAGGGAGCTAGGTGCTTCTAGAGAAAATAGCACAAAGATATGGATTGGTACCATTACATGTTCATGGTACCAATCTGTTAGAACCTCAACATTGCTTGCTTCCTAACCACCCCTCCCCACCTTTTTTAAGAGATGGGGTTTGGTTATGTTGCCCAGGCTGGAGTGCAGTGGCTAGTCACAAGCACGATAATTGTGCACTGCAGTCTCGTCCTGGGCTCGAGATCTTCCTACCTCACCGTCCCAAGTAGCTGGGACTATAGGCGTGTGCCACCATGCCTGGCTTTTATTTTTTGTACAGATGAGTTCTTACCATGTTGTCCAGGCTGGTCTGGAACTCCTGGACTCAAGCAATCCTCCTGCCTCAGCCTCCCAAACTGTCGGGATTATAGGCGCCTGAGTCATTGGGCTCCGCCCCTCCTCTCTTCTATGTCCTTTTATGGCTATACTTTTTACACTCCCACCTCTCTAACATCCTACTTTACAAGTCTGACTAAAGCTGTCAGACAACGACTCCTATAAATTACTTAGCCCCAGTCAAAAACAATCAGCTGGGAGTTTACTGTTATATTTTCGCCTTGAGTCTCCAGCAGGATGAGGCATATATAGTCCTACTTGAGACCACTTTCTCACTCAGTTGGCTTCCCAAGTAGACTAACCCCACCACCTAGTAGAGTGGCTGGCACACGGTAAGTGCTCAGCAAACGTCTGCAGAAGTAGACCATGTAACTAAACCACATCCACCTGTGCTCATTTCACCTCCTTTCTCTTCAGAACCCTGCTTTTTGGTTATTATCATTCTCTACTGAGCTCCAGCTTTTACTTATTCCTTTCACTCTTTCAATAAATATGCCTGAATTATTCCCATCCTAAAACAACCACAAAACCTCTCCATATTACTTAGTTCTATAAGCCAGATTTCACCTCTACAAATCCACTGAAATTGGTCTCAAAAAGGTTACTAACTGCCAAATCAAATGGATACTCCAGTCCTTTTTCTTTTGTATTTGGTGTTTGAGTTTTTTCTTGAGATGGAGTCTTGCTCTTGTCGCCCAGGCTGGAGTGCAATGGTGCGATCTTGGCTCACTGCAACCTCCACCTCCTGGGTTAAGTGATTCTCCTGTCTCAGCCTCCTGAGTAGCTGGGATTACAGGCACCCGCCACCACGCCCGGTTAATTTTTACTATTTTTGGTAGAGATGGGGTTTCACCATGTTGGCCAGGCTGGTCTTGAATTCCCAACCTCAGGTGATCCCCCCCATCTCGGTCTCCCAAAGTGCTGGGATTACAGGCGTGAGCCACCATGCCCAGCCCTGTCTACTCTTCTTTATACCCATTGTCATTACCTTCCTTGGTTCCTAATCATCTCTCACCTGAAATATTGTAGCAACATAATAAAGTGTCTTACAATTCAACTAGCCCATGATAATGGTTTACTGAGTGGAGTATGGAATTTCCACTTAGGTGTTACTTCACCTGAGTTACTTCAAACTTCACCATTGTTACTTCATTTATTATTTTTTGAGACGGAGTCTCACTCTGTCGCCCAGGCTGGAGTGCAATGGTGCTAACTCGGCCCACTGCAACCTCCGCCTCCCGGATTCAAGGATTCTCCTGTCTCAGCCTCTTGAGTAACTGGGATTACAGGCACCTGCCACTACACCCAGCTTGGCCTTGCCCCTTGGATGCTTACTACAGTTACTGTGAATTATTCCCAGTTTGCAGAATGTAATAACTCTGAATCACTTTACATAGTTCTTTCTACCCAGAAGACCCCTTTCCCGATCTAACCCCTTTACCTGAATAAATTCTTCTACTTCATCAGATCTCAGCTTAGAAGCTATTTTCTGTGACAGGATTTTCCTGTCCTTCCTCCACCTCCTCAAATTGGGTAGGTTCCCCTATTCTGTGCTTCTAGAGCATTTTGTGTTTGTCCCTGTCTTAGCACCAATCCCTTCTAATTCCTTATCTGTCTGTTTTTATTATATCCCTCTGTATACTGTAAACTCCTTGAGGGCAGGAACCATGTTTTATTTTTTTTTTGGAGACAGAGTTTTGCTCTTGTTGCCCAGGCTGGAGTACAGTGACGCAATCTCGGCTCACTGCAACCTCCGCCTCCCGGGTTCAAGCAATTCTCGTGCCTCAGCCTCCCAAGTAGCTGGAATTGCAGGCATACACCACCACATCTGGCTAATTTTGTATTTTTAGTACAGACAGGGTTTCACCACATTGGTCAGGCTGGTCTCAAACTCCTGACATCAGGCCATCCGCCCGCCTTGGCCTCCCAAAGTGCTGAGATTACAGACGCGAGCCATCACGCCCAGCTGGAACCATGTTTTACGCACTTTTGTAGTCCCTGAAGTAAGGCCTTTACAAGCCTTATCTTGCTTAATCATCACAACCACCCTCATGGTAGGTACCATGTCGTTACTATTATGCAAGTAAGTAAATTGAGGCAGAGAGTTAAAGAAACTTGTTCAGAGTTATAAAAAAAAATCAGGATTTTAAAATTTTATTTTTTTCAAGATGAAGTTTCACTCTTATTGCCCAGGCTAAAGTGCTGTAGCTTGATCTCGGCTCACTGAAACCTCCGCCTCCTGGGTTCAAGCGATTCTCCTGCCTTAGCTTGCGGAGTATCTGGGATTACAGGTACCCGCCACCAGGCCTGGCTAATTTTTGTATTTTTAGTAGAGACGGGGGTTTCACCATGTTGGCCAGGCTGGTCTCGAACTTTTTTTTTTTTTTTTTTGAGACGGAGTCTCGCTGTCGCCCAGGCTGGAGTGCAGTGGCGCGATCTCAGCTCATTGCAAGCTTCGCCTCCTGGGTTCAGGCCATTCTCCTGCCTCAGCCTCCCGAGTAGCTGGGACTACAGGCGCCTGCAACCACGCCCGGCTAATTTTTTGTATCTTTAGTAGAGACGGGGTTTCACCGTGTTAGCCAGGATGGTCTCAATCTCCTGACCTCGTAGTGAGGAGCTGAGACTGTAGTGAGCCATGATTACACCACTGCATTCCAGCATTCCAGCCTGGGGGACAGAGACCCTGTATCAAAAAAAAAAAAAAAAAAAAAAAAGGCCAGGTGCGGTGGCTCATGCCTGTAATCCCAGCACTTTGGGAGGTTGAGGCGGGTGGATCACTCGAGGTCAGGAGTTCAAGACCAGCCTGGCCAACATGGCAAAACCCCGTCTCTACTAAAAATACAAAAATTAGCCGGGCATGGTGGTGCATGGCTATAGTCCCAGCTACTTGGTAGGCTGAGGCACGAGAATCGCTTGAACACAAAAGGTGGAGGTTGCAGTGAGCTGAGATCACACCACTGCACTCCAGCTTGGGCAACAGAGCAAGACCTTGCCTCAAAAACAAAACAAAACAAAACAAAAAACAAAAACAAAAAACCACAGCCAGGCGCGGTGGCTCACATCTGTAATCCTAGCACTTTGGGAGGCTGAGGCAGGTGGATCACCTGAGGTCAGGAGTTCAAGACCAGCCAGGGCAACATGGCGAAACCCCGTCTCTACTAAAAGTACAAAAATTAGCCAGGTGTGGTGGCAGTCACCTGTAATCCCAGCTACTCAGGTGGCTGAGGCAGGAGAATAGCTTGAACCCAGGAGGCAGAGGTTGCAGTGAGTTGAGATCTCACTACTGCACTCCAGCCTGGGCGACAAGAGTGAGACTCTGTCTTAAAAAGAAAAAAAAACCAACAGGCCAGGAGCAGTGGCTCAAGCCTGCAATCCCAGCACTTTGGGAGGCTGAGGTGGGTGGATCACTTGAGGTGAGGAGTTCAAGACTGGCCTGGCCAACATGGTGATACACCATCTCTACCAAAAATACAAAAATTAGCAGGGCATGGTGGCACATGCCTGTAATCCCAGCTACTCCGTAGGGTGAGGCAGAATCACTTGAACCCAGAGGTGGAGGTTCCAGTGAGCCAAGATCACACCACTACACTCCAGTGACGAAGTGAGACTCTGTCTCAGAAAAAAAAAAAAAAAAAAGCAACTATTATTAATTAATTACTTGTCCCTATTCCTCTGTATAGCTAGACCACCACTGCTGTAAGTTTAACACTGTAATATGATTTCTTCATGTGTAGGTCACCACTACAATGTAATCTCCTTGAAAGAGGCAGCCACATACAATTTACCTTGTATTTTAGCACAATGCCAGGCATATTGTGGACACTTATTAAGTAACTGCACTGTTTAAATACTACCCACCTTTCAAGGCCCAGTTAAATGTCCATTTCCACCACTTATGTTTACCTAATGAGTCCAGTCAGATTTTCTCTTCTCAGAATTCTACTACTTGACTAACCATATGCTATCTTGCATTATATGTAGAAGTGTCTCAATTAGGTTACATGTTCCTCTAGAGCAGAGATGACCTCTTACACTGTTTATCTGGCCAAAAACAGCTTATTTTTCCAACTGCAAAGCGAGTATTCAGCAGTCACTTGGGACTTAAAATATTGCAGCCCAACCACGGGAGGTCCCACTTTATCTTTACTAGTGAAGTCATCTGTCTTTAATAAAATTCAGCTAACAGCTTATCTCCTGACTCTCCTTCCCTTAGCTTAGCTACTGGAACTCTGCTTAGAACTATAAATCTGCCTGTATTTGTGTGCTGCTGTCATATCTCAGGTTCCCCAGGATGGAAGAGATCTTTCTTTTTAATCTCCCTCAAGACCCAGTAGAGGGCATTATACAGACGAGGGCTGCTTGTGTGGGTGCTGTTGGCTCACTGTGGATATATCCTCAATGGCAACTCTCCAAGTTATTTTTCTTTGCCTGTCTTTGATATGCCCAGCCCACACCAGCTTAAAATAAAAGCTGTTGGACAGTAACGGTGACTTCATCCCTGCCACCCTGTATATTAGATGGCTCAGCTTAGTGGCTTGTCAGCACAATCAGGTTGGAGGAGTGGAAGAACCTTTGATTCAACTCTTTGGGATAAAGACTTTAGAATACATCTAGCTAAAATAATGAGCAGGAATAACTATTAGAAGCATTGCAGAATCAGTTTGCTTTGCTTGCCTAGCCCTACAGTATGGGAGTGAAGGAGATGGACTGTCAAGTTTTAAAATGGGATACATCCTGCCAAGTGTGCAGTGGTGAAGAACTAAAAGGAAAAAAAAAAGGCTAAGGAGTAACATGAAATACAGATAGCCCCAAACATTTTTGGCACCCCAGGCTTCTTAAGGCCACAAATTAAAATTGAGGACCAGGGAAGCCAGGAATAGTGGGAAGAAATAATATAAAAGCCTAAGATACTAACTCAAGCTCTTCAGCTAACTAGCTTTTCTACTTTACAAGTAACTTATCTCTATACCTTAATTTCCTCACTTGTATTAAAATGAAATTGCACTAACTGCTGGGTGTAGTGGTTCACACCTGTAATCCCTGCACTTTGGGAGGCTGAGGTGGAAAGACTGCTTGAGGCCAGGAGTTCAGGAGCAGCCTACACAACAAAACGAGATCCTCTCTACAAAAGAAAGGATGAAAATATATTCTCAGCCAGGCGCAGTGGCTTATGCCTGTAATCCCAGCACTTTGGGAGGCTGAGATGGGAAGAGTGCTTAAGCCTGTGTTCTGAGACTCACCTGGACAACATGGTGAATCCTCATCTCTACAAAAAATAATTAGCCAGGTGTGGTGGTGTGTGCTTGTAGTCCCAGCTACTTGGGAGGCTGAGATGGGAAGATTACTTGAGCCCAGGAGGTTGAGGCTACAGTGAGTGTTTGCACCCTGCACTCCATTCTGGGTGACTGAGCAAGATCCTGCCTCTAAAAAAAAAAAAAAAAAGAAAGAAAGAAAGAAATTGAATGATCCCACATTCAGCCTCATAGACCTCACCTCATTCCCCAGCTGGCAAACACAAACCAGGGATAACATACTCAGGAGGAAATCATGGGATGGCTCACTAACCCCACCACAATAAACACCATTAACTTGTGTCTCTAGTTTAAATTTGTACTTGTTTTATTTTATTCATTTATTTTTTTTAGATGGAGTCTCGCTCTGTCGCCCAGGCTGGAGTGCAATGGCACAATCTCGGCTCACTGCAAACTCTGCCTCCTGGGTTCAAGCGATTCTCCTACCTCAGCCTCCCAAGTAAGTGGGATTATAGGCATGTGCCGCCACGCCCGGCTAATTTTTGTATTTTTAGTAGAGATGGGGTTTCACCATGTTGGCTAGGCTGGTCTCAAACTCCTGACCTCAAGTGATCCACCCACCTTGGCCTCCCAAAGTGCTGGAATTATAGGCGTGAGCCACCGTACACCCGCTGGAGTTTTTTCTCCTTTGGTAACCTTTCTTTTGTACGTTACATTCACAGGCAGCTTTTAACTTCTTTCAGTAGCAGGTTTCCAGCAATGCAGATTGGCACATCATGAGGAAAGAAATCACTCTGCCTCCTGCTGGCCACCAGCAGAAAGACTTGAGTTTCTTTTGGCTTATTACAAAGAAATAATATATTTCTTTTGGTTTGTCACATTTCTCCCTCACAAACATGGGAACTTGAAAAGGAATGGAAGACAGAGGGAAAAGGAGACTGGGCCTCCTTTTCTGCTAAACCTGGACTAGGCTTAGGTGTCAAGAAACCATTTAGATCAAATATCTTAAATGCCTCATTTTGTGAGCCACAAACTGAGGTTGATGCACCTTCTACATTGGTTACAGAAACAAAGGGATGGGCAAGGTTTATGCCAACATTCCTGCTCCCTTTCCTAAGTGATGGTATTGGGGAACTCAGCCGCATCTCACATTAACAATGTCTTCAGTATTGTTTTCTTCCCCCTCCCAAACCCCAATAAAACACACCAACTGCTTCAGAATATTTCTGGGTTGGGTTTTTTCATGGGTTTTTGTTTTGTTTATTTCGAATACTGAAAAAGTCCTTTGGGCTCTGTGGGGTTCCCCACGCTCACGGCTCCTTTCTCCCACACTCACTGCCCTTCTTCCCACAGCAAATCTATTTCAAGGACAGTACTTTTTAAAATGATTAATGTTGAGTTCTCAACTAGCTCTGCAGAACTAGAGGAGCTGTTTGCATCTGTCTGTGCGGATGGAGTTTCTTTTATCTGACACCAGGTCTCCAACCACACTGAAACAAGGCATTTATCTACAGAGCTCAACTAGAACCCCTTTTCATTAGGCTACTCCACTTCCTTCCCCTCATACCTACCCCACATCAGCCACGTGGTTAAGAAGGATAGTCAGGAATGTTTTTACCAACTCCAAGCCCTAATTCATACTCCTCCATATCTCCCACCCCACCCTTTCAACCCCACCCCCACCCCCAGAATTTCATTGATATTTCTCCCAACTGTTATTTGGAAAAAAGGTAAAACAAAAAAGGTTCAAGGTCTTGGTGCTCAGCCCAAGGGGCTCCATGTGCTGGGACACCAACAGGAAAGGGCTTCTGCCTCTCCAGCCCACACCCGAGCCACCTCCTGACCCCTGGCTGCAAAAGCAGGAAGGGGCAGGAGCCAGCACAGGACCCGGGTGGGGCAGGGAGGGGAAGCGTCTCAGGATCTGGCAGAGCCCCGGGCAGCATCATTCAACTTGGCCACTGCGGACGAACACAGAAGAAAAAAAAAAAAAACAACACTGTCAAGTAATAGGGGAAAAAAACCCTGAACTCCAACCCAGTCTCTACCCCATGATTCCTCCACATTTAACAACCATTAGGCTACCTGGCATGTCTCAATCCTATCCATAAGGGAGTTGCAAAAAAAATCAAAAAATAGAATTTCAGTCTTTTCCTATCCACGAAACAACGTTATCTGCCTTTCTGGGATATCCATGGATAACAAACATAGAAAAATAATTCTTTAGATAAGATCAAAATAACTGGAGGTTTCCAGGTGGGTAAGCTGCCTGGCTCAGAGCAGGCTGTTTCAGAGGCATGGCCACAGCTACTTGCAAAGACTGAGGTAGCACAGAGATGAGGTGGTGACTGTGTGGAGGCCAGAACCAGACCACACACATGCTGTTCTGAATGGATTTAATAATCTAGGTTTAATCAAAGCAATTTGCATTTGGATTTTGGAATGACCACTCCTTGCTAAGGAAGCTATGTACTTCATGCTGTGGAAACTGGCAAATACAGAATGTAGCTTGTTTGTTTTCTTAGCCTTGAAGATGACCAGGTAGAGAGACAGAGTGAGACCAACAGTTTTTCTGATTTCCCTGCTCCTCCTATTCCTTCCTAAAAATCAGACTCATTGTGACCAGTAGTCTTGAGGACTCAAGCTGAATGATAGAGAAGGCAGCTCAGACAGAAAAGAAAAAAAGTACAGAATTTGAGAAGATCGGAGATGAAGAAAACGTACAAAATTATATATATATTTATATATATAATAACATGACATATCTATGTACAACATGGCTGGGACAGTTGAAGAAACTATACAATGGTGTTCAGCATTTTCCCCTTCCCAGATGGACTTTAAGGATGACAGCATGAGGAAATGGAGCAAGAAACACAAAAATTATATACAATTACAAGTGACAGTCAAGGAGTTTGGGGACCAGGGAGTCCAGGGATCCTGCTCTCTCCATTCCTTCCTCACCAACTTTCTCCTATCCAATTTGAATGACAGCCTGAACACTGAATGGCCAGTCAGGAGAAAGGCATATACACACCTCATCCCCCCACATGCACATCAGCAAGTCTATCAGTCATTCTCATTGGGCCAAATGTTTGGCATATCAGAATTTGTGATGTGAGAGGGCAAGAGGATTACAGAATCTTGCTCTCTTGAGCATTAGTTCTCACCCTGGTCCTCTCTGTCATAACTAGCAAGTTGCGTTCAATAAAATTCTAGCCAAGCTGGTGGTAACTAGATTGAAGATGCTGGTCACCTGCAACCCCTTTCCTCCACCTGTTCATGAGTCAGCATGGCTACCTCTCCTCATGATAAAAGAGCTGGGTTGCTGAGTTCTGGGGATGCAGAGATTTCTCAGTCTTCCTCCTCTCCCTCCCTAACCACTTTCCCCAGCTTCCTCCAAGGTGAATCATCTTCTAAGAACCTGTTCCTCCAGCCCTGCAGGAGTACTCAGCCCCAGGGGCTAGCTCAGTTTACCCTTCTTCCTCTTTCCCTAACAATATACCTGGCATCAGACTGCATCTGAAACATGGGTCAACACATGTGCATGACTGAGCATGTTTCCTCAGGCCTGCAGCTCCGCTGCCAGAGAAGCTTTTTAGCAGCTAAGGCCCAGAGGTAGGCTGGGAAAGTGGGCTGGGTCAGAGGCAAGAAGCTTCCATGGCTAGCTTCCTAAGTATTTTTTTTTGACCCTCAAGACTGTGATATCTATAAGGTTCTCTTGCCTGAATTTATAATCCCCAAACCTCAATTTACTCTCTCCTCATGTATCCCTCAAATGGTTCCCCTCTGTAGTACTTTCCCAGTATTACAGAGCAGAGGTTCACCACCCACGAGCCTTCCTCACTTTTAGTTTTACAATGAACAGTATGGAGTTTTTCTGCTGGCAGTTAAGACTTCAGAATCAGAATCAATCTTACATACATTTAACTCTATTTTACAGATGAGGAAATAGAAATCCAGAGAGGCTAAATGACTTAATCAAGGTTATACAACAGCTCTGCTGGGACTGAGTAGAGTGAGAACCCAGATATCTTGACTCCTAAACCAGTGCTCGTCCCACTATCCCATGATACTTTCAAAAGCAACATGCTGGAAGAGAGAGAGAAGGTGCCCATTTTCTGTGAATAATGTTCATCAATCTTTATATTATTTGAGAGCCAGAGCAAACTGTAAGAGATACTAAGTAATGGAGGCTAAGGGGGCACTGTAGTTTTAGGCAAGCAAGTCAATTTTTCTTTTTAAGGATTCTCTAAACCTGCCATAATGGAAACATGAAGCAATAGCAGCCTAAGGGACAGAACACTTAGAAGCACAGAAAACATGTCTCATTCAATCTACCTTTCCCAACTACGTTAGGTTAGCCTTGGGATGTTAAACCTGCCAAACTATTCCCAAGGCTCAGCCTAATCAATTTTGGGACATTCTCTCCCAAAAGGAGAAATCACATCTCTCCAGTTTCTCACACAAAAAAAGCATTTGCAGCATTATCCAATCCTAGCCTTTCCTATTTCTGGGCCCTACCTGGACTACAGGGAGTGTGTGGAAGTGTCAATCTAACGAAATAAATAAACTTAGAGCCCCTTTTCAACCTACATTACCTTCTCAGCAGCCCCCAGCAGAATCACAGTCATTTCTGGCTAGCAAGCTGAGAAGATCTGACTAGGTGCCCATTTCATCCCTGCCTATAATATATAAACGTCCAGTGGTTGAGGAAGGGGAGGAGAGGGGGGCTCAGGTTACCCCGCAAGCTTGCTGGTGACGAGCGAGGACTTTCTCTGGGGCAGATCCTGTGGGGTGGGGATGTGATCACCAGTCACCAGGTTCTTGTCTGGTCCTGCACTTGGCAGCTGCTTATTCTTCATCTTGGCTTTGGCCATGTTGTAGTCTCCTGAGTCAAAGTACTTTTGCTAAGAGATAAGAGGGAGGTTTAGGTGAGTGAGGACTCTGGCCTTCCTCAAAAACAAGGAGACTCACATCTCACATCCATTATAAACCCTCATGCACACTCGGATCTTTCAAGAAGTCTTCCTTGATTAACCTCATGCATACACAGTTTAACATTAATTACATGTACTTATGTCTTCTCCCCAGTGTGTTCTGACTTTTTCAGGTACATAAGCAATTTCCCAGCTAGAGTATATAGTTTTGGAGTCAAGGGATAGCCCCTGCCATCCTTTGTACTCCACTCAGTAGAGGATCGTTCCACCAAAATCACTTATTCATAAAGGGTAACTGAGGACCTTACTGGGTACAGGGCAATAGCCTGGAACTGGAGAAACAGAAATGAATAAGATATAGAGAAGGATAAATATGGGGCTATCCTAGCCACCAGGAGATCAACCACAAGCCAACAACCTCAAAATGATTATTCTCCCAGACCAGGAATAGAAACTGGGCCTGTTCATGAGGATAATGTATTTTCCTTCTGACTCTCACAGCTCCCACACATGTTCCATGACTGTGACAGCCTGCCCACGCCTGCCTTGCCTCCAGCAAGGTAAATGCAAATCAGCATCACATTATCATCTGTGACTAAGACTCAATAACTGGGATCCTCCACAGGGATGTTTCACCCACCATTTCATCCGCACAGAGAAGCACACTCCAATGTAATGATTTATAATCCTACAGTCATTGCAGAGGAGAGTAAGGAAAATAAAAAAATTTTTTTTTGAGATGGAGCCTCGCTATGTTGCCCAGGCTGGAGTGCAGTGGCACGATCTCGGCTCACTGCAAGCTCCGCCTCCCGGGTTCACGCCATTCTCCTGCTTCAGCCTCCCGAGTAGCTGGGACTACAGGCGCCCGCCACCACACCCGGCTAAGTGTTTGTATTATTAATAGAGACGGGGTTTCACTATGGTCTCGATCTCCTGACCTCGTGCTCCGCCCGCCTCGGCCTCCCAAAGTGCTGGGATTACAGGCGTGAGCCACTGCGCCTGGCCAAATTTTTTTTTTAAAAAACGATAATATAATCCCTCAGTCAGCTTTAGGTACCTTTGGGAACTAAAAATCTGATCAGGAGCTACATGGCTATGAAAGTAGACTCTCTCTTGGTAAGGAGGACCACTCTGAACAAGAAAAATACATTTGCTGCAGGAGTATAATTAATGGCTGGTGCTCACTTCAAGGGTATGAAGAAACTGATTCATTTCAAGTTGAGGATTTATTTCTGTAGGAGAGATGGTTTGATCTTCTTCTGAAATGATGCATCCCAAAATTTATCTCTAATGCTTAAAAAGTGCACAATCCTAAAACCTCCAACATTCAAACAGGCAAATGCCTGGGGGCAGTCTGCATTTCAGTTTCTAACATCTTTCCCTCATTTCCCCACACACCCAAATGCTCCAATTTAGGCCTTAATTTCCTACATGGGAAATCAGGAGGGAATTGATACCACATCAGGGATTTACATTAATTTGACTTGCTCTTTTCAAATTTCAAATTCGCCTCTACTTCTGTTCAACAACAAAACCTCCAGAAAAGGATCCAGTAGAACCTCTACAGACTTCATTCGAAGAACCTCCTTTAGCTCCAAAGAAAGAGGGTAAGAGACTATGCCCCATACCCCTTTCTGGAGTCTCTTCATGAGGAAGTCGGAGCCTCCAGGCTTTTGTCCTAGGCTTGGGTATTTGGCCTTTAGCTTTGCCTCTTCAGCTCTCTCAGGCAGAATACCTTCTTTCTCCTGCGTGTCCTGGAGAAAACAAATGAGCCAAATAAAATTAAAGACTGAGAAACAACAGCTTCTCACATCTGATAACAACTATACTATCAACTTCTCCTGGAAATCCACCCACTTGTAAATACGCTATCTCTACTCTGCTGTTAAAGCTAGACCTTTGTTAAAATCCCTAAAGCTCAAGATGACTATTGTGAGAGAAAAAGACAAGCTGCTTCTCACACTTCACCCAAGGAACCAGCCAGGGACCTGTGCGTATTGGGCTAAAGGTAATACTAAACACAATACTTTAATCACAGAGTGGGCCATATCACTCAGCACAAATGCTAAGAAAGACAAAGAGAAAAAAGCAGGGCTTCTGGTGATAGAGGATGAGTAGCAGGGTTCCCTAGGCTATCCTACATGTCACATGAGAAATTAAAAAAAAAATAGTTTGGGGCTGGGAGCAGTGACTCATGCCTGTAATCCCAGCACTTTGGGAGGCTGAGGCAGGTGCATCACTTGAGCTCATGAATTCACTACCCGCCTGGGCAATATGTTGAAACCCCGTCTCTACAACAACAAAAAATAGTTTGCTAAATGTTTCCTCCTTATTTTTTTCTTTCTTTTTTAAAATTGCTACACGACAAAGCAGTTCCTTCTTTATTCAAGGTCTAAGCCACCTGTTAGGTCTCCCTGTGGAGGCGGCTAGCTATGTGGCCTTCTCCAAAGATCTCCACCTGAGTAATGGCACAGCCTTGCTTCAACATTTCCACAAATATTATGGTAGCAAGCTGATAAACAGAGAGGAAAATGATACTGTTTTTAACCTCAGGAAAACAAAGATACAGTAGGCTCACTAGTATTTACCCACCAGTTTTCATCAAAAAAATCAATACCTACCCTGGTGGTGCAGGGACTCTCACTACTGTAGTCAATCTCTTTTTTTTTTTTTTGTGGTCCCTGCTGCCCTTTAGTGACTTTTTGAAAAGATATGAAGTCAACGTATGACTCTTTTTAGTGGAATTATATTCCTTTCTCTTGGAAATTACGCATAGATATAACACCAAGTGTATTTAATGAGTACCTGAACCCAGTACTAAATTTTAAAAGTCAAATACAAACCCCAATAAGGGGTTTATTTGGCGTTAGTGTTTCCATCACGGAATCGCAGGTGCACTAAGTCCCTGCCTTGGAAGTCTAGGGGAAGAGAGAAGTGTCTTTCTCACGACCCTGTCGGCGTCTTTTCCAAGTTTAATTACCATGATTCTGTTTGGAACTCTAGCCCTCTTCAATATTGCTGGGTCCTCACTGAAGGTGAGCAATAGACCATCCTTAGCTACTAAAATAGGTCTCTTGAGAAAGTTGCCGCCTTAAACTAGCCATTATAATAACTACACTTCTCCCCTCCCCCAATACTGGTTTTTTTTTAAACGTCTTTACCTCGACCCCTATCTTTGCGGATTGAGGCTGCGGGCCCCAGCCCGGTTGCTGGGTCACTTACCTCTACAAACCAATAACACACATCACACCCAAGACCACCAGCCATCCCCTTTCCATTCACCGTCTTTCCAACCACCCGCCCCACGTCCATGCTCGGCCAATTATAGCACAGCGTCCAAGGTTTGAGCGGTAGGCCTATTGGCCAATCAGGAAGAGTACAGTACTGAGTGACAAACGACCCAACTAACCAGCGCCAAAGCAGCATGTCGTGTTGAAGCTCACCCAGCGTGACGCAAAAAGTGGCCAACCCCTGCGGAGCCTGAGACCATGGCGACCAATCCGCACTGGTGGGAGACCGTCTCCCGCCCCATCACGGTCTCCCCAGCTCGCCCGCCCGCACCCCTTCCACTTCACCTGCTTCTCCTCGCCGGTCTCCTCCGCAGGGTTCTCTTCTTCTTGTTTCTGGGACATGGCGGGACCGGGACTGTGGAGTGTAAGGGGCCCGGGAAGGCAACCGGAGAAGGGAAGGGGGAGGGGAAACGGGGACAACCTGCGCTGCTGCTTCGGCTCCTGTCACTAGGGTTGCTCAGTCAAAATGGCGGCCCTTGCCCGTGACGTTGCGACCGCCCCTTCCTATGAGAGCCAGTGGGAGTGAGGTAGATAGGGCAATGACGTAACGATCTACCAATAGTCGCCGTCTAAAGGTGGGCTCTATAGAGGCGACCGGCAAGCTGGAACACCAACCTGGAAAGAGAGTGAGCCACAAGGACCAATTGGAAGCCTGTGGGGGATATCGGGGGCGGGGCTGCTGGCTGTGGTACTTTTGCAGCTTTGGTGGGCTCCGGCTTCCTTCACTCCAGCCCACCGCGTCCGAGAGACTTAGCAGGGCGTCAAACTGGAGAGCGGAAGGATGGAACCTTTTATTCTCAGGTGGAGAGGATTAAGCTTTGCGGTGTTAGCAGAAAATGATCGAGCTCCAGAAAATGATTTGGAGGTCAGATTCGATTTTAAAGTAGTACTAACAGGCCGGGCGCGGTGCCTCACGCCTGTAATCCTAGCACTTTGGGAGGCCGAGGTGGGCGGATCACCTGAGGTTAGGAGTTCGAGACCAGCCTGACCAACATGGTGAAACCCCGTCTCTACTAAAAATACAAATATTAGCCGGGCGTGGTGGCGGGCGTTTGTAATCCCAATTACTTGGGAGGCTGAGGCAGGAGAATCGCTTGAACCCTGCAGGCGGAGGTTGCAGTGAGCCGAAATCGCGCCACTGCACTCCAGCCTGGGTGACAGGACGAGACTTTGTCGCGAAAAATAAAATAAAACGGTACCAATGGTATTACGATGTGTCACTTGGCCTGTGGAAGAGAGAGACTGAGTCTCAACCCGAGCTGTCTTGCAAAACACTAATGGCTTACGTTCCGTAGTTTCACTCTTATGTGTAGTTTTTATATTCCATCAGGGTGATCCCTTGGGGACTACGCTCCTTGAAACAAGGAGGACAGTGTAAGTATGTGGTAAACATTTGGTAAATACGGTTAATACTAGTTAACCTATCCAGAATTACAGTTTAACATTTCCTGGGCGTCTGTCTGTATGTGGATGGTACTGTGTTAGTTGGGGGGGGTACGTGTATAGTAAGGCAGTCTCTGCCCTTAGAAAGCTTACAGGCCTGGCTGGGCGCGGTGACTCACGCCTGTAATGCCAGCACTCTGGGAGGCGTAGGCGGGCGAATCACTTGAGGTCAGGAGTTCGAAACCAGCCTGGCCAACATGGTGAAACCCTGTCTCTACTAGAAATACAAAACAAGGCTGGGCACGGTGGCCCACGCATGTAATCCCAGCACCTTGGGAGGCCGATGAGGGTGGATCATGATGTCAGGCGATAGAAACCATCCTGGTCAACATGGAGAAACCCCGTCTCTACTAAAAATACAAAAATTAGCCAGGCGTGGTGGCGTGCACCTGTAGTCCCAGCTACTCAGGAGCCTGAGGCAGGAGAATCGCTTTTACCTGGGAGGCGGAGGTTGCAGTGAACCGAGATCGCATCTCGCCACTGAACTCCAGCCTGGGTGACAGTGAGAGTCCGTCTCAAAAAAAAAAAAAAAAAAAGAGTGGCAGATAAGAAGTGCTCTTTATGGAGATAATTTGGTGGTAATGAATAAAAAGACTCAGAATTCCAAGCAGAAAACTACCAGAGATGAACAGTCTAGCCGAGTCCTCTGCAAACGTTAGGTGGGAGATAATTAGGATTTAACCTAGAAACGTAGTAGTTAAGAATAGAAAATAGTGAACCTAACCAAGAGAGTCTGTGACAATGGAATCCACTAGACTAGCAGCTGACTGAATAGAGAATGAGAAGACTGTGTGCCTCAAGGTGATTATTTATAGAAACAATAAATTCAAGAAGAGGAGTCAATTTGGGAATGGAGCTGAAAAGCAGAGAGAAAATAAGGCATTCAGTTTTGAAAACATGGACTTTTTTTTTTTTTTTTTTTTTTTTTTGAGACGGAGTCTCGCTCTGTCACCCAGGCTGTAGTGCAGTAGCACAATCTCAGTTCCCTACAACCTCTGCCTCGCGGGTTAAAGTGATTCTCCTGCCTCAGCCTCCCGACTACAGGTGTGCGCCACCATGCCCGGCTGATTTTTGTATTTTTAGTAGAGACAGGGTTTCGCCATGTTGGCCAGGCTGGTCTCAAACTCCTGAACTCAGGTGACCTGCCTGCCTCGGCCTCCCAAATGCTGGGATTACGGGCGTGAACCACCGTGCCCGGCCTGAAAACATGGACTTTATTAAAAGCGAATGAACCATTTGGTGGAGACATCCAGGCAATGAAGACTTAGGATAAATGACCTCTAAGATCTCCATATCTGAAATTTAAGGGTTCTAGGAAATGTAAGTGTGGGAGTTTGGGAGAAAAGTAGACGCTGAAGATGTACAAATTTTGGACTTTTTCACATAAATGTAAGTAAAGTTGTGGAAGTTGATGGGATCACAAAGGAGAATGTAGGAAAAAAAGAGGTTCCAGTCAGGTGCGGTGGCTTACACCTGTAATCCCAACACTTTGAATGGTCAAGGTGAGAGGATCGCCTGAAGCCAGGAGTTTGAGGTTACAGTGAGCTATGATCATGCCATTGCACTCCAGCCTAGGCAACAGAGTGAACCCGTCTCTTAAAAAAAAAAAAAAAAAAAAAACTCCCAAGACAGAAACGTGGGGAAAAGTTGGCAAAAGACATACAAATGATCAGAGTGGTAGGGAGAGAATTAGAAGAGAGAAGAGCCATGGAAAGCAAATGAAGAAAGGGAGGGCAGGTTGTCAATGTTAAATGTGATACAGAAATTAAAGATGGAGGTGATAGAGGTCAATCGCAAGACGTTAAGGAGCGAGGAGGTGGTACCAATATTGAACAGTGGTAGCAATATTTAACAGTAAAGCAAGGAAAGGGCAGAGCTGTAGCAGCAGATTTTCTTTTGGGGAATAGGCAAGACTCAAGCATGTTTTTAGAAAAGGCGAATGAGGCTGGATGTGGTGGCTCACGCCTGTAACCCCAGCACTTTGGGATTCATCTAAAAGATGAATAATTCTTTTGGGAAATACTTTCTGATCAAGCTATTTCTAATTCCAAGCTCTGCTTAAGAATAATGTGTAAAAACTATGATTGCTAAAGGAACGATTGATTTAAATTATACATTTGTCCTTTTTTTTGAGACTGAGTTTAATTCTTGTTGCCCAGGCTGGAGTGCAATGATGTGATATCTCGGCTCACTGCAACCTCCCCCTCCCAGGTTCAAGTGATTCTCCTGCCTCAGCTGTGGGGAAAAGAAAGAGAGATCAGACTGTTACTGTGTCTGTGTAGAAAGAAGTAGATATAAGAGACTCCATTTTGTTCATCTTGTGAGTCGATGGCGCACGATTGCGGTGTTTCTGTCTCCGTGGAGGTGCTTTTCTTTGCATCTCCGATGGGTTCATTGTAGAACTTCAAATGTCTAGTGGGTATCCAAACAGGAAGCTGATTTTCTCCTGGTGAAACACAAGCAAAACCTCTCCCCCATGTTACCACCTTCCCTATTTCCCATGTCTTATTTTTATTATCTTTCTACCAAATCAGTTTTCCTTCATGTGGGCTGTTCTTTTTACCAGTAAGATGTTGTTCTGCAGAAGTAGTAGTCTGATTTCTATAAATGTTTAAAAAATATAAAGTGCTAGATTAAGTTGCATCTGAGGCGTGGTACATTCCTTACTGTCTCCCCCTTCTTTTTATTTAACTAATTGAGTTTTGAGTGTTCTATTAGTTCTTTCAACTATGGCCTGTCCTTGGGAATTATAAGGAATTCCTGTTGTATGTGAAATTTTCCACTGACTTAAGAATTTTTGGAAAGCTTTACTACAGTATCCTGCCCCATTGTCAGTTTTAATTTTTTCTGGAACTCTCATTACAGCAAAACAAGGTAATAAATGTTTTTTAACATGGGAAGTACTTTCTCCTGTCTGGCAGGTTGCCCATATGAAATGTGAATAAGTATCAACTGTTACATGAACATATAATAATCTTCCAAATGAAGGTACATGCGTGACATCCATTTGCCGTAATGCATTAGGACACAGACCCCTGGGATTAACTCCTGCCTCTTGAGTGGGCAGGTGTAGGACTTGACACTGGGTGCAATGTCGTACAATATCTTTTGCCTGTTTCCATGTGACATCAAATTTGTTTTTTAATCCTGCTGCATTTACATGAGTCAAAGCATGAAATTTTTGTGCTTTTATGAATGCAGATGATACCAGTAAGTCAGCTGGTTCATTTGCTTTAGTCAAAGGCCCTGGTAAATTAGTGTGTGCTCGAATATGAGTAATATAAAATGGGAAATTTCTTTTTCTTACAGTTTGTTGTAATAAATTGAATAGCTGGTTTAACTGATCATCCATGCTATATTTAATTAGAGCTGTCTTTACATCCCTTGTAGCCTGTACTACATATGCAGAATCTGATACAATATTGATAGGTTGATCAAAATCTTGTAACACTGTAATGACTGCAACCAACTCTGCCCTTCGAGCCAATTGATATTGAGTTTTGATTACTTGCTCTTTTGGCCCTGTGTAAGCCGCTTTTCCATTGCTGGAACCATCAGTAAACACTGTCAGAGCATTTTCTAAAGGTTCACGTCTGGTAATTTTAGGTAGAATCCAAGTAGTTAATTTTAAAAACTGGAAGATTTTTGTTTTTGGGTAATGATGATCAATAATTCCCACAAAATTAGCAAGACCAATCTGCCATGCACCAGAATTGATAAAGGCTTGTCTAACTTGTTCCTTGGTTCAAGGGACAACTATTTTGTCTGGGTCATTTACACACAATTTTATTATTTGTAATCTTGCCTGACCAATTAATGTAGCTATTTGATCCAAGTACAATGTAAAAGTCTTAATTGTACTGTGAGGAAGGAATGACCACTCCACAAGATCAGTATTTTGAACAGTGATGCCTGTTGGAGAATGTGCAGTAGCAAAAACCAAAAGTTGGAGTGGGGCTAAGGGATCTATTCTATTTATTTGCACTGACTGAATTTTTTGTTCCACTAATTTAATTTCTTTTATTGCCTCTGGGGTTAATATTCTCTTACTATTTAAGTCTGAGTCTCCTCTTAAGATAGAGAACCAATTTTCGAAGCATCAAAAGCCCATTTAAATTTGGTACCAGAAACTGAGGCAATCGCAGGAGTGACTGATGGCCTCGCAAATCTTAACCCTGTCACTTGGGTTAAGACCATCGGAAGTACTACTATTATAAATTTCGTATTAATCCTTGTGTGCCTGTTTTATCTGTTGTTAGTCTGCAGGTGTACCCAGCAGCTCCGAAGAGACAGCGACCATCGAGAACAAGCCATGATGATGATGGTGGTTTGTCGAAAAGGAAATGGGGAAATGTGGGGAAAAGAGAGATCAGACTGTTACTGTGTCTGTGTAGAAAGAAGTAGACATAAGAGACTCCATTTTGTTCTGTACTAAGAAAAATTATTCTGCCTTGAGATGCTGTTAATCTGTAACCCTACCCCCAACCCTGTGCTCCCTGAAACACGTGCTGTGTCAACTCAGGGTTAAATGGATTAAGGGCTGTGCAGGATGTGCTTTGTTAAACAAATGCTTGAAGGCAGCATGCTTGTTAAGAGTCATCATCACTCCCTAATCTCAAGTACCCAGAGACAATACGCTGCGGAAGGCCGCAGGGACCTCTGCCTAGGAAAGCCAGGTATTGTCCAAGGTTTCTCCCCATGTGATAGTCTGAAATATGCTGGCCGGGAAAGACCTGACCGTCCCCCAGCCCAACACCCGTAAAGGGTCTGTGCTGAGGAGGATTAGTAAAAGAGGAAGGAAGGCCTCTTTGCAGTTGAGATAAGAGGAAGGCATCTGTCTCCTGCTCGTCCCTGGGCAATGGGATGTCTCGGTGTAAAACCCGATTGTATGTTCCATCTACTGAGATGGGGAAAACCGCCTTAGGGCTGGATGTGGGACATGCTGGCAGCAATACTGCTCTTTAAGGCATTGAGATGTTTATGTGTATGCACATCAAAAGCACAGCACTTTTTTCTTTACCTTGTTTATGATGCGGAGACGTTTGTTCACATGTTTTCCTGCTGACCTTCTCTCCACTATTACCCTATTGTCCTGCCACATCCCCCTCTCCGAGAAACGCCCAATAATGATCAATAAATACTGAGGGAACTCAGAGACTGGTGCCGGTGCGGGTCCACTGTATGCTGAGCGCCACTTCCCTAAGCCCACTTTTCTTTCTCTATACTTTGTCTCTGTGTCTCCTTCTTTTCTTAAGTCTCTCATTCCACCTGACAAGAAATGCCCACAAGTGTGGAGGGGCAGGCCACCCCTTCACTCAGCCTCCTGAGTAGCTGGGATTGCAGGTGCGCGCCACCATGTCTGGCTAATTTTTGTGTTTTTAGTAGAGGCGGGGTTTCACCCTGTTGGCCAGGTTGGTCTTGAACTCCTGACCTCAGGTGATCCACCCATCTGGGCCTCCCAAAGTTCTGAGATTACAGGCATGAGTCACCGTGCCCAGCCCATTTATCCTTGATATAGCTAAATTACTGAGCATTAGGAAGGGTGGAACTTTCAGCCTGTAAAATATGAGTGAGGTTTCACAAAAACTAGCACAATGTCTGGGGCCCAGATTATTCTATTTGTGACTGGGCGGGAAGAGGTATATATATAGTAATTTTTGTATTTTTAGTAGAGACGGGGTTTCACCATGTTGGCCAGGCTGGTCTTGAACTCCTGACGTTAAGTGATCCATCTGCCTCCCAAAGTGCTGGGATTACAGGTGTGAGCCACCACTTTGGGCCATAGATCGGGTGATTGGGGGAAGACCTGAGGTATCTGAGCAGAAATCTGGTTGGGGAGTGAGCCAACAGTTATCTGGAGGGAAACTGGTTCAGGCAGAGGGAAGAGCAAATCCAAAGCTCCTAAAGCAAAAGCATATTTTTGGTGTATTTGAGAAACAGCAAGAAGGTCAATGTAGCTAAGAGCCGGAATAAGAGAAGAGATGCAGGCAGGGATGAGATTGTTTTTGGCTTCTTAGGTCATGGTAAGAACTTGGATTTTATTTTTTGTGTAATGGGCACCCATCAGATGGTGTTGAGGAGGGGACTGACACAAAATCATTTAGGTATTAAACTGATCCTTCCGCTGCTCCATGGGGACCCAGAGTGGAAGTAGTAGCAGGAAACCAATTAGGCTTTTACAATAGTTCAGGTAAGAGATGACAGTGACTTGGACTAGGGTGTAGTAGCTATGGAGATGGTTGAAAATGGCTAGATGTGGGATCTATTTTAAAGGTACCACCAACAGCATTTGCAGACTCAAGGATGATTTCAAAGTTTTGGGTCTGAGCAACTAGGTGAATGATAACATTGTTTACTGAGACGGGGAGGCCTTAAGTAGAAGGTTTAGGAGGGAAAATATAGATTTTGCTATGGACACATTATATTCTATACAGACATAATTTAAAATAGTTACCAGGTCCATCAATTGATGGATAAACTATGGTATATCCATACATTGGAATATTATTTGTTAATAAAAATAAATGGTCAGGCGCAGTACCTTAAGCCTGTAATCCCAGCACTTCAGGAGGCTGAGGCGGGTGGAGTGCAGTGGCACGATCTCAGCTCACTGCAACCTCTGCCTCCCAGGTTCAAGCCATTCTCCTGCCTCAGCCTCCGGAGTAGCTGGGATTACAGGCGCCCGCCACCACGTCCGGCTACTTTTTGTATTTTTAGTAGAGATGGGGTATCACCATATGGGCCAGGCTGGTCTTGAACTCCTGACCTTAGGCGATTCACCCGCCTCGGCCTCCCAAAGTGCTGGGATTACAGGCGTGAGCCACTGCACCTGACCACTATTCACTTTAAATGGGTATACTGTATGGTATGTGAATTATAATCGCAATGAATCTATTCTAAAAATATAGTTATTGAAAATATATAATTATAAAAAGCATTATGAAGCTATTCCCCCCCACACCAGAAGCTATTTTAATAAAAGATTTTAACCTACTAGAAATAAAAGGAAAATTAAGTAGTCAAGAGTTCTAATCCTTCTCTGTTAACCACAGGAAACCTGGCTGTTTGGACTGGGTGTCTGTGTCAACAGACCACCACCAACCTGGAACAGTATTTGCTAATAACAAGCAAAGTATTCCTGAGTAATAATAGCTTCTTGATTGTTGGACTCCCATAAAGCAGTCATTATTAAGCTTTTTAACTTTTTTTTTGTTGGGGTGGGGGTGGTGTGCGTAAAGTATTGCATTATGTTTACTTTAGTATATATTGCCACCAGTTTTTCCAAATCTGATCTTTGAGAATCTGGTATAAACTATGGTTCTTCTGTCCCCCAAATGTGCTTAAGCACAAATACATACATGCAATATTATACGTATTTTAGGATGTACATAGATCCCCTGAAACCAACCAATGCAGCTCAGTTTCTATAAAATTAAAGCAAGGTCACAGGAATTAACAGTGGCTTTTATTTATCCAGACTTCTGCTCAGCACAATCATATGCTCATAAATATATGACTTGACAGTTCCAAAGACCTGCAGTATGGCTGGTTGGGGTATAAATTGGTACAACATACTTTGGAAAGCTGGTGGCAATATATACTAAAGCTGTACATAATCCAAAACCCATGACCTTGCAATCCCTCTCCTAGGTATATATACCCGATTGAAATGCATTCTTTGCGATGCGGGTAAAGAGGGGATGGTTAATGGGTACACAAAATATAGAAAGAAAAGTAAGATCTAGTATTTGCTATCACAACAGGGTGACTATAGTAAAAAATAATTGTTCATTAAAAAATAACTAAAAGAGAGGCCAGGTGCGGTGGCTCATGCCTGTAATCCCAACACTTTGGGAGGCCGAGATGGGTGGATTGCCTAAGGTCAGGAGTTCGAGACCAGCCTGACAAACACGGTGAAACCCTGTCTCTATTAAAAATACAAAAACTAGCCAGGCATGGTGGCAGGTGCCTGTAATCCTAGCTACTCGGGATGCTGAGTGTGGAGAATCGCTTGAACCTGGGAGGCAGAGGTTGCAGTAAGCCAAGGTTGCGTCATTGCACTCCAGCCTGAGCAACAAGAGTGAAACTCCATCTCAAACAAACAAGCAAACTAAGAGTATAATTGGATTGTTGGAAACATAAAGGATAGATGTTTGAGGTGATGAATACTGTATTTACTCTGATGTAATTATTACACATTGCATGCCTATATCAAACATCTCATGTAACCCATAAATATATACACCCACTATGTATCCACAAAAATTAAAAAAGAGCCCGGGCATGGTGGCTCACATCTGTAATCCCAGCACTTTGGGAGGCCAAGGCGGGCGGATCACCTGGGGTCGGGAGTTCGAGACCAGCCCGACCAACACGGAGAAACCCTGTCTCTACTAAAAAATACAAAATTAGCCGGGCGTGGTGGCGCATGCCTCTAATCCCAGCTACCCGGGAGGCTGAGGCAGGAGAATCACTGGAACCTGGGAGGCGGAGGTTGTGGTGAGCTGAGATCGTGCCATGGCACTCCAGCCTGGGCAATAAGAGCAAAACTCCGTCTCAAAAAAAAAAAAAAATTAAAAAAGAAATGCATTCTTATGTTATACCAAAACACATATTCATAGTAGTTCTATTTATAGTTGCCCCAAACTAGGTCAATCAAATCTTCAAAAAAAGTAAAATAGTTAATTCATGGTCACAAAACATACATATTTCATAATTTCATTTGTATAAACCTCAAAAGCAAAACCAATCTATGGTATTTCAAGTCAAGATTGTGGTTACCTTTAAGGGAGAAAATAGCAACTGGGAAAAGGTATGAGGGGGGATTCTAGGGTGCTGGTAACGATCTGTTTCTTGATTTGGGTGCTGGCTATATATGTTCACTATTCATTTTTTAAAAATAGACACAGAGTCTCACTATGTTGCCCAGGCTGGTCTTAAACTCTTGGCCTCAAGCAGTCCTCCCACCTCGGCCTCCCAAAGTGCTTGGATTACGGGAGTGAGCCACCATTCCCAGCTAGCCACCTCATTTAAAATAGTATTACTTGGCCGGGTGCAGTGGCTGACGCCTGTAATTCCAGCACTTTGGGAGGCCGAGGCGGGTTGGGATCAAGCCAGCCTGGCGAACATGGTGAAACCTCAACTCTCCTAAAATTACAAAATTAGTAATCGAGACCATTCTGGGTAACATGGTGAAATCCCATCTCTACTAAAAATACAAAAAATTAGCTGGGCATGGTGGCGGGCGCCTGTAGTCCCAGCTACTCGGGAGGCTGAGGCAGGAGAATGGCGTGAACCCAGGAGGCGGAGCTTGCAGTGAGCTGAGATGGCGCCACTGCACTCCAGCCTGGGTGACAGAGTGAGACTCCGTCTCAAAAACAAAAAACAAAAAACAAAACAAACAAACAAAAAACAAAAAAAATTAGGCTGGGCGCAGTGGCTCATGCCTGTAATCCCAGCACTTTGGGAGGCTGATGTGGGCGGATCACCTGAGGTCAGGAGTTCAAGACCAGCCTTACCAACATGGAGAAACCCCGTCTCTACTAAAAATACAAAAAAAATTAGCCAGGCATGGTGGCATATGCCTGTAATCCCAGCTGTCAGGCCTCTGAGCCCAAACCAAGCCATCGCATCCCCTGTGACTTGCACGTATACACCCAGATGGCCTGAAGTAACTGAAGATCCACAAAAGAAGTAAAAATAGCCTTAACTGATGACATTCCACCATTGATTTGTTCCTGTCCCACCCTAACTGATCAATGTACTTTGTAATCTCCCCCACCCTTAAGAAAGTTCTTTGTAATTCTCCCCACCCTTGAGAATGTACTTTGTGAGATCCACCCCTGCCCGCAAAACATTGCTCTCAACTTCACCGCCTATCCCAAAACCTATAAGAATTAATGATAATCCATCTCCCTTCGCTGACTCTCTTTTCGGCACCCAGGTGAAATAAATACCCATGTTGCTCACACAAAGCCTGTTTGGTGGCCTCTTCACACGGACGCACATGAAACCAGCTACTTGGGAGGCTGAGGCAGGAGAATTGCTTGAACCCGGGAGGCGGAGGTTGCGGTGACCCGAGATCACGCCATTGCACTCCTGCCTGGGCAACAAGAGCAAAATTCCGTCTCAGGGAAAAAAAAAAAATTAGCTGGGTGTGGTGGGGCAGGCCTGTAATCCCAGCTACTCAGGAGGCTGAGGCAGGAGAATCACTTGAACCTGGGAGGCGGAGGTTGCAGAGTCGAGATCATGCCATTGCCCTCCAGCCTGGGCGACTGAGTGAGACTCCATCTTAAAAAAAAAAAAAAAAAAAGTCTTTTATTACTTTTTGAGCATTTAAAGAGTATTTTTTGGCCAGACGGTGTGGCTCACGCCTGTAATCCCAGTATTTTGGGAGGCCCAGGCGGGTGGATCACTTGAAGCCTCCAGCCTGGCCAACATGGCAGGAGAATGACTGGAACCCGGGAGGTGGATGTTGCAGTGAGCCAAGATGGTGTCACTGCACTCCAGCCTGGGTGACAGAGAGAGACTCTGTCTCAAAGACAAAAAGAAAATTTGTTCAGTATTTTCTTCAATCAGCTTTCTCAGACTGAATGTTCACCCTTTTAAATATTCATAATGTTCCTGAGAATCCATTTGGCTATTCTGTTTTCTTCACCCTTCTCCAGCCTTCCCCTCCTCAATTCGACCCATTTCTTCCCTACTTCCCAAAAGAAAAAATATCTACTTTGGATTAATATAAATCAGTTTAATCTAACTTATTCAAGACTTTTTTGGCCTCTACTTGGAGGTTCAAGAAAAGGTGTGTCAGGCCTCTGAGCCCAAGCTAAGCCATCATATCCCCTGTGACCTGCACATACACATCCAGATGGCCGGTTCCTGCCTTAACTGATGACATTCCACCACAAAAGAAGTGAAAATGGCCTGTTCCTGCCTTAACTGATGACATTGTCTTGTGAAATTCCTTTTCCTGGCTCATCCTGTCTCAAAAAGCTCCCCTACTGAGCACCCTGTGACCCCCACTCTGTCCGCCAGAGAACAACACCCCTTTGACTGTAATTTTCCTTTATCTACCCAAATCCTATAAAACAGCCGCACCCTTATCTTCCTTCGCTGACTCTCTTTTTGGACTCAGCCCGCCTGCACCCAGGTGAAATAAACAGCCATGTTGCTCACACAAAGCCTGTTTGGTGGTCTCTTCACACGCACGAGCATGAAAGTGAGGTGATACAACGAGGGGGAAAAGAATTATTATTATTATTATTAAGGCTAACCTACAAATATTTTGAGGTATTTTATGGGTTTAAATATCCATAAATCTTTGAAGAAGTCTCACTTTCAGATAAGGAGGAAACATTTCAGTATCTCTGAAATACAAGAAAAACTTAGGATTAAAATTTTTCTCATTAAATCAGGAAAATGATGTACATTTATTGGACTGATTTTTTTCTTGTGGCAGAAACATGGATTCAGTCAAGAAGCCCTTCTGAAGGAGTAGAAGGCCCTAGATTCCCAGGTAAGCTTCTGAAGGAAATTCAGTTAAATCTACTATCATACTTTGGGAGGTTGAATTAGATTAAGAAAAACAAAGCGGTAGCCAGATTATTTATATTCTGGGAAAAAATTCTACACAAAAGAGCTCTTAGAGAATATTTAGTTTTTCCCCTCTGGTTCAATTTACTTTTTTACAATTTGGAATGCAAAGGAAAACTGACACGGTAAGTGAGCTGGGCTGCTAGAAAACGGAGATTTCTGCCAGGAAGTGACTCTCGCTTTGACTTGCATTCGATAAAATTTTACTGCTTTCTGGGAGAGATGGCTCCCTCAATTATCAATAAAAAGTCACTTTTCAGCTGAGCACGGTGGCTCATGCCTATAATCCTAGCACTTTGGGAGGCTGAGACAGGAGGATCCCTTGAGCCCAGGAGTTTGAGACCAGGCTGGGCAACACAGGGAGACCCCCCTGCCTCTACAAAACAACAAAAAAAGCATGTTTGGTTTGTCTCTTTCCAAATTACCTAGACAACTTGGAACTCAGCAGAAAAATAAGACAGACCAAGGCTTTGAGAATAATTGCAGACACAGAAACAAAGAGTACATACACACATGTAACAGATAATAGAAAAATATCAAAAAAGCAGTGTTACCTAACATTTCAGCATTAAAGTGATTATTTTTATTCTTTAGGGAGAGTAAAACACATTTTAAGAAACCATATGAATATACACTTATGGGCATTTTAGCTGTGTGGCAAAAAGGAAGAACAAATTTTATCTGTTAGAATCTAAATTAAATTTCAGTTTTGTTGTAATTTAATGTCAGAAAGCATGCATGCATACATGTAAGACAGTGGAATATATAAAGTGTTGAAAGACAAAAACAACCCACCAACCTAGAATTATTTCTGTTGTTGTTGTTGTAGAACTGGGGCTCTGGCTATGTTGCCCAGGCTGGTCATAAACTCCTGGCCTCAAGTGATCCTCCTGCCTCGGCCTCCCAAAGTGCTGGGATTACAGGTGAGCTATTGTACCCAGCCCAACATAGAATTCTATTTCCAGTTAAATTATCCTTCCAAAATGAAGGATAAATAAAGACTTTCTTAGACAAAAACTGAGGGAATTCACATCCAGCTGACTTGCTCTGTAAGAAATGTTATTGAGAGAGGGAAAATGATAAGTAGGAAACTCAGTTCTTCTTTTTTTTTTTTTAGTTTTGTTCTTTCACCCAGGCTGGAATTAAGTGGCACAATCTCGGCTCACTGCAACCTCTGCCCCCCAGGTTCAAGCCATTTTCCTGCCTCAGCCTCCCCAGTAGCTGGGATTATAGGTGACCGCCACCACACCCATCTAATTTTTGTATTTTTAGTAGAGATGGTGTTTCGCCAGGTTGGCCAGGCTGGTCTCGAACCCCTGACCTTAGGCAATCTGCCTGTTCGGGCTCCCAAAGTGCTAGGATTACAGGTGTGAGCCACTGTGCCTGGCTGGAAACTCAGTTCTATATAAAGAAAAGCAATGGGAAAGGAATAAGGAAAGGTAAACAAACAACAAAAACAATTTAGCTTGTCCTGGTGCATGTGCCTGTAATCCCAACTACTGGAGAGGCTGAGGCGGGAGGATCCCTTGAGGCCAGGAGTTTGAGGCATTATTGGGCTATGATAGCGCCTGTGAATAGCCACTGCACTCCAGCCTTGGCAACAAAGTGAGACCCCATCTCTAAAAAAAGAGCTGCCAGTTTCAAAATCCTTTGTTTAGTTTACAACTTGAATATATTCTCTTATTTTCTGGGCTGAGCGCAGTGGCTCATGCCTGTAATCCCAGCACTTTGGGAGGCTGAGGCGGGTGGATCACCTGAGGTCAGGAGTTTGAGACTAGTCTGGCCAACATGGTGAAACCCCATCTCTACTAAAAATATAAGAAATTAGCCAGGCGTGGTGGTGGGTGCCTGTAATCCCAGCTACTAAAGAGGCTGAGGCAGGAGAATCACTTGAACCTAGGAGGCGGAGGTTGCAGTGAGCTGAGATCCAGCCTGGGCAACAAGAGTGAAACTCCATCTCAAAAAAAAAATTTTTTTTTTCTGGAAATATGTGAAAACGACATGCATTCATGAAATTCTAGCACATCACCAATTATCTTGTACATATTATTTCCTCTGCATAGGGTAGCCTTGGCTCTTCCCTCTTAGCCTGAAAAGATCCTTTGAGACTTTTTAAACATTTTTTTAAAAATAGAGACAAGGTCTTGCTATGGCCCAGGCTGGTCTTGAATTCCTGGACTCCAGTGATCCTCCCACCTTGGCCTCCTAAAGTGCTGGGACTACAGGCATAAGCCACCGTGGCCCAGCCGATCCTTTGAGATTTAGTTCAAATGAAGGCAAGAAAGGGTAGTGATTAAAAAGTAGGTGTTTGAACTGAAGCTCTGCACTAGGTCCTCAGGCAAGCCTCATTACCTGAGTTTTCTTTTTTTTTTTTTTGAGACACAGTCTTGCTCTGTCACCCAGGCTGGAGTACAGTGACACGATCTTGACTCACTACAGCCTCCACCTCCCGGGTTCCAGCGATTCTCCTGCTTCAGCCTCCCGAGTAGCTGGGACTACAGGCATGTGCCACCATGCCGGGCTAATTTTTGTATTTTTAATAGAGATGGGATTTCACCATGTTGGCCAGGCTGGTCTCGAACTCTTGACCTCAGGTGATCCAGCCGCCTTGGCCTCCCAAAGTGCTGGGAATACAGGCATGAGCCACCACACCCAGCCACCGGAGTTTTCTTTAAAAGAACACTGTAGAGTTTTTTTTTTTTTTTAGTGTTGTAATAAATGAGACAAGATACAAAGCAGTTAGCATAGTACCTACCTCACAACAAAAGTGCTCAATATATGATAACCATAATAAATACAACACCTCAAAGTCTTCCCTAACATTCCCAGGGAGAATACTATTTATTTGTGCTTCCAAATATTATGTTTATACTTCTATTTGAGCATTTGTCACAAATTATATTATTTGCCCACATAAATGTGCATTCTTGGGAGCTAGAATGGTGCCCTATGCAATGTTTTATTGTCAGTGCCTAGCAAGTGCCCATCAATTTGTAAGTACTCAATATTTTTTTGATGAATGAATTATAGACAATAAGATATAGGGTGGCGTTCTCCAATTTTAACATGCAAGCTTTTAGAGTTTCTTTTTTTTTGAGACGGAGTCTCGCTCTATCGCCCAGGCTGGAGTGTAGAGGCGCAATCTTGGCTCACTGCAACCTCCGCCTCCCAGATTCAAGCAATTCTCCTGCCTCAGCCTCCTGAGTAGCTGGGATTACAGGAGTGCGCCACTATGGCCAGCTAATTTTGTATTTTTAGTAGAGATGGGGTTTCACCATGTTGGCCAGGCTGGTCTTGAACTCCTGACCTCAGATGATCCGCCCGCCTCGGCCTCCCAAAGTGCTGGGATTACAGGCATGAGCCATCGCGCCTGGCTGAGAATTTCTTTAAAATGCAGCTTCCTCCTAACTCCAGAGACTGATTTACTAGGATCTGCATTTTAGCAAGCTACCCTCCTATCTCACACACACATTTTGGTGCAATGGTCTTTGCAATATACTTTGAGAAACATTGTATAAAGCATGACTTATGGAAATAGTACTTTGTCTTAAATAAAAATATTAGAAAAGTATAAACAATCCTAATAAACAAATGTATTATTGTCCCTTGTGCTATAGATAAAGAAAGGGAGAACAATAAGCCAATTATAAGCACACTTACATTTTTACATGTTAACTCTGTTATAGTCAGGCATGTCACCTACATTTGGAACTTAAGATTTTCAACTCCTAAATTCAGGTGTCATTTGCAAGTAGATATTAGTAGAACAGATCATATTCATTCTCTTCATGGTAATAATGGTATAATTGGCTAATTTATTTTGATTGAGATGGAGACACTATTTAGGCTTTATAGTATTAGCTGGTGTTCATGTGGTCAGCTTTTGACATGTCCTGCCCCTCAGCCTATGTATGTTACAATTGTTTTTGTATCCCTCATTTTCTACATAGGATAAAACAAGCTGGTATGCTAGTGTAAAGGGGGAGGCATTAATAGCCTTGTGTAGAAAGTCCTTAGTTCCAATTAAAACAATTTAAATTATAAAATTGTGCACAGAGAGACCAGAGAGCTGATAATTGATCTTTATTATACAGAAATGTGAAGGCCATAAGCATTAAATGAGAAGGAGTTTGGCAGTGAACATTATGCAGATTCAAACTGAAGGTATCCTCGTCTTACTGAGATATAAAAATAAACACTAAGAGTTGCAAGAAAGAACTCAATTCAACTTCTATCTCCCAATCAAGCTATAACTTTCCACAGGAAAACCTGGTTTCAATTCATGCCGAATTGTTCAAAGAAAAGAAAAAGCTAAATCAGTTAGAGACAACACATGGACTGGCTTTTGTCCTATTAGAGAGCCAGACTGAAGCTGTATTCAGCCTCACATTTAGAGACTGTTTCCTATTACAATTTATATCTCTATTTGCCTAAGAGATACCTAAAGTGAAAAACAAAAAAATGTTAACTGAGCTGGGGCATTTTTGTGGGGCTAAGTAGATTTGGCAGAGGAGAGAAATGAATAAATAATTCATTTAATTATTTCTAATCAAGAGGATTTAATGTCAGGTCTGGGTCATCTGTATTAACCCTTTGACAGTTTGTTGTTCTATAATGGTCAAGAAGCACTATCCCATTAAAGTATAATAAATGCTGAACATCAGCACAGCTCAGTGCACATCCTCTTTATATCCTCAAATACTGGACTTTATATCAGCATGCTTTCAATACCAAATTAGCCCTTTAAATAGGATCTTTCTTAATAAAGCTTCTCATTGCCCTCACTACTGAAGTAAAAAACGTGTTAGAGATTTGGCCAGAAAGATGGTTTTACTGAAATAAGACTGATGACTAGGAGCACATCTATGGATTAAATATAGACAAAACTACTCCCAGAAACCTTAAATATAGACAGACTTTATTAATTTATGTAGGAAGCCAAAAATAGGAAATAAAAAGATCTGGAGTTCAGATATACTGATATATTCAGCAACTGAAACTTACAATTCCTTCAATTCAGTCAGAGCAGAGACATTTAAAGTAGTCTGGAGGGGTGGGTGCAGTGGCTCAAGCCAGTAATCTCAGCACTTTGGGAGGCTGAGGTGGAAGAATTGCTTGAGCCCAGGAATTCAAGACCAGCCTGGGCAACAAAGCGAGACTCTTGTCTAAAACAAACAAAAAAAAGCTGAGTATGGTGGCACGTGCCTGTAGTCCCACTTAGTTGGGAGACTGAGGCAGGAGGATCCTTGAGCCCTGGAGGTCAAGGCTGCAGTCAGCTGTGATTGCACTACTGTACTCCTGCCTGGGCAAGAGCAAGACCCTGTCTCAAAAGAAAAAAAAAAAAAAAGTGGCCTGGGGGAAACAGGACAGTCATATACCCCAAGAATGGAAATTTTCATGCCACCCCCCTTCCTTCCTTACAAATTCTAATGCTGATTGCATGAACGAGGTGTTGAGAGAGACTTTTCTTCATTTAGACATTTGCCCTAGTGAATGAGGGAGCAAGAGAATGCTAAGAGGGATGAGAGAATATATTTCTGGCTCTAGGACTTTGACATCCAGGTAATTGAATCTGGGACATTCTCATTAGGTTAGAAAAGGAAAGATGAGAAAATCACTAGCAGGATATGCAATTCCAGAGACCATCTGCTCCAAAAATTAGTTTTGTTTCTCATTGCTCCTTATTCAGCGACAGTTATTTCAATAAGCTACATTATTTAGCAGAGTCTGAGAGACAAAGGCTGTGAAAACATGTATTTATGATAGAAAACAAACTCAGAAAAATATAATAGATAGTTCACTTTTTATCTCATTCACATTCTATAGCTGGAGAACTCAAAATCCCATTTAGATATTTCTGCTTATCCAAAAGCACACTGGGTGAAACTAAACCACCAAATGGGAGAAAATGTTCATTGGGTGTGTGTGGCTTCACCCAGTTTATTTACCTATGGAGTGGAAGTGTAGGGAGAAATAAGGTCTGCTTATAATGGTCAAGGTCTATGGAGAAGCCCTGAAGTTGCTCTCCCCAAATCACAAGTCTGATTCAAGAAAAGGAAACAAAAATGATGAAAACATCTCATCACACAAAACTCAGTGATGGGGTCTCTGACAGTCACCAGCCAGCAGGGGAAAAGGAGAAATCCACCTGCCGGCTTTAAGATTTATTGAAGGCTGCCAGCACAGCCCAGATCATTTCTGTGGCACTAGGCTTTGTCCCTTCCACTTCAGGGTCCAGTTCTACTAAGTCCTTGGCTCGATTCATTGCCACATCATACTTGTCATCTGTCAGAGAGGAGAAGACATTCTCTAGCACATCAGAGGAGTGGGCTAGCACCAGGAGTGCTAGTGTTCGCTTGTCCATACGCTGAGGGTCATTTACCCACCGCTCTAGTACACTATCTTGAAGTTTTTTCACTAGTCGCTGTTTCTCTGTTGTATTGGTCACTGGATGAGTAGTCATGTCAAATAGCAGGAAATTCTGCTTCTCAGTGGTTAGAATACCTTTCTCTACTAGGTTCTTTGCGATGCGCTCTCGTACATTTCTCAGCTGGTACTGTAATTTGAAGGGGTTCCAGGTCTCACCTATGAGAAAAAAGAAATAGGACATAATGAACTGAAAGAGAAAAGCAAAATGAAACATGTAGTTGTTTGGAAACTTGAATGGCTAAAATGTTTAAAAGCATAATCTTCATTCCTCAATTCATTTAATCCTTAGTCCTTTATAATCTGGCTTTGACTCCAACCACATTTCACATTAAACCAGCTTCAAAAAATGTCACCAAGGACTTCCATATTGCTAGAGCTTATAGACTTTATTTCTGTTCTTATGTGACCTCTGTGACACTGTAATTATTTATGTATTTTTCAAATTCTATTTAGGACACCAGTCTCTCCCAGATGATTTCTACTCTATATTGTGGAAGTTCTATTTGCTGGTGAAGCTAAGAGGACTGAGGTTCCCTACCCTATTTGTAGAGCAGAAGCTCTATCCCAGGCCTGGTAGGCTGACAATATTTAGACTTCAATTGCTCCCATTCCAGCTTGTTCGTAGATTAGAGATTCTGCAACAGAAAAGGCAAGTCAAGAAGACCAGGGGCTAACACCTCTTTCCCCCAGCACCTACTCATACAGCAGGTGGGTATCACTGTAGGAGAAGTGGGCCCTTGTGCAGAAGTTCTGCCCAGGAGGGAAGGAAGGCCTGAAGAATGAAGAGCTCCAAAGCTCTGCCTGAGAGGACTGACTTTATTTGGAACACAGTGTGGAGAATTCTATGCCTAAGGGTGTTGAAAACCATAGAGATCTTGGTGGAGAGCAATTACAAGGTGCTGCTAGCTCTATGGCACTGGTATGACAAACCCAAATGGCAAAGCCTCCAGAAGTTTAACAGGCAGAACCAGAGAAACAGAAAGCCAAGAAAAGTCCTTCTGGAATCATGACCAACACTGGGGGTTGGGAAGACTGTGTGCTTGCACCAGGCTGCACCCACTCAGGAGCAATCAGAGCAGGACGTGGGGCTTGACTTGAGAGTATTCCCCAGACCACACATAGATCTATCAAAAAAGGGTGGATGCTTCACTGGCACCAAGGGCTAAAGCACAACCACTGAACCAACACTGGCTGAACAATAAGCTACCCTAACTCAGAGGCAACTCCTAGAAAGCTAAGCTTAAAAATAATAATAATAGCCGGGTGTGGTGGTACACGCCTGTAGTCCCAGCTACTTGGAGGCTTAGGCAGGAAAACCCAGGAGGCGGAGGTTTCAGTCAGCTGAGATTGTACCACTGCACTCCAGCCTGAGTGACAGAGTGAGACTTCATCTCAAGAAATGAAAAATAAAAAATAAAAATAAAATTAAAAAAATCACATACATCCCTGGTGTATGTCCAAGGATGTACTCTCTCCGAGAAGAAATCAGAGAGGGAACTTCCAAGCTGCTAGTTCCTCACTGAATGTGGGGCAAAATGTAAACTCCCTGATTTGTGATGGCTATGTCAAAATCACACACACATATCCAACAGTAAAGGATAAAAAAATTTAATTGGCTAAAAGGTCTTAAGCACAACCTTTGACTAATAAGTGGCTTCTACTGACCCACTGGCAACACACAGGGAGTTAGGCCAAAAGATAAAAACAAGAAAATATGAGCAGTGACATCAGAGGCTGCACACTACAAGAGAAACAGACTTCAGAGAGCTGCTGCAGGCAAGTCACTAAGGAAACAAATTACCAAGCAAACAACACAATCAACCTCTAGTGGGAAGGAGAAACCAGTATAGCAGGTGTCCCCAACCCCTGGACCATGGACTGGTACTGGTCTGCAGCCTGTTAGGAACCCGGCTGCACAGCAGGAGGTGAGCCATGGGTGAGTAAAGTTGAGCTCTGCCTCCCATCAGATCAGCAGTGGCATTAGGTTCCCACAGGAGTGTGAACCCTATTGTGAACTGCACATGGGAGGGATCTAGGTTGCATGTTCCTTGTGAGACTCTAATAAATGCAATGCACTTGAATCATACCGAAACCATCCCCCCGTCTCCCACCCCAGTGGAAAAACTGTCTTCCACGAAACCTGTCCTGGTGCCAGAAAAGTTGGGGACAGCTGCAGTGTAGTATCCAGAGTTGCACAATTATCTAAAATGTCCAGTTTTTGACAAAAAAGTATGAAGTATACAAAGAATAAATTGTGACCCATTGACCCATTCAGAAGAAAAAAAGCAGGCAATGGAAACTGCCTTTGAGAACGCTAAAATGTTGGACTTTACAAAGACTATAAAGCAGCTTTTATAAATATGTTCAAAGACCTAAGGGAAACCATGACTTATCATATAGAGAATATAAATAAAGACAGAAATTATAAAAAAGATCCATTTAGACCAGGTGCGGTGGCTCACGCCTGTAATCCCAGCATTTTGAGAGGCTGAGGTGGGTGGATCATTTGAGGCCAGGAGTTCAAGACAAGCCTGGCCAACATGGCGAAACGCCATCTCTACTAAAAATACAAAAATTAGCCAGGTATGGTGGGCACCTGTAATCCCAGCTGCTCAGGAGGCTGAGGCAGAGAATCGCTTGAACCTGGGAGGTGGAGGCTGCAATGAGCTGAGATAGTGCCACTGCACTCCAGCCTGGGCAACAAAGCAAGACTCCATCTCAAAAAAACAAAAACAAAAAAACCATTTAGAAATCCTAGAGTTTAAAAGTACAACAGACTGGGCATGGTGGCTCACGTCTGTAATCCCAGCACTTTGGGAGGCTGAGGCAGGCGGATTACTTGAAGCCAGGAGTTTGAGACCAGCCTGGCCAATATGGTGAAACCCTGTCTCTACTAAAAATACAAAATTAGCCGGGTATGGTGGTGTGTGCCTGTAGTTCCAGCTACTCAGGAGGCTGAGGCAGGAGAATCACTTGAACCCAGGAGGCGGAGGTTGCAATGAGCCAAGATCACACCATTACACTCCAGCCTCAGCGACAGAGCGAAACTCAAAAAAAAAAAAAAAAAAAAAAGTACAACAAACAAAATGAAAAAATCACTCAAGGGATCCAACAAGAGATCTGAGCTGGCAAAATAAAGAATTAGCAAACTTAGAGATCAAAGAAATTATGTAATATGAAGAACAAGGAGAAAAGAGAATGAAGAAAAATGAACAGACTCAGAGAAATATAAAGTATCATCAACTTGATGAACATACATAAAATGGAAGCACCAGAAGGAAAGGAGAGAAAGAGGCAGAAAAAATACTCAAGAAAGTAATGGCTAAAATCTTGCCAAACGTGATGAAAAACACTCAACCACACATTGGAGAAGTTCAACAAACTCCAAGTTGGATGAACACAAAGAGACCCATATCCAACATCATAGTAAAAATGTTGAAAACCAAAAATAAGTGGAAAATCATGAAAGCAGAAGAGAAAAATGACTTATCACATCACAGTGGAACTTTGTAAGCTTAATAACTGACTTCCCATTAGAAAAAATGCAGGCCAGAAGAATGAGTAGACTTATTCAAAGTGAGGGTAGAAACTATTAGCCAAGAATCTTATAACTGGCAAACTATCTTTCAGAAATAAAAGCAAAGCAGGTGTGGTGGCATGCACTTGTAGTCCCAGCTACTCAGGAGGCTGAGGCAGGAGAATCACTTGAACCCAGGAAGTGGAGGTTGCATTGAGCTGAGATCGTGCCACCGCACTCCAGACTGGGTGACAGAGTGAGACTCTGTCTCAAAAAAAAAAAAAAAAAAAAAAAAAAAACCCTAAAAAAAACAAAACAAAAATGAAGGCAAAGAAAAATTTCTAAAAAGGAGAAAAAATAAATACATTCCTAGATCTGAAAGAGTTCACTGCTAGCAGACCTGCTTATAAGAAATATTAATACTAAAACTAAAGGGAAGTTGTTAAGGCTGAGAGCAGGACACACTAGACAGTAATTTGAATCCACGTGAACAAACAGTAAAAGTAATTATGTAAGTAATAAAAAAGATGGTATAATTGGATACTTCATCTCAACTGATTTATAAAGCAATTGCACAAAACAATATTTATATAATTGTTATTGTTGAGTTATAATTTTTAACTTTTTAAACTTTTGCGCAAGGTTATAACACATAGAAATGTAATAATAGCACAAAGAAAGAGGGTGGGAAAAAAGTTGTGTTGAAGTAAGGAAAATGACAACAGATGGTAACTTGAATCCACAGGAAGAAATGAAGAAAACCAGAAATGGTAAATAAGGAGGTTAATATAACAAACTCTATAAGTATATATTTGTGCTTTCTTCTCTTCTTTAATAATTACAACAATGAATTGTTGAATTTGTAACACATAGAGATGTAATACGTGTAACAATATTGGCATGGTGGGCCCATGCCTGTAATCCCAGAACTTTGGGATGCCAAGGTGGGCAGATTGCTTGAGCCCAGCAGTTTAAGACCAGTCTGGGTAACATAGTGAAACTTTGTCTAAAAAAACAAAACAAAACAAAAAACAACAACAACAAAAAACCCAAAAGCCAAAAAAACAAAAAAAAAAAAAAAGAAAAGAAACATATAGCAATATTAACACAAAAAGAGGGAGAGGGAATAGAGTTATATAGAAGTAAAGTTTCCTTGGAATTAAACTTGGTATAAATCTTTTTTTTTTTATTTTTTTTTTTTTTTGAGACGGAGTCTCACACTGTCGCCCTGGCTGGAGTGCAATGGCATGATCTCAGCTCACTGCAACCGCTGCCTGCCGGGTTCAAGTGATTCTCCTGCCTCAGCCTCCTATGTTAGATTTACTGGAGAAAGACTTGAAAGCAACTTTTTTTTTTTTTTTTTTTTTTTGGAGACAGGGTCTTGCTTTGTTGCCAGGCTGGAATGGAGTGGTGTGATCTTGGCTCACTGCAGCCACCACCTCCCCAGCCCAACTGATCCTCCCATCTCAGCCTCCTGAGTAGCTGGGACTATAGGCATGTACCACCATGTTCAGCTAATTTTATGTTTTGTAGAGATGAGGTCTCACTGTTGACCAGGCTAGTCTCAAATTCCTGGACTCAAGTGATCTTCCCACCTGAGTGTCCCAAAGTACTGGGATTACAGGTGTGAGCCACCACACCCACTACAACTATCTTTTGTTTTTTTTTTTGAGATGGAGTTTCACTCTTGTCACCCAGGCTGGAGTGCAGCGGCACAATCTTGTCTCACTGCAACCTCCACCTCCCAGGTTCAGGTGATTCTCCTGCCTCAGCCTCCCAAGTAGCTGGGATTACAGGTGCCCACCACCACGCCCAGCTAATTTTTGTATTTTCAGTACAGACGGGGTTTCACCATGTTGGCCAGGCTGGTGTTGAACTCCTGACCTCCAGTGATCCACCTGCCTTGGCCTTCCAAAGTGCTGGGATTACAGGTGTGAGCCACCGCACCCAGCCACAACTGTCTTAAAGATGCTCAAATATTTAAAAAAATGGATAAAGACAGGAAAATAATGTAGAAGCAAAATGATAATATCAATAAAGAGATAGAGAAAGGGACCAAAAGGAAATTCTGGAGCTAAAACTTATAATAACTGAAATAAAAAAATATACTAGGGGGGCTGGGCATGGTGGCTCATTCCTGTAATCCCAGCACTTTGGGAGGCCAAGGTGGGTGAGTCACTTGAGGTCAGGAGTTCAAGACCAGCCTGGCCAGTATAGGGAAACCCTATCTCTACTGAAAATACAAAAATTAGCTAGTGTGGTGGTGGGAGCCTGTAATCCCTGCTACTCGGGAGGCTGAGGCAGGGAGAAGTGCTTGAACCTAGGAGGCAGAGGTTGCAGCGAGCCAAGATTGTGCCACTGCACTCCAGCCTGGGAGGCAGAGCAAGACATTCCGTTTAAAAAAAAAAAACAAAAAAACAAAAAACGAAAAACAAATTTGAAGAAGCAGAAGAAATAATCAGCAAGCAGTTCCCTGTTAGGATACACCCTCCAGATCAACAGGGAAATATTATGGCTACATTTGAGCCTTTTCCTTTTAAATTTGGGAAACGCCATGAGGGGCCCGTCTGGGCCTGTTCCAAACCGGGGCATTTCCAGCTTAGGCCATTCCCTCATCCCTGTACAATATCTGTCCCCCGCCATAGCAGGTAGTGCCGCAGTAGATTTATGCTGCACAAAAGCTGTGAGCCTTCTGCCTGGGGAACTCCCGCAAAAGGTCCCAACAGGAGTCTGTGGACCCTTGCCAGCGGGAACGATAAGATTACTTCTAGGAGATCTAGTTTAAGTTTAAAAGGAGTACAAATACATACAGGAGTCCTTGATTCAGATTACAGTGGGGAAATTCAAATTGTTATATCTACTTCTGTTCCCTGGAAAGCAGAGCCAGGAGAGCGTATAGCACAGCTCCTGATTGTACCGTATGTGGAAATGGGGAAAAGTGAAATTAAATGAACAGGAGGATTTGGAAGCACAAATAAACAAGGCAAAGCTGCTTATTGGATGAATCAAATTACTGATAAATGTCCTACCTGTGAAATAACTATTCAGGGAAAGAAATTTAAAGGTTTGGTAGCTATAGGAGCAGACATTTCAATCATTTCTCTACAGCACTGGCCGTCTGCGTGGCCAATTCAACCCGCCCAATTTAACATAGTTGGAGTTGGTAAGGACCCTGAAGTGTATCAAAGTAGTTACATTTTCCATTGTGAAGGGCCCAATGGACAACCTGGGACTATTCAACCAGTTATAACTTATGTACCTATAAATTTATGGAGAAGAGATTTATTACAACAATGGGGAGCACAAGTTCTAATTCCAGAGCAATTATATAGCCCTCAAAATCAACATATGATGCATGAAATGGGGCATGTCCCTGGTATGGGACTAGGAAAAAATTTGCAAGGTTTGAAGGAACCACTTCAAGTGGAAAGACAAAGTTCCTGCCAAGGTTTAGGATATCATTTTTGATGGCAGCCATTGTTAAGCCTCCAGAGCCTATACCTTTAAAATGGTTAACAGATAAGCCAATTTGGATAGAACGATGGCCACTAAGTAAAGAGAAACTAGAGGCTTTAAAGGACTTCGTTAATGAACAATTAGAAAACGGACACAGCTCCAACATTTTCCTCTTGGAATTCTCCAGTTTTCGCAATTAAGAAAAAATCAGGTAAATGGAGAATGTTAACAGATCTTAGAGCCATCAATTCAGTTATACAACCTATGGGAGCATTACAGCCAGGACGGCCTTCTCCTACTACAATTCTAAAAATTCGCCTTTAATAGTTATAGATTTAAAAGACTGTTTCTTTATTATCCCCTTAGCTGAGCAAGACTGTGAATGGTTTGCATTTACAATTCCTGCAGTAAACAACCTGCAGCCTGCTAAGCGTTTTCACTGGAAAGTGTTGCCACAAGGCATGTTAAACAGTCCAACAATTTGCCAGACTTATGTAGGGCAAACAATTGAACCTACTCGTAAAAAATTTTCACAGTGTTACATTATTCACTATATGGATGATGTATTTGTGCTGCCCCCACTCAAGAAATATTACTCCAATGTTATGATCACTTGCAAAATTCGATTTCTCGTGCTGGTTTAATTACAGCTCCTGACAAAATTCAGACTACTACACCTTACTCCTACTTGGGGACCTTAGTAAATGACACTACCATTGTGCCACAAGAAGTAGCCATACATAGGGATCAATTGAAAACATTAAATGACTTTCAAAAATTACTAGGGGACATTAATTGGATACGACCTGCTCTAGGCATCCCTACCTATGCCATGAGCAATCTATTTTCTATCCTTAGAGGAGATCCTAGTCTCACTAGCCCTCGGCAATTAACAAAAGAAGCTGAGGCAGAGCTGCAGCAAATCGAAAAGCAAGTCCATAAAGCTAAAACAAATAGAATAGATCCAGAGAAGACTCTAGATTTGCTAATTTTTCCAACTCAGCATTCACCTACTGGTGTTATTGTCCAAGAGCAGGACTTAGTAGAATGGCTTTTTCTTTCACATACTAATTCACAGACTCTAACTCCTTATTTGGATCAAATCGCTACCATGATAGGAAATGGGAGAACTCGGATTGTTAAACTATAGGATATGATCCTGAAAAAATTATTGTCCCTCTCACGAAGGCACAAATACAGCAGGCTTTTATAAATAATCTTACTTGGCAAACCCACTTAGCTAACTTTGTGGGTATTCTCGATAATCATTTTCCTAAAATGAAACTGTTTCAATTTTTGAAATTAACTAATTGGATTCTCCCTAGAATAACTAAATTTAAACCAATTGAAGGTGCTGAGAATGTTTTTACAGATGGGTCTGGTAATGGTAAAGCTTCTTATTCTGGCTCTAAAGGTAAAGTTTTCCAGACGCCCTATACTTCACCTCAAAAAGCAGAGCTTGTAGCTGTAACTGAGGTACTGACTGCTTTTAATATGCCTATTTATGTGATTTCTGATTCTTCATATGTGGTTCATTCCACACAGTTAATTGAAAATGCTCAGTTACGATTTCATACAGATGAACAACTGATGACTTTATTTACCCAGTTAGAAACAGCAGTTAGGAGTAGAATGCACCCTTTTTACATCACTCACATTAGGGCTCATAAACCTCTTCCCGGACATTTAACTGAAGGGAATCAAATGGCTGATTGCCTAGCTGCTAATGCAATATCTAATGCTAAACACTTTCGCAATTTAACCCATGTTAATGCCTCTGGTCTCAAAAGCAGATACAGCATTACCTGGAAAGAAGCTAAAGCTATTATCTAGCGATGCCCAACTTGTCAAATGGTATATTCCTCATCTTTTACAGGAGGAGTTAATCCTTGAGGACTGGAACCTAATTCTCTTTGGCAAATGGATGTCACACATGTTCCCTCATTTGGGAGACTAGCTTATGTACACGTATGTGTGGACACCTTTTCTCACTTTGTCTGGGCTACATGCCAAATCAGGAGAGTCTTCTGCCTGTGTTAAACGTCACCTTTTGCAGTGTTTGTGGTGATGAGCATTCCAGCTTCTATTAAAACAGATAATGCCCCAGGCTATACTAGCCAAGCTCTAGCTACATTTTTCTCTATATGGAATATTAAACACAATACTGGTATCCCATATAATTCTCAAGGACAAGCCACAGTGGAAAGAATGAATCTCTCCCTAAAAGAGCAGTTGCAAAAACAAAACATGGGGGAAACAGGGATTACAGGACACCCCATATACAACTGAATCTAGCATCATTAACTTTAAATTTTTTGAGCCTGCCTAAAGGCCAGATGTTAGCAGCAGCTGAACAGCATCTAACCAGCTGCAAAGACAGAAGCAAAACAACTGGTTTGGTGGAGAGATCCGGTAGCAAAAAGTTGGGAAATAGGTAAAATAATAACTTGGGGTAGAGGTTATGCTTGTGTTTCTCCAGGACCGAATCAACAGCTGATTTGGATACCATCAAGACATCTGAAACCTTATCATGAGCCAGATGCCGAGGAAGAGATTCCGGGAGGATCCCGAGGACCCCCCGGTTGCAGCCATGTCGAGACTGATGCTGAGGAGGACCCCAACTGTCATTAGCAACACCCGTTGAACACAGCCACCCACCTGAGGGCAGATCAAGAAGCTGTCACAGATGGAGGAAGAAAACCTGAGGAAATCGGGACAACCAGTCGCAATGAGTAATTTAATGGTAGCTATGATAGTGGTGATCACCATTGCTGTGCGTATTCCTTCAACAAGGGCTGACACAGAGAACAATTATACTCATTGGGCATATTTATCAATCTTGGCTGGCAATAATGCCTGGATGTAATCACTCTATGATGCAGTTACACATGCTTTCTGACCTCAGTATTTACCATAATAAATCTGCTCCTATAGTTGAGGCATACCACCCTCAGAAACCTATGTGTAAACAAAATTGAACCTGGCCAGAGAAAATGAACGTACTTGTTTAGGAAGATTGCATTGCAGAACAGGAAGAGGTGCTGCGCAATGATTCTTATGGAATCATTACTGATTGGTCCCATAAGGGGATGTTTAGCTTGAATTGCACCTCTCAGTTTGCGTGTCATGGCCACACTATGTTCAGCTGGTTTGAACAAAATGGTCAGATGGTAGAAATGGTAAGAAGTATGACAAGAGTTCCTATTATCTGGAAACATGGTGGTAGAGTGGCACCTCAATCTCAAATGATATGGCCCGCTGTAGGAGCTAAACATAAGGATTTGTGGAAACTATTAATGGCTCTTAATAAGATCCAAATTTGGGAAAGAATAAAAAACCATCTAAAAGGACACTCTACAAACTTGTCTTTGGATATTGCAAAATTAAAAGAACAAATATTTAAAGCATCCCAGGCACACCTGACCTTAATGCCAGGAACTGGAGTGCTTGAAGGAGCTGCAGACAGATTAACAGCTAGTAACCCATTAAAATGGATAAAAACACTTGGAAGCCCTTTGATTTCAATGATAATTGTGTTATTAATCTGTGTTGTTTGTCTCTGTATAGTCTGCAGGTGTGGATCCTGACTTCTGTGAGAAGTAGCTCACCTTGACAAAGCTGCCTTTGCTTTTATTGCTTTGTAAAACAAAGAAGGGGGACGTGTTGGGAATAGGCCTCAAAAATCTGGCCATAAACTGGCCCCAAAACTGGCCATAAACAAAATCTCTGCAGCACTGTGACATGCTTGTGATGGCCTTGATGCCCATGCTGGAAGGTTGTGGGTTTACTGGAATGAGGGCAAGGAACACCTGGCCCACCCAGGGCGGAAAACTGCTTAAGGTGTTCTTAAACCACAAACAATAGCATGAGAGATCCGTGCCTTAAGGACATGTTCATGCTGCAGATAACTAGCCAGAGCCCGTCCCTTTATTTCGGCCCATCCCTTTATTTCCCATAAGGAATACTTTTAGTAAACCTTATGATTGGCTTGCTGTCAATAAATATGTGGGTAAATCTCTGTTCAAGGCTCTCAGCTCTGAAGGCTGTGAGACCCCTGATTTCCCACTCCACACTATATTTCTGTGTGTGTGTGTCTTTAATTCCTCTAGCGCCACTGGGTTAGGGTCTCCACAACTGAGCTGGTCTCGGCAAGATTAATATCCAGAATATATATAAAGAACCTCTGGCCAGGCACAGTGGCTCATGCCTGTAATCCCAGCATTTTGGGAGACCAAGATGGGTAGACTGTCTGAGCTCAGGAGTTCAGAGACCAGCCTGGGTGACATAGCAAAACCCCATCTCCACCAAAAACACAAAAAATTAGCCAGGTGTGATGGTGCGCACCCATAGTCCCAGTTACTTGGGAGGCTGAGGTGGGAGGATCCTTGAGCCCGGGAGATAGAGGTTGCAGTGAGCCGAGATTGCACCACGGCACTCCATCCTGGGTGACAGAGTGAGACCGCATCTCATAAATAAATACAAAAAAACCTCAACAACAACAAAACAATCAAACTTAAAAATGGGAAAAGTATTTTATATTTCTCCAAAGAAGATATATAAATGGTCAGTAAGCACATAAAAATATGCTCAATATTTTTAGTCATTAGGAATGACATGAAAACTATTTTCATTTGAAAATAAAAATCAAAACCACAATGAGATAACATTTTAGGCCTACTCGGATGTCTATAATTAAAAAAAAGAAAAGAAAGAGAAGAACAAGTGGTGATCAGCATGTGGACAAATTGGAACCCTGGTGCATACTGGTGGGAATATAAAATGGTGCAGTCTCTGTGGAAATGTTTGGTGATTTCTCAAAAGGTTAAACATAAAACTGCTATATGACCCAGCAATTCTATTCCTAGGTATATATCCAAAAGAATTAAAAACAGGAACTTGAACAGATATTTGTGTATCAATGTTCACAGCAGCATTATTCACAATAGCCAAAAGGTGGAAACAAGGCAAGTGTCCATCAACAGATGAATGGTTAAACGAAAGTGTTATATACATACAACGGAATATCACTCAGCCATAAACAGGAATGAAATTTTGATATATGCTGTGACATGAATGGACCTTGAAAACATTATGCTTGGTGAATAAGCTAGGGAAAGTAATGACAGATATTGTATGATTCTACTTATATGAGGTACCTAGAGTAAGCAAATTCATAGAAAAAGAAAGTAGAATAGAGGTTGCCAGGGACTGGGGGGAGAGAGAAAGAGGAAGTTATCATTTAATAGGTACAGAGTTTTAATGGGTAATGATGAGGAAGCTTTGGGTATAGTATAGATAGAGGTGACGGTTACAAAATATTGCAAATATATTTAATTTCACAGAATTGTACACTTAAGAATGGCTAAAATAATAATAAATGTTGGCTGGGCGCGGTGGCTCACGCCTGTAATCCCAGCACTTTGGGAGGCCAAGGCGGGCAGATCACGAAGTCAAGAGTTCGAGACAAGCCTGGCCAATATGGTGAAACCCTGTCTCTACTAAGAATACAAAAATTAGCCAGGCGTGGTGGCACGTGCCTGTAATCCCAGCTACTTGGGAGGCTGAGGCAGGAGAATTGCTTGAACCCGGGAGGCAGAGGTTGCAGTGAGCTGAGATTGCATCACTGTACTCCAGCCTGGACGACAGAGCAAGACTCCATCTCGAAATAATAATAATAATAATAAATGTTATGTATATTTTACCACAGTAAGAATGTTACTCGTTGATTTACATATGACCCAGTTATCTACTCCTAGCTACATACCCACAAGAAATGAAAACATGTTCAAACAAAAACTTGTCCGTGCGTGTTCACAGCAGCATTATTCACAATACCCAAAATGTGGAAATAACTCAAAGATTCATCAACTGATGACTGGATAAACAAATGTGGTATGGCCATGCAATAAAATATTATTTGGCAAATTAAAACTGGGAAATTCTAATAAGAATAATAGACTGCATCAATGCCAATATTCTCATTGTCCTCTCAATAAAGATGTTTTAAAAGTTTCTTGTGAAGAATACTATTTAAGGGCTTTTGGGGTGGGGTGGCAGAAGATAAGGTGAAGCTTTGGAAAACTTTAGGTATCAATTAACCATGCTTTTTCTGTCCCTCATTAGAATTAAATAGTGAACCACATCTATCTCATCCAGCACGATGAATTTCGGTACATCTTTTACTAAATTTCAGGGTAGGATAAAGATAACAAAGTGTGAAATTCATATATTATTTTAAGTCATCTTACCAGTGAGTAGCTCTATCCATGTTTGGACAGTTTCTGTGGGTTCAGTTGCTTTGATGTGTTTCAGAGTTTCATCCAGTAAAACATCACCTGTTGGGCTGTCTGACTTTAGCAGTACCTTTGAGAAAAGGAGAAAGAAGGAACCCTGATTCCTTCACTTCATTCAAGTTAAAATCTTTCAATATATCATGTATATGTTACTGGTTAAAAATTGCAAGAATGTAAGGAAGCATAATATACTGTCTCTGTCCTCAAGAAGTTTAAAATATAGTATGGAGTGATAGTGCAAAGACAAAAATAACATTTGAAGTGGGCCCTAGTGACAAACTGGATATGAATGATAATGGAGAAAAGTTTCAATAACAACTCATTTTGAGTCTGGAAACCAACTTTTGAAACCATTAATAAAGGTAGGAAACAGCTGGGCTCAGTGGCTCATGCCTGTAATCTTAGCACTTTGGGAGGCTGAGGCGGGTGGATCACCTGAGCTCAGGAGTTTGAGACCAGCCTGGGCAAAATGGCAAAATCTTTTCTCTATTAAAAAAATAAAAATTTAAATAAATAAATAAATAAATAAACAAAGGCAGGAAAGTCAGAAAAGGAAGTCAGTTTTGGGGAAAGGTTGATAATTTGGTTTTCTTTCATTTTTGTTAAGTTTGGTTTTAAATGATATGGGATAGCCAAGTTGAAATTTCTAGCCAATAGTTAAATATGTTTCTGGAGGTGGAAAAACAAGACCTGCCTAGAAATTTGAAAATTAATCTCATGAAGGTGACAGACGAAGCTATAAAGGTAAATGATATCTCTGAAAGGACAGAAGATCACTCAAGTGATACAAACTGAGACTTGGATGTTAAGAAATGGAGAAGTAAGGAAACAGTGTATAGTCAGAGAAGCAAGAGAATAAGATAATAACAAAGGCCAATAATGAAGAAAGTTTCAAAGTGATAAAAAGTGTCAAATGACACATATAGGTTAAAAGAGAAAAATAAATCAAAGACTGAAAAGAAGCTGGTGATACCTAAGAATGTAGTTTAAGTGGAGTGCTTAGGATGATAAAGAAGTTGTGAGTGGAAAAATTCAGTAAGAAAATGGATACAGGAGTATGGTTGGAAAGGACTTGCAGTAAATGGAAGGAAACAGAATATTATTGGAGAATAACCAGGGTTAATCAATGACTGACCTGACCCATATGAGTCCCTCTCCCTACATCATACTCTATTTCGTAATTTTTTTTTTTTAGAGACGGAGTCTTGCACTGTCCCCCAGGCTGGAGTGCAGTGGCGGGATCTTGGCTCACTGCAAGCTCCACCTTCCGGGTTCACGCCATTCTCCTGCTTCAGCCTCCCGAGTAGCTGTGACTACAGGCGCCCGCCACAATGCCCCGCTAATTTTTTTTTTAAATATTTCTCGTAGAGATGGGATTTCACCGTGTTAGCCAGGATGGTCTCAATCGCCTGACCTCATGATCCGCCCGCCTCGGCCTCTCAAAGTGCTGGGATTACAAGCGTGAGCCACTGTGCCCGGCTATTTCATAATGTTATAGCTATAGATATAGGAGGAATTTAATCAACAGCATCCTGAGTATGATTTTTCTGCATAAAAAAGGAAGACAAAACCAGGAGCTTCCTATAACTCTTTGGACTATGGATACTTTGATTTCTCCCTCTTGCAATAGGGTAATTAACCTGTTTAGACAATGGAACTGCTGAGTCAGTGATATTTATTTTATCTTACTACTCAAATCTTTCTATTCTTCCCAAATGTACTGTTGGTATTTGCCTTTCCATAAGCCATGGACGTTCACAGAGGATTCAGTACCTTTCTGTCTAGTAGTCGCTTCTTACGCATGGTCGGGGGTTCCAGATAGATTCGACCCCGCATGGCCAGCTCTATCAGGATGCCCCCTCGCAGGCCTGATGATATGCAGTCATTCCAGAAAGATGTGTACCCCTAGGAAAGGAGAAAAGAGAAGAGAAAGAATGTTTTGAGAGGAATACTGACTTCCAGCAGGCACCCTAAGAACAGGCCGCTTTGTTGTGATTCGTTTCACATCATACTACATGAACTCAAAGTATAGAGTAAGAGGATGTTTCTTTAATCCTCTTAAACACCCCCAAATATGATTTTCTGTCTGACTTCAAGATCTTTAGTGAATTTCCATGGTTTGCTGTTAGTCAATAAATGATGTGCAATTTTTTTTTTTGAGACAGGGTCTCGCTTTTTCCCCCAGGCTGAAATGCAGTGGCATGATCATGGCTCACTGCAGCCTTGACCTCCTGGGCTCAAGCAATCCTTCCACCTCAGCCTCCTGAGTAGCTGGGACTACAGGTATGTGCCACCATGCCTGGCTGTTTTTAAAAAAAATTTTTTTGTAGAGACAAGGTCTTGCTATGTTGCCTACGCTGGTCTCGAACTCCTGGCCTCAAGCTATCCTCCCACCTTGGCCTCCGAAAGTGTTGGGATTACAGACATGAGTGACTGCACCTGGTTTGACATGCAAAATTTTAATTTTTGAGGAGAATTTTGGCTTTTTTGAAGTCTGTTTCCATGACACAAAATTTCAGAGTGGGGTAAAATAAGTCAGAAAAAAGTAAAAAGCATTTGAGCTTTTAATCCTCCTAGATATGTATTAATTTGAAGTTCTTTTTTCTTTTTTTTGAGATGGAGGCTTGCTCTGTCGCCCAGGCTGGAGTGCAGTGACGTGATCTTGGCTCACTGCAACCTCCGCCTCCCAGGTTCAAGCGATTCTCCTGCCTCAGCCTCCTGAGTAGCTGGGATTACAGGTGTGCACTGCCACACCCAGCTAATTTTTGTATTTTTAGTAGAGACGGGATTTCACTATGTTGGTCAAGCTGGTCTCAAACTCCTGACCTCGTCATCCACCAGCCTCAGTCTCCCAAAGTGCTGGGAATACAGGAGTGAGCCACCGTGCCCAGCCAATTTGAAGTTCTTTTGATGGGAGGTATAATAGAAACCCACTGTCATTAAGTGCCTTGGTTATGTTACTTAAACTTTCTGAAGTACATTGTCCTCATCTATAAAATGCAGACACCAATATATATTTTCATAAGATTGTTATGAGGGTTACATGAGATACAATATATAAGAAAGCATTTAGTATAGTGCCTGGCATATAGCAGGCACTTAAAATGTTAGCTCCCCTTCCCTTTGTATAGGGAATATACGTATAAGAGAGCCACTGGTATTGTCTAACAGCAGTAACGTTTAATTACTAATGTCTATTGAATACTTATTATATACTAGATATGTGCTAATACTTATTATGTACTAGATTTGTGCTAAGCTTTTTACATGCATTATCTGATTATATCTTCACAACAACCCTATAAAGGAAGTACTACTACTACCCACACATTAAAGATGAGAAAACTAAGGCTTACAGAGGTTATACAGCATAACAGAGGTCACGAAGCTAAATAGAGAAATTTTTAAGTGGTTGTTTTTTTGGTGGTGTTTTACTGATAGATCATAGTTGTGCATATTTTGGGGTTACTTTTTTTTTTTAAGAGACAGGCGGGGTCTTGCTCCATTATCCAGGCTGAAATGCAGTGGGGCCATCATAGCTCACTGTAGACTTGAACTCCAGGGCTCAAACAATTGTCCTGCCTCAGCCTCCCAAGTAGCTCAGACTACAGGCATGAGACACTGCACCTAGCTATAATAACTATTTAAAAAATTTTTTAATTCAATTTTCCTCTTTATTGGCTTGGAAGTTATGTACTTTTAGAAGTTATCCTTGAAATTTTAACATGCATGATACATTAATTTAAAATTAACATAAAACCTAAATTTTAAATATTAATATTTTAACCACTCTTTTAGTTGTCCAGTATTTTTTTTTAGCCTCATAAATTAGATATCATCATCATCATTATTATTTTATACAGGTAGCACTTGTTTAGATTTACACAGGTGCTTACGAATTTCTTTGCTCACCGTTCCTTCCTGTATCTCAGACTTCCTTTCTGGCACCATTTTTCTTCTTCCTAAAGTAGAATTTCCTTAAGTGAAAGTCTGTTGGAGGCAGTTTCTATTTTGCTTATCTGAAATGTCTTTGTATTTCACCATCATCCTTGAAAGATAGTTTCTCTGGACATAAAATTCCAGGTTGATCATTCCAGGTTATCACATTGAAGATAGTATGCCCTCTTCTTCCAGCTTCTAATATAGCAGTGAGAAATCTATCTTTCTTATTGATTGTGGTTTTTTTGTAGGTGGTGTATCTTTTCTTTGGTCCTTTAAGATCTTCTCTTTTGGTGTTTTGCAGTTTTACTATAACATGACTGTGCATGAATTTATTTATTCTGTTTGGTATATGTTGTGCTTCCCATAACTGTGGTTTCATTTCTTAGCTTCAAAAATTCTCAGCTCTTAGGTCTCTAAGCACTTTGGCTCTCCTTTATTTTCTTTTTTCTTTCCTTCTAGGACTTCAGTCTTTATTTTAACCCCGTCTTTTAACCTTTTATATTTTCCATTTGCTTGTTCTCTGTATTGCTTTCTGGAGAGTTTTTGTTTGTTTGTTTGTTTCTGAGATGGAGTCTCACCTGTCACCCAGGCTGGAGTGCAATGGCACAATCTCGGCTCACTGCAACCTCCGTCTCCCAGGTTCAAGCAATTCTCCTGCCTCAGCCTCCCAAGTAGCTGGGATTACAGGTGCACCTCACCACGCCTGGCTAATTTTTTTGTGGAGATGGGGTTTTATCATGTTGGCCAGGCTGGTCTTGAACTCCTGACCTCAGGTGATCTGCCTGCCTCAGCCTCCCAAAGTGCTGGAATTACAAGCATGAGCCACCAGCCTGGCCTTTGGAGAGTTTTTAAAAAATATCCGGCTTCCTATTTACTAATTCAAACTAACCCTGAGATTTTGATTTCAACAATTTTTCATTAGTAGAAGTTTTATTTAGTTATTTTTCACATTTGTCTGGTGATTTGTGATTTTTTGTTTATTTTGTGATTATTTTATTTCTTTAAAAATGTCATATTTTTAGTCTGATTATTTTAATATGGGACAATATATGAGGTCCTTGATACCTGACAATATCTGAGGACTTTATTTGTCACTTCTTCCTTGTTTGTATGTTTGATGATCTTTGATTAAGAGGTTCACGTTTAACGTTTTGTGAATTTACGAGATTCTGGAGGCCTAAATTGAGGACATCTTCCTTCAGAGGGAAAGATCTGTTTCTGCCGAGAGCCAAGTACAGAGGGATTGTGGGAGTGCCACACAACTGGGAGCACATTTAAGCCTAGTTTCCCCACTTTACCTCAACCATCAAGTTTATTCCTGACCAACCAACTCCTGAATCTCAAGACTGATTTGGTAATTTGCCCCAGGGTAATTTGATCTTCATGTTATCTTTATTGCTCACCTCTTGGATTTTAATTTTGGTGTTTGGGGGCCCCTTGAAGATTATTTCTACTTTCCAAGACTCAATAATACATTAAAAATTAAGCTTATTCAAGACTTAATATCTGACCACCATACTGCCAGGGCTAGAGGACCTCTAATTCTATTTGTCCTGCTATAGCCAGGACAATCTTTAACATCAAGTGTAATGATATAACTCCCTCCCCTCATGCTTAAAAATCTTTCAAACATTCCTCTCAGCCTTCAGGATGGAATCCAAATGGCTAATGCAGGAGGATCGCTTGAGGCCAAGAGTTGGCCAGCCTTTGGGAACACAGCGAGACCTTGTCTGTAAAAACAAAACAAAACAAAACAAAAGTGGCTATTTACTAGTCTTTTCTTTTTTTTTCTTTCTTTTTTTTTTTTTTTTGAGACGGAGTCTCTCTCTGTCACCCAGGCTGGAGTGCAGTGGCGCAATCTCGGCTGACTGTAAGCTCCACCTGCCGGGTTCACGCCATTCTCCTGCCTCAGCCTCCGAGTAGCTGGGACTACAGGCGCCCGCCACCACACCCAGCTAAATTTTTTTATATTTTTGGTAGAGATGGGGTTTCACCGTGTTAGCTAGGATGGTCTTGATCTCCTGACCTCGTGACCCGCCTGCCTCGGCCTCCCAAAGTGCTGGGATTACAGGAGTGAGCCACCACGCCCGGCCCACTAGTCTTTTCTTTGGCCTCTTTCCCCTATTGGCCTTTGCACACACTGCTCTGTTGAAAAGAACCAATATTCTTCCTTCCAAAACTCCTCTTTGTAGTTAAGCGTTAAGTACAGGGGTCACATTTCCACATAACCTTCTCTAACATTGTTTACTTCTCCACTCCACCCTCTGGATTAGGTTCTGCACCTGGGTGTGCCCATACATACTTCTCTCATAACTTCTATTATATCATATTGCAAACAACTATTTCTCCTGACCAGACTACAAATTCCTTAAGGAGAGAATATCCCTTATGCCGCAAAAATATTTTTGAAAGCATAAATTTATGCTTAAAAGTAAATGTTAACCTGGCAAAAGTTCAGCTTGAGCCATAAAATATTCCTTAGACATCTCCAAATTTCCTGAGGGTCTGATCTTTGACTCAAGGTTGGGATTAGTTCCCTCCCCTGCCTGCCTCATGGCTACTCCAAGTCATATTTGTTTTTTTGGTTTTGTTTTTGTTTGGACACAGGGTATCGCTCTGTCGCCCAGGCTGGGGTGCAGTGGCATGATCTCATCTCACTGCAACCTCCACCTCCCTGGTTCAAGCAATCCTCTCACCTCAGCCTCCCAAGTAGTTGGGACTACAGGCGCGTGCCACCACACCCAGCTAATATTTGTATTTTTAGTAGAGATGGGGTTTTGCCATGTTGCCCAGGCTGGTCTCGAACTCCTCAGCTCAAGTGGTATGCCCACCTCAGCCTCCTGAAGTACTAAAATTACAGGTGTGAGCCACTGTGCCTGGCCCCAACTCATATTTGTGACTCCTCTTTAAGGAAGGGGTAGGCTTTTTTTTTAGGTTAACACTTGTTTTTTTTTATAGTTTAGCTACCTAATTAAAGTTAAACTATAACTTCCTTCAGAACACGTAATTATGTAGGCATTATTTATTCTCGTAATAAATCTTAACAGGTGTGCAAACATTTTAGCCAATATTAAAGCAACTGGAAGAAAGTTTTCTTTTGTTGTCTCATTTCCTCCTGACCATGTAACTTCTGTTTCAGTGACAGTGACATCAGATTGTCAACAAAACTATAAATGAGAAGCAGTATAAAGAAATGATGAAGATCAGGATAAAGAAACTACATTTTTGAATGTCACACTTTCCTATTGTAGCATCTCAAAACATACAAAACTTTCCAAACGAGTTTTTAACTTTTTTATTAAGAATATGCAATAATAGACAAAAGTATAAAAACATATATGTAGAGTTTTAAGAAAATAATTATAAAACAAACACCTGTATAACTACAAGAAAGAGACTGGATTTAGAAAAAGAAAATAACTGAGAAAAGAGAGAACATGATAGTAAATGTTCCCCTGTACTGTGGGTACATATGACCAATAAAGATTATAATATTGTCATCTATAGTAATATTTAGAACAGATTGAAACAAATTTAGGTGCAGAATAGCCTGGAGGTAAGGGAAAATACAATTATTTATATTTAAAGGTCATTTTCCTCTTAGTGTATCTATCTAACTTAGTGAATTCTCCAGCCATTCATAATAAAGATTCTATATTAAATGGCCAATGCTTTGGTATGTCTGAGCAGGAAGACCTAGCACGTACATACTAAAGTTCACCATTTGATCATTAAATCTCATTACCAAAGGCTATCTAAAGAAAATTTTAGGACCTACCCAACACAGATGGAATTGCACATTGTCTCATGGCTAATGGAGAATCTCAGAGAATTTGCAGAATAAGATATTCAGATAGTGGACTTTAATATACATCTGTAGGCCGGGCGCGGTGGCTCACACCTGTAATCCCTGCACTTTGGGAGGTCAAGGCGGGTGGATCACCTGAGGTTAGGAGTTCGAGACCAGCCTGGCCAACATGATGAAACCCTGTCTCTACTAAAAATACAAAAATTAGCTGGGTGTGGTGGCACGTGCCTGTAATCCCAGCTACTCAGGAGGCTGAGGCAGGATAATCACTTGAACCTGGGAGGTGGAGGTTGCAGTTAGCTGAGATCACACCACTGCACTCCATCCTGGGCAACAAGAGCAAAACTCCGTCTCAAAAAAAAAAACTGCAGGCCCGGCGTGGTCGCTCAGGACTGTAATCCCAGCATTTTGGGAGGCTGACGTGGGTGGATAGCCTGAGGTCAGCAGTTCAAGACCAGCCTGGCCAACATGGTGAAACCCCGTTTCTACTAAAAAATATAAAAATTGGCCAGGTGTGGTGGTAGACGCCTGTAATCCCAGCCACTCAGGAAGCTGAGGCAGAAGAATTGCTTGAACCCCAGAGGTGGAGGTTGCAGTGAGCTGAGATCTCACCACTGCACTCCAGCCTGGGCGACAAGATTGAAACTCCATCTCAAAAAAAATTGTAAAAAAGAAAGAAAAATCCCATTATAGAAATGTATACTTTAGGCTGGGTGTGGTGGCTCACGCCTGTAATCCCAGCACTTTGGGAGGCTGAGGCGAGTGGATCATGAGGTCAGGAGATCGAGACCATCCTGGCTAACACGGTGAAACCCCGTCTCTACTAAAAATACAAAAAATTAGCCGGGCGTGGTGGCGGGTGCCTGTAGTCCCAGCTACTTGGGAGGCTGAGGCAGGAGAATGGCATGAACCCAGGAGGCGGAGCTTGCAGTGAGCCGAGATTGTGCCACTGCACTCCAGCCTGGGCTACAGAGCAAGACTCTGTCTCAAAAAATAAATAAATAAATAAAAAGAAATGTAGACTTTAGAAAGTGAAAGTGTTCTAGAATCTTATCCCCTCTAGAGGATCACTACCAACAGTTTAATGGGTACTTTTCTAGATTTTTATATACATATTCTATGTTTACACTTATTAATATTATTTCTAGAAATGGCATTACACTGAGTGGTAACTTTTTTCATTAACCCATTATTCTGGGTATCATTCCACATCAGTAAATATACTTCTTCATCCCTTGTAATGACTGCATAGTATTGCATTTTACATGCATTATAATTTTATCTATCCAAGCCCCTTACTGATGTGCATTTAGGTTGCTTACAGTATTTTGTTATTATTAAAAAATGTTGGCTGGGTGTGGTGGCTCAAGCCTGTAATCCCAGCACTTTGGGAGGCCATGGTGGGTGGATCACCTGAGGTCAGGAGTTTGAGACCAGCCTGGCCAACATGGTGAAACCCAGTCTCCACTAAAAATACAAAAAAATTAGCCGGGCATGGTGGCCCGTGCCTGTAATCCCAGCTACTCAGGAGGGTGAGGCAGGAGAATCCTATGAATCCAGGAGGCAGAGGCTGCAGGGAGGTGAGTTCGTGCCACTGCACTCCAGCCTGGGCGGCAGAGTAAGACTCCATCTCAAGAAAAAAAAAAAAAAGTAAAGACGTATTCATTTGTGTGTGTATTTCTGTTGAATATCTAGAAGAAAATTCTGGGTCAAATATTACACATATTTAAACTTTAAAGATTGCACAATGGGAATTCAATAAATTCAGACAGTCAACACTTTATGCTGAATTTCCACTTAGTCAAGTATTCAAAGTGCCCTTCCTTATTCAAACTTCCTTGAAGACACACCTTAAAACAACTCTGAAGGTTAAAGATCTTAAAAGTTGCCTGCTTGGCAAAAAAAGAGGAAAGAAGGGCCGGGCGCGGTGGCTCACGCCTGTAATCCCAGCACTTTGGGAGGCCAAGGCGGGCGGATCACCTAAGGTCAGAGTTTGAGACCAGCCTGGCCAACATGGTGAAACACTGTCTCTACTAAAAATACAAAATTAGCCGGGTGTGGTGCCGCATGCCTGTAATCCCAGCTATTCGGGAGGCTGAGACAAGGAGAATCGCTTGAACCTGGGAGGCGGAGGTTGCAGTGAGCCGAGATCGCACCACTGCACTCCAACCTGGACAACGAGAGCAAAACTCCGTCTCAAAAAAAAAAAAAAAAAAAAAAGAGGAAAGAAAACAAAACAACTTAAAGCATCATTAAAAAATATGCTCATAAGGAGTTTTTAAAATAACATTAGAAAATACTTGTGATAAAGTTGAATGAAAAATAGCCAGATATATAATTGAGTATCCAGGATTATTACAATGATATAAAATAATGTCTACATTAAAACATGGCTTTTTAACCTTTCCAAATTATCTACAGTGAGAAAATATCACTTTTTAAAGGAAAATTTTCAGAAAAAAAGAACCCCTCCATCTCCCCAAGTCTGAAGATTTAACATTAAAATTGCTTCACCTTCCATGAGAGAAGAAATGTTATCATGTTGCTTTGAACCCTTTTATATCTGCCCAATTCCAAAGCCCAAGGAAAGTATAATGATCTTCAGGGGTTATCAAAAATTCTACAAGCAAAACTAATTTTATTATTTTTTTCCTCCTAAAAAATTACTCTAAGAAAATTTAGTGTACTGTTTGTCCTTGAATCACTCTATTAAAAGAGTGGTATTCAGGATTTGATGTAAATTCCTCTTTTACAAATTAATGTGATTCATCGAAACTCCAATTCCTATTTCTACATCCACACAGCTCATAAAGACATTTTATGTATGTATGTATGTATTTGAGACGGAGTCTCAATCTATCGCCCAGGCTGGAGTGCAGTGGCACAATCATGGCTCACTGCAACCTCTGCCTCCCAGGTTCAAGCGATTCTCCTGCCTCAGCCTCCCGAGTAGCTGGGATTACAGGGGCCTGCCACCACATTCAGTTAATTTTTGTATTTTTAGTAGAGACGGGACTTCATCATGTTGGCCAGGCTGGTCTCGAACTCCTGACCTCAGGTGATCCACCCACCTCAGCCTCCCAAAGTGCTGGGATTACAGGTGTGAGCCACTGCACCTGGCCAAGAGATTTTATAAAATAGATCAAGCATTAAAAGCCCACTCTGTTTAATCCTATTGGAGAATGAAGAACTGTGACCTGATGCTGTTCTGGTTTAACAGATAATTTCAGCCTGATCGTGAGGAAGGGATTATAAATATAGGCAAATGGACAGGATTTCTCAATGAATGAAATGAAGATTGAATCCTTTCAGGTTTATTTTAAAAGGTGGGTAGAAAGATGCAAAGCTAGTTACAATGATCAGTTTATTAGTTTTTGCAGGGCTTCTGTTTTTTTTTTCCTTATCAAAAGTTTAGCAAATAAAAACAACATGCTAATGCGTTGTCAGTGAAAGGGAAATGCAAAATAAAGGAAAGCAACTGGTCATCTTTGAATTCCCATATAAGCTTTAAATCTCATTCTGGTCAGTAAAAATATCATTAGTTGTTTTACCCTAAAAATTTTTATTTTTTTTATTTTTTAGACATAGTCTCCCTCTGTCACCTAGGCTGGAGTGACCTGGCCGGAAAGAGGAATTTTAATTGCTACACATTGTCCAAAGAAAACGGAAGAAAAGCCAGGCGCGGTGGCTCATGCCTGTAATCCCAGCACTTTGGGAAGCCGAGGCGGGCGGATCACAAGGTTAGGAGTTCGAGACCAGGGTGGCCAACATAGTGAAACCCTGTCTCTACTAAAAACACAAAAAATTAGCTGGGCAGGCGTGGTGGTGGGCACCTGTAATCCCAGCTACTTGGGAGGCTGAGGCAGGAGAATCATGTGAATCAGGAGGCGGAGGTTGCAGTGAGCTGAGATCGCACCACTGCACTCCAGCCCGGGTGACAGTGCAAGACTCCGTCTCAAAAAAACAAAACAAAACAAAAAACAAAAGAAAACAGAAGAAAAGAGAAAGTTGAGAAGGGGGAGCAAAAATTTGAAAACAGGCCAGGCTCAGTGGCTCACGCCAGTAATCCTAGTACTTTGGGAGGCCAAGGTGGGAGTACTGCCTGAGCTCGGGAGTTCAGGACCAGCCTGGGCAACACAGTGAAACCCCGTCTCTACCAAAAGTACAAAAAAAAAACTGGCCGGGTGCGTCTGTGGGTCCCAGCTACTTGGGAGGCTGAGGCAGGAGAATTGCTTGAACCCGGGAGGTGGAGGTTGCAGTGAGCCGAGATTGTACCACTGTACTCCAACCTGGGTGACAAAGTGAGACTCCCATCTCCAAAAAAAAAAAAAAAAGAAAAAAAATGGAAAACATGTCCAGGCTCTAAGTCTATCTCCCCACAACTCACGTGATTTTTTTAAACAATAAAATATTTATCAATTTATTCATCCACTTATATTTAGCTTGAATCTGAGTGACTTATGGAAATTTTAGAAATTAAAATCCATCCCCAAAACAACCAATTATAGTATCATTACAATAAGTATTTAGCCATCTTAAGGGACAACTTCAAAAGAGGCAGTACTCTTTTGAATATAGAAGTTTTCATATGTTTGTTAATAAGAGCAAAATAAACTATCATTAGAGTGAACAGGTAACCTACAGAGTGGGAGAATTTTTTTTTTTTTTTTGAGATGGAGTCTTTCTCTGTCACCCAGGCTGGAGTGCAGTGGCATGATCTTGGCTCATTGCAACCTCCGCCTCCTGGGCTCAAGCGATTCTCCTGCCTCGGCCTCCCGAGTAGCTGGGATTACAGGCATATGTCACTAGGCCTAGCTAATTTTTTTGTATTTTGAGTACAGACAGGGTTTCACCATGTTGGCCAGGGTAGTTTCGAACTCCTGACCTCAGGTGATCTACCTGCCTTGGCCTCCCAAAGTGCTGGTATTACAGGCGTGAACCACCGCACTCGGCCTTTTTCTTTTTTTTAAAGAGATGAGGTCTTGGCCTGGTATGGTGGCTCCTACCTATAATCCCAGCACTTTGCCAAGCTGAGGCGGGAGGATAGCTGAGGCACGAGGACCACTTAAGTCCAAAGTTCGTAACCAGCTTAGGCAACATACTGAGACTCCATCTATATAAAAAATTTTAAAAATTAGCCAGGTGTGGTGGCACATGCCTGTAGTCCCACTTACTCAGGAGGCTGAGGTGGAAGGATCCCTCAAGCCCAGGAGGTCAAGGGGGCAGTGAGCCATGATCATGCCACTGCACTCTAGCCTGGGCAAGAGAGTGAGACCCTGTCTCAAAGGAAAAAAAAGAGAGAAACAGGGTTTCACTCTGTCATACAGGCTAGAGTACAGTGGCACAATCATGGCTCACTGCAGCCTCAAACTCCTGGGCTTGAGTTATCCTCCCTTGTGGTTAGGACTACAGGTGTGTACCACCACGTCTGGCTAATTAAAAAAAAAAATTTGTAGCAATAGGGTCTGGCTATGTTGCCCAGGCTGGTGTTGAAGACCTGGCCTCGAGTGATCCTCCCACTTCAGCCTCCCAAGTAGCTAGGATTACAGATGTGAGCCACCTGGCCTGGCTTCCAATGATTTAAAACGGACTTAGAAACACAAGCAATTATGTTACGTTCAAACCTTAGAAGAGCAAAACTAGGTAAGTGTAGATTTTTTTTTTTTGTGGTCAAATAGCTTTTCTCTCCTTGATTACTAGCATATACACATTGTAGAAAATTTGAAAACAAAAAAATTCATAAAAAATAAAAATCACCCATAAATTCCATTACCCTATGATCATATGGGTGTATGTACAACCAAACTTTTCTGTATACATAAAATACATGTATCTTCTACCCATCAACCTATTTTCCCATCTCCTTCTCTCCCAACCCCAATTCTGGGGCGTCCCTTCATAGCAAAGGTTTGTGTGAATTATGGAACAACAGTATGATATATATGTTATAAACCTCAACAAAATATTACCAGCCTGGGCAGCATGTTGAAACCCCGTCTCTACTAAAAATACAAAAAATTAGATAGGTGTGGTGGCATGTGCCTGTAGTCCCAGCTACTTGGGAGGCTGAGGCAGGAGAACTACTTGAATCTGGGAGGTGGAGGTTGCAGTGAGCCAAGCTCGCGCCACTACACCCCAGCCTGGGCGACAGAGTAAGAGAGACTCTGTCTCAAAAAAAAAAAAAAAAAAAAAAAAAAAAGTATTGAGGAGTAGAGATAGAAGAAACTGCGAAGAGTACTGATTTCATCATCTTTCACTACAGGGAGTCAGTAGGATATTGTCTAAAACTGAGTAATGTGGTAAGAAAACACAACCCCAATTTTTTTTTAACATTTTTGATTGAACTCCTCCCTCCCTCCCTCCCTTCCTTTTTTTTTTTGTGTCTCCCTTTGTCACTCAACCAGGCTGCAGTAGAGGTGCAGTGGTGTGAACATGGCTCACTGTAGCCCCAACCTCCTAGACTCAAACAATCGTCTGGCCTCAGCCTCCTAAGTAGCTGGAACTACCAGCGCATGCCACCATGCCTGGCTAATTTTTGTATTTTTTGCAGAGACAAGGTTTTCCGATGTTGCCCAAGCTAGTCTCCAACTCCTGAGCTCAGGTGATGCTCCTGCCTTGGCCTCTCAAAGTGCTGGGATTACAGGCTGAGCCACCATGCCCAGCCAACAGTTTCAAACATACACAAAGTAGAGAGATTATGTAGCTCTATGTAGCCATCACCTAGTTTCAACAGTTATCAATATAATCTTTCATCTTTACCACCCACCCCACCCAAACCCAGATTATTTCTGTACAAATTCCAGCTACTATATAATTTCATCCAAAAAATACTGCATATTCTCCCCAAGAGATTAGGATTTTTTAAAAAAAGAACTGTAATACCAATATCATACCTAAAACAACCCAATAAGAACTCCAGTAAGCCTTCATATTCCATCAATTGTTTAGTAAATTTTTTTTTACAGTTGCTTTGTTTGAATCTGGAGCCAAAGTCCATACTTAGTCTTCTGTATTTCATACATTCTATTTTTTTTTTTTTTTTTTTGAGATGGAGTTTCACTCTGTCACCCAGGCTAGCAGGCTGGAGTGCAATGGCTCGATCTTGGCTCACTGCAACCTCCGCCTCCCGGGTTCAAGCAATTCTCCTGCCTCAGACTCCCGAGTGGTTGGGATTACAGCCACCCGCCACCAAGCCTGGCTAATTTTTGTATTTTTAGTAGAGACTGGGTTTCACCATGTTGGCCAGGGTGGTCTTGAACTCCTGACCTCAGGTGATCCACCTGCCTCAGCTTCCAAAAAATGCTGGGATTACAGGCGTGAGCCACCGTGCCCAGCCTACATGTGTAATTTTAAAAGTAAAATGAAATATAATTTCATTTCATTTGGGGCCTCAGACTCCCAAAGTGCTGGGATTACAGGTGTGAGCCACCGTGCCAGGCTACATGCGTAATTTTATTTTATTATTTATTTATTTATTTTTGAGATGGAGTCTCACTCTGTCACCCAAGCTGGAGTGCAGTGGCGCGATCTTGGCTCACTGCAACCTCTGCCTCCCGGGTTCAAGCAATTCTCCTGCTTCAGCCTCCTGAGTAGCTGGGATTACAGGCATGAGCCACCGTGCCTGGCCTATTTATTTATTTATTTTTGAGACAGAGTCTCGCTCCATTGCCCAGGCTGGAGTGCAGTGGTGTGATCTTGGCTTACGGCAACTTCTGCCTCCTGGGTCCAAGTGATTCTCTTGCCTCAACCTCCTGAGTAGCTGGGATTACAGGCGTATGTCACCGTGCCTGGCTAAGTTTTTGTATTTTTAGTAGAGATGGGGTTTCATCATGTTGGCCAGGCTGGTCTTGAACTCCTGACCTCAGGTGATCCACCTGCCTCAGCCTCCAAAAAATGCTGGGATTACAGGCGTGAGCCACCATGCCCAGCCTACATGTGTAATTTTAAAAGTAAAATGAAATATAATTTTACTTAACAGAAAAAAAATGAAGTGAAACAATTACTAAACTTCAAACATTTCTTTTTTTTTTTTTTTTAATTTGAGACAGGGTCTCACTCTGTCACCCACGCTGGAGTGCATAATCGTAGCTCACTGCACCCTCTACTTCTCGAGCTCAAGCAATCCTACCACCTCAGCCTCCTAAGTGGATGGAACTACGGGCACATGCCACCATGCCCATTTAATCTTTTAATTCTTTTAGAGATGAGGGTCTTGCTATGTTGCCCAAGCTGGTCTCAAACTCATAGACTCAAGTGATCCTCCCACCTTGGCCTCCCAAAGTGCTAGGATTACAGGCATGAGCCACCACACCTGGCCTCAAACAGTTGTTTCTTATAAGAGATATGTCATGATGTTGGCTATGGGTTATCAAGTAAAAAGGAAAAAAAAATTTTTTTAAAGAGAAATGTGGCTGGGCACGGTGGCTCATGCCTGTAATCCCAGCACTTTGGGAGGCTGATGTGGGCGGATCACCTGAAGTCAGGAGTTCGAGACCAGCCTTACCAACATGGAGAAACCCCGTCTCTACTAAAAATACAAAATTAGCTGGGCGTGGTGGCACATACCTGTAATCCCAGCTACTCGGGAGGCTGAGGCAGGAGAATCACTTGAACCCGGGAGGCGGAGGTTTCAGTGAGCCGAGATCGCCTTGGGCAACAAGATCGAAACTCCGTCTCAAAAAAAAAAAAAAAAAAAAAAAGGACAAATGTCCTATAAATTCCTTTCTAAGATTTAAAAAAGAGATTATTAAGAGGTTGGGGTCATTTTTAAAAACTAGATGTTTCAATTTTAGATAACGTCTAAGTGACTCCTTATTATGAAAGATACAAGTTAATATCCTTCCCATATTTTATTACCTTACTTCCCAATTTTAAAATTATAACTTTTATTCTGTGTAGACTCATAATATGTATATTCTATTCTATAACTATAATTCACCAGATCTGCTCTACTTTATCTGAATGTATGCAGAGAGAGCTGATGCTGGTTACATGAGAGTTTATTATATTGTTTTTTACACATTTTTGTATGCCTGAATTATTTGTAATTTTGAAAAAAAGGAATGTTTTAAACTAAAAAATGATGTTTGGCGGGGTGCGGTGGCTCATGCCACCGAGGCAAGCAGATCATAAGGTCAAGAGATCAAGACCATCCTGGCCAACATGGTGAAACCCCATCTCTAGTAAAAACACAAAAATTAGCTGGTGTGGTGGCACACGCCTGTAGTCCCAGCTACTCGGGAGGCTGAGGCAGAACTGCTTGAACCTGGGAGGCAGAGGTTGCAGTGAGCCGAGAGCCAAGATCCAGCCTGGCGAGGGAGCAAGGCTCCGTCTCAAAAAAACAAAAAGTTTAAGAATATTTACAGTATTTCTGGGAAGTAAGATTTCTTCTTTTTTTAATGTTGTTAATTATACTTCCCTCTATTGCTTAAATTCTTTATCAAGAGCATTTTTTCCTAAAACAAACAGGAAAAACAAGTTTGTGTGAACCTTCACAATTTTAAGACTGGTATTATTCCCTTAAATCTTTCTTATGAGTGAAAATGTTAAAAGGGTGATAGTGCTGAGAAAGATTTGTCACATAAGCATAAATAGTACAATTAGATGCATACATAGAATGGGCAGTGGTATTATGTCTGCAGTATTCTACTTGACCAACCCAAAGCACTACCCCAAATAGCGAAGTACAGAAGCTCAGAAATCACAGCACAGTTTTCTCACTATTCTACTAGGCAAAAATTCTAGATTAAAGTTGAAAATGAAATCTAGAATTTAGTCTTCTGGCAGACATTTAAGTTCCTCACCTATTACCAAAATGAAAGACCCCAAAACTTAATTGCATGCAGTCACAAATCTTATCTCAAAAGTTAATTAGCCAAAATTTAAAGCTGGTTAGAAATAATAAAAAGGGCTGGGCGCAATGGCTCGCACCTGCAATCCTAGCACTTTGGGAGACCGAAGCAGGACTGCTTGAGGTCAGGAGTTAGAGACCAGCCTGGGCAACAAAGTGAAACTCCCTGTCTCTACAAGAAAATAAAAAAAATTAGCCAGGCATGGCGGCATACGCCTGTAGTCCCAGCTATTTCGGAGGCCAAAGTGAGAATATCCCTTGAGCCCAAGAGGTGGAGCCTGCAGTGAGGCATGTTCGTGCCACTGCACCCCAGCCTGGACGACAGAGTGGAGACTGTTACCAAAAATAATAATAATAATAAAAAGGCCAAGTGTGGTGGCTCATGTCTGTAATCTCCACACTTTGGGAGACTGAAGCAGGCAGATCACTTGAGGCTGGGAGTTCGAGACCCGCCTGGCTAACACAGTGAAACCCTGTCTCTATTTTAAAAAAAGAATAATAATAAAAAAAAGAATAAAATGATTATTGCTAAATTTTTATCGACTCCTAATTCAGATGAATTTAAGAGCTAGACTCCACAGAAATGATTCCTTATTTAGCAGAGGGAACAAAATCCAGAGAAGTAGGGAGTTTCAACAGGACGCTTCTGCAACAGTTTAGATTGGAGGTAATAAGATAAAGAAGCAAAAATGGGAATGGAAAGGAGGTATCAATGGCAAAGAGTGCAGATCTAAGACTGCAAGAATTCTTTCATGTATTTCCAACTCTGGAACTATCACCAGTACCCAGAGAGAGGTATATGAAAACAAAATAAACTGTTATCCTTCCTCTACACCTCAATAATTCATCTAAAATCCCTAGAAGCCACACATAACTAATTCAGATATCAAGTGGGTTTCCTATCCCCCAGATTATATCCCCAAGTAAATTAAGAGTTTTTTTTAAAGGATTATACATTATCCAAGTAAGAAAATAGTGAACAATCGTATTTACTTTTTTTTCATCCTATGTGTGAGGCCGCTGAAACAAAAGTCAAAGATTACTAAGAATACTAGGTTAGGCTCTCTTCTAGGAAACATTTTTCAGTGCCCTCTTGTTCCAATAACTAAGGTCAGGCCATTGGTTGCTCAGTTTGTAAGAGCTGATTCAACTGATCATTTTCAAGTCAAAAAATAAGAAACTACTGCTTTGAAAGTTTAAGGCTATCCTACAGATATTTACTTTAAAGCATGTAAGTGGCTATTTATGCCCAGCATTCAACTAAGGTCTCTCTGGCCATAAGAAAATGACCATTTAATTAAGAGCCAAGACTAATGGTTTAAACAACAACAAAAACATAATAATAATGGTTATTATTTATTGAGCATTTACATGTGTCATGCTCTGAGTTAAAATTTTTATATAATCAGGCTGGGCGCAGTGGCTCATGCCTGTAATCCCAGCACTTTGGGAAGCCGAGGCACCTGAGGTCAGGAGTTCAAGACCAGACTGGGCAACATGGTGAAACCCTGTCTCTACTGAAAATACAAAAACTAGCCAGGCATGGTGGTGGACACCTAGAATCCCAGCTACTCGGGAGGCTGAGGCAGGAGAACCACTTGAACCTGGAAGGTGAATGTAGTGAGCTGAGATCGCACCACTGCACTCCAGTCTGGGTGACAAGAGCAAAACTCCGCCTCAAAAAAATAAGTTTTTAAAAATATAATTAGTTAATCTAATCCTACAATAGCACTATTAAGTCAATATTATCTCTATTAAATAAGAATGAAGGGAAAAAATGTGAAAATGGAGCCCAAGTCATATAGCTGATAAGTGGTAGAACCGGGATTTGAATGTAGATGTGTCTGATTCCAAAGCCTGCGCTTTTATCCACTGCTGATAAAAAAATTAGAAAATAAAAGATGGTTACTAAGCACACTGAGAGGTATGATAAATGCAAGAGAATTCAGAGAATGTAAAGTTCAGTGCTGGATTTGTGATGGGCTTTAAAACAAAATATGGGAAGGAAACATGGCAGGAATATATAAAATAGACAAATGGGACTGGAGTGGTAAGTAGACTAAGCAGCGAGAAATAAGGTTAGTCAGATGAAGTGGGGCTTAGAAAGCCAGGAAAACACAGTCCTGCTCTCAGGGAGGTTGCAGACTAACCTTAAAGTTAATAATAATATACATTTATTCAATGGAATCCTATGAAACCATTAAAAATAATGGGGTATGTTTATATTTATTGGCATAAAATATGTCCACATTATAATACTTGGAAAAAGAAGGCTACAAAATGATATGTCTGATTATAATCAATTTTTTGGTAATTATGCATCTGTGGCTGGGCATGGTGGCTCACACCTGTAATCCTAGCACTTTGGGAGGCTGAGGCAGGTGGATCACCTGAGGCCATGAATTCAAGACCAGCCTGGCCAACGTGGCAAAGCCCTGTCTCTACTAAAAATACAAAAATTAGCTGGGTATGTGGCAGGCGCCTGTAATCCCATCTACTCTGGTAACTGAGGCATGAGAATTGCTTGAACTTGGGAGGTGGAGCTTTCAGTGAGCTGCAGGTACCACGGCACTCCAGCCTGAGTGACAGAGGAGACAATGTCTCAAAGAAAAAAAAAAATGATGCATCTGTGTATACATATATATGCACTGAAAACAGTCTATAAGGATATATATTACAATTTTAACAGTAGTTATCTTTGGGAAGCAAGATTATAGGTGGTTTTTATTTTCTTCTTTACACCTTTAAAAAAAGGTATAATTTACATAGAGTGAAATGCATAGATGTTAAGTTCAGTGAGTTTTGACAAAAGCATATATCCATGTTATCTCACACCCCAAGCAAGATCTGCAACACTTCTATCATCCCAGTAAGTGTTCTCATGGAGGGCCAGGAGCGGTGGCTCACACCTGTAATCCCAGCACTTTGGGAGGCTGAGGCAGGTAGATCACTTGAGTCTAGGAGTTTGAGACCAGCCTGGGCAACATGGCAAAATCCCAGCTCTATAAAAATTACAAAGAATTAGCTGGGCGTGGTGGCCTGCACCTGTAGTTCCAGCTACTTGGGAAGCTGAGGCAGGGGGATCACCTGCTCCTGGGGAAGGTGAGGCTTCAGTGAGCCCTGATAGTGCCACTGCACTCCAGTCTTGGTGACAGACTCTTTCTCAAAAAAAAAAAAAAAAAAAAAAAAAAAAAGTGTTCTCATGTAGATCTCTGTCTGAATTTCTTAGGGTAAATGTATTTCACTTTTAAAGTATCAAAAAGTAATAAAATTACTTTTATATCTTAGACAAATTTTAAAAACTAACTAAAAAAGAAAACAAATAAAAAAGAGAATACAGTAACCTCAAACCCTTTGATTCAGTATTTTTTTCTATTTGCCATTCCTACCTTAAACTTCTTGGACAACTGTGAATAGGTAAGGTCAAACAGAGAAAATAAAGAATAACTGGCACGGACTTTCTTCCTTTTCCATGTTCCTATAGCATTTTTTTGGTACCTTTCTCCTAGTACTTACATACTGTGTCTAGCTGTATGGTTACTGCATAAATATCTTTTCTCCTCTATCAAATCCCTATGCTTCTGTAGGAAGATAAGCGCATCTTACTTACTTTTATATTTTCCTTACTTTTCTCAGTGCCTTGCATCAAGGAGGTACTCAAGGCCGGGTGCAGTGGCTCATGCCTATAGTCCCAGCACTTTGGGAGGCCGAGGCAGGCAGATCACATGAGGTCAGGAGTTCATGACCTGCCCAGGCAACATGGCGAAACCCCATCGCTATTAAAAATACAAAAATTGGCCTGGAGCGGTGGCTCACGCCTGTAATCCCAGCACTTTGGAAGGCCGAGGCGGGCGGATCACGAGGTCAGGAGATCGAGACCATCCTGGCCAACATGGTGAAACCCCGTCTCTACTAAAAATACAAAAAATTAGCTGGGCGTGGTGGTGGGCGCCTGTAGTCGCAGCTACCCGGGAGGCTGAGGCAGGAGAATGGCGTGAACCCGGGAGGCGGAGCTTGCAGTGAGCCGAGATCGCGCCACTGCACTCCAGCCTGGGCGACAGAGACTCTGTCTCAAAAAAAAAAAAAAAAAAAAAATTAGCTGGGCTTGGTGGTGGGAGCCTGTAATCCCAGCTACTCGGGAGGCTGAGGTACCAGAAGTACTTGAACCCAGGAGGCGGAAGCAGCGAGCCAAGATCACGCTGCTGCACTCCAGCTTGGGTGACAGAGCGAGACTCTCTCTCAAAAAAAAAAAAAAAAAAAAAAAAAAAAAAAAAAGAGAGATACTCAATAAATGTTGGCTCACTTGAGCTGGAGAAAAAAAATCACATCATTAGACAATTTAATGATACTTCCTGAGAGTGAGCTGTCCTTCAGGCGGATGTACATAAATAAATATGCAATTATCTTCATAACCTATTTTTTCTAAAACCTTTCTAAATCATTGTTATGAGCTGAATTGTGTCCCCTCAAATTTCATATGTTGAAGTTATAACCCCCATTACCTCAGAATACATCTGTCTTTGAAGATAGGGCTTTTAGAAGAGGTGATTAAGTTAAAATGAGGGTGTTATAGTGGGCCCTAAACCAATCTGACTGGTGTTCTTTTGAGAGGAGGAAATTTGGACACCTAGAGACGCCAGGAAGGCATTTGCATAGAGGACACAGCAGGAAGTCTGCAGGGCAAGGTGAGAAGTCTCAGAAGAAACCAAACCCATCAATCTTGATCTTGGACTTCTAATCCCTAGAACTGTGAGAAAATTAATTTCTGTCATTTAAGCCACCAAGTCTGTGGTATTTTAGCAGGGCATCTTTAGCAAACTAATATAATCCTACTCTCACAGAAAAATCTAGAAGAGGCTTGTCTAGTCATTTAGTCTTAAGCTTTTTTAATGTTTTATTTATTTTTAGAGACAGGGTCTCACTATGTTGCCTAGGCTCGTTTCAAACTCCTGGGCTCAAGCAATCCTCCTGCCTCAGCCTCCCAAAGTGCTGAGATTAAAGGTGTGAGACATGATGCCCAGCCTTGGTTTTAAGCTTTAAGATGCAAGAAAAAATAACTATTTGCTTACTCATATTTATCTCTTTTTAGTATAATAGTGTCTCCCTCCTTCCATAAGGAACATGTGTGA